>NC_000016.10:85130682-85755682 GCF_000001405.40 Homo sapiens
GACGAGGCTAGAACATTCTGCAATGTGGAAGCCAAAAAATTCCAAAAGAAACATTCTGTAGCTTCCAGCCTGTAAGAGGAGGAAGAGGATTTCCTCTCTGGGCAGTTTCTGGGGGCTCTAGGGAGGGACCCATCAGTGCAGCCCCTCTGGCAGCCAGGACGGAGGGGCGGGATGTGGGGGGACAGGAAACAGGGTCAGGACTCTGGGCAGCACCAAATTTGGAGAAGCTCAGGGGTGAGAATTTCAGCCCAGGCAGGAACAGGACTCTGTGATGACCGAGCCTCCTCCGATCTTGGGGAGATTTGCCTCTCTTCTCGGGTGGGTAAACTGAGGCAGTGAGCTCCCTCCACTTTGCCACTTTGCAGAGCAAGTTTCCAGGAGAGCTGCATGTCAGAGGTGCCACTGGCTAAGCACCTACCTGCCATCACAAACTTCACATAGATTTTCCCGTATCCTTGGCACAACTCAAAAGGGGTGAGCCATTAGGCCCAGAAGACACATGTGGAAACAGGCTGAGAGGCCACCTCTTTCTCCAACTAATATTTTAAAGTTATCCTATGATTCATCTGGCCAGGTGGCTCAGACCTGTAATCCCAGCACTTTGGGAGGCCGAGGCAGGTGGATCACCTAAGGTCAGGAGTTTGAGACCAGGCTGGCCACATGGCAAAACCCCATCTCTACTAAAAATACAAACAAATTAGTCAGGCGTAGGGGTGCATGCCTGTAGTCCCAGATACTCAGGAGGCTGAGGCAGAAGAATTGCTTGAACCCAGGAGGTAGAGATTGCAGTGAGCGGAGATCACGCCACCACACTCCAGCCTGGGTGACAGAGCAGACTCCGTGTCAAATAAATAAATAAAGTTATCCTATGATTAATTTCTGTTTTTTTTTTTTTTAGATGGAGTCTTGCTCTGTCGCCCAGGCTTGAGTACAGTGGCGCAATCTCGGCTCACTGCAAGCTCTGCCTCCCGGGTTCACGCCATTCTCCTGCCTCAGCCTCCCGAGTAGCTGGGACTGCAGGTGCCTGCCACAACGCCCAGCCAATTTTTTATATTTTTAGTAGAGACGGGGTTTCACCATGTTAGCCAGGATGGTCTCGATCTCCTGACCTTGTGATCCGCCCACCTCGGCCTCCCAGAGTGCTGGGATTACAGGCGTGAGCCACCGCACCCGGCCTCCTATGATTAATTTCTTAACAATAGTATACCAGATATGATGTCATTATATATAAATTAAACAAAATAATAGGAACCCCCAGTTTTAATAACAACCACTGGGAGTAATTAAGACAATTGCATGACACTGATTTTGTTAGAACAAGCGCCTTTGCTGCCATCTGACAGAAAATTGATATAATTGATGGATAAGTAGTCCATCTTTCAAGTCAATAAAGCTGTCATAAAAACACAAACATGTTTTCTAGATTATAAAGATATCCACAATGTGAACAGCATCCCCTTTGTCATGGATTCCTTGCAGTGCTCAACCTAAATAATGGAATAGAGTGAGGCCTGGCGTGGTGGCTCACGCCTGTAATCCCAGCACTTTGGGAGGCTGAGGCAGGCGGATCACGAGGTCAAGAGATTGAGACCATCCTGGTCAACATGGTGAAATCCCATTTCTACTAAAAATACAAAAATTAGTTGGGCATGATGGTGCACGCCTGTAATCCCAGCTACGTGGGAGGCTGAGAATCGCTTGAACCTGGGAGGCGGAGGTTGCAGTGAGCCAAGATCGTGCCACTGCACTCCAGCCTGGGGCGACAGAGCGAGACTCCATCTTAAAAAAAAAAAAAAAAAAAAAACACGGGACACAGTAACCCTGATGAGTAATTGAATTTGAACTTGGCGCTGCCTCTCCAAAGCCTGGGTACCACTTATTCCATCCCTAGTTAGCCATGAGGCCCACCCCAACTTCTAGCCACTAGTGACTAAGAGCACTGAGGAGTCAGACAGGAAGGGACATGAAGTGCTCAGCTGTGGGATCTCCCCTTGGTCCTGGGGCTTGGAGCTCTGGAACCTTGAATGGCTATTTACAGGACACAGAGCCGGGCAGAGCCTTGGGGATGCAGGGGTGAGTTCACGGACGGAGAGATAGGGGGATGGGATTTTTTTTTTTTTTTTTTTTTTTTTTTAAATGAGATGGAGTTTCGCTCTGTCACCCAGGCTGGAGTGCAGTGGCGCTATCTCCGCTCACTGCAACCTCCGCCTCTCAGGTTCAAGCCATTCTCTTGCCTTAGCCTCCCCAGTAGCTGGGATTACAGGTGCCCACCACCACACCGAGCTAACTTTTGTATTTTAGTAGAGACAGGGTTTTGCCATGTTGTCCAGGCTGGTCTTGAACTCCTGAGCTGAGGCAATCTGCCCGCCTCGGCCTCCCAAAGTGCTAGGATTACAGGTGTGAGCCACTGTGCCTGGCCAGGGGGATGGGATTTTCGACGCCGTCTGTGCACACGTGTGTCTAAGCGTGCACATTTCTGTGTGTGCATGTGTTTTTGTGTGTATGCATTTCTGTGTGTACACGTGTTTGCACGTTTCTGTGTGTACACGTATGTGTGAGTGTGAGCATGTTTCTGTGTGTGCACACCTGCATACTGAGAGGGGTAGGACTTGTTTTCAGGTGGGGACCCTTTAGCACGGACATTTGGGGCCTACAAGAGGACTTTGCCCCACTCATTGTGGATCAGTAGCTGCTTCTTGTCAGGGGGAATGGGTAGCACCCAGAGGGCCCAGGAGCATTTATTGAATACCTACTGTGTACCAGGCACTCCTTGGCACCTTACCCATGCCCCTGGAGGGTCTTAGTAACCCCACTTTCCAGAGTCATTGTTCAGAGTCCTGGCAGGAGGGAAGTGCAGGGGACTAGGCTGGGGGCCTTGACTCTAGGCCCCCTGCCCCCTCCCCTCTCCTTGGGAAGGAGATAACCCAGAGCCCTCCTGAGAGTCCCCAAGTTGTCCTGGCCCTTTTTGCCTGGGTCTCCTCCTTTCCCCTTGTGATGGGGAGACTGAGGCTGGAGGAGGGGAGGAAACTGGCTGGTAGAGGGAGGAAAGTGTGCAGATGGGAAGGTGGTCAGGGGGTGCAGAGAGGGAGGTGGGGGCTGCAGATGGGAAGGTGGCCAGGGGTGCAGAGGGGGAGGTGGGGGCCGGGAGTGCAGACGGGAGGTGGCCTGGAGGCCCATCTTTTTTTGGAGGACTCTGCTGTGTCCTCTCTTCCTTTCACCCACTGGGAACCTAAACTCACCTGTCCCTCCAGGCTCAGCCTAAGGTCACCTTCTCCATGACGCCCTTGGCCAGTGCCTGCTGTCTGTTTCCAAAGGTCAAGTTCTAAGTTGTGGCTCGGTTTCTGGTTGGTCTGTCAGATCCCCTGGGACAGGGCTACACCCTTGGCCTGAGAAAGACTCTGTGTGGTGCATGACTTCACGGATCAAAGGGACTCAGACCTGGGTTTGAGTCCTAACCCACTCCTATTAGCCATGTGACCCTCGGCAGTGCCCTGATGTGCCACATTTCATATCCAGCCCTTTAAAGGCACTCAGAATGGCCCCGAAGCCTGACTCCTCTCCCTCATCCCCATTTTTGGTTGCTTATTTGTTTGTCCTACGGATTCTCTGGCCTCAGGGCCTTTGCACGTGCTGCCCCTTGGCCTGGAGTGCCTTCTCTTCTCTCTCTACCACCTCAGCCTGGCCGACTCCTGGTCCTTCAGGTCTCAACCTCCACCTCCTCTGGGAAGTTTCCCCATCTCCCCATGGCCGGGTCACGTGCTGCTCTTGGGGCACCTGCAGAATCATTGTGCATGTGGCTGCTCCTGGCCAGACCCCGCCAGAGCTCCTGGAAGGCAGGGGTCACACAGAGTTTCTATCGCCCTCTCCTCAGGGCCTAGCCCAGGGCCAGACATCCAGGGGCACACGCTGACGCAGGCTGAATGAGTGACTGCAGCCGGGAGAGCTCAGCCCTCCTCCCTTCCCGCCACACCCCTGGTCTGCAGCCCGCACCGGCACCAAGCTCAGGGACATGGCAGATGGAGGGCCGTGATCTGAGACCCCACTGATCCAGGAGCGCTGAAGTCAGTTCCCAAGGCCCCAGCATACAATGAACCACGTGAAAGCCACCAGCAAGCACCTCTTGTAATCAGGGACAATGCTTGGCCCTGCATCCCGAAGGACATCCCAGGGTCTCCGGAGGTAGGAATGGCCCAGCCAAGCACCCTGGCCTCATGCCTCCCGGCGCAGCCTGCCGAGGGCGGGACCCACCTGGCGACTCCTTCCTTCCAGCTGCTGGCTCTGGGGGTTCCGGCCACGCCTTTCCTGAAGCCACCCCCTTCTTTTTCCGGTCCCCACCCTGCTGGCCGGGCTGCTCCATTTTCTGCCTGACCCCACCCCCAGCCTTTCAGGGCTGCTGGACTGGGGCATGAGAGTGGGGTGGCGCTGGGCTCGCTGGGTGGCAGCTTTGGGGACAGCGGTGCCTGTTGGTATAACAGCCTACAGGCAACGGTCCACCAGTCACTCAGCAGTCCTAAGGGCATCATTATCTCCACTTCACAGATGGGGAAACTGAGGCTCTCAGAGGTTACGCGACTTGACAGGGTCACACAACTGAGTGTACCGGGGGGAAGGCAGGGCAAGGCTTGAGCCCAGGCATATCTGCCTTCAACAGGGACAGCCACTGCCATCCCCCCGCTGCAGACACCACAGGGCTTGGTGGGCTCCAGCCCCTCCCTGAAGCTGTACCTGTGACCCTCACACCTGGAGGAAGCACTGGGAAGTGCTGGAATCAGAGAGGACAGCCCTTCCCTCAGCTACGGCTCCAAACTATCCAGCAAAATGCCCTGGATGGGCCAGAAAGTCAGAAGGGACTTGGCCCAAATAGCAGTTCCAGGAGCAGAGGCTCAAAGCTGTGATGTCCCTTCCTTCTGAAGTTTCTCCAGGACAGACTGTGGTGTGTGTGTGTGTGTGTGTGGTCACCAGCTATACATGGTGGACAGATATCCACTCACAGCTGGGCTCTGTGAGAGAGGAGATGGGAGCAGAGAGTGGGGAGGCCATAGTCAGGCCACCACGAGACCAGGGCATCTGTGAGTCACCCCAGCATAGGGCGAAGGGACAGAGAGGCAGCTCCTCAGCTCCCTGGCAGAGCCCTGTCAGTGGGAGCCACAGAGCTGTCAAGGAAAGAGCTCTGGAAAGGCCCAGCACGGCACTCACATCTGGCATTCCCAGCACTTTGGGAGGCAGAGGTGGGAGGATCACTTGAGCCCAGGAGTTTGAGACCAGCCTGGGCAACATAGTGAGACCCTATCACTACAAAAACGTTAAAAAAATTAGCCAGGTGTGCTGGTGCATGCCTGTAGTCCCAGCTACTTGGGAGGCTGAGGTGGGAGGATCACTTGAGCCTGAGAGGTAGAGGCTGCAGTGAGCAGTGATCGCACCACTGGACTCCAGCCTGTGCGACAGAGTGAGATCCTGTCTCTAAAAGAAAAATAAAAAAGACAGAAAGAGCCCTGGCCTGGGGGTCAGAAGGGCCTGATTTCAGCCTCAGCCCTGTCAGTTATCAGCAGCTGCATCACCACTGTGACCCTCAGTTTCCTCATCTGTACAGTGAGCAAAACATAGTTCCTCCCCCGGCAGCTGTCCTGAGACACAGAAACCACGACCACAAATCACAGGGCTGCTTGGCGCTCAGACATATTAGGAAAAAAAGGAAGAAGATTTGGGTGATCTGAAAAGGTCAGTTTGAGGGTTGAGGGAGAGAGTCCTGCATTTCCTCCCTGGCCTGGCCTCAGCTGGGCCCCACTTCCTGTCCCAAGCTGGCCAGTCAGCTGTGCCCTTGTTTAACCCCCTTCCTGCGGCCATCTCTGCCGGGAGGCACCTCGGTACTTTGGTTTAATTGGCCTCTGCCTGCATTTTAAAGCAGAAAGCGGCCTCTCTCTGAGGACCCAGCGGGGGCAGTCCCTCCCCGTGCTCTGTGCGCAGCCCCAGCTGCCTCTGCACTCCTCATCCAGCTGCCCCGATTTCACGGGGCTCAAATGTTCAAGGTCACTGGGTCGCCCAGAGTGGCTGCTCCACTCCCTTCTCCTCGCCCACGCTGCTGGGACTGCCGGAGCCCCTCCCAGCCGGCCAGGAGCCTGGCTGATTCTTCTCCTAAACTCACCCTGCCCCTAGCTTGCTGCATGAGCTCAACTCCAAGCCCCATTCCAGATCCCGATCTCCTGGTCTGCAGAAGAGTCCAGTGGCCACGAGCGACCTTCCGGAATCGCTCCTCGCACGGTCTGAGACTCAGGAGGGAACATTCTTCATTCTCAGGGAAGGACTCCATTGGTCCTGTTCAGGTCCCGTGCCCATCCCTGCACCAATCACAGTGGCCAGGGGAATGGGAAACTGTGATTGGTCGGGACTGGGTTACATGCTTCCCCTGTTACCAAGGGTCAAGGGCAAAGTACTGGGACTGGCACCATCCCCAGAAACTCAGGGGCAGAGGGAGGAGCAGCCCATTTCCAAGCCGGGATGCAGTTCCAGGGCAGGCAGTAGAGGCCCAGGTAACCCCAAACCGGATGCCACTCCCAGGGCAGTCCACGGTGGAGTGAGCAGCCAGGTGGGAAGGGCAGGGTGTCTCCTCCTAACTGCACCTGACCCCATCCTGTCTGATGTGCGTCCCAGGAGAGGGGGTGTGGCGACACCCCTGTGTGGTCCCCTTGCGAGCCAGCCAGGCCATCCCGGTGCCTCTGGCTTCCCCTCCCTGCCGCCAGCGCACACGTTGCAAACATCTGCCCCGGCCGGCTGCTGGGGGTCCCCTCCTGGAGTTCCCTGCTGCTGACAGGAACCAGTGCGCCTTTTATCACCCGCGGTGCACATCTGGGAACACTCTGGCCAGTGCGCTGGAGAGCTGACTCCCGGCCAAGCTCGCCGGGCAGGAGGGGTGGCCTGGGTCTGGGAAGCGCCTCCCAGTCCCGGGCGAAGCTGCCCCATGTGACCTCCAGCTTCTGGACGGTGTCCACAGAGGCCGTTGTGTAACCGCCGTGTCCAGGAGCGGGGCGGGCCTGGGCGGTGGGTGGGGTCCCACCAGCAAGCCTGGTCTGCCAAGGGGAGACGGGGGCCTCTGGGGTGGCTTAGGGACAGGGGGCTGGGGCTCCTCTGATTGAGGGCTGATGTGCATGCTCATTCTTCCCCTTGCCCCTCCTGCCTTTCTCTTTTTCTTCTTTCTTTCTCTGCTTTTTCCTTCCTCTCCCGTCTCTCTGGCTTTCGGTTGGTCTCTCTCTCTCTCTGTCTTTCTTTCCTCCCTCCTTCCTTCTTTCATTTTCTTCCTTCTCCCTTTTCTCTCTCCCTCCCTTTTCCCCTCTTCTCTCCTTCCTCCCTCCCTCCCTACCTTTCTTTCTTTTTCTTTCTTTCTTTCCTCTCTCTCTCTCCATCCCTTCCTTCTCTTTTCTTTCCTGTTCTCTCCTTGCCTCTCCTTCCCACAACATTTTCTCTTTCCTGCTTGAAGACCGCCTTCTGAAGATGTCCCTTTGAAAGGCAAGAGCCTGAACAAATGATGTGGTTTTGGAAAAGCCCAGTCTGTCCGCTTCTAAAGATGGGGTTGGTGGGGGGAGCTGTGCTCTTGCCCACCCCCCGCCCACGTCATGGGTTGCATCCTTTTAGTTGTTGTCGTTGTTTAGTCAAGGTCTCCCTCTTTCACCCAGGCCGGAGTGCAGTGATGTAATCTCAGTTCACTGCAGCCTCCCCTCCCGGGCTTAGGTGATCCTCCCACTTCAGCCTCCCCGGTAGCTGGGACCACAGGCATGCGCCACCAGGCCTGGCTAATTTTCTCTCTCTATCTCTCCTTCTTCTTCCTTTTTTTTTTTTTTTTTTGGTAGAGACAGGATCTCACTATGTAGCCCAGGCTGGTCTTGAAATCCTGGGTTCAAGAGATCCTCCCCCTCTCAGCCTCCAAAAGTGCTGGGACTACAGGCATGAGCCACCATGCCCAGTGTCCACAGCATTTCAACAGAGAGAGCCAAGCCTGCAGCCACCAGTGGCAGGCCCCTAGCTCCCCTGACGCTGATGGATTGCAGACACTTTTGAGACAGACACGGTGCAGAGAGGACTTCTCGGACCTCAGCAGAGCTGTGACCCAGGCTGGTGGTTTTGCTTGCTTGCCCAGCCCTCTGTCCATCCGTCTGTGGCTCCCTTCAATGCCACCTGCTGAAACCTCCGCCAACACCAGGCCACGTGACAGGGACTACAGGTGTGAGCCACCATGTCCCCAGGCCACTTGAAAGCATGTTTGTTTTGTTTAAAAGCGTCATCTCTTCTGCACGTGACTGGGTAACATGTCTCCAGGAGAGCCTGGGGAGGCCGGTAGACGAAGGGGCTCAGGGGGGCGTGGGCAGGGGTTCTGGTCCCTGGCCTCCTCAAACCCAGCATGGCAGAGAAGGCCTACGTCCCTTCACTCATCCATTTGTTTCTCAAATATTGGCCGAGTCCTGTTGGGGGTGAGGGTGCATGCCAGGCATCTGGATTATAACAGCATGCGAGACAGAATATCCTGCCTCCTCCATTTTAGTGAAATGCGAGGAATAAAAACATAACCAAGTGGGTAAATACGGTAATTGTCATTAGGGTGGGTCTAGGAAGGGAGTCAGCCAGGTGCTGGAGCCCGTGAGTCTAAGGTCAGCCTGCTTCTGAGGGGGGCTCCTTTCACCTGGGCTGGGCAGGAGGAGAGGGCCCAGTCACATGGGGAGCAGTAGGAATTCTCCTGGCAGCAGGAGTGCATGTGCAAAGGCCCTGAGGCACAAGAGGTTTGCTGGGCTGTAGAGTATGGAAGGAAGCCCCAGGGGGCTTACAAGGAGGGACCAAGGGAAGGGGGGCAGGATCTGATCCGGGCGTCCTGTGGGCCATGGTGACGACTTGGGGCTTTATTCTAAGATCAGTGGGGAGGTCACTAGTGGGCTTGAGCAGGGGAGCTCAGGGTCTGACTCATGCTTTAGGAAGACCCCCTTGGCCAGGTGGTGGGACCGCGTGAGGGGAGGGAGAGTGAGCGGGGAGGAGGCGATTCTTCATTGTTTAAGTGGAGGTGCTGGTGACATCAATGAGATGGTGACCCCAGAGGTAGGGAATAAAGGATGAAACCTAGAGAAGTCAAAGGTCCCTATCCTCACAGGGGGCTGGCTAGCAAAGAGAACAATTATCCAAGTATTGACAAGACAGTGTAAGAAATATAAAATATATGGGCAGCTCTGGGGGCTGCACAAATCCTTAAAGACATCCCACCAGTCTTGGAATAATCAGGAGGGCAACCTGGAGGAGGAGGCATTTAAGCCGAAAATGAAAGGAAGAAAACAAGAAGAAAGAGGAGCGGGGAGGCAGAAAACAGTGTTTCAGGCAACGGGAGCTGCCTGTGCAAGAGGACAGAGGCAAGAGAAAACATACACATTTGAGGACGATAGAAGTTAAGTGCTCCCCGTTGCACAAGTGAGGAGGTGAGGGAGGGTGGGGTTGTGGTAGGCCTGAGCTCCAGGAGAGTGGTGGACTTTGTTCTGAGGACCTCAGGGGCCACTGGAGGGTTTAACTCTTAGTGTTAGTGTCATCGCCAGATTTGTGGTTTACAGAGATTCCTGCAGTTGCTGGTGGCGTGGGTGGTGGGGAGACGTGTCCAAAAGAGGGGTTCTAACTCAGCAGCTTCCTCCCCGAGCAGCCCTGCAGAGCCAGCCCATGTTCCAGATCCAGCACCAAGCACCTGAGCCTTGTGCCGGAGGGGGTGTGAAAGGAAAATAAAATATGGGGACCTCAATCCACTCTGCCAAAAGGAAGAAATTAAGCTGAAAGCTGAGTCCTGTAAGAAGCTGCCTTTCCTTTTGTTCCTAAGCAGAGAGCTGCAGAGAAAAGGTTCAGCATCTCCACACATGGCAGCTCCATGCTCAATGCTCACCTTATCTTTTTTATTTTTATTTTTTCCGGGGAGGGGCGGTGTCGGATAGAGTCTTGCCCTGTTGCCCAGGCTGAAATGCAGTGGTGGGATCACAGCTCACTGCAGCCTCAACCACTGGGGTTCAAGCGATCCTCCCACCTCAGCCTCCTGGATAGCTGGGACTACAGGTGCACACCACCACGACCAGCTAATATTTTAAAAAATTGTAGAGATGGGGTCTTGCTGTGTTGCCCAAGCTGTTCTCAGACTCCTAGGCTCAAGCGATCCTCCCGCCAACTCGTCCTCCCAAAGTGCTGAGATTACAGGCATGATCCGCTGTGCCCGGCCTGGTCTGAATATCTTTTTTTTTTTTTTAAGACAGATTTTCACTCTGTCGCCCAAGCTGGAGTGCAGTGGTGTGATCTTGGCTCACTGCAACCTCCACCTCCCGGGTTCAAGGGATTCTCCTGCCTCAGGCTCCCGAGTGGCTGGGATTATAGGTGTGTACAACCAAGCCCGGCTAATTTTGTTTTTTTTTGAGACAGAGTCTGGCCCTGTCGCCCAGGCTGGAGTGCAGTGGCATGATCTCGGCTCACTGCAAGCTCCACCTCCCGGGTTCACGCCATTCTCCCGCCTCAGCTTCCCTAGTAGCTGAGACTACAGGCGCCCACCACTACGCCCAGCTAATTTTTTGTATTTTTAGTAGAAACGGGGTTTCACCGTGTTAGCCAGGATGGTCTTGATCTCCTGACCTCGTGATCTGCCCGCCTTGGCCTCCCAAAGTGCTGGGATTATAGGCGTGAGCGACCTTGCCTGGCCTCATTTTGTATTTTTTAGTAGAGATAGGGTTTCACCATATTGGTCAAGCTGGTCTTGAACTCCTGACCTAAGATGAATCCACGGGCCTCAACCTCCCAAAGTGCTGGGATTATAGGTGTGAGCCACCGCACCTGGCCTTGTCTGGCTATCTTGATCACGCTGTGCACATCTTCCCTGTGGGAGCAGCTGGGGCACCGTCCTGGACCTGGGAGAACTGCAGTCACCATAGGGTTGAGGAGCTGTCAGAGTCAATCACGATAAGCACTAAACACACTGGACCGCCCCAAAGCTGCTCTGGGGAGGAGTGTGGGCCTTCCAGGCAGATGCGGCGGCCAAGACAAAGACCTCAGTCAGGGCGGGAGTGTTTGGCGTAAGACTGGTCTGCCTGGAGAGAGGGCTACCACTGGTGGAGACGCTCGAGAAAGCCTGCCTGCCAAGCTTCAGTGTCTAGACTTGATCCTTTGGGCAATGGGGAGCCATGGAATGTATGTAAGCAGAGGAGTGAGAAAGTGGGATTTTAGGAAGGCTGTCCCTCACAGCTCGAAACTCCCATTGCCCTCCCAGGTCAGCCTTTCTGTTCCCCTGCCTGACCACTGCTGCTCAAGGCCGTGATGATCCCAGGGGGCCACCCAGTCCCTTTTGAAAGCCTGAAAGCTGCCGGCACCTCTTTCCTGTGCCCAGGTACCCCTAGGCTGCCGGAAGCGATGCATTGTAGCGCTGGCCTCCAGGATTTCCTGCAGTGGCCCATGGGCTGGACAGGTCTTTGAGAAAACCTCCCCAGAGGACCCCATGCAGCCTGGCCAGGGTCAGGCCTGGGAGTCAGTGAGAGGGTTGTTTGCTCAAAGCAAATGGGGCCTTGGGGAGAGGACCCTGCAGGAAGTGGATGCTGTTTGTGGAGGCTGCGGGGTCTCTGGAGCCTCCTTCAGCAGCTCCCAGCTCTGGGACCACCTATGTGTCCTGGCCCCTGCTTCTCCAGCATCCTCTGCTCTGGCAGGCGCGGAGCGGGGCTCTGACCGGGTGGTGGCCGCCATCCCCTCACTCAGAGCTGGCTGTGGGCTCCCCTGCTCTTTGCAGCTGGCAGGAATGACATGGGGGACAGCCTCGGGCAAAACTGGGACATCATGACCTTTGTTGAGACAGTGTCCCCCTCCTTATTCCCCTCTCCCCCACAGTCCTGGGCAGGACCTTTCAAATGAGGCTGTGGAGGGGGTTGAGCTGCAAAAGGTCACCTCCTCTCCCTGCCCCACCCACTCCTGTGACGGCCAGGTCTTGTCACTCCCAGACTCAAACTGCCTTTTGGCTCAGGAGGGGATCCACACAGGCCCAAAAGGAGTTTTATTTATACAAATAGTGCCTACCCAGTGCCTAGCAGACACAGGGGTTCCGTGAAGAGTGTCGGGGTTGTAGGGGGGCAGTGGGGGAGGAAAGAAGGCGTCACTGCTGCCCAACCTGGCCAGGGATGAAGGGGCCTCCCCGTCCCCTAACCCACAACCTAGCGCCTCCCCTGCGTGGCTCTGTGGCCACAACACCCCGGGGCCCTGACCTGCCCCGCCAAAAGCTGCAGCCTCCAAACCCCGCCAAGGTCACGTCGTTTTCTGTCACCAAACTTCCGAGGCTGCTCTGTGTGGCTTTGTGTGGCCTGGCTGCAAACCAGACCCCGATCACGCCGATGAGAAGGCCTCGCTGGGGCAGGAACCTGGGCTGGGGCGGATTCCTGTCCCTGGGGAACTGGAATGAACGTTCTCTGAGCCCCCAAGCCTTTTTAGTCCCCCTGTCCGTGAGCTGGAGCACCTCACTCTGCCCAGCCCTGCCTGGCCGGCCTGGGAACCTTGACACGAGCTGTTCGTGGGGTTCTGGTTACAGCAGGAGGCATACAGGGACCTTTAACCGCTGCACGCAGATTCGGGGGTCTCTGTCCACAGCAGGAGGGGTACAGGGACCTTTAACCGCTGCACGCAGATTCGGGGGTCTCTGTCCACAGCAGGAGGTGTACAGGGAGCTTTAACCGCTGCATGCAGATTGGGGTCTTTGTCCACCTGTGAGATGCCTCTGAGTCCTGCTCTTCTTCTTCGGGCCACGGCAAAGCCACACAGAGCAGGTTGGAAGTCTGAATCTGTGACATGTCAGCTGTATGACCCTGAGCAGAGCTCTGTTGTCCCACCTGGAATGTGGCCATCCCCACCAGCGGGGAGTCCGCACAGCTGTGGGTCTCCTGTGCCCTCAGCTCTGCCTGAAGGAGGACAGGGCATCATGGGCTGTGCATTCCATGCCAGGGGAAACATTTTATCAATCAATAACCTCCCTGGCCTGTGGATCAAGGGGGCACCTTGACGATCATTGGAGGGTCAAGGGAAAGAGCTGCTGTTAGCTGAGCACATACTGTGTGTGCCATCAGGCGTCTTATGTCCTTACCAGACCTGCCTTTGTATTGCCATGTTCCAGGTGCAACCCCCAGCCCAGGAGGAGACTTGACTCGCCTGAGGTCAGCTGGAGCCAGGAACACCTTTGTGCAACAGCTGCCGTGGCCCATCTGTGAGAGACACGTGGACCCCGTGCCTCGAAACAGGTCCTGGGAGTGGTGTAGGCACCATGATCCCCTCAGAAGATTCAGGGGAAAAAAAAAAGGCCAAGCAATAAATGAAGTGATTTCCAGCAAGGGAGTGCCGTGCGGGGCAGCTCTCGAAGAGGTGGCTTCTCACTCCTGCCGCGCTGAGCCCTGAGCAAGACGGAGCAGCTCTGCACCCAGAGGGGCTGAGCTTACGGGCAGAGAGAGCTGCCTGGGCAGAGGCCCTGCAGGAGGACACAGCGGGAGGGAAGATGGGCTGACTTTGAGGGCTTCCTGGGCCACGGGAAACAGCATCAAGCAGCCCCAGGAGGTTAGCCAAGAGTGGGCAGGTGTGCGACTCAGTAAAAGTCAGTTCCTCAGTTTACCCAGTTTACCCAGTAGGAAGGCCACAGGTCCACCATCTGAGCCCTGATGACGCCTGAGCCAGGTTTCCTGCCTCTGAGGAAATTCCAATTAGATGCAGGCGAGATGTGCTGGGCTGATAAGGCACTAACAATGGCCCAGGGCAGAAAGCGAGCAGGGCCAGAGGCAGGGCCCAGAGCCCAGAGGCTGCGAGACCGGAGAGGCTGGGGCGGCCAAGACCTCCTTCACGCCTGGGGTCTGGGTGTGGGTGGGGGCCGCCTTGCATCAACCTGGGGGTAGGGAAGGGAGGAGGTCAGGCACGGCCAGGACTCGTACAGCAGCGGGGTGTCCAGGGCGTTGTGTGAGTGTCCCATGGCTGCCCTGACAAATCACCACAAGCTTAGAGGCTGAAACCTCGCAGCTGCTTCTCTCCTGCTTCTGCAGGTCAGAAGTCAGACATGGCTCTCACTGGGCCAAAATCCGGATGTCGACAGGGCTGGTTCCTTCTAGAGGCTCTGGGAAGCCCTGGTCCTTGTGCTCCCAGCTTCCAGGCCACCCGAATTCCTTGGCTCCTGGCCCCTTCCTCTTTCTCCAAATCCATCATTGGAGCATCTTCCAGTTCCTCTCTCTGAGTGTGATGCCCCTGGCTCCCTCCTGTGAGGGCCCCGGGGTTCCTCAGGCCCACTGGCTAATCCAGGACACACACCCGCCCCCCACATCCAGGTCCTTCACTGAATCATGTCTGCAGAGTCCCTTGGCCACCCAAGTTAACACAGTTGCAGGTGCAGGGGTTAGGACGAGGGGCACCTTTGGGGATTGTTTGAGCCTGCAGGGTTGACGTCAAGGTCAACATTTCTGGGCTGGAGATTCAGGACCCCGAGGTCAGGGTCGGGGACAGGACCGAGCTGCCATCTACAGGGGTTTGAGGGGACTGAGAAGCCACAGAAAATCTCATCGTAGGATGTGGCTGTTACACGCAGCCAACACCAACAGGCGAGGGGTTGTGGAGCCCTGCGAATCCCAGACTTTGGAGCAAGAAGCCCTGGCTTGGCCTCTCACCAGCTGTGCGCCCCGGGGCAGGTCACTCTGCCTCTCTGAGCTTCACTTTCTGCAAGTGAGGGGCAGGGAGCAGAAGAGGCCCTGGCTTTCCAGGGCTTGCGGGGACATCTGTGGGAGGATATTTGTAACCTGCATGACACAGTGCCCGGCACATGGTAGGTGCTCAACCTGTGATGGCAACGTCCCATGGGCCATCCCAGCGGGGCCTGGGGAAGAAGGTGACATGACCCACCCAAGACCACTTTACAAGGCGAGAAAGTAAAGCTTGTCCCGAGAACAGCTACATGACAGCTGAGGGATCAGAGACCTGGGCAAGCCACAGAGGGCGCTTAATGAATGCGTGTCGAATGAATGAACAAGTGACTGTGAGGTGGCATTAGATGGGGACGGAGGAGCCGACGGGGTGCCCTGGGTCCTGTGCAGGGGAGGGGGCCACAGAGAGAGGAAGTGAGGCTGCTGAGCACTGCCCAGGACGGATGGACAGAGCCACTGGGGCAGGGCCGGGGAGGGCAGAAGCTGGAGCGTAGCCGAGGCCCCCGCCCTCTTGCTGGCTAGATGTTTAACTCTGGTGAATGGCCCTGAGCGGGCACCACACCAGCCTGGAGTCTGCTCCCGGGAGGGGCGGACACAAAGCCTGCAGGCCAGGGGCCTCCTGACCAGAGCTGCCTGTCCAGGGCTCAGCCCAGATGGGGATCAGCTCCTCTTCCAGGCGGGCTTAGGGGGCTTCACGTGTACTTCCTGTCTGAGAAGCGCTGGTGTGGACACCCATGGAAGAAGGTCAAGTCGGGTGACCTGATTGCTTGGGGCCGGGTGGATGGGGTGCCTTTTGAGCTGAGCTTGTAAGATAATTTGACTGCAGGGGTGGAAGGCTTCGGGGTGGGGGAGCGACATCACAGTGATGGGGACGGCCAGTGGAGGCCGTGTGTTTTGGCTGGAGTGGATCCCAGATACTGTGCCCTGGTCCAGACCCTGGAGATGGACTGGCTCTGCCCTCAGTATTCACAGTCCTTACAATGACCAGCAGGCCCTGTGCTAAACATGTTATGTCCATCAGTTCATTTACTATGCCAAGAATGGTGTGGGAGGCCCCAGTGCTTATTCCATTTCACAGATGGAGCAAGAGAGGCACGGCAAGGTCAGTGACTTGCCCAGGATCTCTCAATGTGTAAGTAGCTGAGTCAGAATTCAAACCCAGATGTCCTGGCTCCAGCATCCTTGCTCTTAGCCTGTCTTCGAACTGCCTCTCTGAGAGCACTAGGGAGCCACGGATAGTTTGAGAGCAGGAGAGTGACATGCATGAAACAGAGTTTTGCAGAACTGGATGTGGCAGAAGCATGCTCACGAGTACACCGGGGTAAACATTTTTCAGGGGTTGGGATGGGAATTGGGAATGGGGGAATGAGGAGGGGGAAGCCTCTAGGGTGATCCTTCCCCAATCCAGGCAGGAAGTAGCATGATGGCCTTGGGGAGGGGTCAGCCAGGCTGAGATCCAGCCAAAAGTGAGGTCTCAGGAGAATTCCAAGAATGAGAACGAGGTGCGCCCATGGCCACTGAGGGCTAAGGACAAGAGGCCAATCAATGGCCGAAGCCCTGGGAGAGTCACTGCAGCTGCCAGGGGACAGCGGCCGGCCCAGGCAGCCATGAGCCGGTTTCCCTGGCCTAGTTTTGGCTGCATTTTCCTTACCTCCTTTTTCCCTCCAAGTCAGAGCCTCTGGGAAATCCCTGCCGGCCTGGCTGCCTTGAGGCCTTCTTCCTGGCTCGGCCGGAGGACCCCGGGGCAGGCTACATCCTGCTCTGTGCTTGGAGCCCAGGGTCTCTTCCGGGACAGACCCACAGGGACAATCTCCCTTCCTGGCCTCGTCTCTGTGAAAATCCAGCCTGAGAGTAGGGCAGAGAGCCTTGCTCTGCACAGATCGTCGAGGGTGGGCCTCTCCGTTTGAGGCTCGGTGATGCTGCGTGGGGGGAGTCCGCGCTGGCTGACCACACAGCCTGCTCACCTGCCCCATGGGCTCGGGAGTCGCCAGTCTGGGCTGGTGGCTGACCTTGGACGGCTTCCTTAACCCCTCTCGGTTTCCTTCTCTGTAAACATGGGGAGATTAACGATGGGGTTGTTGTGAAGATTTCTTGAAGATAGTGGATGTCAAGGTCACAGTCGTGCTGCAGACATTCTCATTACCATGCATTCCTGGCAGGGCTTTGCTTAGGGGCCTGAGGACATCATAGTCTCGAAGCTAACTGTTCCTGATGAAAAGATATTCATTGCGTGTCTCCCACATGCAGGCAGTGTTGTAAGCACGGGGACAGAGACGTACGTGAGCAGATGGAACCCCCGAAGACCTGCAGCTGTCATCCTGGGACTGTGTGCCCGGCACTGTGCTAAATGCTCCCTGGGGCATCTCGTGTAACCTTTGCAGGAACCCTAAAAACGACGATCAGATTAGCCTCCTCCTCTTGAAAATGGAGACAAAATTCAAATAACATAAACTTCACCACTTTAACCATTTTATTTTATTTACATATTTTTTTTGAGACAGAGTCTCGCTCTGTTGCCAGGCTGGAGTGCAGTGGTGCGATGTAGGCTCTCTGCAACCTGGGCCTCCCGGGTTCAAGCAATTCTGTCTCAGCCTCCCGCGCAGCTGGGACTGCAGGGGTGTTCCACCACACCCAGCCAATTTTTGTATTTTTAGTAGAGACAGGGTTTCCACATGTTGGCCAGGATGGTTTCGGTCTCTTGACCTCATGATCTGCCCGCCTTGGCCTCCCAAAGTGCTGGGATTACAGGCATGAGCCACTGCACCTGGCCCACTTTAACTATTTTAAAGGGTACAATTCAGTGGCGTTCAGTGCAGTCATGAGGTTGTGCAGCCACCACCTGTATCTCATTTCAGAATATGCCCATCACTCCAAAAGGAAAACCCTATCCCCACGATCCGTGGTTCCCCAGCCCCCTGGCCCCCAGCCCTAAGCAGCCACTAAGCTGCCTTCTGTCTCTACGGATTGCCGGTTTTGGGTATTTCATGTCGATGGGATCAGTGTGTGGCCTTGTGTCTGGCTTCTGTCTCCAGGCATATGTTGTCAAGGGCTATCATTCCTTTTCTTGGCCAAATAATGCTCCATGTTGTGGACACATCGTATTTTGTTTATCCGTTCACCTGCTGATGCATGCCAGATGGTTGTTTCCAACTTTTTAATTCCCATTATAAAGATAAGGAAACTGGCCAGGTGCGGTGGCTCAAGCCTGTAATCCCAGCACTTTGGGAGGCCAAGGCGGGTGCATCACCTGAGGTCGGGAGTTTGAGACCAGTCTGACCCACACAGCGAAACCCCGTCTCTACTAAAAATACAAAAAATCAGCTGGGCGTGGTGGTGTGAGCCTGTAATCCCAGCTACTCAGAAGGCTGAGGCATGAGAATCACTTGAACCTGGGAGGCGAAGGTTGCAGTGAGCTGAGATCGCGCCACTGCGCTTCAGCCTGGGAGACAGAGACTCTGTCTCTAAATAAATAAATAAACAAACAAATAAATAAATGTAAACTGAGGCTAAACCGCTCCACTCAGGGTCAACACCTGCCCTGTGACCCAGCAGTTCCACTTTTCGGTATTTATCTAGGAGAAATGAGAACACATGTCCACACAAAGACCTGTGCACAAATGTTCACAGCATCTTTCTCTGTAATAACTTCGAGCTGGCAACGATCCAAATATCCATCCACAGGAGCTGGGTAAACAAACCGTGGTGTCATCCTGGAGTGGGACGCTCCTCATCAGGAAAGAGGAAAGAATGACCCATGCACGCAGCAGCTTGGAAGAGTCTCAAAAACAAGATGCCAATGAAGGAAGCCAGGCACGGGACTGCAACTGTAAGCTGTGACTCTGTGTGACTCCAGCGGTACGAACTTCCAGGAAAAGCAAAAATATGGGACAGAGTATCCACAAGTGGCATTCAGGGACTGGAGTGGGAACTGGCAGGGAAAGGGGAAATGTATTGATTATTTCGATTGCAGTGGTGGGGAGGAGGGTGGACACCTGTGCCAAACTCACTTAAAACGGATGTATTTTATTGTATAAATTATGCCTCAATGAAATCCATTCATAAAAAGAAGCTGAGCCTGGGCACGGTGGCGCATAGCTGTAATTCCAGCACTTTGGGAGGCCGAGGCGGGCCAATCACGAGGTCAGGAGTTCGAGACCAGCCTGGCCAACATGGCGAAACTCCGTCTCTTCTAAAAATACAAAAATTAGCTGGGTGCAGTGGCAGGTGCCTGTAATCCCAGCTACTCCAGAAGGCTGAGACAGAAGAATCGCTTGAACCAGGGAGATGCAGATTGCAATGAGCCGAGCCGAGATGGCACCATTGCACTCCAGCCTGGTGACAGAGCAAGAATCTGTCTCAAAAAAAAAAAAAACCCAGGAAGCTGAGTTTCCCAGCCCTCCATGCCTGCTGTTCTCCGTGCTCCCCATGCTCAGCCCCAGCTCTCTGGGCCATGTAGCCTGGGATTCCCTTTATTTCGCTTGGTGCCTGAGTGCAGCACTTGGAGTCCCGCCAGTGCTGGGCACGAAGTAAGTTCACCGGGAAACCTGGCGGCTGCTGACCGAGCTCTGTTGTCTCCCTGGACGGGGGCAGAGCTGTGTCTGGGAGGAGTTCTGTTCAGAACCCAAGCCACAGCCCACATGGCTGGGACTAGAAGCCAGGTCCCCACTGGACCTGCATCTGATCTGGCCCTGACTCTTCAGACCGGCAGTGTAAACGCCTCCACTCCTGGAGTCCACACCGCTGGGCCGAGGCAGCCTGGCAGCCCCTCCGAGGCCAAGCAGGGGCCACGTCCTGGTTATCAACCTTCCTCCCACAGCCTGCAGCTACCCCAAGCCCCCAGGTTGGCCACCAACTCTATCTACCTCACAGATGAGGGAAACTGAGGCTCAGAGAGGTGAAGTCCCTTGCCCTGGGTCTCGCAGCATGCGGGTGGCAGTCCTAGGATGCACACACAGGTCTTGGGTCCAAGCGTGTCCACTGGTGGGCTTCCTCACCACGCAGAGCCTCGCCCTGAGCGAATTTGGGTCAAAACGCAAGACACTGATGCTGGGATGTGTGGCCCTGGGAGCAGAAAGCTGGGGGCTGAGAGCTGGGGGCTGAGAGCTGGGGACTGCTGGGCCCTGGGGACGGCTAAGCTCTGGGTCACGGCTGGCAGGATGGCCCCGGAGGCTGTTCCTGCTGCTCCCCAAGAAGCAGCCAAGATGGGGTTGCAAGGGCTGCACGTGTGCACAGGGCCTGTGAGGGCTGGGGGCTCTGTGGGGGATACTGGGATCAGTTTGTATGTGTCTGTGTGTGTGTGTATGTGTCTGTGTGTGTGTGTGTCTGTGTGTGTGTGTGTGTCTGTGTGTGTGTGTGTGTAGCTGCATGTGTGTGCCTCTGTCTGTGTCTGTGTGTGTCTCTCTTTGGGTGTCTCTGTGTCTCTCTGATTCTGTGTGTGTCTGTCTCTTTGCATGTCTGTTTCTGTATCTCTGTGTGCCTCTGACACACTCTGTCTCTGTCTTTGTGTCTCTGTATTTCTCAGTGTCTCTCTGTATCCCTGTCTGTCTTTCTGGGCCCCTGTGTGTCTCTCCATCTCTGTATCTCTGTCTCTGTATCTGTCTCACAGCATCCTGTGTGTGTGTCTCTCTGTCTCTGTATCTCTGTCTCTGTATCTGTCTCACAGCATCCTCTGTGTGTGTCTCTCTGTCTCTGTATCTCGTTCTGTCTCTCTGCTCCCCACTCTGTGTGTCTCTTTGTGTCTCTCTGTCTCTGTATCTCGTTCTGTCTCTCTGCTCCCCGTTCTGTGTCTCTCTGTCTCTGTATCTCTGTCTCTGTATCTGTCTCACAGCATCCTGTGTGTGTGTCTGTCTCTGTATCTCATTCTGTCTCTCTGCTCCCCGCTCTGTGTGTGTCTCTCTGCGTGTCTCTCTGTCTCTGTATCTCGTTCTGTCTCTCTGCTCCCCGTTCTGTGTGTGTCTCTCTGTCTCTGTATCTCTGTCTCTGTATCTGTCTCACAGCATCCTGTGTGTGTCTCTCTGTCTCTGTATCTCGTTCTGTCTCTCTGCTCCCCGCTCTGTGTGTGTCTCTGCATCTCTATCTCCCTCCATCTCTGTGCATGGTCAGGTTCACAGCGTCCCTCTCCTGCCTCTGGGCTCCTGAGTGGCACAGTGAGAAGAAGGCCCCTCTCCGGGCAGATGGAATGAGGGGATGGGCCAGCCCTGACTCGGTGGCTCCTTCTGAGGCTGCTCTAGCACCTCCAGGCAGCAGGAAGAGGCGTTCAGGCCTTTCCCAGGACAAGGCCTACCCCGCTCCTGCCCAGGCAGCAGGCAGCAGGCAGCAGGCAGCGGCTGGCTCCATGCCTTCCAGCCTTCAGGATGAATTCCCTCCTCCTGGGAGAGGCCCCTGTTTCCTATCCCTGAGGAGCGCTGCCAGCTCTGCATGCCCTCGGGTTCTGCAGGAGTCCAGGCAACCTCTGGCTGGGAAGAGGCCTGGGCCCCACCTCCCTCAGTGGCCTGCCAGGCCCCACCCTCCCAGCCTCCCTCAGCAATCGCCCCCGCCCTCCTCTCCCCGGCTGGTCTGTGTTTCTTGGCCCCAGTTGAGATGAGTCACTGGGGAGCCCCTGACAGCTCTGAGGGTGGCAGCCCCCCGCAGGACCCAGGAAGTCAGAGTCCCCAGGGCAGCCAGGCCTGAGCTGGCCTCGAAGCCACCAGCCCACTCAGAACAACCGTCTGTAGGGCTCATCAGAAACACAAACAGCCCAGCGGGACAAACACGCTTGGAGTTGGCCACCCTGGGGCCACAGCCCAGCTGCCCCTGTCAGTGACAGGATGTCTCCAAGTTCAAGGCCATCATCTCCAGGTGGAGGTAAGAGCCCCAGCCCACCGGGATAGCCGGAAGGCTGAGGTCACAGAGAGGGCCCCATGCCCGGCACAGGTGTCTTCAATAACGTGAGTGCATGGCGCCCACTGGCCACCTCCACGTGAGCTGCGGGAACGCTCACTCCTCAACAGCAGTGCTCTGAGAAACACGCACACAACGTTCTTCCAGCTGATACTCGGAAAACCCAACATGTATTGCTGAGTTACTGGGTGTCCCAGGCTCTGCAGGCGCCAGAGAGTCCATCATGGTGGGCAGCTCCCACCCTGGAACCCCGCAAGGAAGTGACTCTCCCAGTGGATGCTTAGGCTGGTGTAAGGGAGATGCATGGTGGCAGGAGGAGAGGCTGGGTTCTCCCCACAGGCATCAGGCAGGGCTGGCTGCCTGGAGGAGGGGGCCTGTTAGGGTGCAGGCCTCGTGTGGTGGGTAGCGCAGGATGGAACATGCTGTACCCAAGGCTCCTGCCTGGCCCCCTGGGCTCCCTTTCCTGCCCCTGATGGTCCAGAAGCTGCGTGTGTCTCCCCAGCCTCGGCCTGAGGCCTGGCACCAGGTGTCAAACACCAGAGTCCTGGCAGCCGGAGGATGACAGCTGGGCCCCACCCCAGGGGACAGGCTCCAACACGTTCCCTGCAGGGCAGAGGCAGATTCAGGGAGGAGGGGGGGTAGGGGGTGGGGATGGCCGGCTGGGGATCAGACTGACCAGGTCCGAGTCTGGGCTTGTCCTGGGTGCACTGACAAATAACTCGCCACGTCTATTTCCTCACTGCAAAAGGCTGGTGGGTGGGCACGGGGGCTCACGCCTGTAATCCCAGCACTCTGGGAGGCTGAGATGGGAGGATCACTTGAGCCCAGGAGTTCGAGACCAGCCTGGGCAACATGGTGAAACCCTGTCATTACCAAAAAATACAAAAATCAGCCAGCTGTGGTGGCACACATCTGCAGTTGCAGCTACTAGGGGAGGCTGAGCTGGGAGAATCACCCGAGCCAGGGAAGTCGAGGCTGCAATGAGCTATGATTGCACCACGGCACTCCAGCCTGGGTGACAGAGCAAGACCCTATAAAAACAACAAACAACAACAACAACAACAGCTGTTGATGTTGATGGCGACTGCTCAAGGTTGTGTGAAAAAAATTAAAAGCACGTGACGCTGAGGTTGAATAAAAGGACTTTCTCATCAGACATCCGTGACATGGCCAAGCATGCTAGCTCCAAGAGGTCAGTGCTATTATTATTATTCCTGTTTTACAGATGAGGAAGCAGAGGCTCAGGGCGCAGCGAACATTCTCTCAGGTCATCAGCAGCAGAGCTGGGAAGCTCGTGCATGAAGTTTAGGTGTCTGTATAGACAGCTCCTCTTCTCACTGGATTTATAGGCTCCCCCTCCTTTCTGCAGAGGGCAGGGAGCTCATTCAATAAACAGAATCAATGAATGAATCAATGAACAGTTGCGCTGTGTGACCCCGGGCAAGCCTCCTCACTTCTCTGGGCCCGCATTTCCATTTGTCGGGTTAAGCCTGGGAGCGTTCAGCTCTAGAAAGCTTTTCAAGCCAAGGTCCAGGAACCCAGAGAAGCAAAAGGCAGCCTGGGGCCCCAGCAGGGGGACTTTCCAAGGTCCCTGGTCATTTTTAGCCTCCCTCCCTGGGGACAAGTGACCCACACTCTGTCCTCAGGCCTGGCTGCTCTCGGCAAGTTCTTTTTCTGGCTGTATGAACTCAGGCTGCGTGCACAGCCAAAGTTAAACTCAAGAGGGCTGGACACGTGGCTTGGGCGGGGAGCCGGGGCAGATGGCAGGCCACCTGTGGAAGGGATGGCTGCGAGTTGGCAACCCCCACCAGAGGCACCTCCACCGCCCCCCTCCTCCTGCCTACCTGCTGGCCTCACTTACTCCCTGTGTTCTGCACTGAGCCCCTGCAGCATCCATGGCAGGGGCTCTCACAGAGAGGGGACCAACTGAGGCTGGACAGGTGACGAGGGGACAGACATCCTCTTCAGAGCCTGGTTTGCAAAGGCTCAGGGCAGGGAAAGCAGAGCCCCAGCAGACCAAGGGGAAGGGGCTTGGACACCTCTCAGAGGAGACCCCAAGTGGGGCCATGGGTAGGTGCTGACCCCCATGTCCCCTGACACCCCATCCCACCTCGGTCCCTTAAAGATCCCACCAAATCTGTCCCTCGAAGGTGTCACTCACTAAATCTTTGGGCATTTAAAGACTTTTAAAGTCCTATTTTTGTTGTTGTTTTTCTGAGACAGGGTCTCGCTCTGCTGCCCAGGCTGGAGTGCAGTGGCGAGATCGTGGCTCACTGCAGCCTCAGCCTCCCTGGCTCAAGTGATTCTCCCTCCTCAGCCTCCCAAGTAACTGGAACCACAGGTGTGCAACACCCTGCCTGGCTAATTTTCTAATTTTTCTTTTGTAGAGATGGGGTCTCACTATGCTGATCAGGTTGGTCTCAAACTCCTGGCCTTAAGTGATCTTCCCGCCTTGGCCTCCCAGAGTGCTGGGATTACAGGTGTGAGCCACTGCACCTGACCTAAAACTCCTGTTGTTAAAAATAAATCAGATGAATAATATACATTCATGGTCCAAGGTGGAGGTTTTTGAAAATATCCACAGGCAAAAAGAGAAAAAGCACCATCTGTATTCCCAGGTAAATACACCTACTATCAGTCTTCCAGTATTTTTTTCTATGAAGACATATATAGTTTTTAAAAATCTTCCTTCTATTTAACAATATAAGGTTAACCTCCTTCCAGGTCAATACCTAGGTAACCAGAGCATGATTTTTTTTCATAGCATCACCTGGATGCCCACTTATTTAGGTAGGTATTTATTTATTTATTTTGAGACAGAGTTTTGCTCTTGTCGCCCAGGCTGGAGTGCAATGGCGTGATCTCTGCTCACTGCAGCCTCTGGCTCCTGGGTTCAAGAGATTCTCCCGCCTCAGCCTCCCGAGTAGCTGGGACTACAGGTGCCCGCCACTACGCTGGGCTAGTTTTTGTATTTTTAGTAGAGACCGGGTTTCACCATGTTGGCCAGGCTGATCTCAAACTCCTGACCTCAGGTGATCTGCCCACCTCAGCCTCTCAGAGTGCTAGGATTACAGGCGTGAGCCACGGTGCCCAGCCTGCATTGGATTTCATGAACATGTGGGGTTTCTGAGGTCCATGGACTACAGTTTGAAAAACAATAACATTAGAGACATCTCAAACAGCATCCCCCAAGAAGGGGAAGGAGCAGGAAGGTCTAACGGCTTGAGCTTGGGCTTGGCAGCCAGAGATCTAGGCCCAGTTCTGGCCTATCTCTCATGAGTGGAACCTCCCTAAACCTCAATGTCTTTATGTGAGATAGAACAAATTCTCTCCATGTTTGAATTCAATACATGAGCAAAACACCAGCAAAGATCCAGCAAATGTCAGCCCTGAAGACATCTGTCCACGTGGTTAAAATCGAATGCACCTCCATCACAGCAGAGGAGTTCCAGAACTCAGCATATTCTGTAGCATTAGAATTATAAAATGGTACCAGTGCCAAATCTTACATGACACCCCAGCGGGGCTGAGGCAGTTCCCTTAATCAACCACTGTTATATTTCTGTAGCGAAATACATGAATATTCATGCAGAGTACAGCAAGTGGAGGCTCCGATGAGCCTCAGGTCAGTTTTTTGCAGCCAAATGAGTGACACAAAAACTTGGTTTTTTTGAGCACTTGTGATTTTAGAACTGCAGGTAAGGGACAGAGCCCTATATAAAGATGTGGGCATCCAAACTGGGCCTGGTGGCTCCCGCCTGTAATCCCAGCACTTTGGGAGGCCGAGGCAGGTGGATCACCTGAGGTCAGGAGTTCGAGACCAGCCTGGCCATCACGGTAAAACCTCATCTTTACTAAAAATACAAAAATTAGCTGGGTGTGGTGGCGGGTGCCTGTAGTCCCAGCTACTCAGGAGGCTGAGGCAGGAGAATCACTTGAACCCAGTGCGTGGCAGTCTGGGTGACAGAACAAGACTCCGTCTCAAAAACAAACAAACAAACACACAACAAAAAACAAAACAAAAAAATCAGTGCAGACTTTGAGGCCCCAGTCTGGCCTCCTGACCTGATCGCTGGGGAGCCACAGGCATCAGCTTGTTAATAGGCTCACGGTGATTCTGCGTGCTTTTTAGTTTGAGATTCTCTGTCCAGGGTCCCAGGACTGGGGTGAAGGGAAATGTTGTTCCAACTTCTTCTGGACTTGAACTTAGGGGCTCCAGGATCTCACTTTTTGCCTCTACCCCCTGCTGCCAGGAGCACGTCAACCTTAACTGTCACCCTGGGAGCCCCGTCTCTCTGAGGCAGCCACAGGGCTGTCAGGCATGTCCTGTTGGCCAAAAAGCCATGGCTGGGAGTGGCCTCTCCAAAGCCAGTCATTAATCTTGGTTAACGCAAGGGAATTGCACCTCAGTTCAGATATTACCTTCCCTGCCCACTCCCTTCTCAGAGCCTGACCTTTCTGCATATTTTGCGGAACACAGCACGAAGTTCCCACGTGAGCACTGACATTCCCTGGCCCTCTGCTGCTCCGCAAAGGGCAGTTGTGCTTTTTATCTTAAATCAGTCTGCCTGTCTTCTCTCCCTGCCTTTTTTTCCAGGAGTAAATCCTTCCTTCCTCCCATCCATATACCCACCAACCCATCTTAATCCATCCATCTGTTCTCTTTCTATCCATCCATCCATCCATCCTTTCTCCATCCATCCATCCATTCACCCATTCATCCATCTATCCATTTACCCACCAAACCTTCTATCCCAAACTCATCCATCTATCCACTCATCATTCATTCACCTACCCACCAAACCATCCCTCCACCAAACAATCAATTTGTCAATCCATTCATCCTTCATTTCTCTTGCCTTCCATCCATTCATCCATCTACCTATCCATCCACCCACCCAGCCATCATCTGTCCATCCATCTATCCATCCATCCACCCATATTCATTCACCCACTCACCAAACCATCCATCAATCCATCCATCCTTCATTTCTCTTTCCTTCCATCCATCCATGCTTCCATCTGTCTACCCATCCACCCACCCAACCATCATCCACTCATCCATCTATCCTATCCACCTATCCATTCTGGTGCCCAAGACAGGTGCCCATAAATCTAATCAAATGAGTGAATGATGAGTCTCTCCAAGCAATTTATTTAGTAACCTTATGAGAAAGGGAAAAAGATTCCCCTGGAGCAAGTGGCTTTGGTGGAACGCGTCCCTCCCAGCTCTCCTCATGCATTCATTTGCCCATTATTCAGCACATGTTTACTGAGTGCCCCCTAAGTGGCAGACATCACCTCGGTTCTGGTGCTGGAGATACACAGTTGAGCAAAAACAGATGCCTGGGCCTCGCCCTCATGAAACTTACAAATGTGAGGGGGGACAGATGTTAGCCAAGTAGCCACGCTCATGAAGCCATAATTACAAACAGCAATTACAAGCGGTGCCCACACAGTGCCCAGAAAGAAAAGAAATCACTCAGAATATCACAGAGGTTTCCGAGCCAGGCCCCGGGGCCAGGGAGGACTCCTGCGAGATCTGGATGGTCATGCAGAGGCCAACGCTGGTCAAGGAAAAGGGCACCTGAGCCAGGTGAGTCAAGAGAGGAATCCAACAAAGAGAACGGGCTGCAAAAGCGGTGAAGAAGCTGCAAGAGCAAGCAGGGAAGTGAGGCTGACTCGTGACGAAGAACAGCAGGAAGCTGCTGTCACCCCTGGGCAGGACAGGGGAGGAGGATGGAGTTACTAGAGCTGCTGCCGGAACCACAGAGATCTGGCCACTTGCAGAGACACTGCCCAAGCAGAGAGAGAGAGAGAGAGAGAGAGAAAGAGAGAGGGAGTGAGAGGAGGGCTTCTCCCTCCCCTGGCCCTCTAGTCTCCCTCAAGTGCCTCTCAAGGACTGTCCCTAATGGGAAGTCAGAGGCAAGGAAGCCTGGGAAATGTAGTTTGCAGGGTCAGCCTGCAGAGCAGAAGGGTGAGGAATGGGGTATGCCTGGGACAGGCAGGAATTCATCAGGCACAGAGGGGAGGGGCGCAAGTTCCAGGCAACGGAAGCAGCACATACAAGGACCCTGTGGTGCAACGTGCCTGGTGCCTCTTAGGAAGGCCAAGGCACCAGGAGGGTGCAGGGTCCCGAGAGGCCTCAGGGTCTCCAGGAGACCTGGGCAGGGCCAGCAAACAGGGATTCTGACCTTTAACCTGAAAGCTCTGAACGCTGAGAAGGATTTTAAGCAAGAGGGAGACCACAACCAGACTTGCGCTTTTGAAAAGACCGTGCTGGCTGCTGGGTGGAGAACAGACGGACGGGGGCCCCCAGAGGGGAAGCAGGTTGGAGGTTGGGGCTGCCCCGCCAAGCCCCTCCCCCAGCTCCCCAGCTTCCGGCCCAGGCCGGGGACCTCCGATTGTCCCCACCCTCTGGTCTCAGACCCCCATGGCAGGAGGGGAGCTCCAGCTTCTCCTAAGGAGACCCCCACTTTCTTGATCACCTGCTTCCCCCTTTCAGATGGCAGTCCTGGCTCCACCCCCCAATGAGGCCCCAGCTCGGCCCACACCACCCTGCCCACCTCCTTACCCTCTGCTAAGCCCCCCCAGCGGCCCACACCCTGGGCTGGAGTGCCAGCCACCGCGGCACCTGTCCATGGCTGTTTTCCACTGCTCCAGCAGCTCAGCTTTCAGCTCTGATAAATATTAACGGCCACGTAGGGTCGAGGGGGGCCCCACGGAGAGATAGTCTTTCTGGAAGGCACATCAGGGTGCCCAGTCACAGTCGCAACGGGACACCCGGGCCTGACTCCCAGCCTCCTCGCCTGCCCCCACCCCATCCCACTGGGCGCCAAGCCTGGGAGCCCCACAATCAGACTTTCTCTGGTTTTCTCTTAATGCCAGAGCTCAACTTCCCTTGAGTGAAACCTCGGGCTTCCAAGGAAGAAATGGAGTCAGGAAGAAGTTCTTGAATGACTGACTGAGGGCCCCTTGGCCTCATAACCACAAATCACCCTTTTCCAAAGGGGTAGAAGGAGCTTTAGGCTGGGAGTCAGGAATGCCGAGTTCTAGCTGGACTTTGTGTGACCTTGGTCAAGTCAGGGCTGTCCTGGGCCTTGGACTCTCAAATTCAGGGGGTGGGCTGGAGCACATCCAATGCCTCAACTCTCTCTAAAAATTCAGGCTTTGGAAGGCAGGCACTTCTGGAAGGTGGGAGCCATTTCAGGGAGCCAGGTGGGGGGTGCTGGTGGTGGGGAGATGAACCTTTGAGCAGCGTTTACTGTGTTCGAGGCCCTTTGGCATTTGATCTCTTGACAAGGGGGTGTCACGGGCATGGTTGTTGCGACACACCCACGTGGAGTAAGGAAATGTGGCTCGCAAGTTCAGCCACTTAGCAGGGGCCACACTGATAATAAATGGCAGGGTTGAATTTCCATCTAGATTTTGAAATCTAGAGCAAAGTAGTACAGTACTCAGTGTGGTCTCTGGAGCCAGACAGCCCGGGGTTGAAATCCCAGCTCTGTCTGTTAGAAGCTATGTGATCCTGGCCAAATAGCTTAGCCTCTCTGTGCTTCTGTTTCCTCATCTGTGAAGTGCAAATAATACTTGTGCACCCACCTCATCGGGCACTGAAAGGCTGAAATGGGATGACGTGTGCAGATTTAGCTCAGCTAGCTAAGGGCTCGGGATTGCTGTATTGATTAAGTCTCACTCGAAGACACATGTGCTTGCCACTGTGTCGGCCTGCTGCTTGTTTGCTTGGACTCTGTGCGGTGTGTATATACATATATATATATATATATATTTTTTTTTTTTTTTTTTTTTTTTTTTTTTGAGACAGTTTCGGTCTCTCGCCCAGGCTGGAGCGCAGTGGCACAATCTCCGCTCACTGCAAGCTCCGCCTCCTGGGTTCACACCATTCTCTTGCGTCAGCCTCCCGAGTAGCTGGGACTACAGGCGCCTGCCACCAGGCCTGGCTAATTTTTTGTATTTTTAGTAGAGACGGGGTTTCACCGTGTTAGCCAGGATAGTCTCAATCTCCTGACCTCGTGATCTGCCCACCTCGGCCTCCCAAAGTGCTGGGATTACAGGCATGAGCCACAGCGCACGGCCGGACTCTGCACAGTATTTGAACCCAGAAGTCCCCCGGAAGAAATGCACATTGAACCCAGGCCCGGTGGAGTCAGGACCCAAAATCACAGGCGATTGATCTCGGGGACTGTAAGCCACTGTTCCTGGTGAGCACTGTCCTTCAGACAGCTGGAATGTTCTAAATCATTCTAAGACCCAGGCAGATTGGAATTTAAAAATGTATTTCCCCTTTTAGAGTGAGCCATGCCTAAGTATTTCTGGCCTGTGAAAGGAACACAGTTTCAGAGCCAGGGCAGAAAAACCATGTGTGCTCACAAAACCCAACCCAAATCTTGGCCATGAAGACCGTTTCCTCTGTAGCTTGTACGGACTTCATTGCAGCTGCTCTGGAAGGCAGGGGGTGCCCTGTAAGAAGCCGCCCAGGGGGTTGGGCTGGTGGGTGAGCAGCTGAGGGGAGGAGTCAGGAAGGGCGGAGTCTGGGAACCAGGGAGCCTTGGGAATTCCATAGGCCTATGAATGTGATTTAAAACATCTCAGTATGCATTAAAGTCAAATATACACTGACCCCATGGTTAGCAGTTCGACTCCTAGGTATTTACTCAACAGAAATGCATTACGTATTTTTGCTTTTAGAGGTTTCTTTGCAGGCAGCTTCTCACTCTGTCACCCAGGCTGGAACACAGTGGCACGATCATAGCTCTCTGCAGCCTCGAACTCCTGGGCTCAAGCAGTCTTCCTGCCTCAGTCTCCCCAGTACCTGGGATTACAGGCATTCGCCACCATGACCAGCTAATTTTTTTGTTTTTGAGATGGAGTCTCGCTCTGTTGCCCAGGCTGGAGTGCAGTGGCTGCGATCTCGGCTCACTGCAACCTCCGCCTCTTGGGTTCAAGCAATTCTCTGCCTCAGCCTCCCAAGTAGCTGGGATTACTGGTGCCCACTACCACACCTGGCTAATTTTTGTATTTTTAGTAGAGACGGGCTTTCACCATCTTGGCCAGGCTGGTCTTGAACTCCTGACCTCATAATCCATCCACGTTGGCCTCCCAAAGTGCTGGGATTACAGGCGTGAGCCACCGCGCCCAGCCTGACCAGTTAATTTTTAATTTTGCAGAAATGAGGTCTCACTATAGTGCCCAGACTGGTCTCGAACACCTAGGCTCAAGCCATCCTCCTGCCTCAACCTCCCAAAGTGCTGAGATTACAGATGCGAGCCACCACACCCAGGCTGCATTTTGTGTTTTCAACCAAAGACATGAAATAGAATGTTCAGAAAAACACAATCATGTAAGTCCCAAATGCAAACTCCCCAAAAGCTCACCAATGGCGGAATGGATGAACAAATGACGGAATATTCATCCATAGACTACTATACAGCAATCAAAAAGAACAATGTACTGCTTCAGGAAAAAACAGGGAAGAATTGCACAGATCTAATGCAGAGCAAAAAGCCAGACCCGAAGGGTACATATGATACACTTCCACTTAGCAAAGGTACAAAAACAGCCTGTGCGGACATGGGCTACAACGTGAAGGTCTGAAAACATTATGCTGGGTGAAAGAAGCCAGTCACAAAAGACCACGTGTTGTATGATCCCATTTATACGAACTGTCCGGAACACGCAAATCCACAGAGACAGAAAGTAGATTATTGATTGCCAGGGAGCGGGTGGGGGTGCGCTGGAGGTGTTGAGGGTGAGAACTAAAGGGTATGAGGTTTCTTTTTGGGGGTGATGAAAATGTTCTAAAATGGATTGTGGTGATGGCTGAAAACTCTGTAAATATACTAAAAGCCATTGAATTGTACACTTTAAATGGGCGGATTGTGTGGTATTTGAATGATATCTTAATAAAGCTGCTAAAAAATAAAATGTTCTTGGTGTTAGAAATCAAGATGCCTGCAGTCCTGGCTCAAGTCGTTACCCTTGCGGGTAGGTGAGGGTCTGGAAGCAGGTACATGGGGGCCTACTGGGAGTCTGGACATGCCTTCTTTCTGGGTGCTAGTTACACAGATATGTTCTGTTTGTGAAAATGCAGCTTGCTGTACACGTATGAAGATGCACACTTTTCTGTACGGAGGCGACACTTCAGTGTAAAAAGGTTTTTTAAAAATGACACCCCAGTGTAGCGTCAGACACATGCCTCAGTCCCACCTCACGTCCCCATCCGTGAGTCCAGCAACGACCCACCAGCCGCATAAATCAGAGGCCAGGGAAGTCGAGCTGGCGGCTGGGTTTGGAACATGCTTCGGTGACTCAGAGCAGCAGCTGGAAATAATCTGCTGCTGTTGACTTCACCGCCCTCCTGTTCGGCAGCTCGGGGGACCTGCCACGGCCCACTGAGTATTCCAGTGCCAGAGAGCTGGGGAAACCTGTCCTGAAGTTGGCGGCCGCTGATGAAGCCATAGGCAGGACTCGAAGGCCTGCAGCGAGGCCTGACCATCAGCCTCCCTGGCAGGACCCCTTGAGGGACAAGGACGCCTCTAGCAGGAAGGATCTGGGAAGGTGGCCCAACAGGCCAGGAGCTGAGCACACAGCAGGGCGGATGAGAGTGAGGCGCTCCGGCCAGATCGGGTCTCAGTCCAGCTTTAACACTTCCCAGCTCTGACACTGGGGACATGGATTTGCTGTTCCAAGCCTCAGTGTCCTTGTCTGTAAGAGTGTAATCGTGCCTACTTTTTAGGCTGTTGAGAGAGCCAGATGGGATAATAATATGACTATCAGCTGTGAACATGGTACCTGGCTTCTAGTTAAACATCAGCTATTGTCATTGCAGGATGTACGCTGATTACTACTGAGCACCGACTGTATGCCGGGTGCCTTCGTGGCACTTCTCGGTTGCACGCTGGTTAGTATTGAGCACCGACTGCATGCCGGGTGCCCTCACGGCACTTCTCGGTTGCACGCTGGTTAGTATTGGGCGCCGACTGCATGCCGGGTGCCCTCACGGCACTTCTCGGTTGCACGCTGGTTAGTATTGGGCGCCGACTGCATGCCGGGTGCCCTCATGGCACTTCTCGGTTGCACGCTGGTTAGTATTGGGCGCCGACTGCATGCCGGGTGCCCTCATGGCACTTCTCGGTTGCTCTGGCTTCTGTCTCCCTTTGCTTGTGCCCCCACCCCGCCCACTGTGCCCCACCAAGAAACCTCCGTGGCTGGGAAGCTTGGGGACAAACCACATAAATGGCTGCTGTGAATTTCATGCTGCAAATCAGGGGCCTGTTGAGATGCCGGCGGCAAGGGAGTCTTTGAGTCCACTCCAGATTTATGTGAGTGTTTGTCCCATCATCCCCAGTGGCAGGTCAGCTCCAGCAATCATTTATCAAAAGGGTTTATGAGGCCCTGAAGTTCATGGCAATATCCTTGGATTTCAAGATGGTGAGGGCTGGGGTGGGGGATGATGTCTCCTGGAGGGGGAGACTGGGCTATTCTCTGCTGGATTCTTTTTCAGGCTTAGGGGAGCAAGGTGAGGTTTTAGAGCACCCGATTCTGCTCTGTGAATCTGTAGCCCGTGCTCTGACACTTAATTGTGTAATGCAAACCGTCATTGTTTAAAAAGGCACTTTGCAGTTTACAGAATGTTTCTGCCTAGGTTGTCTCAGGCCCCGGGATAGAAAATGGCCCACCCACTTCCATGCTCAGAAACTCCTGTATTTAAAAAGGCAACAAGGCTGGGCGCGGTGGCTCATGTCTATAATTCCAGCACTTTGGGAGGCCAAGGCGGGTGGATCACTTGAGGTCAGGAGTTCAAGACCAGCCTGGCCAACATGGTGAAACTCTGTCTCTACTAAAAATACACAAATTAGCTGGGTGTGGTGGCGTGTCCTTGTAGTCCCAGCTACTTGGGAGGCTGAGGCAGGAGACTTGCTTGGATCTGGGAGGCAGAGATTGTGATGAGCTGGGATTGCACCACTGCACTCCAGCCTGGGTGACAGTGAGGCTCCGTCTCAAAAATAAATAAATAAATAAAAATAAAATAAAAAATGAAAAGGCAACAAGATGCTAAGACACGGCTACAAAACATGCTGTATGTGTTTCATGTTTATATTTAACAAATTAGCACAATAAATGCACAGAAAATGCAACAAAATTTCATCAGCCCCAAAGCTGGCAACTTATCCTGATTCCAAGAATGGTTCCCCTGGGGAAATCCCTGCTTCTTGGAGCCTCAGTTTCTCTGTCTTTAAAATGGATGTGATGCCTCCATGTACTGCTGTGTCACATGAGTGCATGGAGGTGAACCGGTTCATAAGCCCAAGGCCTCCACAAATCCCAGGGATTTTTCGTTGTTAACAGTTACATTCTTTCCCTCTGAGAAGGAGGATATATTTTTGCCAGTGGCCTGCCATGTCTGAAGCTCTTTCTGAGGATAGCAGAGAAGGGCTTGCTTCGTTCTTAGGCAAAAAGAATAAAAAAGAATTTAAAAAAAAAGAAAAAGAAAAAAAGAAAGAAAAAAGAAAAAATAGGGCAGTCAGATGATAAATTTTGTTTTTCTGGTCCCCAGTGAGCCAGAGGCCAAACACAGCACACGTTGTCTCTGAAAAGAAGAGGATGGACCAGCCTAAGAAGGTAAATGGGTCCTGGGCGGGATGCCAAAGGCGCAGGCATAGTTTAGAGGAAGGAGGAAAAGGGCAAAAGGCCCACTGAGGAGGGAAGTCGGGTTGCAGGGTTGGGAAAAGCCAGGGGCACGTGACAGAGCTTAATCTTGATTGCTGGCACTCAAGAGGAATAAAAGATGGCGCAGCAGAAGCTGGCCAGGCAGCTGGATGATTCTGGAACTTGGAAGGCATAATGAGTGAGGTTTTGGATAGAGTCTAGCGGCGTCCCTGGTTCAAGCACTGATTGGTCCCCAACCATGTCCACATCCTTGTGAAACTGTGGGGCAGGGCAAGGCAAGCCAGCTCAGGCTCTGCCCCAGTAGGAGAGGCAGGCAAAGAGACAGAGATACAAAACAACGTGTGGTTAAGCATTTGGAGGCTGGAAATGAGTTCTCCTGGGCAGGATGAGGGCAGATACCTGCGGTTTCTGGGCTAAGACGAACCTACAGGTAGCTGCAAATCTGAGATGTGCCCAGGTGTTCCATGCTGACGGCCTCCTTGTCTCCTGCAGAATCCAGGTGGGCATTTTTTACCTGCTCCCAATGCAAGGTCTGTCTGTGAGCATCTGTCAATTCTTTTAAAGTCCTACAATTGAAAGATGAAGAGCCGGGCTGTGCAGTGTGTGGTCTGGAGGGAGCCTGGCACCCTCTCTCCAGCTGCAGGGTGAGGTGTAGGACTTAGAGGGAAGCCAGGAGATGGCTCTGCTGGGGATGGTCAGGCTGTGGCCCCAGCAGCACTTGGCAGGGATGTTTGGATGGCTTAGTCCTGTTGGAGCCTTTTGCCCATTTCCATTAGAAACGGGGACTTCAAGTCTACGTTGGTGCATGAAGTTCATGCCAATGCACCCTGACATTTCTTCTCATCTCCTGGCACAAACTTGGCCCGTTTTGTACCCAGACAGGCACGTTTGAGGGCCTGTTTCCTTTGGCATGAAACTGGGGACACATGTGAGGAGAGGGGGGACCAGATTCTAGGCTGTTCCTGTCCTAGCATTGCAGGATTGAAGAGAAAGTGAATCTCACTAGCCAGCAAAGCAGAGGGTTTCAGAGGCATGCGGCCGGGGTGCCAGTCCCAACTCCACCACGCTGTGTGACCCTGGGCCTGTGACTTCCCTCCCCTATGCCCCAGTCTCCTCACCCCTAAACTTGCGGGTACAGCACCACCTACCTCGTGGGCTTTGGGGAAAGATTTGATGAGTTGGCACCTGCAAAGCATAGGTCCTGGTGTGTGCTTCACACTGAATGGGTGTGCTGTGTGTTTAATGTCTACACATGCTGTGTGTGCTTATATCACTGTTTTTCTGCATCCCAGTGCAATGTACTTTACCAGCATTGGCTCAGTTCACCCTCTTTGCGCACTGTCAAGTTGGCTCTGCTTTACAGATGGGGAAACTGAGGCTCAGAGACCTAAACGAGCAAGCCGAAAGCCACACAGCTAGTAAACGGTTGTGTGATGTCAGTCTGCTGTGTCAAGCTGTGGCAGTGGCCCTGCCCCCATGTCATCCCCCCAGAGGAGCAGCCATCATCACCGGCCTCCTCCTCTGATTTGTGTTCACCCTGCTTCCTGGCTCCCAAGACGTGTTCCAGGGGACTTTCCTGAGTCATTGGGTCATTGAAGAGAAGAAAAACATTCAGCTGGACGCCTCCCACTCCCACTCCTGGCCCGCTTGACATGCACACACAGGCACACACACAGAAACACACAGGTGAACTCATACACACATGCTCACACACAGGGTGCACATACAAACTATGCACATGTACACACACACATATAATCTAACAAATGCAGAATCATGCACATTCAGATACGCGCACACTCACACCTGCATATGTATGGTGCAATACCTCCTGGAGGATTCCGGCTCAGCCAAGAAAACCCTAGCTCTCTCTTTTGGTCTGGTTGGCCCCGTGATCCTTCTCCCTCAGACTCTGTGTGAACTCAGCACAGTGGCCCTCCCTGCCGCCCTGCAGTGTGCCCTGCAGTGCGGACAGGCGGCAGGAGAACCTCTTCATCCACTGGAAAGAGGAAGAGGCAACACACGTACACGGTCACCTATAGCATGCCAGAGCCCATGCCTGTGCCCAAATCCCTATTTATTTAACAACCCCCATTGTACGGAGCAGAAAACCGAGGGGTGGTGTGCCAGGAAGTCCACCCAAGGCTCACACAGCTGGCAAGGGACAGAACAGGATGGAGACCCAGGTGTGTGGGACCAAGGCACTGAGCCAGGCCCCAGATCTCCAGTGAGCAAGACAGACCTAGCTCCTGCCCTTGAGAGGGAGCACCCAGGATTCCGGGGCGGGGCAGACAGGAGCAGGGGACGGAAAAATCAATAAAATCAATGGCAAACTCCTGCGCTGGGGAGCTGGGATGAGAAGCGCGGAACAGCACCTGCTCTAGAGAGGAAAGGGAGGCCTCTGAGGATGATGCTGTGACCATGGCCATACAGATGAGCCCAAAATGCATTTGAAGCAGAAGGGACAGCACGTGCCGAGCCCTAAGGAACCCATGTTTAACTCACCCGCTGACCTGCATGTCCCCAGCCGGGCAGTGTCTTACTAGCAACCTCTCGGTCTGTGTGGGACCTAATAGTCCCTCTTTAACTGTGCAAGGATGCAATTCAACAGACATTGTCCTTTAAACTTTTCCTAATCAGCCCTCCTCCTCTCTCCAGGTATTAAAAATGCCAGGAGCCGAGAAGCCCCCTGCCCCGCTCCCAACATTCCTTCAGGACAGTTTTGCTGACACAGCATTCCTCTGGGCCAGGGTGAAGGCCCAAAGTCCCAACCAATGATGATTTCCTGTTAACCCTTGGACTAAGGGTTGAGCCCTGGAATATCCCCCAGGGATTCCGGAGGCCTTCTTCTTGCGTTTGTTTACAATGCATGGCCCTCTTCCTTGCCAAGAGGAAGCCCAGTTTTATTTACATTTCAGTGTCCCAGAGGGTGGAGGGGACCACCGGGCACCTTTGTCCCCAGGCTGATTCTGGGCTGCTGCTTGCAAATGAGGAAGCTCTAAACTGCCCAGAAGTCAGACACTAGTAGAATTTTGAAGCTGGAAGGGGTGCCATTTCACAGATGGGGAATGAGAGGTCTGGAGATGCCTAGATTGGACCAGGGCCTGAGCCAGATCATCCGGGAGGATCCAGGGATCCTGGCCTTGTCCTGCCATGGACGGTCCCGTCCCCATCAGCAGACTGGCGACGTGGACCAGACGTTTGCCTCGCACGGCTACTCGCCCTGGTGGTCAAGAGTAGGGCCTGGAGCCCGACGTCCTGGGTCTGAATTCTGCTTAGCCCCTTTGGACGAAAACTTAACACTCAATGCCACTTCTTTCCTGTATGTGAAATGGGGCTGATCACCACAGTTAACCCTAAGCGCCTCGCACCGCAAGTCCCTCTGCTTGTTAAATAAATACAATGGATCTCTACACATGCACAATAAAGACACGGAAACAGTTAATCCCCTGCTGCAGCTCCTGTTGAAGGGAATAAAATCAGGACCCAGAGAGGTTGATTCACTGACCTTGGGACACACAGGACCCTTTCTACCTCTGCTGGTGACCCAGTGACCCCTGTCGATGGTGGGAAGGGGCAGAGCAGGCCTCAGACTGTCCGCAGGATGATGCATTCACTAACGGGTTCTAGGAGACGGGGACGGCTCCTCTTTTCTCTCTCCAAAATTAGAACGCGGGGCCCTGAATGGTATCCCCAACTCGGGCCTGTTCGGGACTGTAAATGGCTTTCTCGCTTGGTCCCCCCTTTTGAGAGGGTCGGACAACCCTGAACGAACCCGGCAGGGTGCCTGCATCTAGGCTGGGGCTGCCCTCACTGCAGCCCTGGGGTGGGGGGTTCCTCCGCCTCCAGGGGCGCCCGCAGCGTCCTTACCTGGCTCCTCCCGCGTCCTGATTGACCTTTACTTAAAGACCAGCTCCAGCCGCTGATGGGTTTCGGCGGGTCCCCCAGGAGACCCTTCAGACGGCTAGAGCCGGGCGCGCTGCAGAGAGCCCCTAATTGGGGCAATGAATCATCGCGCGCGGCTCCGGCTGGACACAAAATAGATAGAGGAGCCGGCCGCTATTGTGCGCAGTTTGGGACGCGGGGGGAGGCGGCGGCGGGCGGGAGGGAGGCAGGCTTGGAGGAGGAGGGCGGGGGGAGGGAGCGCGCGGGGAGGGATTCCCCCGCCCGCCGCGCGCCCGCCCTCCGCCCCTCCCCGCCCCTCCCGCCCGCCGCCGCCCCGCCCCCTCCTCCCCAATTAAATGACCCCACGCCTTGGCAGGCGCCGGAGCTCGCACATGCGGCTGCCGCTCCAGCCGCCCGGGCCCCGCCGCCGCCGCCGCCGCCGCCGCCGCCGCCGCCGCGTTCCGGGCGCGCTCGCCGCGGCGCCGCCTCGGCCCGCGCCGCCGCCGGGGGGTGCTCGGCAGGCCCGGGGGGGCGCCGCTGCGAGGGGCCGTGCGCCCGCGCCCGCGCCGGCCGCCCGCCGCCAAACTTTGCGGCGCGCACACATGCTCCAAGTTGGGCGCGGCGGCGGCGGCCTGGGCGGGAGCTGAGGGCGGCCCGGGGCGCGCGGGGGCCCGGGCGGGCGGCGCGGCGCGGCCATGAGCGGGCGGCCGGCCCCGGTCTCCCGCAAGCAGCGGCTCATGGCAGCCGTGGGCGAGCGGGCTGCGGGCGGCGCGCCGCTCTCCTGCTTCATCTGCGGCGGCGGCATCGGGCGCGGCAAGGAGCTGAAGCTGCAGGTGAAGCAGCCGGCGGCGGGCGCGGGGACCCCGGCGCAGCCCTTCTTCCCGTTCCTGCAGCAGCAGGAGCCGGCGCCCGGCGCGCGCGAGCTGTCCCCGGCCGACGGCTGCGTGTTGGTGTGCGCCGTGTGCCGCTGCTTCCTGGGCGAGCAGTGGGCCGCCTTCGAGCGCGCCCGCACGCCGGTGGACAAGCGCATGTACTGGCTCAAGCGGCCCCACCAGTGCGACGCGGGCGCAGGCGGCCGCCGTGGCGGCGCCGGGGCCCCCCGCGAGTGGAACGTCGCCTACGCGCTGGGCAGCGCCACCGGCGACGACGACGAGGACGACGGTGGCGGCCCCCGGCTGCGCGGGGCCGCGGAGGAGACGCGAGACTCCGACCTGTCGGAGCTGTCGGACACCGACCCCCTTTCCGAGCCCGACCCGCCCGCGCGGGACGCCGCCAGCCCCCACCAGGACGGGGCCCCAGGGCCAGGGCCTCGCGGGGGGCGCGGCCAGGAGTGGAGGCCGGCTCCGGGACCCGCTCCGGGACAGGGCGCAGAGGCCTCGGCGCAGGGGCGCGCGGAGGAGGAGGGGCTCCCCGCGAAGGCCCACGCGGATGGGGAGCCCAAGTCCGGGGTTAGGCGCCGGCGGAAGGGGGTTGGGAGGCACTGGGTTCCCGAGGCCCGGGCCAGCGTCCTGAGGAGCATTCAGGATCCCTGGCAAGGCCCTCTTGTCCAAGAGGCCCCTGCAGACGGCATGAAAGGGCCTCCCTCTGGCAGAGCCACTAAGACCCTGGAGAGCAGGCCGCTGGGGGAGACCCTACGGGGCTTCTGCACCTCCGAGGACAGTGACATCAACATCACCAGTGGGGAAGAGGACCACAAGGAACAGCCTTTCCCAGGCGTCTGCAACCCCAAAGAGAAGAACAGTGGCCGTGTCCCCCGGGCTCTCCAGGACAGCCGGGCGGCACCAGCAGAAGGCCTTTGCTGCTACATCTGCGGGGCCCCGCTGTCCCCGGCCTCGCACCACCAGGTCCACGTGCAGAAGCAGGAGAAGCTGGCTCAGGCCCCGTTCTTCCCCTTCCTGTGGCTGCACAGCCCGCCCCCAGGGGCACAGCCCATCAGCGAGGGCGGCAGTACCTTGGTGTGCGCCAGCTGCTTCTCCTCCCTCACGCAGCAGTGGCAGAGCTTCGAGCTGGCCAACGTGCCAGTCCTGCAGCGACTCTATGTGGTGCCCCTGGACAGCCACGCCCCCGGCATGGCCTCTAAGGGCAGGAGGCTCCCGAGGGAAGAGGGCCTGCCCTCCGGGGCCCTGCGAGAGGCCTGCTACCTCTGTGGGGAGGACTGTACCCCGGATGCCCGGGCGGTCCCCTCCAGGATCCTCAACGGCAACGCCAGGAGCGCCATGCATTTCCCCTTCCTCAGCCTCCTGCCCTGCCCGCCCAACGCCCAGGGCCCCAACAAGCGCTGTGAAGTCCGCAGCTGCCCCAAGTGCTTCAGCGTCCTGGAGGATGTCTGGGCCCTGTACCGGGCCTGCCAGAACGAGGAGCTCATCACCTCCGTGCAGGGCTTCCTGGGCAGGTACCACCAGGCCTTCTCCGCCTCCGACCCTGCCCTCTCCGAGCTGCCGGCGTCGGCCCAGGGCGGCCCCGTGTCCATCTGCTACATCTGTGGGGCTGAGCTGGGCCCCGGGAAGGAGTTCCAGCTCAACGTGAACCCCGCCAGCCGCTTGGGCGAGAAGGAGCCCTTCTTCCCCTTCCTCACCGTGTACCCGCCTGCCCCTCGTGCCAGGCCTGTGGACTCCACCGGCCTGGTGGCTACCTGTGTGCTCTGCTACCATGACCTGCTGGCCCAGTGGCTGCAGCATGAGGCCCGCAGCTCCCACCACGCTGTCAGCGCCTGGTCCCGGCAGTACCAGGTGGAGACGTTCGTGTGCTTCTTTTGTCAGCAGGAGAAGAAACGGTGTCTGGGGCTGAAGTCCGTGCGGGTGGCCCGGCTGCCCCTGTTCCTATACACCCTGCGAGCAAGCCACAGCCTGTTGGTGGATGACGGACAGCAGCTGATCATCGGTGCTTGCGTGGAGTGTGGGACCCTGGTGTGTGCGGGCCAAGGGCTCACCCGCCAAGGACCCATGAGCTGGAGCTCCCCGGTGGCAGCAGCGACGAAGGTAAGCAGCAGTTTTCATCTCATCTTAGACGCTTCCTCCAAAATCCATTCAGGGAAGGGAGAGATGTTTTCTGTTCCTCAGAAAAACTCTGAAGGAGGAGTTTTCACTGGTTCTGTGCGGGGTGTTCCGGGGGAGGTACCCTCCCTGAGTCACTGGGCTGGTGCTTGGTGGGTACGTTGGCCTGGCTGACCTTGGAGGCATGGGGCAGGGGTCAGAGGAGTGGGGATCAGGAGTGGTCTTAGGGAAGAATAGGGCACTGCTGAGAACAGCAGGCACGGGCCTGAACTTGGGTGTGTTTGCAGTGGGATCTATCAAACAGAGGAAGTTCGGGGCATGTCTGTCATCCGCCTGATAACATTGGTAATTAGTCCAGCCGTGCGGGTCACAGAGAGGTCTCCGTGCTCACCCGGTTTGAAACACATCAGAGGTGGAAGTTCCTCTCCGTTCTAGCTCCCGTGTGGCTTGGCTTTTCCAGAGTTTTCCACCTAAGTTCACACTGTTCTTTTGAGACCGTGCTTGCTTTACGGCGGAGGGAAATAGGGTTCCAGACATGGGGGTGTGGAATTTGAGGGACAGTGGCCTAAACAGACTTTTCCCCCAGCGGGAAGAGAGTCTTTCCTCTCTGCAAGTCAGCTGTGCAGGAGGCAGACGGGAGGCCTGGCACTCTCCCTGTTTATAAGGCGCCTGCCTTCCTGCTGCCCGCCCGCGAGGAGCCAGACGGGGCTCAGTTAATTTGGGATCCGGCTTTGCAAGGGACCAAGCAGGAACTGCCCCCGGTGGGTCTGGGGAGGTAGATGTAGGCGTCTGTGAGTGGCAGTCACCAACCCGGCCACCGGGGCATGGATGCTCATTTCTGCCAAAGACAGTCAGTGCGACTTGTTTTAATCAAACGCCTGTAGTGGCAGCTGCTGGCCATGTGTGGGCAGAGGGACGTGTGGATGGGAAAGGTGGCGCTGTCGTGTTCAGAAAGGGTCATTCCACCCTTTGAAAGCTTCCTGATCCTGCCTCCCACCTGCACGTGTGGGGCACGGAGGTGGACTATCTGGGGGACATGTTCACTTACAGTGGCTGCACCCGGGAAGTGCGCTCTGCCATGATTTGCCCACCTCTCCCCCGATACGCGGCCCCTGTCTTCATGCTCTACTCAGATTTCCTTTTCTACTGATGACAGCTTTGGACTTTCAAGCTGTCTTTGTGGCTTTGGTGGGATGGTCTCTCGTTTTAATTGGATGAGCACGTCGTCTCCCGTCACAGATGCTGAAGCTCTCCTCTTCGGCATATAGCAGTGCAGCCCCTGGGAGTCAGAAGAGCTGCAGTTCCCAAAAGGGCTGAAACTGGGAGAAGAGAACAAGTTTTGGAGCAAGACTGACCCCAGTTCATTTGTTCCTTACCATGGCGCTGCGAGGCCTTCTCATCTCATTTTATAGATGAGTCAACCAAGACTCAGATAAGTCAGACAACACTCAGTCAGTAGGTATCTGAGGCAGATTTCGAAATTCTGCCCTTTCTCTTGCTAAGTACCTGTGAGTTAGTTTCTTATCCTGGTGGAATGTCAGTTTCCTTGGTTGAGAAGTGGAAACATACCACTTGCTTTGTAGGGACATGGTGAGAGTTCAATGGATTGGGGGAAATGTAAGTTCCCCCAGAGGGTCAGATGCTTGACATATAGTGGGACCCTCGTGTCCTCCACCCTGGTGCATAGGAGCAAATTCTTCTTGGATGTGGGTTGGTTCTGTGTGCGAGGTGCTGGCTTGCAGGCTGGGTGCCAGTTTTATACCTGGCAGTGGTGTTTCAAGGGGCAGTCAGAACTCTCTGCAAATCCTCAAACACAGGGTTTTGTGCAAAGTATCCAAATTCTGGTGTATTTTCTCATGTGGATTTGCTCACGTGTCAGGAGTTGATGGGATGCTGCCCGTCGGCCTTGACTGATAAGAACGCCAGGAAACAAGAAGCCGCCGTTTCCCAGGCAGCTGGGAAGGGGGAGTGGACAGTAGTCTGGTGTGGACGGGAACGCAGGCTGGTGTCTGCCCAGAAGGGGTCAGCATGGGTTTGGTGAGGTTTCATGTGGTATGGATGTGTGCTCTGTTCCCTAGAACAAGTTAGTGCATTCACTCCTTATCATGGCTCTTGAGGCCTTCTTATATCATTTTATAGACGAGTCAACCAAGACTCAGAGAAGTCAGACGACACAAAGCCAGTGGGTATCTGAGGTGGGTTTTGAACCTGCTTCTGCTCCCTACGCCCTCTTCCACCAGCTGCCTGGAGGAGGTGGAGCTTGAGTCAAGCCTCAGAAAAGAGGTAGAATTTGTTGGAATGAGGCAGGCAAACAGGCCCAGAAGCAGGGGTGACCTGTTCAGCCTCCGTGGGCGGGAGGTGCCTGTTGGGGATGAGAGGAAATAAGGTTGGAGTGAACTCCAGGCCTTGAAATCAGGAATAGGAGGTTGGATTTGAAGTTGAAGGCTCAGGGGAGCAATAACAATTTCTTGAAAGAAAGTGGAACGGACTGAGAAGAGATCTGCTCAGGGCCCAGAGGTGGCAGCAATCCAGGTGGGTGGTGAGGCCGCTGGGGCAGGTCTGCCTACAGAGAGGACAGCTCTGATGGGTCTCAGGCTCCCCTGGACGGGAGGGAAAGGAGAAGCCTCAGCTCTCAGCTCCCAGGGAAGCACGATTGACAGCCGGGAGAATGCCGGAAATGCAGCCTTCTGGTCTTCCGTCCTCCCTCCCCCTCCTTCCCATTCATTCAACAAATATTTATGGAGCGCCAGCTCTGAGCCAGGCGCGGTTCCAGATGCTGGGGATCTGGTGGCAAGCACAGAGCCTCCAGTGTCATGGGGGAGGGGGACACACATGAGGAGTGGAGGGAAGGAGCCACTTCCAGCAGAGCAAAGTGCCGAGAAGTAGCCGAGCAGATTAAACTTAGGACCCAGTGCCAGGGTGGGCATGGGCAGCGAAGGTGACACTTGCAGGAGCTGGGAATGAGAGCTGGGGCTCCGGGCAGGGGAGAAGCCTGTGAGCCCCCTGGGGAGGGAGAGAGGGTGGAGGGGCTGTCCCCAAGCCCATTTCCTCATGCCAGCCCCCAAGATCTTGATCCTCACGTGCATCTTCCCATCTGTCTTTTGGGGGGTGGTTTGAGAATTTAGGTGGGATGAGGAGGGCAGTGGAAGTTAGCTGCGGGGAAGCCACTCAGCTGGGGACGTGGCATGTCCCAGAACCATGATCTCTGCTGCTTCCTGTGACTCCTCAGTTGTTCCCTATTGTTCCCTATGATGTGTTCATGCGTTAGCGAATCAGCTTTAAAACACAAGAGGAAACATGAGAAAAATAAAGAGAAGAAAGAAAGAAGAGGAGGAGGGTGTCCCCTGCACCTTCTGCTTTGGATAGGATTTGCACTTTTCCCTCCAGCTGGGCCCCGGGTCCCCAGAGAGCACCATGCTCTGCAGGCACCTGACTCGTGCCTCCTTCGCCAGGGCTGTGTCTGGGGTGGCCTGGGGAGGGCTGAAGCCTGCTCTTCTGGGCTGGGCACCCCTGCCCCAAGGACGGACCCTTCCCTGCAAGCTTCCCAAGGAAGCTCTGTGAAACCCTGGAAGGACCCCGGGCTTGCCTTAAGACAAGCCTGGCTTCAATCTTCATGCTGCTGGGAGTCGGCTGTGTGATGTTGGGTAAGACTCTTGCCCTGTCTGGGCCTTGGAACCGAGTGAGCCGGCCTGGGTGAGAGCGCCTGGCTCGCAGTGGGGTTGCGGATGCGTTGACGCCCCCTTCCCCCCGCCCCCGTGAAGTGCTGCTGGCGCGACGCTGGGTTTCTGAGATTGCAGCCTCTGCCTGCTGCCTTTCTGCTGGGATGGGGAACGGCTGTCCCTCCCTTCAGAGCTAGAAACAAGGCCAGCCAGGATGTTGGGGGCGGCATTTGGGGACGTGATAATGCGGGTGATAACCATTATGGAGTGCTTCCCACCCTCCAGGAGGCGTGCACACTTCACCTGTATTCACACATACTGAAGCCTCGCCGCAGCCCGGTTTCAGGAGGTGCCACTGTTCCCTTTTCGTAAATAAGGAAATAAGTTCAGAGAGGTTAAGCAACTTGTCCAAGGTCACTCAGCTAGTAACCCCAGGACCAGCGTCGGGCCTGAGTCCAGCTCTTGAGTCTGTGCTCCAGCCTCTACTTGGTCTTGCCTTTTTGTTTGCTTCTTTTCTTTTGTTTTGAGACAGGGTCTCACTCTGTTGCCCAGGCTGGCGTGCAATGGTACAATGTGCACTCACTGCAGCCTCCCCCTCCTGAGCTCAAGCAAACCTCCCACCCCAGTCTTCTGAGTAGCTGGGACCATAGGTGTGCGCCACCATGCCAAGCTAATTTTTTGTTGTTTTCTAGAGACTCTGTTGCCCTGGCTGATCTCCTAAGCTCAAGTGATCCTCCCACCTTGGCCTCCCCAAATCCTGCCTTTCTGTCTCCTGTGGGTCTGCAGTTGTGGAGGTGGCCATGGCCTGGAGGTGGGGCAGTGGCTCTTAATTTCCTGTGTGTGCCCACCCCTCCTTGCCACAGCCTCTAGAACATCTCAGGGGCAGGAGTTAGCTTGCATGGGGCAGAGGCCCTGAGACGCCCCACTTGGCTGCCTTGGCTGCACCCCTGAGTTTCTTTGCTTACTGAGCAGTGGTGCCCCGTGCCTTGGCTTCCCCAGTGTGGACCATCTGTTGAGGTCTTAGCCGGCACCTTCCTTCTGTTGCTGGGAGAGCTCCCGTCGAAGATGGGTCTGCTGCATGATGGATTGGCTCTCCCTGCAAGCCAGTTGGCGGGCGGGCCGCGCTTCCCGCTTCCAGGACTCTGTCCGGAGAGCATTCTGGTTAATGGCGCATGCAGCTGTTTACCTAACCATACCCCAGCCTCTCACTGTGGGGATGCCCCGGCCAGGCCCCCCGAGTGTGGCCTCCGAGCCCAGAACAGGTGTTGCTGCCGCAACCACCTTTCTTCTCTGCAGGGACATCTGAGGTCTGCAGAGAGCGTCTGTCGTCACCCACCCATCAGGCCACGTGCACATCTGTTTCCCATGCTTCCTGACTATCTGCGCCCACGCAGTTCCCTGCTCCTCAGGGGGCCTGGCTGCCCCTCCTCCCCAGGCCCAGGCTCTGGAACACCTGGTCAGGACTGATTGGAAGTGGGGACCTTCTGGAAGGTGCCACAGGAGGCAGCCTGGCTGGGGCTGGTACTGGCACCCTCTCCTTGGCAGCAGCTGGAAAGTGGCCAGGCCCTTCTCAAACTCAGAGGAGTGAGCTTTCCAGCTGTGCCCCTCCTAAACCCGGAGGCAGTCGGAGAAAACCAGGGGAAGGAGGAAGTGAAGGCGAAAGGTCTTCAAAACTCGGCCTCCCCTGGAAGCAGGAGGGGGAAGGGGTGAGGCTGGAGGAGCCAGGGTCGGCAAAGCTTCCTGGTTCCTCCTCTGCTTAGATCTCTCAGGATCTCACCCTTGTGAGGTTAACTCTGCTGGGAGTGTCTTTGGAGGATGTATAGCTTCTGGGCACCTTTTATTGGCTGGGGAAGACCCCGCATACAGAATTCAGGGCCCTCTTCCGCCTCAGGTCCCCCTTCTAGTGGGGACACTGAAGAGAGATGCCATGTCTGTCCTCGGAGAAGAGCGTTGCAGGACTTGCCTCCTGACTGCACATAGCTCCAGGTGGGACACTCTTGGGGTCAGTTGTGGAAGGAGCCCCTCCTCACTGGGCGACCTTCATCCAGTTTCCCCATCCGTCAAAGTGACAGGACTGGTCTGCAAAGATCACAGGCGATTTGCGTTGTGTACGTGGTGTCTCATTCTGCCATCTCGTGCTGTGTTAAGAAGGGTTCTGAGGCCATGTCTGGACTCTCTAGGAAAACGTCTTGTGATTTATTGGCAGTCTCTGCTGTGAGGCTAAGAACGGGAGCATGACTTCATCTTGGGGCCTGGTTTTAAATTTAGTATATGATGCCGGGACCCCAAAACGCCATGGGGTTCTGTCCCTTGGAGGATAACATGTTAGGGTCAGGAAGAATCTCACAGACCATCACTTTCAGACAACGCTATACCCTGGCAGTGCTGGGCCAGGGACGAACTGCAGTCCTGCCTCCCGTCCCTGTGTGAGCCTCTACCCTCATCCATATCTACCTTGGAGAAGAGCACCCATATTCTACCCACTAACTGAACAACGTGTGTCTGCCCTGGGCCAGGCACTCCGGGAGCATGTGGCGCTCTGGGCACCTGCTATGACATCAGGCATCCCCTGACCTCAGGGTGCTGGTGGGCGATGAGAGGTTGAGGAACCAGTGAAGAGGTCCAGCCGTGGTTGTGCAGTGCATTGAGTTCTGTGCTGAGGTCAGGGAAGGGTCTGCTGAGAGCCTATGGCAGGGTGAGAAACAGGCGTGCACAGGGAAGACTTCCTGGAGGAGGTGACATCTAAGCTGAGTCCTGAAGACTGAAAAGGATTCAGCCAAGTCCGTGTAGGGGCCATGTGCTCCTGGCAGAGGAGCAAGTGTTAAGGCCTGGATGTTGGGGGGTAATGTGCTGGCGAACAGTCATTCTGCATGGAGCCAGAAGAGGGGACGGGCACGAGGGGTGGGCAGGACCAGCATTCCCGGCGGTGTTTGGAATCCCTGGGTGCACACTCGAATCAGTGTCAATCAATCTGAATTTAAAAATACCAATGACAGGGCCCTGCCCCCAGGCCTGTTAAATCAGGATCTCTGAGGGGTGGTCCCGGGCCATGGTATTTTAAAGCTTCTAGCAGATTCAAGTGCAAGGGTGAGAACTGCTGACGGACGGCATCGTGGGCACAGCTGAGGAGTCTGGGATTTATCCTGGAAGGCCACGGGAAAAGGATGCTATTCCAGGTTTCAGCCTGTGTTTACTGAGTGCCCACTGTGTCCCAGGCACTGTTCTAGACACCAGGACCCAGCAGTGAGCAACCAGGCAGGGTCTTGGGGGCAGTGATGGTGGCCAGCAGAGTGGCCGGAGAGAGGGGTGGTGGGGGCCTGCCGTCTGCACAGTGACGAGTGTCCTGGCAGGGGCTCGAGGTGGGACTGAGGGACGGTGAGGAGGGAGGTGCGGGGGGTGGGCAGGGAGGGATGAGGGGTACGTTGTCCATTGTAGCAGCGGGCGGGGACCCGTCAGGTGGGAATAGGGACTGTGGGGCTGCCCTGGAGAAAGCATGGTGGTTTTTGTTGTTGTTTTAATTGTGATACAATTCACACACCGTGAAAGTCACCCTTTGAAAGTGTACAGTTCAGTGGGTTTCAGTGCAGTCACGAAGTTGTGCACCACCATGACTGTCCAGTTCCAGAACATTCCCATCACCCCCAAAGGACACCCTGTGCCCGTCAGGAGTCAATCCCCGTCGCCTCCTCCACCCACCCCTGGCACCCACTCGTCTGCCCTCTGTCTTTATGGATCTGCCCGTTCTGGTCGTCTCTTGTGAGTGGAATCATCTAATTCGTGCCTTTTTGTGACTGGCTTCTTTCACGCAGCACCATGTTTTCAGGGTTCATCCATGCTGTTGCGTGGATCAGAGCTTCATCCCGTTTTGTGGCTAAGAACGCCGTTGTATGGATGGACCACGTTCTGTGTCCCCAACATCAGACCGTGGACATCGGCTTGTTTCTGCTTTTTGGCTCCTCTGAATCATGCCACTGTGAACACGCATGGGCAAGTGTTCACAGATGTCTTCATTTCTCTTGAGTGTGCGCCTGGGAGTAAGGTTGCTGCGTCCTAGGGTCACTGGAGATTTAACCCTCTGAGGACTGTTTTCCCGTTGGGGGTTTTCAGCAGGCAAATGACGTGATAGGGCTTAGGTTTGGAAAAGTCATATTGGTGACTCCTTGAAGCCCTGTTTCATCACTTCTGCCTGCAGTCCATCCTCTTACTCCTGGTCTTCAGGCAGTGGATTTGTGTTTGAAGATGGCGATCGTTTTTGTTCTCCCTGGGATGAGGGGAGCTGTACTAAGAATTGAGAAGGGGTTTGCATTGGCTCTGGGGGCTTTTGCCTTGCTCCAGCCACAACCCTGGGCATCAGAAGCCTTGGGTTATGGCCCCAACACTCACAGCAGCCTTGGGCAAGATGTTCTACCCTGGCTGGGTCTCAGTTTTCCCCTCTGGAAAATGGGGGCAGATGGTAGATGATAGACTATTAGCTGAGCCCTCAGCTCCTGCACAGCTGACAGTCGCTAACCATCTCGTCTTTCTACATGTGTTGGCGGGGGGCTGTGGGGCAGGGAAGACCTGGGCGGTTGGGGTCTGGCCTGGCTCTGTGAGCCCATGGCTCTCAGGTTCCCTGCCTGGGGTCTGGTTGCCCTGACTGCTGTGTTTTAAGCTCTGCTGCCTGGCCTGTCTGGCGTGGAGCCCTTGATTAAATCGGTTGCTGGATTGGGCTTCCCGCGAGAGGTGCAGAACCTCATTGGAGTGGCACAAAGGCCGGGGTTGGTATTCTGCCCTGCCAAGCCAGGGCCCGGGGCAGGTGCCTCTGGCTGCAGCTCTTTCCACTTGGCGAGAGTGGGCTGGGGAGAGGAGGCAGCCCAGGGCCCAAAGGCGGCCCCTCAAAGGTCACCCACCGAGGCCACGCTATCCTGCCCATCATTAGTGTCATTTGTTGGCACAGAAAGGGTATTTAGGTTCCGGCCCTCCACTCCCAAGCCCTCGGGCTCTGATGAGAGCTGCAAGGGGACGCCAGTGTCAGTGGCAGCAGCAGAGGGCATTGATAGCATGCGCCTGGTGCCAGCCAGTGTCCGAAGAGTTTTGCCTGCATTGCCCCACGTGACTGTCTCACTGTCTTATAAGTGGGCTTATTTGTTTTTATAGACAAGGCAATGGAGGCACAGAGAGGTTAAGTCACTTGCCCAAAGTCACACAGTGGGGAAGTGCCGGCGCCGGGATCCGCACCCAGGCTGCCTGGCTCCAGCGTCTGCACTCTGCCATGCTCATCACACCCATCCTGAATGGGAAGGCAGGCTGGGAGGGAGATGAAGGTAGATGGGGTCAGGAAGCCTCCCTGGAGAAGGGGTATCCGATGAGTTCTTAGGATTTAACGAAGTGGCGAATGTAGAAAAGCTTCCTCTTCTGGAATTTACGTACCAGTGATGTCACCTTAAAAGGTCCTGATTTTCTTCTTTAAATGTGTGCCAGGGTGCTGCCTGCCAATGTATTATACTGTGGGAACCATTTCAACGTTTTAAGTCATTTTCAGATTGTGTCGTATTTTACATATAGAAAGAACATGTGTTTCATGATGTTGAACTTGGAAAGCTTAGAGCCGGTGAATGCCGGGCCATGTGTCTGGTGTCAGCCCCAGCTTCCGCAGCTGCCCACAGGGTCCGCTGGCCCCGGGATCCTTCTGGGTCTCATCTGGGCTCCACGCTGACACCGGCTAACTTGGTGACCTTGGGCAGGGTGCCAGTTCCTCCCCTCCCTAAAGCCTTCCCATTTCTCCTTGGACCACAGAGGGGGCGTGAATGGCCCCATGGGCGGATGGTATCATTCCCGCTTTTCAGATAAGGAGGCCAAGGCTCAGAAACTTAAGAGAGTTCGGGGTGGAGGTGCCAGCCGTCATTGGCAGGGCTGGGAGGTGTGGGAGAGTGGCCAGTCCAATGCCACTGCCTCAGCCTTTCCCCTGCCCTGGAGTTCAGGGGTGCTTCTGGGAGGCGATGCAGCCCTGGTGGGGGCCTGGCTTCCACACGGCCCTGCCCCTGATTGAGCACAGGAGGCCGCCGTGCTCTCTCGCATCAGCTTTCAGAAAGGCTCTCAGTTCCGGAGGGAGAGGGTCAGAGGGCTGACCGCTGCTGCGGCGTTTTATTCACCTTTCCAGACCCATCAACCTAGTCTCCCGCTTCGGGTGGGAAGGTTTGCAGGCTAGGAGGCTTGTGTGGGGGAGTGACAGTGATAAGGGCGGCAGCTGAAAAGTGGCGTGGGGCCTCCACACTTCCAGACACGACAGGACTGGCCATGGGGCTGGGACGGGTCCTGGGGTCCAGACCCAGCAGCAAAGGGAGGCCAGGAGGCACCTGGATGGCAGCTGAGGGTAGGTTGAGGCCTGGATGTCCCGAGAGCATGGCGGGGCCTTGCCACAGCTGCAGCGCCAGCTCTGTGAATCTGCAGTCCCTTTGAGCTGGCGCGTCCTCCAGGCGTGCCCTTGCCCTTTGAGACGGACCGTCTCACGGCTGTACACTGTTCTTTCTCTTGTGCAATTGTACCCAGGAGCCTCTGGACAAGGGAGCCCCGGAACGTCCAGAATGTGGCTTCGTGCTCTGCTTCCAGGCTGCGCGGCATCCCCAGCAAGGCTGTTCACACCAAGCATGGGGGACGCACGGTGGACAGCGAGGGCTCCTGGGAAGCCCTCCCCCACCCTCCCCGCCCCCCGCTGCCAGGAGTCCGGGTAGTCTGGGCTCCTGTGGGGGGAGGAGGTGCCATCGTGGGAACAATACCCACCATCAGCCTCGTACAGAAGGCCAGAATGTACCTGGTGGACCCCAGGGCGTGCAGAATGGCCTCTGGGTTCAGCCCTGTTGTCCAAGAAACCAGGCAGGCTCCAGAGGATGGGAGGAGGCTCGGGCCTGGCCTTCAGGTGGCCTCACGTGTGAGCCCCATGGTGAAAGGCAGCACCCAGACAAGGTGTCACTCCCCTGGCGGCCTGGTCCCTGCAGGGGGGATCGCTGCTTCTCCCATGCCTCAACCTCTTTCTCTTCCGGAAACTGCGTTTTCTTCCTGATTCGTAAGTGTTTGGGGTCAGTGCAGGGTCTGGTTTTCTGAGCGCCCAGGGGTGTGACTGCTGGATGCCTCCTGCAAGAGCACTTCCCATTAACGGGAGAAACCTGGAGCACGCTGACTGCTCACCTGTCTCTTGGCAGGTGACAAGGTGAACCAGGCCTGTCTTTAGGGTTTAAGACCTGGTGCAGTGCAGGTCTTCAGGGAGGCAGGCCAAGCCAACAGGCGTGCTGGGAGCCGCCTGCGTGGGAGGGACAGTGGATTGTTGACGGCTGCATGAGATGGGAGTGAAGCCCCTCCTGCCCCAGCATCCACAGGGTGGGGTAGTTTTGCCCCCACCACTCCTCTGACCCACACACCCCAGCACACCCGCCTCCCTCTCGCACACACGCACCTTGCACCTCCTTCTCCTGCACCACGCTCGCACACTTGTATGCGTACACGTTCACATGCAAACCCACCCACACACTTGTATGCATACTCACTGTTACACATGCGGTCACATGCATTCATACATGCATCACTCCCGTGCACACTCATACACTGTCTCACACCTGTGCCCACACACTCACATGCGTGCTCTTCCATGCACACCTGTACCCTCACCCCCTCACCGCCACATTCGCACTCATACACCTGCACAGTCATTTGCATGTACACACACCCGCATGTCCTCACACACATGTGTATGCACACACTCCCACACACCCTCTCTCATTCATGCACACTCATGCACACACACTCACATTCTTGCCTGGAGGTGAATCTGGCAGGGCCCGTGTGCCAGCCTAGCTCTCACCTGTGCCACTGTTTCCTCTTGGCCGTAGGGGTGTCCGTCTTAAGACACAACTTGGCACAGACTCTGGAGTCCAGCTGGGCTGCACCAGGAAGGAGGTGGGCACAGTGGCTGGGGAGGAAAGGTACAGGGTGGGGTTGGAGAGGCTGGTGTTCCACAGCCAGGGCACCCAGACTCCTCCCTGCTCTGCCCTCACCCCTGTGGTCCTCTGGGTTCTCATCTGTGACCCCAGAGGGTCCCTTCTGATTTGGTGATCTGGCCGTCCTCCATGCCCTGGGGCCATTTGGACTCAGATAGATGTTTGCACTTGTCCTTCTCTGTTGTGTGACACTTGGTAAGTCGACTGGCCTGTCTTAGGCTTGGCTGTAAAGCTGGGACAGGAATGATGGCTCACCTACGTGGATGCCCCCCTTTACCTCAGAGGTGATTATCCCCATTTTACAGATGTACAGGCTGAGGCTCAGAGAGGTGGAGACACGTGCCAAGGTCAGAGCTGGGGAGCAGCAGAGCTGACATGGGATCCCTGTGTGTCTGACCCAAAGTCTGGCTCTCAGATACCACCCTTTGCCTCCTTTCTAGAACTTTCTTCACAGAGATGTCATGAGGGTGAGACAAAGCTGTTGACGTGTTCTGCACAGACCAAGCTCCCAGTAAAAACTCGGTAATTGTTCATATTTGTTTCTGTGGCCTTACTTATCATTCCCCAGAGAGTCTTCAGTCTCCTCTTGAATCCTTCCAGGGATGGCGAACTCACTCCCTCAGAAGCAAGGCGTCACCTGTGATGTGTCAGGAAGGAATGACAGGCTTCTGAGGATCCTCTGCAGCTCTGAGAATTCTGCCTGGGGAGTTCTGGGGAACAGGAAGAGTCTTGGGAAGGGCTTCTGGACCCCATTTGTGACTCAGGCCTGTCTTTTTGTTGTTTCTGGTTCTGGTTTATTACCTTGTCTCAGAACCAATGCCTGTGGCTCCCCAGTGACTCTGCTGGTGGCATCTTCTGATGTCTCTACTCCCCCTTCCCCTGCATGCCTGGCAAATTCTTGATCTTGTATTCCCTAGGGGAAAAGAGGGGAATCTGCAAAGTCATGTTTTCCCTCAGGATGTGGAGAGAGAAATTTCTAACCTCAGTGATGCCTGCTAAATTATACTTAAGAAGGGGGCCAGGCACTGGCATATTTGCTAAGCATTCCCCATATGCTTCCCTCTTTCCCCCATGAGAGCTCCTTTTCTCTAAAATACTGCATGGGAGGGATTATTATCCCTACTTTAATAGAGGCAATTAAAGCTATGCATGTTCCTCTAAGCACTGCTTTAGCTGCACCCCACACTTTGTGATAAGTCATTTCTCATTCTCATCTCATTTGAAATATTTTTCAATTTCCCTTGTGTTTTTTTTCTTTGACCTATGGATTATTTAGAAGTATGTTGCTTAATTTCCAAACATTGGACTATCTTAATATCTTATGGTTATTGATTTCTAATTTAATTCTGTGAACAGAGAAGGTACTCTGTATGGCTTTAATCCTTTTATATTTAAGTGTACGCTCTTGAAGAAGGGACCACAAGCTCTTGAAGAGGATATGGAAACAGCAGTATTTGGTTCTCTACATATTAATTAACTTGAAGAGATTGGTGCTTGGTAGCAGTGTTCAAATTGTCTAGGTCATTAACTTTTTTTGTGTGTGTCTATCAGTTGCTAAGAAAAGAGTGCTGATTTCTACTACAGTTTGGATTTGTCTTTTTGTCCCTTTAGTTTTGTCCAGTCTTTCATCGTGGATTTGGCACATTCGTGGTTGTTTTGTCTTTCAGATGAATCGGCGCTGTTTCCACTATGATGCAGCTCCTCCATCTCTGGCAGCATCTTTGTCTTGGCACCTCTTTTATCTGAATTATTCACATCTGGACACTGAGGTCTCTGAGGTTCGGAGAGGGAAAGTGACTTGCCCAAGGCCACACAGGTGTCAGCTCCAGGGGCAGAGTGCTCCCTTCTCAGCCCAGCTGCACACAGGTTTTCTCTACTCCAACAGTCGCTTTGGGGCCATGGGTCTGAGAGATGCTCCTTCCCAGTGACTTTCTGGTTTCATGATTGCCAGGTGGCCAGAGCTGTGTCCCCGCCTGCCCTTGGCAGAGGACCTCCCAGCAGCCCCAGAAGTCACCTCCATGCAGAGCGCAGCATCTGGCCTGCAGCCTGCAGAGAGCTGGGCTGAGCACGCTTGGAATACCCACTGGAAACTTCTCACTAAGCTCTAGCTCTGGAGCTCCTGGCGCCATCTCCCTGTTTGGTGAGATGGTTCTGAGCATATTGGCCAGATCTTCCCAGGACTCACATGTCATAAGAATTTCTCTGGATAGCAGGAGAAACGTCCCCCGTGTCTGGCTCCCCTGGTCTGTGTGGGCTTTTGGGAGCCCCAGCCAAATCCACTTCCTGGTGCTTCGCCCTCGCCAGGCTGTGGCCTGAAGTGCCTCAGGGGCTCCGTGCTGGCAGAAGGCCTCCTGCCCATGGTCTGAACCCTCCCTGGGGCATTCTGGGAAACTCTGGAGGGCCCTGCGGGGGCTGGGAGGGCCGTTGTCTAGGAGATGTTTATGGGGGAAATTGACACAGTGAGGGGCATCTCTGCCGAGGGCGCGGAGGCCTGAGCAGGGTGATGGGTGGGTTCGGTCAGCAGTTTCACGGGCCTTACTGTGTGCCAGATGAGAGTAGATGGAAGCCAGCGCGAGAGACCACGATGGGCCGGGCAGCGACATCTGACCATAGTCACCACTGATACTGTTCTATGTCCCCCTAGGCTTGAGAAGATGCTGCCTTGGGAGACTGACCCTCCACCCATCGTGAGATTTTGTCCTGATTTCACATTTCACATACATTAACATGTAAAACAGGTTGGGTACAGTGGCTCACGTCTGTAATCCCGGCAGTTTGAGAGGCAAGGCAGGAGAATTGCTTGAGCCCAGGAGCTCGAGACCAGCCTGAACAACATAGTGAGACCCCATATGTACAAATAATTAAAAAATTGTCCGGGTGCGGTCGCTCACACCTGTAATCCCAGCATTTTACGAGGCCGAGGCAGGTGGATCATGAGGTCAGAAGATCAAGACCATCCTGGCCAACATGGTGAAACCCCATCTCTACTAAAAATACAAAAATTAACTGGGTGTGGTGGCGCATGCCTGTAGTCCCAGCTACTAGAGAGGCTGAGGCAGGAGAATTGCTTGAACCTTGGAGGAGTAGGTTGCAGTGAGCCGAGATCGTGCCACTGTACTCCAGCCTGGGCGACAGAGTGAGACTCTGTCTCAAGAAAAAAAAAAAAAAAATTTAGCCGTGTGTGGTGGCGCATGTCTGTGGTCCCAGCTAGTCAGGAGGCTGAGAATGGCCTGAGCTCAGAAGTTTGAGGCTGCAGTGAGCTATGATCATGCCACTGCACTCCAGCCTGGGTGACAGAGTAAGACCCTATATCAAAACAACAAAAGACAAAAAAATCTAAACAGTCTGAGTCTTCAAATCAGTGAAATACAGTAAGGATGATGATGATGGTGGTGGTGATAAAGAAATAGCAGCGATGGTTGCCATGTATCGATTACAAGACATTATCTCACTGACCCTGTAAACAGGACCCTCTGACGGGTGTACCAGGGAAGTTGACTTCCTCTTTCCCACCAGCCCCTCAGGGTGATTTGGTGGGGTCTGGATGAGGCCAGCCCTGCTGAGCATGTGCTGGGCCAGCACTGGGGTTGGTGCAGTGACGCAGCCACGCTTGGTGTCTCTGGGGAGTGGTCCTCCTTGAGGTGCCTCTTGTTTCTGTCGCCTCCAGGTCTGGAGCCGGCCAGTGGGAGCGACTCAGCTGCCTGGCAGGCTCTGTGGTGTCCAGGTGCCTGGAGCTTGGGGCCTAGGAGGCATGATGGGATCCCTTGTGACTGTGGCTGCAGCAGCTCCAGGGCCTTAATCAGGCCAGTGGAATGCAGCGTCAGCAGCAGCAGAGCTGGCAGCCCCGCAGCTCGGGAGCCTTGGCTGGTGGAAGGGACAGAGCGACGCTGGGCAGTGCTGGGGGCAGCTTCAGGCTGCGCCAAGGCCCTGGGGAGCACCGGGGCCCCCGCTTCCTGGACTGAGAGCCCTGCTCTGGGGGAAGAGAGAGAAGGAGTTAAAAACTTGCTTCTCAAGTTTTTCCCGTGACGAAGCCCATTCTTGCTCAGTGTCACCTGGCTCTCCAGCCATCCTTACAAAAGAAGCTGAGGCCAGCGCGAGTACTATCCCTTTCCTGTGACAGAGAAACCCAGGCTTCAGGAACAGTCGTGCTGGTCTGCTCTTGACCGGGAGATGGCGTGGTTTGGCTAAGGGTGTGCGGACATCAGGCCTCGCCCCCACCTGCTCCTACCTGGGTGGCCTCAGCAGGTCACTCCATTCTCTGGGCCTTGGGCTCCTCACCCACACACAGGGACAGGCTTGGGACCGACCTCACAGGACTGTGGGACATGGAGCACGTGAAGCCATAGCCGAGGGCCCTTCCTGTGGTCCAGACTGGGGAAATGATCGCTGTGGTTATTTAGGGGCAGAGGAAAGGCAGGGGGAGGTAGCTGAGGCCCCACTCAAAGGCCGTGGGAATGAAGGGGCCTGTGCCCCTCACGCTCAGGATAACCCTTCCCTTCCCCCACCTGGACCACCCTGGCCTTGTAGCAGGACCCCTGCTCCCAGACTCCTGGCACGTCTCCCATGGGCCTTGGTACCACCTGCAGGGTGCTGGGCCCTGTTCACAGTGGCTGCCAGGCCGTGGCCACTGTCATCCAAGGGGAGGCAGGTGTGGGATGGAAACCTGCGAGTGGCTGGAGGGTACCTGGGATCCAGGCTCCCTCAACACCCCGTGGGCTCCCAGTGCTCATCTGAGAGACGGAGGGGCATTCAGACACGTGGTCCTTCACGGGGCTGCTGGGCACTGGGCAGCAGTCAGCGGGCACCTGCTGCCTGACCGTCTGTCTGCGGGCCCTGTTCCCTCATCTGTATATGGGAATTACAGTAGAGTGTGTGTCACAGGCTGTAGTACATAGTATGTGCTCAATTAATGTTGGCTCTTATTACTTTTGCTATTTATTATTTCCCTTCTGTTCCTCCGTTCTCACTGTTCTGGAGAGCTGTCACCTAGACCTCAAAAACACAGGGACCTAGACCCTTTTAGTCCAGGTGAATCAGGAGGGCTACTTTTTAGGTCAGGTTATGGGAAAGAGCTAGGGGAGGCCAGGCACAGTGGCTCCCAGCACTTTGGGAGGCTAAGGCAGGAGGATCACTTGAGGCCGGGAGTTAAAGACTAGCCTGGGCAACATAGCAAGACGCCATCTCTACAAAAAAATTAAAAATTAGCCAGACGTGGTGGCATGCCCTATAGTTCCAGATACGGGGGAGGCTGAGGCAGGAGGATTACTTGAGCCGAGGAGTTCAAGGCTGCAGTGAGCTATGATCACACCACTGCACTCCAGCCTGGGTGTTAGAGTGGGACCTTATCTCTATCTTAAAAAAAAAAAAAACAAAACAAAAAAACACAGGAGTTTACAAAGATCCATCATCCTCATCACTACCTCTGTTCTTACATTCACCTTTCTTAACCCTCAAAATTTAATGCAAAATCTGGTGCATATGTGCATTTTCTGGAGAGAGGATCAGTGGCTTTTATCAGACTTGCTGTGGGGGACATGTGACTCCCAGAATGTAAACAACCATTGTTATAGACACATTTCCCTGCACACGCTCCAGTGCTGCCGGAAGCCTATTCCTCACCATTCCTTGAAGAGCCAAGCTTGTTCCCACCATTAAGTCTTGACACATGCTCTTTCTTTCACATTTCTGCCTATTTTCCTGCTCCGGGGAGCCTTCTTTGCTGGCTCCTGCCAGCTGAAGTTTCTCTTCCCTCTCCTGGCTGACCTAGACACTTATCTGTATGTAGCATTTTTGACATTTGATAATAACCTAGCACTTTATTCTATTTGACTTCATGTTGTCTTCTGATTGACTCATATGTGTAAGCCCTGTTTCTCCAACTAGATAGAAAAAATAGCTAAAATTTGAATTTTTACCCATTGACCCTCTATTGTTTTTCTTTTGTGCATTGTACACAGTGATTCCTTGCCAGCTGTGGGAGTGGCATTCCTGAAAAGCACTGCACTTGGCAAAATCACAGCTGGCAAGATCAAAGTCTCAGTGAAAATGGGAGGTTAGGGAAAAACAATAAAAATGGCATTAAGTATATGTCTTTAAAAACCACAGTAAATAAAAGTTCTAAGAGACATCACTGCCAAAACAAACCAGATTTGTCCACATTTAAAAACCTGTTCCAGTTGGTAATCTTTTTCTGAATTACCTTCTTAAGTAGATGGGAAACTTGGCCAATGTCTTGATGTACTGACAATGAGAATTCTCCCATGAGGTTTATTTCTTCTTAAGTCAGTTTTGGTGATTTATTGTTTTCAAAGAGCTTATTCATTTTGTCTAGGTAGTCAAATTAGTTGATAAAACTTTGTTCTTAATATTTCTTTATTATCTTTCTAATGCCTGTAGGTTCTGTAATGATGTCCCCCCTTTCATTCCTGATATTGGTGCCTACTCTTTTCTTAACCAGTATAGGAATTTTATTAATCTCCCAAAAGGTTTATATTTTAGAGATTTACCTCTTTAAAGTTTTTGAACCAGTTTTTTGGGGGGCTTAAGATGTATCATCTTTTGCACTTGTCACCTATCTTGTTCTGTTTTTGCAAATCTAGAAGAAATGTGTATGAAAACACCGGGACTGTTCCAAGTTATCTAGGTCTAAGGGCACACTTCCCAAGCCTGATCTTCTCTCTATGCATTGAGCCAGTGGAGGCTAAAGCAATTTCTCTCTATCACCTGCCCCTGTGATGGACATTGGTGAAGTCCAGATGGTGTGTCCTTTGGCTTGAGTGGATTTTATGAAAACTTGGATAAGTAAGAAAGATACTAAACTGAAATATTTTTTAATGCAGAAAAGAGAACTACTTTATCTCAGAATCACAGATCATAAAGAATTGCTGGCTCTCTCATATATTAGTGGCTGTGTTATTTGGAGCATATGCATTTAATAATATTGTGTTTCATTTCTTATACAAAGTATCCACCATTTAAAGTATTTGTGACCTTCTGTGCTTTTGCTACAAAGTATGGTTTATCCATAACCTTGATTGAAATTCCAGTTTCACTTGTCTTTGTATTTTTAACAAATATGAGTGTCTGTTGAGAATCACAAAACTGGGTGAAGTTGAGTCTAACACTCTTCACTTTAACAGGACTCCAAGGCCCAGGAAGGGAAAGGGACTTGCCCACCAATACGGAGGACTTGCCTCCAACTTAGCCTGTCAGAGGCTGAGGCAGAATGCCAGTGCCCTGGGAATTTCTGCTTCATCAGCCAAGACTGTCCCTCTGGCAATAGATATCCTGGTATTTTTACATTAGCAATTTGAGGGGCCATGGGAGGTCAGCCCCAGCTGCCAAGCCTGTGTGGGATTCCTGGCCCAGGGCACAAAGGGCGGACTCACCAGGGTGGGGCTGATGGTGAGCAGCATCCTGCAGACCCACTGCTCTTTCATCTCCAGGGTGGCCTAGGGTCCTGTCAGAGCCACTGACAGCTGCTTCTGTGTCAGTTCCATTCTTTTAAAAGATATATATATTTTAGAATTACAGAGTCTTGCTCATGCCTGTAATCCCAGCACTTTGGGAGGTCACGGCAGGTGGATCGCTTTAGGCCATGAGTTCGACACCAGCCTGGCCAACATGGTGAAACCCTGTCTCTACTAAAAATACAAACAATTAGCTGGGCGTGGTGTTGTGTGCCTGTAATCCCAGCTACTTGCGAGGCTGAGGCGGGAGAATTGCTTGAACCTGGGAAGCAGAGGCTGCAGTGAGCCAAGATTGCACCACTGCACTGCAGCCTGGGCAACAGAGCCAGAATCCATCTCAACAACAACGACAACAAAAACAACAACAACAAATGTATATATATAAAATATTGCAGCTTTATTATATAATTTGCCCTTTAAAGTGTACAATTCAATGTTTTTAGTATATTCACAAAATTGTATAACCATCACCGCTGTCTAATCTTAGAAATTCACCCCTGAAAGAAACCCCATTCTGCCTGGCCACATTAGCTTTCATTTTTATGATTATTCCATGCTTGCTGTAGGAATTTTGGAAAGTTCAGAGAGGAATGAAGGAGCAGTGCTCCCTGAGCAGCTCAGAGGCAGAGACAGCTGATCTTTCCTGTTTCCCCCTCGGCATGTTCAGTACGTACTTTCTATCAAGTTGAGATGGAACTCTACGTGCCGCTGTGCCTCTTCTGCTCACTTCACGCCCCGGCATGAACATCCCCCGGTGTTGCTACAAACATAGTCCTCGTGCCTGTGATGGGCTCCGAGTAGAGGCCGGAACTTATCCCTCACCTCGAGAGTAAACGCCCCGGGTGAGAAGGGCCGCTTGTGCTGATGCAACACGTATGGGAGGTGATACTTGCAAGGCTTCTGGCTAGAAGATTTCCCTGACACCATGACGGATAGACTTGGGTGGTGGGACGGTCTGGGGGCCTGAAGGACTTAGGCCATTAGCAGGGTCTCCAGGGTGGGCAGGCATGGGTGGGCGTGTGCAGAGGGGCAGGGCACCAAGGAGGACAAGGGCAGCAGTTTTGAATCTTTCCGAAGTCTAAGCTATTCATGTTGAAAATGTAGACAGCAGAGATGTGAAGGAGGTAATGAAAATGACCTAAGTTCCGCCATCCAGAGCTTCCAGCCCTTTTTTGCTCATGCACATTCTGGTGCACTCAGACACGTGCAGGGTGCACACATAGGCAGTACTGTGGGTGGGACCATGCTGTACATTGTATGTTTTGGTCTTTTTCACCCAGGACATCATGAATGTCTTTTAGAGGGGTTAGGATTATTCCACTGTAGAGCAAGATGCTGGGGTTCAAATCGGGGCTCTACCCCTTGCTAGCTGTGCGTTCTTGGGTCTGTTACTTAACCTTTCTGTGCTATAATTTCCCCATCTGTAAAGGTTAATAGCCATATGTCTATTGGAAGGTTGTTTCAAAGGTTAAGCAAGTTAGGACGTGTTAGAGCAATGTGCCAAGCATTGTTATATGGCCTCACGTGGCTCAGCATTCTTCTAGAACAGGAGTTTCATTGGGTGCATATGGCCGCCCGTTGCTGGGTGCCCAGGTTGTTTCTAGCTTCACAGGTGTGAGTGGCTCTGCAGGAGCCTTTGTGGACCTCATCTGTGCTTCTGCTGCCTCCATCCTGGGCCTGTCCCCCTCACCCTTTTGTTCTTATTGAGTGACCTTGCAGGTTCCGGAGCCTAAGCTCGTCGGGCACTGGGGAGCCTGGAGGCCTCCTGGCCTCCTCGCCAGCTTCAGCAAGTGGCAGAGGGCGTGAGATCAGGAGGGGGATATTCTCTTTGGCAGCCTCTGGGTGGCTTCCCTGGGCCAGCTGTTGGAAGGGACTAAGGCAGAAGGAGAGAAGGCGATGGGGTCGAGGCAGCATCTGGGCCTCACCTGGAAGCTGCCTCGCCCTTTTGGGAAGAAGGGGGGATTTGTGTAAATGCCCTCGCAAACAAGAGTGACCCCTGTTCTTGGTTCTGCTGGCTGTGTGCCTGCGCCCAACCTGGCGTCTGGCCGACTAGGGCAGGAGGGCTGTTGGAGGGGGCTGGGAGCCTGCTAGGAGGCTCTTCCCCCGGCATCTGGCACATCTTGGTAAGGCCTCTAATGCTTGGGAGACCATAGGGAGCCCTCTGGTTACAGTGTACCCAGCCATCGGACTTCAAAACGGGTTTCCTTTTCTGGACTATTAAGACTTCATCAAAAGAATAAGAAAAAAGGTTGAACACCGAGTCCACATTCCCTCTATTTCTCCATTCATTCAATTCTTCGGTGTCTGTTTATTGAACACTCGTGACGTGGATAGGCATTGGAAAGGAATGATAAACACACCATCCTGTTGAATAGCTGCCACATCTGCATGAGTATTCCTGCTACGTTTCTAAATTTATTCTTATTTTTATTTTTTTGTAGAGGCAGGATATTGCTCAGTCACCCAAGTTGGAGTACAGTGGCATATCATAGCTTACTGAAGCTTTGAACTCCTGGGCTCACCTGCTTCTTTTTTTTGTTTTTTGCTTTTGTTTTTTTTGAGTTGGTCTCACCCTGTCGCCCAGGCTGAAGTGCAGTGGTGTGACCTCAGCTCACTGCAACCTCCGCCTCCCGGGTTCAAGCGATTCTCCTGCCTCAGCCTCCCGAGTAGCTGGGATTACAGGCACCCGCCACCATGCCTGACTAATTTTTGTATTTTTAGCAGAGACAGGGTTTTGCCATGTTGGCCAGGCTGGTCTTGAACTTGTGGCCTCAGTGATCCACCCGCCTCAGCCTCCCAAAGTGCTGGGATTACAGGCATGAGCCACTGCATCCAGCCAATTTTTAAAAGCATTTTATTCTGAGATAATTGTAGATTGACCTGCAGTTGTGAGAAATAATGAAGAGCCAGTGTACCCTTCACTGAATGTTTCCCAGTGGTAACCTTTTGGGTAACTATAGTACAATGCCACAGTCAGGGCACTGACGTCGACAGTCCATAGATCTTATTCCGACTTCTCCAGTTGTACATGCACTTGTGTGTGTGTGTGCGCGCGCGTGTTTGTGTGTGCGTACATCTGTGTGTAGCCTGCTTCATTTTTGAAAAAGGAAATGAGGCTCTGGGAGGTGAAGGCCTTGCCCAGGCTCATGCGGCCAGTATGTGGCAGAGCTCGACTCTGACTCAACGACGTAGCAGAGCTTCACTCTGACTCCACGCCCCTGAATCCGTTCAGGAGAATGGTCACCTTCTCTCTTTGCTGCTGTTCTTGGACTCCGTGTCCGGGCGCCCTTGTGGTCTCTGCTGCAGCTCTGGGCTGAGACCCCTGGCCCTGGATAGACTAGAACCCAAAAATCCTAGTCCTGGGATGCTGGTTCTTTCATTTCATAGATGAAGGAGACTGTGGCTTAGGGAGGCCAGTGGATTCGCTTAACGTCACCCAGGAGGTCAGAGGCTGGTCTGGGACTATTTCTTCTAGATGTGCACAAGGCAGTAACCACAATGAGCTTCTTTTTCTAAGAGGTAAAAAGAGGTTGATTGCAAACAATCAGGATTCAGACTGGTTACCAGGGAGACAGGGGCCATTCTGGAAGGTTTTTGAGCAGGAGATGACTCTGGAAGTATGGGAGGTGACCGTGGACCCTTAGCAGGGCCCCATGTGTGTGCCAGGAAGACTAATGACTCGAGTGTTGGGATTTTTTTTCCCCCTTGCTCAAATGCATTTGGGAAACAGTTAGATTAAAGACAGTTAACCAGGAGCTTTGGCTGCAGGACTTATCAGTGCCTTTAATGCACGGATGTCTACTGTGTTGGACTTCTGTTCTGTGCAGTGTGTTTCAGGAAATGGCTGAAAAGACCTTCTCTCCAGGGTGCGAATCTGAAGTTCTGCTGCCAAGGTTGGGGTGGACACAAGTGTCTACAGAGCAGGATCCAAGGTGCCTAGGTCTGTGTATTTTTTTTTAAGAAGAGGCTAAAAGTGAGTGGCTAAAAATGGCTAACAGTGAGTGTTCGGGGCAGTCATAGCTCAGCCAGGGCCGGTCGTGAGGCCAGTAGCTTTCAGATCATCATAAAGACTTGTTCCCGGTACAGGAATCACTCAGGAGATTTGTGAGGTGGGAAAAGGGAGAAACAGACCTGTTCAGACTCCACCATCCAATCGCAGGCATGTACCTCTGCCTACGTGTGAGGGGAGAGGAGGAACAGGCATAGGTGAAGTCAGCTATCTTATGGTTGGTGGAATTTTAAGTACTTTAATATTTTTAATGTAAGATTTAAAAAACCCACAGAGGAGCTTGAGCTCCATTCACTGGGGCGGTAATAAGCCACTGTGTATTTGGAGCGGGGGTGAACGACGCTGTAACAAAACATCTTACAAGAAGGATTTTTCTGAGTGCCACCGGGCAGGCGAGTTGGAAGAAGGAGAGGAGGAAATCAGCAAGAACCACGTTGGAGGTGGGGGCCGTAACCCTGGCTGGGACAGGGGTGGCAGCTGTCAAAGGAGAGTTGGAAGCAGCTTTGCAGCTTCCCATGTTCCTGAGGCCCAGAGAGGTTAAGTCACTTGCCTCGAGTCACGCAGGGGATGGACTTGGATGCAGCTCTCTGGATTTAGAGTCTTGGAGTATTGCTCTATGCCACATTTGTCAAATCCGCCTTCTTCTGCCCTATATTTCTGACACCATTTGGGTCCCCCCTGCTAATCCCCTATCGAGGTAAAGATTCCAGGGGGTGCATTTGCACCATTGAGGATGACCACTGCAGCGTCTTGTGGTCGTCAAAATTAACCCCATGAACTTAACCACGAAGGAGAAGACTCAGGATGCACCAGGGCACCGCACTGCTGAGACTGTCCCGGAAAGGTTAGAAAGAATGAGAGCCTCTGTGTTTCAGAAGTCAGCAGCCTAATTCCATTTACACAGAGTTAAAAAATAAAACAAATCAAAGCCAGCAGCTCCTGTTCCCATCACTTCTGACCTGCAGCCCCTGGTCTGATACCTTTGGGGCCAGATATGTCTCGGAAGTCAGGATTTTTCAGAACCTCAGACAGATGCTTTAGTACCGATGCTGTGTTTGACACGACACCCCAGCGGAGTCGGGGGCAGCACCCGATAACCAAACACGGTCATGTTTCTGCTGCAAAACATGTGAGTATTCACGCCCAGTGGGGAAAAACGAGGGCTCTAAATAGTCTCAGGGCAGGGCAGTTTTTGCTGCCAAACGAGTTAAGAAAAACGTATGGTTTCCAGAACTTTTGGACTTGGGGGTTGTGGGTAGAGGGTTGGGGCCCGTGTTATCATTGTCTCGACCTGAGTGAGGCCCCTGAAATGTTGAGTAATGTGCATGGGATAATCTCAGTTTAGGTGACTAGGGAGAGAAGGCCCCTCTGTCCTCTGGAACTTTGTTCCAAGTTCCAACTTGTTCACAAGTTTCATGGAGAACTTGGAGGGGACCTGCATCTGACTGTCAGCCCCTGGGGGATGGGAGAGGAGAGAGCAGGGAAGGGATTGGCGTCAAGTTCACGTGTGCACTCCTGCGTCTTGGCTTGTCACAATGAGTGTGTGTGACTTTCTTAATTTGAGAGAGAAAGAGAAAAAAGGGCCCTCAGTGTGGCTGGTACTGGCTGAGTCTCTGGTGCCCAGGGGGAGTTTGGAGAGTTTTCTGGATTCCATCCGAGGCCTTTGGTAAGCATTGTTTCTCGATGGGTGGAACACAGACGTGCTCTTTCCCCGGTTGCTGGCAGCCAGACCTGCCCTGACCTTGAGCAGCTCCATAAATTAATCCAGCGACATGCTATCCTTCTTTGCCAAGGCTCCCTGTGTTGGGAGGGAGTCCCATTAGGCCCTGTGTTTAGACCGCATGTTTAGACGGGGCGGGGGGGCCTGCCGGAATTTTCATTCCCTCATTCAGAAGCTAAATGGATCTTTTATTAAGATCAGCAGAATCCATTTTTAACTGAATTTGAAGGTCACCCTGGGCTTGGGTTTCTCCCCTGTGAATATGTGTCCAGGACACTTGGAGAAGCCTGTACTGCGTCAGAGGATGAGCACTGGCCAGGGAGTCTGGAGACCCCGGTATGGGACCTGCTGCTTATTTGGTGATCTCAGGCCAGCCGCTTAACTTCTGCGTTTCCTGTGGGGTCAGACGAGGGGTTGGATGTGATTGATTTATCGATCAGCCATTTATTGAGCACCTCCTGCATGCCAGGCACAGAGACAACAAGACCTGGCCCCTCGGAGCTCGGAGCCTGGCGGGGAAGCCAGACACAGGGACGGGCAGTTCAGAACGGTGGACCCAGAGCCACTTGGGGATCCACGTGGGAAGGGGGATTGTGGGACCCCAGTGAGCCCCCTCCGTCCACTTGGAGAGGGGCGGGAAGGGAGTCTTCCCAATGCCTGGGAAAGGGAGAGATGAGGCTCACTAGCCACAGAGAGAAGAGCAGGCAGTTAATTTTAAAGGACTCCAGCCCTTTCTCTTCCTCGGGGAATTTCTTACATATAACTGGTTTTTTGCTTACAGCGTCTTTAACTCAATTCCTGTTCCAGCATAACACCCAGGGTGTCACTTCTAGCTTTAAAATCCCAAATCTTTTATCTCAGCCTAGGGCCTAAAACCCAAATAATTCAGGTCTTCCACTTGGTTCCAGAAGATGGGTCCTGGGGACAGTGTTTCCTGCGTCGCCGGCAGTCACAAGAGCGCTGGCCTCTCTGCAGACTAAAGTCAATCCCTCTCTATGCTAGGAAGCTTGGCAGCTCCCTCCGGGATCAAGGCCCTCCCTGGTCCTGGCGTCCCCACTCTGTGTCACCTTAGAGCAAGCAACTTCATCTGCCTGCCCCATCTCCTCGTTGGCCAAGGGACCTAGAGGGGCAGTCCCCTCCTGCACGTTGTTATAGCTGAGAATCCGAGGCCTGGAGCAGAGAGAGGGTTTGTCCGGGTAGCACCGCCAGCCCAGGGTCCCCACGGGGCTGTTGGAGCAAAAATCAGCGTGGTTCTCGTGAGGTGTGTTTTCTTTCCATCTTGGATGTGTGGTGAGCACGCAGGGCAATTCCTAGATACAGTCAGTGACAAACCAAATGCCAAGGAGTCAACAACTCCTGCCTCCTACCGAGAGCACCCCTTGGTTGGGCGAGTCCTGTTCCAGCAGAGGGTGGCCAGGACGTGCAGGTGTGGCCCTCAGCGTCCTCACACCTCAGGCTGGGAGTCAGCCTCTATGTGGGTGGCAGAAGGGAAGGAAGATCAGAAGCCCTGGCCACCACTGGGAGGGCTGGGAGCTGCAGTGAACCTGAGGACCCACAGGGTCACTGTAGCTCCCAACCATGGGGACCAGGGCTCAGAAAGACCGAAGTCATGTGTTCCTGGCTGTAAAAGGGGAGAGGAAAGGGTCCTCTCTACGGACGAGGTCAACAGGGGATGAGAGCAGCTGGCAAAGTACACTGAGACATGTCCTTGGAACGTGTTTTCTAGGCCCCAGCTGTGGGCCAGGCTTGTCCTTGGACAGGGTGGGGGTGCCTAGCTGTGGTCAACACAGACCAGAGTCCCCGGCTGCCAGGAGCTGACCTTGCGATGGGGGAGACAGGCCATAAAGCAGTGGATGAGCAGAGCCAGGGTGCATCCAGTGGTGATGTGCTGGGAGGGTCGGGATGGGGGTAGCCTGAGCTCTGCTGGCCAGAGTCTGGGGCTGGGGAGGGCTGCCGTCTTCCCTGGACAGTGCCCACTCAGCCCTGGATGCCACGGTTCTTTCTGCTGAGACTGCAATGCCCCCATTTGATTCCGCCCTACACTGCAGAGACCCCCCACCCCGACCCTTTAGCCCCTTGCTCCTTGCCAGGCCTCCTTGTTTTGAGAAAATATGAGCTAGAGTGTGGGGTTCCTTCTTTTTTATTTCGAGACAGGGTCTCACTTAGTCGCCCAGGCTGGAGTACAGTGGTGTGATCGTGACTCACTGCAGCCTCGACTTCCTGGGCTCAAGCGATCCTCCCACCTCAGCCTCTGGAGTGGCTGGGACTACAGGCATGCACCACCACACCCGGCTAATTTTTTTTTTTTTTTGGGAGACGGAGTCTCGCTCTGTTGCCCAGGCTGGAGTGCAGTGGCGTGATCTTGGTTCACCACAACCTCTGCCTCCCTGGTTCAAGTGATTCTGCTGCCTCAGCCTCCCGAGTAGCTGGGATCACAGGCATGTGCTACCATGCCCAGCTAATTTTTGTTTTGTTTTGTTTTGTTTTAGTAGAGACAGGGTTTCAGCATGTTGGCCAGGCTTGTCTCAACCTCCTGACCTCAGATGATCCGCCCGCCTCGGCTTCTCAGAGTGCTGGAATTATAGGCATGAGCCACCGTGCCCCGCCTGTATATTTTATAGAGATGGGGTTTCACTATGTTGTCCAGGCTGGCTTCAAACTCCTGGACTCAAGCAATCCTCCCGCCTCAGCCTCCCAAAGTGTGGAGATTACAGGCGAGAGCCACAGTACCTGGCTGTGGGGTTTCTTCTGTCCACTGGTGGGACTCACGGGGCCGAGTCTTCTGACCAAAAGACTTGAAGGAGGGCGATGTGTTTATTTTAAAATGTAAACACCCTCTCCAAGAATACAAACCAGAGTGTCCAGCTGCGTTTAATTTATCAGAGGCGCATCGGCTTAGCTGCGAAAAGAGACACGTTTCTTCTCCAGGAGGCCCCTCCGCTGATTTCTGGGTAATGCGTAGTTTTTTCTCCTGTGAAAAGTGCTGCGGGCCGGAACACCGAGTTTGCAGCTCTTCCCTTTTTTTTTCTCTCTGAAGTCTAAGTTTGGGAGCTCAGGATCCAAAAAGGATGACATTGGGACATTCTATTCAGAAGGTATGCTTTGCCCACTCAGCCACACAGCAGGGAACGGTTTTGAGCAGGGGTGTGATGTGGCTGGCAGACCCCCGTGTGGAGACCAAGGTGGCTTCCAGAGGCTGGTGGCTGGGAGAGCAGGGAGGGGGCTACTGCAGTGGTCCGAGCACCAGTGATGGGACAGCGTGGATGGCCACTGTGGGATGTGGAGGACGAGGGGGACACATGAAACTCCTAGGCCAGAAGACGCAGCCACCAGCCCCTGCCTGACTTTGCCCTCTTCTCTTTTTGCCATAAATAAAAATAGCTGTGGGCTGTCACCCTGCCTTCTGCCTTCGTCTCCTCTGTTATCCCACCCTCTGCGGGCTGAAGATAATTCTGCCTTTTCCTTCACCCGCTTGCTGACACCTTGTCACTCTTTCCTCCCACCTTCAAATATGCTCGGATCCCATTTTTATCACATAATACACAGGTTTGTCCTTGGGGCCCAGTTTTATATCTTTCTACCAGGGGTCTTGAGTTTCCTCGGGACAGGGACCTCATAGAACCCTTGGATGTTTTTCCTATCTCCCACGGCAGGTGGGCTCGCCAACCTCACCTTTATCTAGTAATCACAGGGAGAATAATGAATGTTTATGGAGCATTTTCCTGGGGGCTTGGGTCTCGGTGGCTGCAAGTATCCTCCATCTCCTTGAAGAAAGAAGGAAGCTTTGCTTAGAGAGGTCATGTGGTTTCCCCCACGTCACACAGCTCTTATGCAGTGGAGGCAGAGCCTGAACCCAGGGCCCTGTTCTCTAAATCCTGACCTGTCAGCTCTGGGCAGGTGTTTCCAGGTGTGGGCTGAACTCTTAACACCGGATGACGTGTTTCAAGGGGCCCTGCTGACGCAGCATTCACTGACAATGAATCACCCCAAGAGGACATTGCCCTCTTTCGCCCCACATTTAATCTTACTGCAAGGGGACAGTTCAAGGGCTAGTAGGTCACACAAACCTCAACAATTTTTGTCGTGCTAAGATGACGGGAAATGGACTATTTCAGCTATTTTTACGTGTACAGTTCGGTGGCATTAAATGCGTTCACAGTGCTGTGCAGCCACCACCACCGTCCGTCACCAGAACTTTGTCTTCTCACACTGAACTGTCCCCGGTAAACATGAACTCCACTTCCTGCAGCCCTGGCTGCTCTCTACTTTCTTCTCCGTGAGTCTGAACAGGCCAGAGACGAACTGACCCTGGTGGCAGGCTCCAAGCCTGGAGCAGGGCAGTGTCTAGAACAGAACGAAGCAGTATTGGTTTTGTTTTCGTTGTGTGGATCTGTAACCCCTTATCTGAAAACCCTTGGGACTAGAGGTGTTTCTTTTTCTGGAGACAGGGTCTTGCTCTGTTGCCCAGGCTGGAGTGCAGTGGTGCAATCATAGCTCACTGCAGCCTCAACCTCCCCGGTTTAAGTGATCCTCCCACCTTAGCCTCCTGAGTAGCTGAGGCCACAGGCAGGTGCCACCACACCCAGCTATTTTGTTTTTGTTTTAGAGACAGGGCCTCCCTGTGTTGCTCAGGCTGAGTTTGAACTCCTAGGCTCGAGTGATCCTTGCAACTCATGTTTCCCTTTGGTGTTTTTTTTTTTTTTTTGACTTCAGAAAGTGAACGTGAAGCCGGGCACGATGGCTCACTCCTGTAATCCCAGCACTTTGGGACGCCGAGGGCGGTGGATTGCTTGAGGTCAGGAGTTTGAGACCAGCCTGACCAACGTGGTGAAACGCCATCTGTACCACAAAAATTAGTTGGGCATGGTGGTAGGTGCCTGTAGTCCCAGCTACTCGGGAGGCTAAGGCAGGAGAATTGCTTGAACCCAGGAGGCAGAGGTTGCAGTGAGCTGAGATCAGGCCACTGCACTCCAGCCTGAGTGAAAGAGCAAGACTCCGTCTCAAAAAAAAAAACAACAACAAAAAAAGCCAGTGACCATGGCTGGGCCGCTGACCACTGACTCAAGCCCTGGCTGGGTCCTGGCCGTGCCCCACAGTTCCAGACTTCACTTTTCTCTACGTGTTGGAGATGTGAGACAAAGCCGCGTAGCCTTTTGTCTGTCAGCATGCAGTCTCATGGCCAAATGATTTGCCACAAACTTAGGAATTTTTGTTTTTTAGTTTTTCAGGGCCTCCTGGATTTCAGAATTGCGGACAAGGAAGCTAGGGCTTTTCAGTGCAACCCGTGGATATATTTTAGTTGCCATCTGTGGATGGTAAGAGAGAGAGATACATTTTAATGTTTAAAGAGTTTTTAAAAGTGAGTTGATGAAAAGGAAAACTTGAGGTGAGTGCAAGTCCTGGTGGGTGGTGGCGGGCCTTAGCTGAGCTGGCGGAAGGTGGTGGGGCTGGCCGGCTTAGGAAGTGCTCCCCTGTTAGGCCCCCATCAGGGCCCGGGCGGCCTGTGATGTGGAGGAACTGGCACAGGGTTGCCTGGGCAGTGAGGGCTGGGGCTGGCTGTCCCCCTCCCAGGAACCTCTCCTCCCCAGCCCCAACTGCCTTCTGGAATCCGGCAGCTTCCGAGGAAGGGCCTGAGTGTTAGGGTCTCTGGGGACTTCCCTACATCCTCATTCTTCCCCGTTTGTGCCCCACACGGCCTCCAGGGTGGGCTTGGGAAGCTCTTCCCATTGCTGGGAGTATTGGAACAAGCGGCCTGGCTTGGCTGGGAGAGAGCGGGGGTGGGGCCCACAGGACATTTTTTTGTAGAGACAGGGTCTCACTATGTTGCTGGTCTCAAACTCCTGGGCTCATGGTGGCGCTGATGGGGAGGGGGCCGGCTCTGGAGAACATGAGGCCCCCAGCCAGGCTGTGGGCTCACCCGAGGCAGAACCCCACCCCACACAGGGATGTTTTCAGTTGCCACAGTGATGGGGCTGCCAGCATTCATGGGGGACCCTTCGATCCTCAGGCCAGGCCCACAGGGTTCTGGGAGAGCCCCTTGGGAGGGGCCCTGGGGGGCCTCTGGCCGGAGCCAGGCCGATCGCACCCAGCTCCCTGTGTCTGTTCTCGCCTGGAGCCCTTCTGGGAGTCCAGATGCTGTGCTTCCAGGCCCAGCGTGGAGCCAGGCCTGGCCAAGGGGGAGCGGAGGCTGGGGATTGGGCCTTGTCCTGCGCTCGCCCTGGAGACAGGCTGTGGGCCTCCTGGCTGTGCCCCAGCTCTGTGGGAAGGTCAGAGCCAGCCCTCGTCCTCTCCCTTCGCCTCCTCCCCTTCCCTCCTCCCCCTCCCTCCCCACCTCTACCCCCCTTCTCCCCCTCCTCCTTGGCCAGAACATCTGTGTGTTCCTGGGGAATGTGGCTCTGGCCCCAGCTGGCCTCGGCGGTGGCAGGGGCCTGGATTTCTCCTGAGATGCTCACTGCTTTGGCCCTGGGTCCTCTCCTGTGGGGGTGCCTGTGCTCTGAGCTCACACCTGGCTCTGGGGCTGCTCTCCTAGGCACCCCCTTTCCATCTTTGCTCCACTGTCCTCCTCAGCATGCGTTTGCGATGGCCACCTAGATGGAGTGATGGCCACCAGCCCTGCAACAGCTTCGCAGGGCATAGCGCCAGGCTGGGCAGGTGGGGTCCTGGTGAAGCAGGCACACCTGTGTCCAGGTCCAGTCTAAAGGTGGGGCAGGTGCGGGATGCTAAGGTGGTGTGGCACCCTGGCAACAGTGGTGAGCGGGCAGAGCCAAGGCCTGAGGACAGCACGTGGGACACGGCCTGCCCCTGTGGCCCCTCAGGGAGGGGTTGGATGGAGGGAGACCCTGCTCGCTCTTTCGTGGGAAGCCAGCAGGCCCTTGGTGCAGGTTACACAGCTGTGCAGGACACGGAAGGGGAGGAAGAGTGGCAAGTGGGCCTAGAGTCACCCCACTCTACAGATAGGCAGCCAAGGCCAAGCAGTGGGATTTCCTTTGTGCAGCTGCTTTATTGAGACATGACTCACAGAGCATACAATTCACCTGTCTCAAGTGTACAGTTCACAGAGTTGTGCGGCCACCACCATAGTCAGTTTTACAAAACTTTACTTATTTGAGACAGGGTCTCACTCTGTCGCCCAGGCTGGTGTGCAGTGGTGTGATCTCAGCTCACTGTAGCCTCAGCCTCCTGGGCTCAGGCGATCCTCCCACCTCAGCCTCCTGAGTAGCTGGGACTACAGGTGTGCACCACCATGACCCGCTGATTTTTATTATTTCTTGTAGAGATGGGGTCTCACTTTTTGTATTTTTTGTAGAGACGAGGTCTCACTATGTTGCTGGTCTCAAACTCCTGGGCTCAAGCAGTCTTTCTGCCTCGCCTCGGCCTCCCAAAGTGCTGGGATTACAGGCATGAGCCGCCGTGCCTGGCCAATTTCCCAAAACTTTAACCCCTAAAGGATACCCATACCTGTTAAGCTGTCACTCCCCATTCCCCGTTCCCCTCAGTCTCCAGCGATTGTGAATCTCCTTTCCGTCTACAGATTTTTCTATTCTGGATATTTCCTGTAAATGGAATCATAACATGTGACCTTTGTGTTTAGCTTCTCTCACTTTGCAAAATGTCTTCAAGGTTCACCCCTGAACTTCATTCTTCCTATGGCCGGATAATACTCCACTGTATGGAAAATAGCATGTTTTCTTTATCCATCATCAGCCCGTGGGCTTTTGGGTTGTTTCCACCTTTTGGCTAGTGTGAGTAATGCTGCTGTGAATATGTGAGTACAAGTTTTTGTGTGGATGGATGTTTTCAATTCTCTGAGGAATTCTCAGTTCCTAGGAGCAGAAATGCTGGGTCGTGTGAGCAATTCTGTGTTTAACTTTTTGAGGACCTGCCAGGCTATTGTGTCTGAAGTTCCAGTCCTCCACCACCTCACCAGCACTTCTTGTTATTTGCCTTTCTGATTCTAGCCATCCTAGCAGGCGTGAAGTGGTGTCTCCTGGTTAAGGATTTGAACTGTGGGCTTTCTGCCCGGACAGACTGTGTCCTCTCCCCCAGGGAGAATGACAAAGGGATCTGCCCTTCTTGGGGACTCCTGTTTCCCCAGCAGCAAGCTGAGCTCACAGGGTGGGGCTCACATGTCTCTGAATTCCCTGCTATGCCAGGCCTGCCCCCCAGTCCCCCACACCCAGCCAGCCAAGGGTGCTGTGTGCTCACAGCTGTTTACAGGGTCGTCCGCCTAGGGCCTGGGACTGGGGACAGACCACAAGCTCAGAGTTCTGGAGTCCATGCAGTTGAAGCCCCTGGGCCAGGACACTCCAAAAGGGAATCCCTTAAACCCCCTAGAATGTTCCTGAAAGGTAACTTGCCCAAATCCTAAAAGCTCTCATTTGCTGGGCATGTACACGTACGTCTTGGCTCACTGGATCTCCCCGCAGCCCCTGAAGAGGTGAATGCTGTCATCGTTGTCTCCTTTAATTTTTATTTATTTATTTATTTTTTATTTTTTTGAGACAGAGTCTCGCTCTGTCACCCAGGCTGGAGTACAGTGGCATGATCTCGGCTCACTGCAACCTCCGCCTCCTGGGGGTTCAAGCTGTTCTCCTGCCTCAACCTCCCGAGTAGCTGGAATTACAGGTGCCCACCACCATGCCCAGCTAATTTTTGTATTTTTGGTAGAGACGGGGTTTCGCCATGTTGGCCAGGCTGGTCTTGAACTCCTGGCTTCCAGTGATCCGCCTGCCTTGGCCTCCCAAAGTGCTAGGATTACAGGCATGAGCCACCGCGCCCAGCCTTGTCTCTGTTTTGCTGATAAGGAAAGTGAAGTGCAGAGAGGTTAGACCACTGGCCTGAGGCGACCCAGCAGAAACAGGAGTTGAGGTCACAGCAGGCTGGGCTTTGTGTCTTCACTGCCTTACTTTTTTTTTCCTTCCCTAGTTTCCCTCAAACACACTCATCCCCCACAGCCCCTCTTTGGCTCCAGGGCTCTACACTGGGGGTAAGAGGCAGCTGTGGAGGCCCCTGCCCATCTCCCCTGCCCTGGGCAGCATGCGGTGTCCCCTCCTCAGTGTGAGTGGGTGTCCCATGGGCCTGCCTTGTGGGGAGCTCTGGGGAGCGGGACCCAGGGGCCCATCTGTGAAATCCTCGCAGACTGGGAGGACATTTGAACTGAGCCCTGGATGACCTTTCCAGGTGACACGGCTGCCTGACTCATTCATTCATCTGGTGCTTCATTCATTTAACAAGTACTTACTGAGTGCCGTCACGTGCCTGCAAGACAGAAACGTGGTGTGCAAAGCCAGACACAGCTCCTCCCTCACGGAGCTTCCAGTCTGGTGGGAGAGACAGATGTCGGTGGCCAAATCACACAAACAAATGTCAGCGTGCCACCAGGACAGGGGTTTGGAAGGAGAGAAACAGGGAACAGGGCAGGTAGGGAACTGACTTCCCTGGGGAGGCCGGGAGGCATCTGCCGGGGGTGCTGGCTGATCCCAGTTCTGAACGATAAGGGGGAGTGAACCGGGCACGGGAAGGGGGGAGGGAAGCACCCAGATGGGGGGGGCGCATGTGCAAAGGGCGCCGGGTGTGGTGGGAAGACCTGTGTTTGGCAAGGAGGCGGGCGTTGGGGGAAGCCCGGGCCGGAGACCTTCTTGGAGACCCAGGCCATGATCTGAAGGGTGGGGGCACGGTGGAAGGGTCTCAGCTGGGGATGGCCGGGCCACATCTGCCCTTTGAGAAGCCTTGTGTTCCAGCAAGGAGAACTGGAATGAAGCCAGGTTTTGAGCCTGACTGGAACCAGCAGCCAGGAGCAGAGTGAGAGTTGGTGTGAGAGGCTTTTCGGGGTGGCTGAACTGGGTCTCGATGGGGCCTGGACACCCCCTCCCCAGGAACCCCCAGGTTTTCCCAGATCCAGCTGCAAGCCAGGTGGGGCTTGGCATGCTGGAAAAGCGTCTGCCTACCTGGGCCAAGGCCGGGGGGCCCCTACAGCATGGGCTTCAGCCCCTCCCCCACCCCTTCCTCTCCTGCCCCTGCCCGTCCCCTCCCCGGCTGGGCCCCCAGCGTCCTCAGCAGGCCCCATTCATTCACAATCTCCCAGCGCCTCTTGGAGAAAGGGGGAAGCTTCTAGGCCGCCAGGATGGAGGTGCTGGCCCCCCGCCAGGATGGAGGTGCTGGCCCCCCGCCAGCCCAGCTTCCCTGCCCACCGCCCCCTCCACAAGCCCCCCCAGCCCTCCTGCCCTTTCTTTATGGCAGGCAAAGTGCTAATTCCCAGCCCAGAGGGGTGGGCCAGCGCCGGTGGCCAAGAGGAGAGAGACTGTTTACAGCCTCCGGCGGCAGTTCTTGGCTCCAGCGGTCCGGCGGGCTGGCCTCGCAGTGACATGTTTATTCTCCAGGCCCACTGCTGGCCCCGGCTCTTGGCAGGTCCGAGCGGAGGGCTCTTGGTGATGGGGACAGGCTGGCGGCTTGGGGCTCTTGGCGTCTGCACTTGCCTGCCTTCTCCCCACCTAGCATCTCCACCTTCAGGGAGGCAGAATGTGGAGCCGAATCTGGGACCCCCCCGTCCTCCCAAGGGCACTGCTCCCCAGCAGAACCCCCACTTGCTCCTCTCGGCCAGAAGCCCTGGCCTGGCCCCTCACTCAGGCTCCGCTCTGCGGGCCAGGCTCCTGGATTCCAACTGGGAAGGTCTTCAGGGCCGGCTCTGCTGTGCTGCACTGGGGGCCCCTGCCCGCCGCCAGCCATCCCCATCACTCAATCACCCAGCAGGTTCCTGCTGAGGACCTGGTCCGTGCCGGCCCCCGGGTGATGGCAGTGGACATGACAGATGCACTGGGACCTGCAGCCCAGCTGGGAGAGGCTGGCTTCCCCTGCTGGGGGTGACTGAGGGTCATTCAGAGGCCCCTGCACCCTGCCCCAGCGGCAGGAGATCTTCTCAGAGCCTGCAGCCCCTTCATGAATCCCCTGCAGGCGCTGGTGTGAGGAGCCCGGGCTGCAGAGCCAGATGAGGCTGGGTTGAATCCCGGCTCTGCCGTTGACCAGCGGGGTGAGGGCAGATGAGCCCATCACCCTCTCCAGGCCTCTGCTTTCTCGCCTGTAGAATGAGCGGAGGAGGACGTCACTTGACAGCCGACCTCTCTGGGTCGCCACTGATTCACTCACACACCCACTCCCGGTCACCACGCGCCGTGCTGGGTGCTGGGGATGTGACGAACAAACCCACAGAGGCTTTCAGGGATGGCGCATGAAGAGGAGACCGGCTCTGGAAAGGCACGATGTTGCTGGGGGGTAGCTGGGTCTTTGTCCCAGGGGCTCACTCAAGGGCCCTGCATCCAGGCCCGGGTGACCTCACAGGAGGGTGTCTGATGAGGGTCCCTGGGGACAGAGGAAGTTTGGGGGGGGTGCCAGGTGCCCAGGACCATGGGGATGTACCCCACAGTCAGTGTGTGGTTGGAGCAGCATTAGGAGGGAGTCAGGATGCCTGGTTGTCGTCCTTGTCCTTGAATGGCCTGGTGACTTTGGATGGGTCATGCTGTTTCTTCTAGCCTCAGTTTCCCTGGTGTCCAGGCCCTTGGTGTCTCAACGTTCCTGCTAGGCCTGGGTTCTTGAGCTCCGGATGGAGAGGGACCCCACCACATGCTGGGGATGCACTCCGCCACGTCGCTGGCGGAAGGAATCATCAGTGCTCCCTGAACGGTCTGCGGAGTTCTCAGCCATCGCCCGTGGCATCTCGGCTGGTGCTCCCACTCAGTACTCCCTCCTGGTGCCTGCCTGGGGCTCGAGGGGCGTCATAGCAGCCACGCCCTGGACCAGGCCCCTTCCCTGACGCTTTGCCTGACGCTGGCCTCCTGCTGCCTCAGCTCCTGACTCCTTCAGGTCCTCGTCCCCCACACCACCTGTCCCCTTTCACATGATTCCAAAGGAAACTTTGGTACCTCTAGACCAGGGACCGCAAACTCTGTGAAGGACCAGATTGTAGATACCTTAGGCTTTGCGGGCCACTTAGCCTCAGGCTCTGTGCCCCATACTCTCCCTTGTTTTTTTTTTTGAATGACTTTTTAAAAATGTAAAAGTCATTCTTAGCTTAGCCTGGGCCGCAGTTGACTGCTGCCCGCTCTAGATTAGCGGATGGGGGTGGGGGTGGGGTTCGCCGCGTGTTGGGGTTCGCCTGTGTTGGGGTTTGCCACGTGTTGGGGTTCGTCTGTGTTGGCGTTCGCCTGTGTTGGGGTTCACCATATGTTGGGGTTCACCACGTGTTGGGGTTTGCCGTGTGTTGGGGTTTGCCACGTGTCGGGGTTCGCCTGTGTTGGGGTTCGCCGCATGTTGGGGTTCGCCTGTGTTGGGGTTTGCCACTTGTTGGGGTTCGCCTGTGTTGGGGTTCGCTGCGTGTTGGGGTTCGCCTGTGTTGGGGTTTGCCACTTGTTGGGGTTCACCTGTGTTGGGGTTCGCTGTGTGTTGGGGTCTGCCGCGTGATGGGGTTCGCTGTGTGTTGGGGTTTGCCGTGTGTTTACTGAGTCCAGTGTTTCTGTTCTCTGCTCACTGTGGCCCTGGCCTGCAGAAGCTGCGCAGGAATTGGCTCCTTTAACTCTCACAACAACCCCACGAGGTAGGCACAATGCTCCCATTTTACAGATGAGGAAACTGAGGCACCGAGGATTAAGGAACTTGCCCAAAGTGTCATAGCTGGCCAGGGCAACATCCTCCGTCCTTGTTCGTGACCTCGATGTGCACCTCCTGGCTGTCAGTGCCTGGCTCCCGTGCCCCCGCCCCTGCTCTGATCATTTGGCATGCAGAGGAACCTGCCGCATTCTGTTCTTGAAGTCTTCTGCATCTCTTGTGGCCCCCAGCTGGCGTGCATCCCCCTGGACCACTGACCCCTCCCACCCTCTCCCCCATCACCATCGCTGCCCCACATTAGGGAGAAACCCATAAGCAACTCACAGTTCCAGAAACGGCTTCTGCAGCACCGGCCTCCCGCGGCCAGCCCAAGGGTCACGCAAGGCCAGGAGGTGTTCCCCGGCTGCTCAGCCCACATTCTGCAACCCTAGATCGAGGTGCATGGCCATGGTCACGACACGTGATCCCGAGGCTGGGAGGGAGAGTCTGGCAGGCCGCCTGACGTTGCCTGCTGGGCCTGCCCTGGTGATCCAGGCAGCTGAGGCTGAGGGGGCCGCTGGGAGAGGGTTAGGGGTCCCTACCCTAATCCTGCCTTTGACCTGGTCCAGAAAGTGACCAGTTGGTGACCTAAAGCTGTTGGCCACCAGAGACTGGTACTGAGCTTTCCTACCTCCAGGGGTGCTGTGATTTAGCAGGGGATTTTAACAGCTAATTCAAATGAGAGGAGACACAGCAGTAAATACATGGGGACACGGTTACAGTCTAAACTATTAGCATAATAGTCCCAACTATTAGCATACCAAAAAGATGGTCAGACTCGGTGCTGGTGAGCTGCAAAAATATGGCTCATTCATATTGCCGCTGGCAGCATAGTTCTGTGTCGTATTCGTCTTTACTGAAACCATTTGTCAGCAGGTGTCAAGGGTTTGAGAAACACTGGCTACTTTGACCCAGGAGTCCCACTTCTGGAAATTTGTCCTAAAGAAGTAACTCATAAGAAGGGAAATAATAGGTGCACAGAGTTGTTCTTTGCACTGTTATTTACCAGGTGGAAACAAAATCCAAATGTCCACAGTAAGGTGTGATTGACAAAACTGCTGTGTTCCCAGCACTTCAGGAGGCTGAGGCGGGCAGATTGCTTGAGCCCAGGAGTTAGAGACCAGCCTGGACAATATGGCTAACCCCATTTCTACAAAAAAATTAGCCGGGCATGATGCCTGTAGTCCCAGTTACTCGGGAGGCTGAGGTAGGAGGATTGCTTGAGCCAGGGAGGTCCAGGCTGCAGTAAGCTGTGATTGCACCACTGTGCTCCAGCCTGGGCAACAGAGTGAGACCTTGTCTTAAAAAAAAAACACCCCAGTGATGTCATGTTGAGTGGCCATAAGCAGATGCCAGACTGTACACGTGTCCTGATTCCAGCCTTAAAGAAATATGCCTGTGTAAGTTGAGGCTGGGAGGAATTTGGGAAGCTGCATGAGGCTGTGATTAGGTGACGGGGGTGCCACCCGCTGCCCATTGAAACATCCTTTAATGTTGTCACCGTGTCATCTTAGCACTAAATGGGAGGGAGGCATTCTTGTCACTTGAGCTTGTCATCTCTGGCAGCAGGAGAGGAGCCACCTGGACTCTTCTTCTGGCCAAGACCCAAGCAAGCTGTGTGATCTTGGAAAGGTTGCTTTGCCTCTCTGGGCCTCGGGTTCCTTCTCTGTAAGATGATCTTTGGGCCAGGAAGCTCCCAGACTCCTTTTCACAGGTGAGGACTGTGCCACTTGACCTTGCTGGGTTGCAGGTTTTGCTGATACTGGCTGTGGGGCCCTTGAGTGCTCAAGGAGCATTTATTGAGTGCCTCCTGTTTGCAGACACTGGGCTCTGTGAGCCACAGGCATGCTTACCCACACCCTCCATTAGGTTTGGATCCCGACACCACCCCTCTGGGAGTTCCTTAGGGCCTCACTTCTAGGGGGGTACCCAGCCCCCTGGCCAAGCTGCCCCTTCCCATGCCAGAAAGCATGTGGGGTGCCAGGAGAGACTGGTCTCAGCTTCAGGCTTGTGGTTTTTTTTTTTTGTTTTTTTTTTTTAAGGGAATGTCTTTCTTGCTAAGCACTTTATTATTGCTGACAAGCCACTGGCATGCAGGGCGGAGTCCCACATCTTGACTCCAGCCAAGCATCACTGCAGCCTGGGTGGAGTGTGAGAACTGCGTTCCTGTCCCACTCTGCCACTGCCGCGCTGTGTCACCTTAGACAAGTCACTGGCGGCGAGCCTCGCTTCAGTCATCCATACGGCGAGGCGGCACCTTCGCAGCTTCTCCGCAGGGCTGAGGGTCTGGAGGGGGCCCTGGCGTGCAAGCCCTTTGCAGGTGGTGACTTGTGGCGGGAACCACTTGGAGCTGTGTGGTTCCCATCTGGCCTGGAGAGACCAGGGGTGGAGTGAGATCCTGGGGATGGGAGGTGTGGGCCAGGGTGCCCCATGGAGCCTGACAGGGTACTGGGCACCCGCGAGAGAGGTATCAGTGCCTGCCCAGTGCCACTCCGCTGCTGCCTCTTGCAGCTGGAAGCTGACCCGGGCTCTTCCCCAGACTTGGATGCTGCCTCTTGGGGCAGAGCGATTTCCAGCAGGGCTCTCTTCCTGAAGTCACACACAGCTTTGAGCGCCTGGATTTCAAGGCACCAGGGGGCTGAAGGCTTCTGTGTCACCCCCGTGCTGGCATCACTTGAACCATCGCCCATCAAATGGTTTCTGACTGGGGGAGGACTCCTGTTACAGGCTGAGCCATGTCCCTCAACTTTGTGTGTTGCAGCCCTGACCCCCAGTTCCTCGGAATGTGCCTGTGTCTGTAGATAGGGTCTTCAGAAAGGTATTAATAATTGGGCTAGAAGCCGGGCGCGGTGGCTCATGCCTGGAATCCCAGCATTTTGGGAGGCCGAGACCGGCAGAACACTTGAGGTCAGGAGATCGAGACCAGCCTGGCCAACATGGTAAAACCCTGTCTCTACTAAAAATACAAAAATTAGCTGGGCATGGTGGCAGGCGCCTGTTATCCCAGCTACTTGGGAAGCTGAGGCAGGAGAATCGCTTGAACCTGGGAGGGAGAGGTTGCAGTGAGCTGAGATTGCGCCACTGCACTCCAACCTGGGTGACAGAGCAAGACTAGGTCTCAAAAAAAACAAAACAAAAAAACAAACCTGGGGTAGAATGGTTTGGGTAGAGTGAGCCCTAAGCCGATAGGACTGATGTAGTCATAAGGATAGATCAGGACACAGATATTGCATAGAGGATGACCGTGTAAGGACATGGGGAAGACAGCGTTTTCAGGCTAAGGAGAGAGGCCTCAGGAGACATCCACCCTGCCCACACATTGACCTTGGACTTCCAGCTCCCAGAACTGTGAGAAAATACTTTCCTATTGTGTAAGCCACCCAGCCTGTGGCACTTCGTTATGGCTGCCCAAGAAAACTAATATGACGCCCCACAGACGTCTGTGAGGGGTGTCCGCCCACTCGCAGGGGTGACAGCTGAAGATGGCCAGCTGTGTAGGAAGAGGGGGCGTCTGTGTTTTCTTAATGATACCTTATTGCTGAATGTCTAGAACAAACTGTAGCTGGGTGTGGTGGCTTGTGCCTGTAATCCCAGCACTTTGGGAGGCCGAGGCGGGAAGATCGCTCGAGCCCAGGAGTTTGAGACCAGCCTGGGCAACATGGCAAGACCCCGTCTCTACAAAATATTTAAAAGTTAGCCAGGCTGCCGGATGTGGTGGCTCACTCCTGTAATCCCAACACTTTGGGAGGCCAAGGTGGGCAGATCATGAGGTCAGGAGATCGAGACCATCCTGGCCAACATGGTGAAACCCCTTCTCTACTAAAATACAAAAAATTAGCCAGCCGTGGTGGCGCATGCCTGTAGTCCCAGCTATTTAGGAGGCTGAGGCAGGGGAATCTCTTGAACCCGGGAGGCAGAGGTTGCAGTGAGCCGAGATCACACTACTGCACTCCAGCCTGGCAACAGAGCAAGACTCTGTTTCAAAAAAAAAAAAAAAAGAAAAAGAAAAAGTTAGCCAGGCATGTTGGCATGCGTCTGCATTCCCAGCTACTTGGGAGGCTGAGGTGGAGGTGAGGGGGATCGCTTGAGCTCGGGAGGTGGAGACTGTAGTGAGCTATCATCGTGCCACTGCACTCCAGCTTGGGCGACAAAGTGAAACGCTGTCTCTAAAAATTAAAGAACAGCCCCTCACCCCCTACTATTATAATAACAGTGCAAAGGACCTCCCTGTGTACTTTGTCATTGCCATGCTTGCAGGGCACAATTCCAACAGTGGCATTTCCGAGCCGAAGTGTCACGTGTCCGGGCTATGGCTCCTGCACGGATTGCAACAGCCAGCCCGTGTGTGATAGTCAGCAAGGCAGGCTCTGCTGTGTGAGGAAGACACCCCCAGCCCAGAGTCTAGAGCCTGGACTCACACGCATCAGGGGTGCCCTTGCAGGGACCACATGACCTTGAACTGAGCTCAGGCTCTGAGCCGATTCTCAAAGAGTGAAGAACATTGAAGGCCCCCGCTGCCCAGCCTGTGGGAGTGGGGAGCAGAGTCCATAGGCAGCTCAGACTCACAGGCCCTGAGGACAGAGGGCCCCAGGCTGTTGGCAGCTGTGCCAGGTCAGTCACGTGGGAACAGAGGCCTCAGTCCTCCCCGCAGAGATTTTCTGTGACTGCTTCCATGAGACAGAGAAAAAGAGAGAGGGCTGTTAAGGGAGGTGGAGGCCATCCCAGGGCATCTCTTGCCAGGCTGGCACCGGCATCGTTCCACTGGGTACATAATATCCCATAATAGGGCCTGGCTGTTTGGAGTGCACAGAGACAGAAAGAAGATTGACATCGTACGAGTGTCGGGTTCCGAGACTGGCGTGCCCGCCGGCCTCTCCCTCTGTGGGCGGCCTCCGCTCACCCACGAGAGCAGCTCCGGAGGCACCACCTCGGGGAAGCCGACTATGCTGGGGTGAGGGCCCCCCCACCCAGATTCTTGTCACCCAGAACCTGTGAGTGTGACCTTGTTTGGAAATAGGGTCTTTGCCCATGCATGAAGTTAGGGTGAAGTCATACTGGATTTGGGGCCTATATCCAGGGACTGATGTCCTCACAAGAAGAAGGAGATTTAGAGACGCAGACACAGGGTGCAGGCAGAGGTCGGAGTGATGCAGCGACTGACCAAGCGATGCGCAGGATGGTGGCTGAGCCCCCAGAAGCTGGAAAAGGCAGGGAGGAGTCGGCCCCGGAGCCTTCAGAGGCAGCGCGGCCCAGCCAGCACCTTGAATCCAGACTTCTCCTAACCGAACTGCACCGAGAATGACTTTCTGAGGTTTTAAGCCACCAGATGGTGGTTCTTTGTCACAGTTGCCTTGAGACAGTAATACCCGGGCCCTTCTGAGGCCTCCCTCTCTGGCCTCTGTGGCCCCGCCCGGTCCCCTCTCACAGACCGCGTGGGGTGCAGGCGACTAGAGCCTCCTCTGCATGGCCTGGTATCCTAGGCAGGGTTGGCAGGCCTGGCAAAACATAGGTCTGCAGTGAGTGAGAGGATGCAGGGGCCCTCGTGGATGGACAGGTGGGTGGGGGTGGGGCAGGAGGAGAAGGGCAGGGCTGACTCTGAGAGCGGACCCTGTGGCCACAGGAGGGCTGGCCCCTTCCCTCCCCATGTCCATTCACCCCTCCTTGCCCGGTCTTGGCCTCTGCGGGTGGCGGGTGGGTGGAGACACAATGCCAGGCGCAAGGCCCAGCTAGAGTGCCCAGAGAAGAAAGAGCTGAGTGTCCAGAGCCTTGGGGAGTAGGCCACCGTTAACACTGACCCCTGACACAGGCTACACAGACATGGGATTGTGGCCAGAAGTTAAGTGGTTAAAGAGCTTTGACTCCGAATTCTATTCTGTGGAGTCAGATCCCTGCTCCTCAGCTCTGAAACCCTGTGATTTGGGTCATTTAACTGCTGCAAGCCTCACTTGTGTCATCTTTAAAATGGAGGTGCGAAATAATATCTGCCAACCATTATTCTAAGTGAAGTAACATAGGAATGGAAACCCCAAAACCATACGTTCTCACTTGTAGGTGGGAGCTAAGCTATGAGTCCACACGGGCAGGCGGAGTGATATCATGGACTTCAGACACTCAGAAGGGGAAGGGTTGTGGGGGGGCCAGGGATAAAAACTACACCTTAGATACAGTGTACGCTACCCAGTTGGCAGGTGCACTGAAATTTCAGAATTCACCACTGTATAACTCATTCATGCAACAAAAAACCATGTGTATCCCAAAAGCAATTGAAATAAACATTTTAAAAAATAATAATATCTGCCTTATAGAGCTGTGGTGGCAGTCCCATAGATGCCTGTTAGAGAAGTGCCTGACACGCGGCTGTTGTTTGTTCACTCAGCAAACATTCACAGAGTGCCTGCTGTGTGCCCCGCACTGTTCCAGCACTTGGGGATCAGGGAGTGAACACCACTGCTTTCAGAGCACACATTCTGGGGGGGTGTGATTATTATGGGATGTTATGGGTTAAGCTGGCTTTGGAGGGCTAGCCTAGGACTCAACTCTCCCCTTCCCCCGTCCCCACCGTAACCCCACCGGTTGCTGCTTCTGTTGCAGAACAGGATCAGGTTGTTGGCTGCCAACTGAGACATGAGGGCCCTCAGTCACCTGGAGGCCTGTCTGCAAACCCAGCTGTGAGCAGAGCCCTTGGAGGGGTGGGCCAGAGACATACTTGACACGTGTTCCCTTCAGCCCTGGGGGTCAGCCCACAGCCAACAGGAGTTGGGGAGGGGCAAGCCCCTCCTGTCCCACCCTGCCTCTGCCTGCTCCCAGGACTGAGCGAGAGGGTGGCCCAGCCCAGGGCTTCTGCCCCTTCTCTCTCGTTCTTCCACCATCATTCCGACCCCTTAAAGGGCTTAAAGGTAAAGTGCTCCAGGAGTTCAATACCATATTGGGCAACATAGTGAGACCCCATCTCTACAAAATATCAAAAAATTAGCCAGGCATGGTGGTGTGCACCTGTAGTCCCAGCTACTCAGGAGGCTGACTTGGGAGGATCACTTGGGCCCAGGAGATGGAGGCTGCAGGGAGCTATGATCCCGGCACTCCAGCCTGAATGACAGAGCAAGACCCTGTCTCTAACAACAAAAGATAAAGCACTGTTATTACCAGCTCTCTCTATTACCATATCTAATAGTGATATAATGTTATCTGATTATAATAATTCATAGCTAATATAATATTTTTTAAGTAGTCATAAGAAATAGAAAAACTTTAGCTTACCACACGTGTCAGGAACACAAACTGACGCCTATGACCTTCACTTCATACCCAGGAGGTTGGTACTTTTCTTATCTCCCTGGGACAGATGAGAAATTGAGGCACAGGGAGGTTAAGCTGTTTTCCCACAGACACACAGCAGGTGTAGAGGCTGCATTTGAGCCTGGGCTGTGGGACTCCCAGCACCTGCTTAGAGGTGCTGTGTTCACCTCCTCCAGCCTCTGGGGGACTCCCTGGCCTTGGGCTGTTTCTGGGGCTGTCCCTGGAAAGATATAGCACTTGCTGCTCAAACCCACTCCTGTCTCTTGCCGGCTGCCTGGCTTTGAGCAATCTACAGAACTCAGTTTCCCCAACTGCAGAATGAGTTTGCAGCACCCCCTCTTTGGGTTCTCTTGAGGAATGGGTGAGGTGGCCTATGGAAAGCGGCAAGCCCCTGATGCTTGTGTGGGATGAAGGAGCGGGGCGCTGTGGTTGACACAGGGCCGTAGAGGCGAGTGGCTTGGATTTGGGGCCTTGGCTGCGCCAGGTAATCCTGAGATAACCTTGGGCAACTGACTCAGCCCCTTTCTGCTTCCGTTTCCCCATATGGAGCGTGGGGGTGATGAGAGTAGCGACTTCACAGGTGTCTGGGCGGGTGTCAAGCTCCCTGTGACGCGCTGCCTTGCATAGGCGCTCAGCAAATGCTGCACATTGGGACGATGGGGGAAAAGGGTGGGAGGCAGGAGGAGGGGACTGGGGCAGGCCCTGGACGGGATGTGCCTCTCAGAATCAGCTTGTTTTCATTTCTGTGCTGTGTTTGGGGTTGGGAGCGAAGCCTGGTCAGGTGGGCCAGAAGAAGCCGCCACGCCTGGGACCATGCGAAGGCTGGCGATCCCTCCAGAGAACCGTGTGCCCTGCAGAGTATGAGAAGGTGGGAGCTGGAAGGTCCCTGAGCCAGCGGCTCCTCCATTCTCTGAGTTTGACCAGGGGGATCCCAGGCTCAGAGAGTGCGTGACTTTCCCAAAGCCACATGGGGAGTGCGTGAGAAGTGATGCTGGGTGAAATGGGGGATGATGCCCTTGCCTGGTTGTGAGAGTTAAATGCGTGAATACATGGAGAGCGTTCAGGACAGGGCCTGTGGGAGGAAGTGCTCAGTGAAGGCCAGCAAGCAGGAGTATCTCATTCCCTGCCTCAAAGCCGAACAGCCCAGCGGACTTTCCTAAGCCCTCCTGTTGCCCACGTCATTTTTCCCTGCTGCATCCTCCCCGAATCCTCTTCCTCCTGCCTCCTCCTCGAAGCCCTCCCTGACTACCACCTGTGCACTCCCTGTCCCCAGTCAGAAGTCCTTCCAGCCTCTTCTTTTTTTTTCCAACAGAAATTTATTTTTTATATATATTTTTTGAAACAGAGTCTTGTTCTGTTACGACGCTGGAGTGCAGTGGCGCGATCTTGGCCCACTGCAACCTCTGCCTCCTAGGTTCAAGCAATTATCGTGCCTCAGCCTCCTGTGTAACTGGGACTACAGGCACGCACTACCACACCCAGGTAATTTTTTGTATTTTTAGTAGAGATGGGGTTTCACCATGTTGGCCAGGCTGGTCTCGAACTCCTGGCCTCAAGTGATCTGCCCACCTCAGCCTCCCAAAGTGCTGGGATTACAGACATGAATCACCACGCCTGGCTCGTTTCAGCCTCATCTGAAGCTCACTGTGCTGAGGTGGTTTTCTCCTAGGGTTTCCACTGTAAGTCATGGGCTTGGGGGTCCAGAGCACCAGGTTTGAGCCCCAAGTCCGTGTGTTACCCTGTGACTCGGGATGGGCTGCTGAACCTTCCTGAGTCTTCATGGCCTCATCTCTAGAACACAGTGCATATTCTCAGCTCCTAAGATTCTTTGAAAGAGAATTAAACCCCTTCATTGAGTGCATGTTTATGGAGACCTGCGGAGTGCCAGGCACACTTCTGGGGCTGCACGTGAAACGAGACGTGCCGCTCGTAGTGGTAAAACGCGGCCTTTGGAGCAGTGAACCTGGGTTTGAGCTCAACTCTGCCACTTGCTACCTGTGTGACCTCCCAAACTGCTTTCTGCCTCTAGGCCTCACTTTCCAAATCATATGGAAAATGGGAGTAAGAACAGGCCTGTGGGAGTCCAGCAAGTGACGGGCCCAGCTCTGCGCCTGGCTCACCCATGACCTGCCTTCTGCAGGTCCTGCTCTGTGCGTCCAGCTGGTCTTGCGTCTACTTCATCTTTGCTTCCACAGCTTCCAGCGTGCAGTAGCCAGGCACCCTTTGCATATTTTTTATAAGAACCAAATGACCGATTGAATGTCACATGTCCTTCCTATGTATTCTGACAGTCCATGCGGATTTTTCTTTTTTTTTGAGACAGAGTCTGGCTCTGTGGCCCAGGCTGGAGTGCAGTGGTGTGATATCGGCTCACTGCAAGCTCCACCTCCCGGGTTCACACCATTCTTCTGCCTCAGCCTCCCGAGTAGCTGGGACTACAGGTGCCTGCCACCACGACCGGCTAGTTTTTTGTATTTTTAGTAGAGACGGGGTTTCACCATGTTAGCCAGGATGGTCTTGATCTCCGGACTCATGATCCGCCCACCTCAGCTTCCCAAAGTACTGGGATTACAGGCATGAGCCACCGCGCCCGGCCTAATTTTTGTATTTTTAGTAGACACAGGGTTTCATTATGTTGGGCAGGCTGGTCTCGAACTCCTGACCTCAGGTGATCTGCCTGCCTTGGCCTCCGAAAGTGCTGGGATTACAGGCGTGAGCCACCGTGCCCGGCCAAAAGGACTGCTGCCCATGTGGGTTTTTTAAAAAAATGAATTATATTTTGACACTTTGGTTGGATCCAGAATAATCTTTGTGGGGAGCTGGTTAAAAGTAGCTTTGGAGCCCAGGACAGACCTACCGCATGAAGCTGCTGGCCTGGGGCTGGCCTGGGTCCTACCTGGTCAGGGAGCCTCGGCCCTCAGGCCAGCTGTCTTGGACCACCTTGCACTCTCTAGAAAGCCCCCTCTTGACAGCATGAGTACACTCACTGCACGGCCCAGAAGAGACAAATGTTCTCATTCTGCTTCCATCCCACCTCCATCTCCGAATGTCGCCTGTGGCACTTTGAGTGTTCATATCATGTCCTCTGCCTCCGTGCACCTGACCTGTCTCCTGTGGTCATTTCTTTTCTTCTTGCGTTTTCCAGAATTGTATTTGGAGCCCCTCCTTCCCCCTTCTGCAAGCCACAGCCCCATGACTATGGGACCACCAGCTTTGCTTTATGCCCAGTTTACAGATGGGTTCACCAAGGGCCCCCAAGCCGACGTCTCTTTGTTTCTGGCCTGGGCCAGGGAAGGCAGGCTCTCCTGGTCTCCTGGCCCTGCAGGTGACAGGACTTCCTTTGGAACAGGTGGGCAGCATTTCCCAGGGTGACCCCAGCCTGGAGGATGGGAATCCCTGCTGCTATTTTCAGCTGCTTCAGGTGGGCGCTCCCTTCTCCCATGAGCCACAGCTGCCCAGACTTGGTGGCCTGTGTGTTCTTACATGATGTCAGAGCATCCTTCTGGCTGGGGGGCCAGCACCCCACCCTCGGCCCCTCACCCTTTCTCAAGGAGCACGGGGAAATCCCAAAACATTTTCCCCTCTGGGCCAGAAGCAGCTCGGCGTTACCCCGCACCTGGGATTTCAAGAGCTCTTCCTGGTCCGCTTTCCAGTGGGTGGCTGTGAAAATGGCACTTGGTTTCAGTTAGGAGCTGGGGGCAGGCGGGGGTCTGGTTTCCCTGCTCCTGGAGGAATTACCGGACCACATGTTGCCAGGAGCCTTGGCTGGGAGAGGCAAGCGAGGCTCCAAGCCGGCGAGCGGGCGGCGGCGCAGATGGAAACTCGATCACCCCCGGCTCAGCAGACTGTTTGATTTATTTTAAAATCAAGCAGATGGCTGCAACAGGGGTTTGTTTAAGTTCAGCTCAGAGCCGGGCCCGCGGCCAGGAGCCTGGGGCAGCTGTGCCAAAAATTTTTCAATGACTTTGGTCGTCAAACCACCTCTTCCCCTCCCTTTTGAACTTCAGCCTCCCCACACAGGCGGGCTTCTCGGGCCTGCCCGCTGCTGCCCGCTGCTGCCCGCTTGCCCTGGCCCGTCTCGCTTTGTCTCTGTCTTGCTGCCTGGAGTCCCTGGCTTTGCCACTCTCGTGCTCTCTCGCGCTCTCTGCACCTCTGGTGTCTGCCTCTATCCCTTTCTCTCTCCTTGCTTCGGTTTCTCTTTTTTTGTCTCTCCATCTCTCTCAGTATGTGTCTCTGTCTCTGATTCACTCTCTCCCACCACTTCCTCCCCATCCCTTTTCCGTTGCAGGAAACCTTCCCAAATCGTGCCCCCCACTGCTTCCTCCAGCTTCCTCCTACCTTGCCCCCCACCCCTCCTGCCCACCCCCTCCTCCAGTGGCCCCTCTCCCCCTCCCTGGCCCAGCAAGGCACATGGGAGAACAGCCAAGCCTTTGTGGGGATTCAGCGTCCTCCGGGCTGCCCCCTCTCCGAGACCCTGCGGCTGGGAAAACCAGGCCCCCAGCCGTAAAATCCTGGAGTCGACCAGACCTCCGAGGTCAAGCGGTGCAGCCCCCGCCCAGAGGCAGGGAGGCCAGGGGCACAGGCCTCATGGTCACAGGGTCGGCATCTGCAGCTGTCCCTCCCGTGCTGGGCGGGCGGGGGGCCGGGCTGTGCGAGGAGCCCCACTGTGCGGCTGGTTTGCCAGGGAGGTCAGCTGCAGGCTACTGGCCTGGTTCACACTTCCCTAGCGCGCACACACACACACACACACACACCCCAAGTACATGCACACACACACACCATGTACATATACTACACACACCCACATGCATACACACATACCACATACATACCCTGCATGCATGCATCCACGTGTGTGCACATGTGTACACACACACACACAGACGCACACAGACACACACTGCTTATGAGCAGGGTACGCCACATCCCTATCCCTCTACAGGGATGACCTGGTCCCCTGTTCACATGGCAGCAGGTTCCCTAAACCAGGCACCACCCGTCCAGCCCCAACTCCCCAGCCAGGGCTGCCCCTACCCACATCCCCTGACGAGGCCAGGACGTGCCGCCTGAATGGTCTCGGCCCCGGCTTCCTAAACAAGATGAGTGTTTGAAACAGCAGCAGCCCTTTAAGCCCAGAGCCAGAGAGGCCCACTTTCCTTCATGTCCAGGCAGGTGGGGGCTCGGCCCCCAGACACCCTGGCATCTCGGGGTGGGGTATGGATGGCACACCCTACCCCTTGCCGGGGCTGGGGGCCAGAGCCCACGTCAGTCCCGCTTGGAGCCCTCATGTTTTCCGCCTCTGATGGAGAGGCCAGCTCTCTGTTGATCTGAGGGAGTTGACTCAGCTGCCCCTCCCGGTCCCCGCCCCACAGGGTCACCGGTGACCAGGTGGGCTGGCCTCAGGGAGGGCCGGGGAGGCCCACAGCAGCCTGGTATCTGTCAGCCTCGGGTCTGCTGGGAGCCTGGGGTACGCAGGCCCAGGGCCTGGGGAAGGGGACAGGACACTAGTCCTCTCCCTCTGGGCCACATCTATTCCACGAGAGGATGGATGCTGGCACCCACTGCCCCTCCCCGCTCCCTGTGGCTCTGGTGGAGCAGCCTCCTGCACTTCAGTGTAGAGGCCAGCCTCTCCCTCCAGTGAACTCTGCCCTGAGCGGGGCCCACCAGACCTTAGGGACAGATTTGTCCAGAATGTCAGCATGGGAGCCCAGGTCCCGGGCTGGGGCCAGCGCACGGCTCTCCAGCCCAGGCAGGCCTCGGCATTGGTGGAGAGGTCCCTTAGACCACAGGGCGGGCTGGAGGCTATGCCCCCTGCTTGCGTGAAATGGGGTCGGCACATTCCACTTGGGGATTATCTTCATGGTCCAGTGCCTTTGAGTTAGGAGTTCTCCAAGACGTGCCTGACGGTTCACACCAGGCCACCAGCAGCTTCAGATCTTGGAAAAACACCGCCAGGAGGCTGATAGCTATTTTTCACAATAGCCAGTTCCCACCCCCAGCAGCCATGCACCAACATCTCTTTGTCGGATCAAACAAATTTGGAAATCGTAATGAATTTTACTGCCTCCTCCAACACAAATGAAGTCCAGGAAACGGAAAACGTGGCCCAATTAAAAACGTGTCTCCGTCTCTGCGTGGACTGCCGGGAGGAGATGTTTCTCATTGAAGATGCCCTCTCCGAGGGTGGGGAGCTTTTGTTTATTGATTTTCTGTCTCACTGGTCTCCCGCTGCTGACGGGCCTCCTCTGCAGCAGAAGTTTGGATCCATGCGGAGCTTCCTTCATACGGTGGCTTTTCTTCTGTTTTCTTACCATTTTAGTTTTGCATGCAAAAGAGGAACATAAAAATTGAAAAACTGTCTGCTATATATCCAAAAATCATGCTTGCAGAGTTCTTCAGAATTTCATTTTGCAGATAGTCTTACCGGACTGCTTCCCTCTAGTTTTGTTTTTTTCTGGTTAGGCATGAAGGAGAGGCTCTGTTCTCAGGTACGGGGCCGGCGGAGTCAAGGCTGCCATACCCATTTGTCTTATCTCAGGAAGAGGCAGAAAAAAGTCTTCAAGCCTATGGTTATTATAAATCCTACACGCTCCTGAATTCAGTCATGCCAAATGGAACCAGAACCATGTTTTTAACCCTTTTAAAATTGTGGTAAAATAGTCTGGGCACGTTGGCTCACGCCTGTAATCCCAACACTTTGGGAGGCCAAGGCGCGTGGATCATTTGAGGTCAGGAGTTCGAGACCAGCCTGGCCAACATGGTGAAACCCCATCTCCACCAAAAATACAAAAATTAACTGAGTGTAATGTCCTGAGCCTGTAATCCCAGCTAATCGGGAGGCTGAGACAGGAGAATAGCTTGAACCCGGGAGGTGGAGGCTGCAGTGAGCCAAGATCGTGCCACCGCACTCCAGCCTGGGCAACAGAGCAAGACTCCATCTCAAAAAACAACAACAAAAAAATTGTGGTAAGATACACGTGACATAAAATTTGCCACTGTAACCATTTTATTTTTATTTTTTGTTTTTTAAATGTATTTATTTTTAGACAGTCTCGCTCTGTCGCCCAGGCTGGAGTGCAGTGGCGTGATCTCGGCTCACTGCAGCCCCTGCCTCCCGGGTTCAAGCAATTCTCCTGCCTCAACCTCCCGATTAGCTGGGATTACAGGCTTGCGCCACCATGCCCAGCTAATTTTTGTATTTTTAGTGGAGATGGGGTTTCACCATGTTGGCCAGGCTGGTCTCAAACTCCTGATCTCAAGCGATCCACCCATCTTGGCCCCTCAAGGTGCTGGGATTACCGGCGTGAGCGACCTCATTTGGCCCACCACTGTAACCATTTTAAGGCACACAGTTCAGTGACATTTAGCCCATTCACAAGGCCGTGCAACCACCACTTCCCTCCATTTCCAGAACTTTTATCATCACCCCAAAAGGAAGCCCCAGCCCCATTATCAGCACCATTTTCAAGACATTCTGGAGGCAGAGACACTTCCTCCCTTGGCGATTCTGGGGGCACGTGGCGCATCTCAAAGCCCCAGGAGAAGGAAGTGTTGTCCGGTTCCTGTGGGAGAGGCCCTGTCCCACGATGCTGGTGGGGAGAAAGGAGCACAGGACCTCTGTAGAAAAACCTGCCCTTGAAGGATGCGCATGAAAAGCGAGAAGGCGAGGGAGGAGGAGGGTTTCATAACCCTTATGAAACCCTATCTCTACTAAAAATACAAAAAAAAAAAAAAAAAAAAAAAAAAAAAAGGGAACACACAGGGGCGGATTCCAGGAGCCAAACTCATTAAAAAAAAATTCTCGATCTGGTTGGCAGCTGATAAACTAATATTTGGGCTTAGCTCAAGGCTCTGCAAATTAGTGTGGTTGGTTCCAGTTCGGGTTTATAGCTTAGTTCAGTTGGAGCCTGACTCTCTAGGTTCCTGGATGCTGAGCTTTTGGCAGTATCCAGACTCATTCATTCATTCATTCCACAGAGGTTCCTTGAGCATCTACTATGTGCCGGGCACTGTTCTTGGTGATGGTGGTGTAGCCGTGGACGACAGCTCCATCCCTTCCCCTGCCGAGCTTACCTTCTGATGGCAGGGGAGGGGGGCACTTGGTTTGCAGAATGCAGAAATAAGTTGGCTGGGCGCAGTGGCTCACGCCTGTAATCCCAGCACTTTGGGAGGCTGAGGTGGGCGGATCATGAGGTCAGGAGTTCGAGACCAGCCTGGCCAATATTGTGAAACCCTGTCTCTACTAAAAATACAAAAAAAAAAAAAAAATTAGCCAGGTGTGGTGGCACCTGTAATCCCAGCACTTTGGGAGGCCGAGATGGGCAGATCACGAGGTCAGGAGTTTGAGACCAGCCTGGCCAATATGGTGAAACCCTGTCTGTAGTAAAAATACAAAACAAATTAGCTGGGCATGATGGCATGTGCCTGTAGCCCCAGCTACGTGGGAGGCTGAGGCAGAAGAATCGCTTGATCCCAGGAGGTGGAAGTTGCAGTGAGCCGAGATCGCGCCTCCAGCCTGGGTGACAGAGAGAGATTCCCTCTTAAAAAAAAAAAAGAAAGAAGTAAGTGAATAGTAGACCACGTGGGATCACAGGGAGCTGAATGCAACACAGACATCACACACACACATACACAAAGCTGAAGACACAGTTGAGGTGTTGAGCAGACACTCTGGGAGGACTGCCCCATAGATTCTGTGGTTGGGGCCCTCTCTGCAGAGCCCAGGGTGGAGCTGGGGCTGGCCAGGAGAGGGGTGTTCCTGGCAGAGAGCAGAGCAGTCAGTGCAGAGGGCCCGAGGAGGGAACGGGTGTGGGGCTTCCTGGGAAGAGCAGGAGGCCAGCAGGGCTGGAGCAGTGAGCACAGGGGCTTTGTGGGGGGTAGGGATTCAGAGGTCAGCAGGGCCTTGGAGCACTTAGCTCACACTCCGTGAGAAGGGTCCCCAGGGAGGTGCAGCCTGATCCGCATGAACCCTGTCCCTCCGCTGCCGGGTAGAGAGCTGCTGCAGGGGCTGGTGCGGTCACGGTCTTAGGGAATGCGTGGAGCCCCACAAGGATACATTCATTCCCCTTTCAGGTGTCTTTGGCCATTCTGACACCACTCTGTTTCACTGCACAGAGAATCTTGGTGTGGAATTATTGTCTTCAGAGCCTCTCAAACACTTGCAGTATTCGTAATGTATTGCTGTGTAACAGAATACCTCAAAACATTGTAGCCTAAAACAATAAATCTTTATCATCTCTCAGTTTCTGTGTGACAGAAATTAAGGAGCAGCTTAGCTGGCTGCTCCCACACAAGGTGCCCTCATCAGCACGTCAACTGGGGCTGTGGTCTCATCTGAAGGCTCTGCTGGGGCTGGGGGATCCACTGGCCGGGTGGCTCTTTTGTGGCTGTTGGCTGGAGGCCTCAGTTCCTGGCCATGTGGGTCTCTCTAGAGGGCTGCTGAAATGTCCCCACATTAGGGCGCTGGTTTCCCCCTAAGCAAGGTGGATGCTGCAGTGCCCCTGATAGCCTGGTCTCAGAAGCCACACCCTGCCACTCCACCATACTCACTTCCTTAGACACGTGTCACTGAGAAGGTAGGCACGTCAGAGGATCCATGGACATGTTCCGAAACCACCACTGGCAGAGAGGCCGTCTATCAGGAGTGATATCTGGATGAAATGGGGTAACACTGCTTGGTTTCCCAGGACCTCTTTTTAGGGTTACATTTCTATTTATGTTGCTTGATACTGATTGCCATTTTATGATAGTCATCTACAATTTTATTTTAATTTATTTAAGCTTAAAGAGTGAGTTGATTTAAGGAAAATTATGAAGTAAAAAATATTAAGTAAAGTGATGGTGAAGGACAAGTGGAGGGAGCATGCCAGGATGCAGAGGTGGGGCCTGACCAAGGGGGCTGCTGGCAGCATGTGACTCTGCAGCCAGATGGCCTTGGTCGGAGTCCTGGCTCAGCTGCCTACAGCTGTGTGTCTGCAGTGGGCATCTTACGTCCTTGGGCCTCGGTTTCTTCTTAATAAGGTGAGGGAGCAGGCTGCTGCCGGTGCTGTTGTGAGGTTTAGATAGAATGGAGTCTGCACAGGGGGCTCGGCATGGGGACTGGCATGATGGGTGTCCCCTGCTGGGAGGTGGCCTGAGCCTGAGCCTCCCTGGGCTGCCTGTGGTGCTGCCTGGACTGGTGTGTGTGTGTGTGTGTGTGTGTGTGTGTGTGTGTGTGTGTGTGTGTGTGTGTGTGTGAAGGAGGACGAAGGAGCTAGCACCCCTCTGTTCCTCTGAGCAGTGGTAGCACTTGGTGAGGCTGGGGGAAGACTTTGCAGGCTCTTCATCTGGCCCGAAAACTGAGGTTCTCCTTGCAGGAATAAGTCAGTCAGGTAGCGGCCATCCCCACACCTAGGGCCCACCTGCCCATCCAGCCACCCACGCATCCCCTTTCCATCCATTCACCCACCCACCCATTTTCCTTTCATCTTCCATCTGTCTATTTATATACCCATTACCCATCTTTCCTCAGTCCTTCTTTTCATCCATCCATCCATCCATCCATCCATCCGCCCACCCATCTGTTCATTGGTCCGTCTATCCATCCAATAGGCAGTGGATTTTATGCTGAAGACATAGCAATGAACAAAACAGCCCCTGCTATCAGAGAGCTCCAGTCTGGTTGGGAAGGCCTGTTCTTCATGCATGAATGGAGAAGATGGTTAGTCATCCTGCAGTGGTTTAGTGAGCACCTGCTGTTCTCAGTGAAGGCTACTGCACGCAGGCCTCTTCTCACGGACCTCAACGGTGGGTATGTCCAGAGGATGAGGTGCCAGAAGGGGCTGTGATCAGCTCTATCTTGCAAGGGACGAAGTACTTGAATGGGCTTTTGAGGGATGTGCAGGAGTTGACTGGGTGGGTGAGAGATAAAGGGCGATCCAGGTAGCAGGAACAGCACAGGCAGGGCCCAGGAGGCATGAGAGTGTGGCGAGCATGGGAAAGTGTAAGCAGCTGGGCAGTCTCTTGGGAGAGCAGCGGGGAGGTTCTTGCAGGTTGGGGCTGGATGCCGGGTGGTTGGGTCACTTGAGGGAAACATTGAGGGTTGGGGAAGATGAGGGCAGGCAGAGAGGAAGTGGGAGGGGAGATTCATTTCAGGGCAGCCGCAGGCTCTGGAGCACCCACCATAGTCTGGCTCTGCGCTGGGCCCTGGGAGATGGAGATTGATGGGTTGACTGATTGATTCATTCATTCCCTCACTGTTTGCTGAATGCTGGCCTCATGCCGACCGGGGGATACAGCAGTGAACAAGAGAGGGAGGGCCCTACCTTCACGGGGCTCACACTTGAGTCAAGAGCATCAAACCTGAAACAGATCAACGCAGAGAACCCCGTGCAGGGGAGTGAAACAGGGAATACCTCAGGAGGGGGTGTGGTGGGGAGCAGGGCCTGGGAGGGCTGGGAGGGCCCCTCTGTGGAGGAGGCAGCAGTCAAGTGGAGGGGCAGTGGGCGAGTGGCTCCCTGGGGACGGGTGATCCAGGAGGAGGGAACAGCACGGGCAGAGGCCCCGAGGCAGGAGTGAGCCTGGCTGCTGGAGGAGCAGCGCTGAGTCCCGGCCCCCGCCGGAGGAGCCCTGTCACTTGGCTCGCAGTGAAACATGAGTCAAGTCTGGGGGTAGTGTCAAGAGCTACAGACAGAGGGCTTTGCGACGGGTTTGTTTGGTTTTCTTTCCTGTGGCTGCTGGGGAGCCATTGTAGGTTTTTGAGCAGAGGAGGTTGTCCACACTGCTTGTGGCCAGCAGCGTACAGGATTAGATAGGAGGGAGAGGGCAAAGCTCTGGGGCCAGGAGCTTCGGGGAAGGCTGAGTCAGTGCGGCGAAGGCCCAGGCTTCCAGGTCAGCTGTGCCTGGGTTTGAACCCCCACCCTGCTGTGGGAGGTGGATAGGGTGTTTACGCTCCCCAGCCCTAGTGTGCTTTCCTATAAAATGGGAATAATAATATCGCCTATCTCTTGGAGTTGCCGTGGGCATTCCAGGAAGTGTTGCGTGTCAGCAGTACAGTCCCTGCCTGCAGTGTATGCCTAACGGGTGCCGTTTTCCAGGCCCCACGAGAATGGCATGAATTATGGGTCACAGGCACAGACGGGCCAGAGAGCAGATCTGCCGTGGCTGGGTGGCTTTGGAAAATGAGAGGGCCAGCGGTGACATATGCTTGAGCCCAGAAGACCAGTTGGCAGAAAGCATCTTCTCAGAAAAGGAAATTGTGCAGCAAGATTTGAGGCCACCTTCTGCCTCAGTTTACCCCACTAGAAGGCACCCTGGGGCCTTTGGTCTTCCATGGAGAAGGAAAACATACCCGAAGGAGTTAAGCCATCCCAGCCTTGCAGCCTGTTCTGAGCTGGGCAGGACCTGGGCATCCCAGGAGGGAACAACTGTTCCTGCCTCACCAGATGGACGTCCACGCTGGGCCCGTGGGAGGGTGCGACACTCGCCATCCCCACCAAGGAGGAAACACATCCGCTGGGGAGTTGTGGAGCACAGCCTGCAGCGTGGGGGTGGCGGCATCGTGGGAGCAGGGGGCTGAGGTCTCCCTACCTAAGAGGACGCCCCCCTTTGTGGGTTCCAGCTGAGATCTGGCGCGGCACCAGCGGCCTGGCCTGCGGGCGGGTAGGGGGGTGGCAGCCATGTCGGGTTGAGGGGGTGGCCCTCCCTGCAGTCAGCGGCAGGCCGGAGCCAGCTCTGGCCTTGGCAGGGCGGACACGGTGAGAGTCAGCTCCACCTGTGCCGTGTCAAGGCCGGGAGCGGGCTTGTGGCTGCCGTTCAGCTCACTGGGGCCTTGGCCTCTGCACCCCTCTGGCCTTCCCTGGCCCACCTGGTCCGTCCTCTCACTCCGCCCTGCCTTCTCTGGCTAGTGCGGCATCCAGAGTCTCTTGGACACTGTCTATGTGCCATGCACCGTGCTAAGTGTTTTCATGTGTACTAAACGATTTCATACTCACATGAGTTCCATTCTATAGAGAAGGAAACTGAGGTTCCGAAACTTGCCTGAGGTCACACAGCCAGCAAGTCGTTGAGCTGGGATTTGAACCCAGGCAGGTTGGCTCCAGAAGCCGTGCTCTTAACTGCTTCAAGAGACTGACTCCTGAAACCAATATTCAGTGAGAGTGGAAAGCGCAGTTCGCAGCTCCAGGGTACAACAAATGAGCTTTTCCTTAAATCAGAGTAAATCCAAATGTGATTCTCTTGGTCCTTTTCTCATGGTTGCGAGATAGCTGCCACGGCTCCAAACATCACATTCTCACACGATAGCATCCAAAAGCAGGGTGAGAAGGGGGTAGAGGGCCCTCTTGCCCTTTTCTCTTTAGGGGAAGAAAGTGTCTCCCAGGAGGTTTGTGCAAACCTAGGTCCAGTTGTCCAGGGCTGTGCCACATGCCCACTTGTAATTGAAAGGGCTCTGGGAACGTTATCTGCCTCCTCAGGCTCTGTGGGGGGCAGGCTGGGCCAGTATGGCTGCTGCGTGGGCAGCTGAGTCCCCTGCTCCATCATGGGTTCTCCCAGGAGCCCTGCACTGTAAGTGGTGCTGTCTGCATTTTACACGTAGGAAAACTGAAGCTAATTGGTTGGGGTCTTGTCTGGCCTCCTTTAACCCCATGCTGGCATTGAGTGCCTGTGCCGTCTGGTTTGTAACCTCATTGTTTGTGTTTTAGAACTGCTGCTCCAACCGGCAGGCAAGGACAGGGCTTATTTATCTTTTGTGTGTCCTCTGGCTCAGGGCTAAGCTTCTAGAAGGTTCTAAATCACTTTGTATTATATTGAAAGGGTTTGTGTTACCCACGCCCCTTTCTTTTTGCAACTGACGCAAACCCAACTCAGACTCACTCAAGCAAAAGGGGGTTTACTGACTCGTGTAACCGATGGGGTGACATTGGCTTCAGCCTCTTGGATGCAGGACTCACTGGCTGTCTCTAGGCCTCTACCTCTCCCTACTTCGCTCTGCCTTTTGCTGCGGGGGTTCATTCTCCAGCAGGCTCTCCTCGCATGCTGTCGGAGATGGCCACCAGCAGTTCTAGGCTGACGTCTAGTGATCCTGGACATGTGGGGAGAGATTCTTAGCAAATACCCAAGGGCAGATTATGACTGGCCTACCCCGGGGCACATGCCGTGTGTATAAAGGGGGAAAGGGGTGTATTAACTCACAGTCCTCCTGGGTTGGAGAGGGACAGATGCTGATTAGATAAAATGGAAAAGTTCCTTACTACAAATGAGTGTGTGGAAGACTAGATGGATGGATGGATGGATGGATGGATGGATGGATGAGTGGACGGACAGAGGGATGGGTGGAAGGATGGATAGAATGGAATGGATGGATGGATGAATGAATGGATGGACAGACGGATGGATGGATAGATGGATGGACGGACGGACGGATGGATAGAAGGACAGATGGATGGATGGACAGATGGATGATGGATGGACAGAAGGATAGATGGATGGATGATGATGGATGGATAGCTGGACAGAGGGATGGATGGATGGATGGATGGACAGATGAATGGATGGATGAAAGGATGGATGGAAGGATGGATGGATGGATGGAAGGATGGATAGAAGGACAGATGGATGGATGGATGGATGGACAGATGGATGATGGACAGAAGGATAGATGGATGGATGATGATGGATGGATAGCTGGACAGAGGGATGGATGGATGGACAGATGAATGGATGGATGAAAGGATGGGTGGATGGATGGACGGAAGGACAGATAGAAGGACAGATGGATGGATGGACAGATGGATGATGGATGGACAGAAGGATAGATGGATGGATGATGATGGATGGATAGCTGGACAGAGGGATGGATGGATGGATGGATGGACAGATGAATGGATGGATGGAAGGATGGATGGATGGATGGATGGATGAATAGATGGATGGACGGAGGGATGGATAGAAAGATGGATGGCTGAATGAGCAGATGGTTAGACAAAATAGACAGGTGGAAGTGTAGATGAATGAGTAGATGATAGATGGACCAGTGGTTAGATGCACGGGTGGAATAGAGGGGTGGCTAGTTGGATGTAGCCCCCTCTCCCTGCCTTCCTTAGGAGCTCTCTGGGCAGAGCTACCTGTGTGATGATGACCATGTTGGGTCTTCCTCTTGGTCAGCAACCTGTCTAGGCTCTGAAGCCCATTTAAACCTTCATTTTTGTATCAAGGTTATTTCTGCTCTTTTCTCTGTGTCAGAATTACTGTTGTCTCAGCCTAAAATGATGCCTGGTTATCTGAAAAAAGCTAGAAGGCGAGGAACTTGCAAAAGCAAATGAAAAGTCATCATGGTGCTGGCCTCTGGGGATACCCAATGTTGACATCTGGTGGGTGTCTCTCTGGTGGCTCTTTTCTGACCGCCATGAATGCCAGTGTTGGCTTGCCCCCCTGCCGCTGTTTAGGGAGTGCCAGGCCTCAGGGGACCTGGGCCAAGCCAGGCTCACTCCCCCACAGTGAGAGGCGGTGCTGGGGAGACATAAAGCAGCAAAAGCCTTCCTGGCAGGCAGACCAGAAGCAAGGCGTTGGCCTTCGATACATCCCTTGGGAGGTAAATGTTTGTTTCAACAAGGCCACAGCGAGCCAAGCATTTTTATGACTCCTTCCTTGGGAGCTGCCTTCTGAACCCCAAAGAACATCCAAAGAGAAGCTGTGGCCACAGTGTGCTCCCCAGGGGCCTCACTTTGAAAAGGCCAACCCTCGTTTATCTGAAATTAAATGTTCTGTCCACTTGACATCTACTCCCCTCGGACCTCCACCTTCCCAGGGGGAGGATGGGAACCCAGGCTACCCCAGGAGGACTCAGGCTCTGACATCCTCAGATGGGTGGATGGACAGGGGCTGATGGTGTGGACAGGCTGTGAGTGTCCAGAGTGAAAGAGGAACGAGCTGCTCCCTGGTGGCTTTTCCTGCTCAGGGTGTGGTCTCGGGAGCAAAATGGATAGACCCTCCAGAGCCCTGGTCTCCTGCCATGTGGCCCAAGGGAGGCCCAGCAGACCCAGCTCCTGTGTGAGGACTGGGCAGGAGGAGGTGGCTTCCCCTCCCATCGAGGTGCTCCTTGCTAGGCTCCAGCCAGTGGGGTCCTGCGAAACAACAGTCTCCTGCCACTGTATGTGGCTCTTCTGCCCAGAGCGCCAGCTCCAAGTCTCAGCTCAAAAGCCACTTCCTCCCGGAGGCCTCGCTGACCACCCCAGCTTTCTTAGCTTCCTTCCACCCAGGTTGCATTTTCAGGATCTCAACCCTATGTTAGGATTCTTTCTGATCCAAATGAATGAATGAATGAATGGTCCCAGGTGTGAATTAATGAATGGCTCCAGGTGTGAGCGTGCAAAGTGCATGAGCCTGGGCAAGGTCCACATGGCGGGGGCCACGTGGGCGTCAAGGTGGGCAGCTGAGGTCAGAGATGGCAGTCGGCAGTCGAGGGCAGGGAGACCTTTGCTTTGGTCCCAGTGGCCTTGCTGGGGCTGCTAGCCCCATGGCTCCAAACAGGCCCCCCAGCTGGGCCTTGTCCTCTTGAATGAAATGCAGAGGCAGCTCCAGTCCTGGTCTTCTCATCCCCGACAGTCCCCCTTGCTGTTTCCCTCGTGGGACCCTGTGCCTGCAAAGGCGAGGTGTCTACCCAGCCTCGTTTGTCAGCCAAGCACTCATTCATTGCATCATTTCGTCTTCTTAATCAAATCACTATCCACCCACCAGGTGTTTGCGTGGGGTGAACAGCCCAGTGCCTGCTAGGTTGACAGAATTGTCACCAAAATCAAGGGTACCTGAGTTGGAGCCAGGCTGGAGCCCTCAGGTGGAGGCTGGGCGGGGTGGTTCGGCCTTTGGGGAAATTTAGAACAGTTCCAGGGCCCCGTTCTCTCCTCCTGAGGGGTGGGAACTGCTCTGACAGCTGCATATGCACACATGTGCCTGTGTGTTCATGTATGTTCATGCACACATGTTGTACAGTGTCTGGATGCTTGCATGTATGCGGTGTGTGATATGTGTCCACGTGGCGTCTGCATGTGTGGCCTCTGCATGTGTGTGTGTGCATGTGGTGTGTGTGGATGGGGGGTGTGCGTGTGGATGGGTGGTGGAGGCAGTGGGAACAGACACACTGACAGGGACTTTCTTGGAATGATTAATGGTTTTTGGAAGGAGGCAGGCATCCATCAGACGCTCCTGGCAGGTTCTCAGCTGGCACTTTGCTGGCCTCCTGGCTGGACCAGCCCAGGTGAGGCTGCCTGCTCAGCCCAAGTGGCCTGGGGAGGTGTAGGGAGCCCCTTTGGAGCCGACACAGGTTTGTTCTGTCCCAGGGCCCTCCTACCCCTGCCCCCTGTCCACACATGGCAGGGATCACATGGGCAGGAGCACAGAAGGCGGCTCCTCAAACCTGAATGGGCCCCAGAACCAGCCCCCCAGCCCCTATATAACAAAAGCAGATTCCAAGGCCCCCTTGGGAACTCAGGTTCAATAGGACAAGACCAGGGCGAGGGAATCTGCATTTTAACAACCATTGTAGGCGTCTGGTTCTGGTGGGCTTTGAAGAACCCACCTAGTGCTGCAAGGGAGTCTTGGTGCAGGCCAGGAAGGTATCCACTCCCCGCCCTCCTATATTTGCCCCTTAGATACCCATCCCCTGGCTCCCTTTTGCTGAGTGATGCTAGGCTAGTCACTTTACCTCTCTGGGCTACTGCCTCATTTTGAAACCAGAGTCTCCTCTCTTACTAGCTTTGGGGCCTCTCTGGGCTCCACCATCTTGGTCTTGGTCTGTACAGTGGGGATCACATGAGCACCACCTCCCCAGGTTCTCCGGCTCATGGAAGGAGTGAGTGAGCACAGGGACCGCTCCAGCAGCAACTCTGGATAGTGACGTTTCCTGCCATTGCTATTCTCTGCCCTGGAGACGGATGGGCGGTTAGGTGGGGCGGGGTGGCTCTGAGCTAGCGGATCCCACTAAGGGTAACAGATGCCTGCCAAGCACTTTCCATCCCTGTGGGCTGTGTCCTCATTCCCAATTTACAGACAGGAAAACCAAGGCTCAGGGAGGCCCTGTGACGTTCCCAACGCCAGGAGGCCCAGGAGGGCAGATCTCAAAGCCGCTGGCCTCACACTGCCCTTGACCCTCTGCTGGACCAGGGGAGAGGCTGAGGATGCCGGCCCCGCCCCGGCTCCGCCCCCGCAGCAGCAGGGAGGAGCCGGCAGCCTTGGGAATGCTGGCGGGTGGGGTGGAGGCGGTGGGAGCCGCGGCCGCCAGCGAATACGGCCCAGCTGGGGGATTAGAAGGCATCTGGCTCAGTTTACACCAAAGAAACAAAGGCGGCTGCCGGCGCCTTTATCTACTGCGGAGGGGCGGGGGTTGCCCTGGGCCCCGCCGGAGACCCGGATACTAGAGAGAGAGGCCAATCTGGGCCCTGATCCCCCTCCTGGCTCCTCGCATCCCCAGGACCCTCAGAGATGGGACCAGACATCTGTAGATGGGGGCGGGGTGTTCCTGGGTGGGGTGAGGTGGAGGGGCAGGGGTCCTAGGGGCCCCAGACTCCTCACCGCTGCCCCTCCCAGGCAGCTCCGCCCAGCTCGAAATAGGGGTGTCCTTTCTCCCCAGGCTGGGGCTCTCAATTACTGAAAGGAAACATCCAATAAAACAAAATCAGAACAAGCTCCCAACCCCCCGGCCGCCTCTGGCTGCCAGGCGGGGGTGGGCTGGCCTCTTCCCCCACTGCTGGGGGGTGACGGCTCCCCAGGCGAAGAGGGGTTGGTTCTGGCCCCCTCACCCCCCTCCCACCTCAGAGAGGCCTCTCCTCTCCAGACCGCAGCGGGGGGTGGGGTGAGGGGGGTGATGGAAGGGTACTGTGTGTGTGTGTGTGTGTGTGTGTGTGTGTGTGTGTGTGTGTAGGGGGTGTGTTCTGGCCTCCCATCTCCCTCCCACTGCAGAGAGGTCTTTCCTGGCCAGACCTGGATGAGGGGGTGATAAAGGGACTATATGTGTGTGTGTGGGTGGGGGGGGGGCGCGTGTTCTCGCCCCTCCTCTGCCACCACGGGGGTGGGGCTCATACTCCTCGTCCCCCCTCCTCCCCCCGAGGGTGGGGTTGGATTCCGTCCCCTCCCCCAGACCATTGGGTGGCGTTCTGGCCCCTTCCCCTCTGCGGCGGGACTAGGAGGTGGGGGGCCCGCCCGCCCCAGGAAGCGTGGCGGGTGCCAGGCGGGCGAGGCGCCGGCCGGTGAGCGCGGCTGGCTGGAGCCAGGAGCTGACCTTACGGGCGCCGGGGCAGCTGTTCGCGATGCACATCTGGCAGCGGCGCCCGCGCCCCGCCCCCGCGCTGGCCGGGCGCTACCTTCCAGGAATGCGCGCATCTGGGGAGCGAGGCTGCAGCAGCCGGCGCCCCCTCCGGCGCCGGGCCTGGGCCTGGGCCTGGGCCTGGGGCTGAGGCTGGGCCTGGGGCTGCGGCTGGGGCTGGGGCTGGGGCTGGGGCTGGTGCCGCCCCTCCCGGATTTCCCGGCTCCTCCCTCCCTGGCTGCCTGTGTGGCTCCCGGGCAGGCTGTAAGCTGGGCCACCGGACCGGAAAAGAGGGCGGCCGGGCTCGGGTTTCTCCTGGTGGGGGCTGGGACCGGCTCTTGGGGCCCCCATAGTACGGAGGGAGAAACTGAGGCCCGGAGGGGTGAAGGGCCGGGTCCTAGGGCACCTTGGCTGGCCCCCGTGGTGCGAGCTGTGGCACAACAGATGCTGACTTCTGTGTAAAAGTCAAATAAGGATCTGAGTGTGGTCAAGTCCACAGAGCTTCATTTTCACATCCCCCAAGTTGCATGGCCCTGGCTGGGTCTGGGCCTCTGGCCCAGTGGGCTAAAAACTCTGAGACTTGGGGTCCCACTGGGGGCATAGGAATGAGCGGAGGCAAGCACATCATGTGTGACTCCCGTTGTGGGGAGAACGGCCTGTGCATAGGCCTGGGTGTGGGTACCTTCCGTGTGTCTCATGGTGTGGAGAGAGAACAGTGTGTGCATAGGCCTGGGGGTGGGTTGGGCCAGCTTGAAGGCTGTGAATGCCTGCTCTTGGGTCCCAACAGCCTGTATTTCTTTGGACTTTGTGGTTGAGTCATAGGGAGCCATTGAAGGTTCCTGAGCAGGAGAGTGGCCTGTGGAGTCCTGGCCAAAGTTCTCTCTCCAGCCTGGGTAGAGTGCCCCAGAGATTATGAGGGAACAACTCCTGCTGCCTGTAATACCTCTAAGGTGTGCCTCCCCTGTACCTACAAGGCCCCCTGGGACCTTGGGACCTCTGCCTGGCTCCCCCCGACCATCCCTTCCTTAGACCTCACAACTTCCAGCCACCTGCCCTTGCAGAACTCCCCGAATGAACTGTGAGTCACTTGCACCCTGAGTGCATTTATGACCACTGTCACCACCCCAAGGGTTTCCATTTCAAGCTGGTGTCTCACAGAGGATGAAAGAGACTTCCAGAAAGAATAATGGGCTGGGCGCCGTGGCTCATGCCTGTAATCTCAGCACTTTGGGAGGCCGAAGTGGGTGAATCACAAGGTCAGGAGTTTGAGACCAGCCTGGCCAACATGGTGAAACCCCGCCTCTACTAAAAATAGAAAAATTAGCAGGCGTGGTGGCGGTCGCCTGTAATCCCAGCTACTCGGGAGGCTGAGGCAGGAGAATGACTTGTACCCGGGAGCTGGAGGTTGCAGTTTGCTGAGATCGCGCCACTGCACTCCAGCCTGGGCGACAGAGCAAGAGACTGTCTCAGAATAAATGAATGAATAAATAAATAAAACAATAGAAATGGCATTAGAGCCCTACACCTGGTAGAGGAGGTGTGAGCTGAGCACGGTGCCCGCTGCAGGGGACTGTTCAGTGACTGGAGGGCAGAGGTGGGGCTACAGTCCTGGGAGGGAGTTCCGAGCTGGGGATTGACAGCACGTGCTTGGGGTTTGGCTTCTCCGTAAGGTACTGGGGAGCCACTGAAAGTGAGTGAATGAGGCTGGGCACGGTGGCTCACACCTGTAATCCCAGCACTTTGGGAGGCCGAGGCGGGCAGATCACGCGGTCAGGAGATTGAGACCATCTTGGCTAACAAGGTGAAACCCCGTCTCTACTAAAAGTACAAAAAATTAGCCAGGGGTGGTGGCGGGCGCCTGTAGTCCCAGCTACTTGGGAGGCTGAGGCAGGAGAATGGCGTGAACCCAGGAGGCGGAGCTTGTAGTGAGCCAAGATCGCGCCACCGCACTCCAGTCTGGGCGACAGAGCAAGACTCTGTCCCCCGCAAAAAAAAAGAAAAAAAAAAAGAAAGTGAGTGAATGAAACCTCCCTGTGGCAAGACGGGCCTATCTGCTGCTCCAACCCCAGCGTCATGAACAGGGCCTGGGACATCGTAGGAGTTTGCTCATCACTAGTTGAATGAATGAATGAATGAATGAATGAGTGAAGGGTTCTGAGGGAAGAATGCAGAGGGCTTGGCCCTGGGTAGGGGCAGTGGAGAGAGGAGGGCAGTGAGGAGCTGAGGCTGGAGGTTCTGCCTTGGGCCACATGGCCTGTGGTGCTGTTGGACCCAACACAGGCCTGGGGGTGGGTGGGTGCAGGAAGACCCCGGGAGGTGGCGTCCTGCTATTGATGTTTTCTCTGCCCAGGTTCTCCCCACACACGGGGTTAGGGAGGGTGTGCCAGCCTGCCCTCACATCCCCAGACAGAGTCCCCCTCCAGCATCTGCTGCCTACCTCCTTCTCCCTCAGTGCCTGTTTGTTTTTCTTCCAGAACCATCGCCTCTCACCAAGGCAGCCATCCAAGGGGGGCGGTGTTCCGGAGACATCCTCTGCCCCCCGCACCCCTGCAGCGGTAGCCTGGTGGGGGCTGGTGCTGCAGTTTCGTCAGCCCTTGGCTCCGGGCTCTGCAGGCGGAATCCCGAGCCTGCGTGAGGGCCGCCCTGGCCTCGGCGTGTGTCCTGGGAAGGGGCGTTGGAAGCCTCTCTGCTTGTCTTGGCTGCCTCTGCTCGCTCAGCTCTGCCCCCACTGGGGCCGCCAGCCTCTGCACTCCCCCTTGGAGGAGCCAGGCAGGGTTTGGGTCGGAGCTGGGGTAGAGGAAGGCTCCAGGCGGCTTGCCGCAGGATCTCCCTGCTGTAGCCAGCCCTTGGGGCGCTCAGCAGGGTGGGGGACCATCAGTCAGGGTGGGGGACCCTCAGTCAGGATAGGGGGGCTCCTGTTCTTTCCACTGCCACCAAGCTACCCTTCCCCTAACTTATTCATCCACAGGGCTCCTTCCTTCCAGTCCTTCCTCCAACAGATACTTAATGAGCATCTACTGTGTGCTAGACCTGCTGACGCCACCTGCACACCCGGGCCTGGGGAGGACAGTGGCATTTTCTTTGTTTTTTTTTGAGATGGAGCCTCGTTCTTGCTCACACTGGAGTGCAGTGGTGCGATCTCGGCTCACTGCAACCTCTGCCTCCCGGGTTCAAGCAATTCTCCTGCCTCAGCCTCCCGAGCAGCTGGGATTATAGGCACCCGCCACCACGCCCCCCTAATTTGTTTTTGTATTTTTGGTGGAGTTGAGGTTTCACCATGTTGGCCAGGCTGGTCTCGAACTCCCGACCTCAAGTGATCCACCCACCTCTGCCTCCCAAAGTACTGGGATTATGGGCATGAGTCACCACGCCAGGCCTGGCAGTGGCCTTTTTTAGCGAAAGTCATTGGAAGGTGTTAATGGGGGCGGTGGCCAGAGCTGGGCATTTAAAGACCCTCCTAGTGCAAGGTGGCTGCCTCTGGGGACAAGCAGGTATTGAGCACCAGGTGTGAGGCAGGGCATGTGAGCAAAGCTGGCAGAGATCCCTCCCTGGGGAGCTTGGTGGAAGGCGCTGCAGGGGTGAGGAGGACCGTCTGCTTCAAGAGCTCTGAGAAGGGACACTGACCTGTCCTTGCACGGCTGCCCTGAGTCCCCCTGGGCTCCACCTGCAAGCCTTTCCTGGAGCCTGGCCTCAGGATCCTGGTGCTACCATGCCTTCAGGACTAAGCACCTTCCCACCTAACCTGGGCTGCAGGAGATGAGGCTGGGAGAGGTGAGAGCTGGAGAGCCAGGGCGGGCCCCACGGCTCCCAGCTCCTAGTGAGGGCTCTTCCGGGTAACTCCATACCCGACCTTGGGGAGACACAGGGACACAGCCAGGGTTGGGGGTCCCACCGGGGCTGTGATTCTGCCATATTGTCATGATTCAATAGAAATCTCTTCTCCATCTTGATCACCCCAGTTCTGGATCCTGAAATCCGATACTGAAATCCTGAAAATCTCAGATCCCAAACCAACGGAAAGTCTGATTTGCCACCTTAGGTCTGGAAATGTTTTTGGTCTTGGTCTGCTGGTAACGGGGTGCATCCTTCTGCATCAGAGCATCAGGCCTGACATTGAACTGTGTGCGCTTCACTGTAAATGTCTGTGGCCTGGTAGAACAACCCTGGCTCAAGGGCCTAGAGTGAGCCTGCAGCCCTGTGGCGCCGCCAGTGCGTGGCTTTAAGCAAGTTACTGAATCTCTCTGAGCCTCAACTTGCTCATCTGTAAAGTGGGACATAGGTGTTGTTCTCCAAGCGTTCTTGTGAAGATGAAATAAGTTAATAGGAATGTGATGCTTGGCCGTTGTCACTGTTCTGATGACACGTGGGTGCCCAGGGTGTTCTCTGTACCTGTTCCCTCCTCCCCAGTCATTAGCCCAGGGGCTTCCCCAGCTGGAATCCCACACCTTCCCTGCTGGTTCTGGGTCCCTTCCCCAGCCGCACAGCCACAGCCAGAGCCCCTCAGTTGGCTCAGGCCCCCTCAGGGTAGACCAGACCCCCACCAAGGGGGAGGGGGGTGGAGTGTCAGCATCCGGCACTTCCGACCCCTGCATTCCTCATCAACGTCTCTCCTGGGGCTGCTGCTGGCCTTTCCTGCCAGCTTCCCTGTTGGGGTTCGCAGCCCAGGAGTCCTGGCAGGGGCGAGGGGCCGGTCACTGAGGCTCTCTGAGCCTCACCTGGAGTGAGGGGAAGATGGTAGTTCCCGCTGCTAGGGGTCTCCCAGACTTAAACGAGATGGTGCATGGAGGGGTCATGAAGAGCTGGAGCCTGGGTGCGCCCTGCGAGGTTCCTCGGGGCCACTGTTGGCATGCTGCCCATAAGGACTGCCATTGTCCTGAGCAGAGTGACAGTTGAGGGTGTCAGAATGGGCGCTCAGGACTTCGTCTCTCTTGGCTGAATTGTATTCAGAGGCTGGTGCTGGGTTGGGGGGTCCCAGGTAATTATGATTCCAGCACAGTCGGGGAGCAGAGAGGCTGGACGCAGGACCCAGGGAAGCAGAAACACGCCTTTCTGTAAGTCATGGAGAGATGTGTTCCCATCCTGCTAGCTCCCTCCTAGAAAAAATGCCCCCTTGAAAGCTGCCACCCTAGGCCTTGGTGTCTCTCAGTCCAGTCTGGAGGCTGGAGGAGGCCGTTTCCATCTTCCATGGATGCCTGTCATGGTTTTCAAGGCTTTAGCCAGGCTTCCCCGTGAAACGAGCCTCCTTCTTCCTCTGAGACAGACCTGAGCTTGAACCTGGCTCTGATACTTCCTAGCTGCGTGACCTTGGGCTCGGCTGCGTGACCTTGGGCTCGGCTGCGAGACCTTGGGCTCGTTGCTTCTCCTCCCAGAGCCTCAGTTCTTTGTGTCTGTAAAAGCAGGGCTGATGGTTTTCACCCTAGAGGGCTGTGGTGAGGAGTCGGTGCTGGGGCACCCAGCATAGGCCCTGGCACCTGGCAGTTGCCCCCTGAGGGTGTGCTTCCCTGTGCTACCTCCCAGGCCCTCTCTGTCTCTGCCCCACCTTTTCCCAAGTGGGCATTGCATGGCTTCATGCTGGTAGCTTGCAGTCTGCTGTGGTGGGAGTGTTTACACCAGGGAAATGGGCGGGTACTGCAAGCTGGAGTTGGTTATTTTTTTTCAGAAAGCTGGTGGTTAAACCTTTACCTCACACCGCAGGGAGGGGGCCTTGGTGAGTCTCTGAATAAACTCTGTCAATTACCCGGTGTGGTCTCCCAGTGCCTGGATTTAGGAATATGTCACTCAGCTAGTAAGCCACCGAACAGGGATTCAAACTCAGGTCTGCATGACTCTGAAACCCTGCGCTTTATGTACTCAGCCCTCCTAGGGTGGTGTGGGAGGGCTTCCTGGAGGCGGTGTGGCTCCCAGCTGGGATTCAAAGGACTTTATTTCCCAGATCTCTCCTCCTGTACTCACTTTAGGACTAAGAGTGGCCGATGCCCTTTATGGTATCTCATGGCCTACACAATAGACCCCCTCCCCGGGCACCCCCAGCCCACACTGGGCATCCTGTCCTCCCTTCATGGTGGCTGCCGGGAGGGGAGGGAGCTGGCCCCTCCGAAGCTGCTCATCTCTCCCAGTTGCTGTCTGCACCTGGGGTCAGCCAGGTTCCCTTGCTCCCTGCTACACCGTCCTGGTGTCCCTGCCTCTGCCCTGAGCCCTCCACTCTCAGGAGCTGCAAGAGTCCCACGTCCCCAAGTGATTTGTGCTGGTGCTCACTGGCATTACAGATTCACTGCCCATCACACGCCAGGCATCTCGCCCTGTGGATGCCTGCAGAGGCCCTCGCTTCCTCTCCTGGCACCAAAGAAGAGTGTAATGCCTTTCTGTCCACAAGCTTCAGTATCCTCTGCTCACCCCAGCCCCCCTGCAAGCAGCCGCCCTCCTGCTTCCCCTCTGCCAGAGGCTCAGCAGCCCTCGGGGTCTGTCCCTGCTGGCCAGGGCCTGCAAACAGGTGATGTGTCACCCTCCCCGCACCCCCATGCAGGAAGGGGTGGGTCAGTGTGGTCAGCAGGACCACGTGGAGCCAAGCAGTTGGTGAAGGCCACCTTCCATCTTTCTGTCGGTGCCCCGCAGGGCAGGGCCTGTGCTCGGCCACTTTGCACTGGTCCTTCTTCTAAACTCATAGCAGCACAGTGTGGACAGCGTTGTCACCAGCGCTTTACAGATGGGTGCACTGAGGCCCATCCAGGACAGCCGTGCCTGCTGGGCTTGAGGGAGCAGCCCCTGCCCAAAGCAGGGAGGGCTGGATGGGGACTCTGGAAACAGGAGGTATACGACAGCGACCCCGACCCCACTGCTCCTTAGAAATGCTGGCCCTGCTCCTGGGGATTCTGATGTAATTGGCTTGGGGTGGAGCCTGGGCTTGGACATCTTTGCAAAGTTCTCTAGGTGACCCTGTTTTATTTAATTAAATTAAATTAATTAATTTATTTATTTGAGACAAGGTCTTGCTCTGTCATCTAGGCTGGAGTGCAGTAGTGTGATCATGGCTCACTGCAGCCTTGACTTCTCGGGCTCAAGTGATCCTCCCACCCCAGCCTCCTGAGTAGCTGAGACTACAGGTGCACACCACCAAGTCCAGCTAATTTTTAAAAATTTTTACAGAGATGGGGTCTCGCTGTGTTGCCCAGGCTGGTCACGGACTCCTAGGCTCAAGCAATCCTCCTTCCTTGGCTTCCCAAAGTGCTGGGATTACAGGCATAAGCCTCTGCGCCCATCCCTCAGGTGAGTAACATGCAGCCCCCGAGGAGACACACAAATGTATCAGTTTGGAAAGTGTGTGGTCCTGATACAAATGACCACACACTTTGGCACTTAAAACAACACACATTTATTATCCTTCAGTTCTGCAAGTCCAAAGTGCAAAATCATTCTTGCTGGGCCGAGCTACAGTCAAGGTGCCAGTGGAGCAGGTTCTTTCTGGGGGCTACAGGGGAGAATCTCTTTGCTTCTAAAGGGTGCCTGTGAGGGGAAGGACACGGGCAGTGGGGCTTACCCCAAACGGGGACACACACTCCTTTGCTCACAGTTTTGCTGCTGAAACTGTGTCCCTGGCATCCCGGCCTGTGTTGAAGAAGGCGGTGGCGTGTGGCTGCTTGCTGCCGGGTGCACGCAGCGATCCCAGGAGCCTTGCACATGCCCTCCTGGAAGGCGGGGCTGGGAAATAAACCACAGGAGCCAAGTGTTGGCCTCTATGCAGCAGCAGGAGCTGGGGTGGAAAGAGCTCCCAGAGATGTTGTGAGTGGAGGAGCACGGAGCAGGCTTTGTGTCTGGTGCGCCGTGGTTTGTCCTGGCAGGTGAGCATGTGTGTGGACGCATCTGTGCATGTGTGGACGCGTGGCAGATTTGGGGAACATGCACAGGAAGGATCCACCATGGTCATTTTTGGGGAGTCCAAGCAACCTTCACTTTTAACTGTTTCTACTGTTTGGCTTTTAAAAAATCATGTGTTGGCCAGGCACGGTGGCTCACGCCTGTAATCGCAGCACTTTGGGAGGCCGAGGTGGGCGGATCACCTGAAGTCAGGAGTTTGAGACCAGCCTGGCCAACATAGAGAAACCCCATCTCCACTAAAAATACAAAATTAGCCAGGTGTGGTGGCACATACCTGTAATCCCAGCTACTCAGGAGGCTGAGGTAGGAGAATTGCTTGAACCTGGGAGGCAGAGGTTGCCGTGAGCGGAGATTGCACCATTGCACTCCAGCTTGGGCAACAAGAGCAAGACTCTGACTCCAAAAAAAAGTGGGGGGCATTAAGGTTGCAGGTGGAATTAAGGCTGTGAATTAACCCTGGATTATGCTGGTGGGCCCAGTGTAATCACAGCGTCCTTGTAAGTGGAGAGGAGGCAGAAGAGAGTCAGAGAGGTGGGATGCCAGAGGCACTCACCTGGCATCGCTGGCTTTGAAGGTGGAAGGGAGGGGCCGTGAGCCAAGGGATGTAGGTGGCTTCTAGAAGCTGGAAAAGAAACGAGATGTTTCTCTAGAGCCTCCAGAAGGAGCACAGCCCTCCTGAGCCCTTGATTTTAGCCCAGGAGACCTTATCAGACTTCTGACCTCCAGATGCATAAGAAAATTAATTTGTGTTTTAATAAGAAAAATTAATTTTAGGACACTAAGTTGGTATCATTTGTTACAACAGCCACAGGAAATGAATGCAACTATACGTGAAAAACCAGGCCAGGTGCAGTGGCTCACGCATGTAATCCTAGCACGATGGGAGGCTGAGGCAGGAGGATCGCTTGAGCCCAGGAGTTCGAGGCCAGCCTGGGCAACATAGTGAGACCCCAATCTCTACCAAAAATACAAAATTATCTGGGGCTGGGTGCAATTGCTCACACCTATAATCCCAGCACTTTGGGAGGCCGAGGCCGGTGGATCACTTGAGGTCAGGTGTTCAAGACCAGCCTGGCCAACATGGTGAAATCCTGTCTCTACTAAAAATACAAAAATTAGCCGTGCGTGATGGCACATGCCTGTAGTCCCAGCTACTCAAGAGGCTGAGGCAGGAGAATCGCTTGAACCCGGGAGGCAGAGGTTGCAGTGAGCTGAGATCGTGCCACTGTACTCCAGCCTGGGCAACAGAGTGAGACTTCATCTCAAAAAAAAAAAAAAAAAATTTTTTTTCCGAGTGTGGTGGCACATGCCTGTAGTCCCAGCTACTTAGGAGGCTGAGGTGGGAGGACGGCTTGAGCCCAGGAGTTCAGGGCTGCAGTAAGCTATGATTGTATCACTGTACTCCAGCCTGGGTGATAGAGTGAGACCCTGTCTCAAGAAACAAAACAAAACAAAACAAAACACCCCTGGCTCCACTCACCATAAATAAAAGGTAGCCAGTGAGAAATTTCTGATATTATAGCTTCTGATATCTCTCAGCCGCAGCCCTTGCCCTGCTATTAAAGCTGGAGATTGGCTAGTATTCGAGAGGCACTGAAGTCAGAGCATCACCCTCCCGAGACTTTCTGCCGGGAGCATGGTGAAGGGAAGTTCGCTTGCTGTGTGTGGACGTCATGCTGCGTTTCCACCTGGTCCAGGGGCAGAGCCTCTGCCTGACACATACCCATTCATGTGTCCTATTATTATTGTTGCTGTCGTCATTGTCCCGTCATCCTTGGAGAAGGAGCTTCTTCCTGACTGGCTGTGTTTAAAAGCACTTCCCCTCTTTTCTTGCCCCTTTTGATTGGATTTCTTGGATATAAAGTTTCATGCCCTAATCTTGTTGAAAAGCGGTTACATTAAACGTTTTAACTCTTAAAATAGTCCTTACTATCTCTTCCAGTTAATTGTATGAACCGGACTCGTAACAGATTGGGGACCTTTAATAGAAAAAAAGTGTCCTCTGATTAGAGGGGGACGGCAAGACTGTGGGCACCGCCTGGGGGGTGCCTTGTCCAGCTCTGGCAGTTCCAGGACATGGACTCTAGGTGGCACCAAAACCCAACCCTGAACTTTCCTGGTCCTCACTGGGAGTTCTGCCTCCTGCGTGTGCGTGTGTGTGTGTGCGTGTGTGTCGAGGTGTCTACGTGTGTGTGGGGAGGTGTCTGCGTGTGTTAGTTGGGGAGCAGGGCGTGTGTGTGTGGGGGGCTGTCTGGGTGTGTTAGTGGGGAGGCAAGGGGTGTGTGCGTGTGTGTGTGTTGGGGGTTGTCTGCATGTGTTAGTGTGCAGAGCATCTGTGTGTGACTGTGTGAATGCTTGTGAGTTGCAGGAAACCTGAGACCACACACACTAGCACCCGTGTTTTCCTGGGGAGTTTGGTGGACATGGGGTGCCGTGGAGGCCCTACTGCAGGATGCCCCAGCTTCAGGGACCCTACACACACACACACACACACACACACACACACACACACGCACACCACACGCTGTCTACACACACACACACACACCCCACACGCTGTCTACACACACCCCACACGCTGTCTACACACACACACACACACACACCCCCCACACGCTGTCTACACACACACACACACACACCACACGCTGTCTACACACACACCCCACACGCTGTCTACACACACACACACACACCCCATGCTCTCTACACACACACACACACACACACACACCCCACACGCTGCACACACACACACACACACACTCTACACACCCCCCCCCCCCCGACGCTGTCTGCAGGAGATGTGATTAGCAGCTGTGCAGGAGCAGCCGTGATTTATGTCCCCAGTCGTCTAATTATCCCCGGCCCTGGAGGAGGAGAAATGAGGCGCTTTGCAGGGCTGGGAGCCTGAAATCTCAGCAGGGGTTCTGGGCACCAGGCCCACCCCACTCCCACCCTCGGAGGCCCCAGAACCCTAGTGGACTAGAGAGGGCCTGGGGGGCAGCCAAAGGCACTGTGCCTGGAAGCAATGAAATGGGCACCCTCTGGGGGAGCCTCCCCCCTGGATGTCTGTGGCCCCTACTGAGCACCAGAGGAAGGGGGTGCTCAGGAAATCAGCCCCTTTGTCACGGAGTCCTGGCTGGTTTGTCCCCCACACCATAGCCCAGGGGAGCTTGGTAGAGGGGCTAGGTTGGGTTACCCCCTGCTAATGTTGCCAAGGCGCTTCCCAGTGCTCTTAGAATACAATTTTAAGTGGCTCGGGGGTGGGGGTCCCTAGAGGGGGGCACCGCCTTCTTCTCTGACCCATCTCGTCACCTGCCCCACCCCCCAGGGCTGCTGCTGCTGCTCTTTGCTGTCCCGGAAGCTTTCCTTGACCGCCTCTGGTACACCTCTCTCTTTCTTCTGTTTCCACCCAGGCTCTCATCTGTGGTTTCTCTGGTCACAAGTGTCCTGGTCTTGATTTCGCCACGGGCTGGATGCTCTGAATGGGAGGGTGTGTGTCTCCCTGTCCATGCTCTGTCCCCAGCACCTAGAAAAGACCTAGTGGGTAGGGAGTGCTCCACAATTGTGTGTTGTTTGGACACATAATTGTCCATTGGACATTGGATGGACAATGGATGGGAAACCCACCGCAGCACTGGGAGATCCTCAGAGCTCAGTGGGGTCCCTGAGCAGAGGAAGGTGGCTTGGAGGACTGTACAGGCTCCAGAAGGCAGTGGCTGCATGCAGGGACCGGGCCTGAGCCAGAGAGGAGGACGGGATGAGGGCCGGACCCGCACGTCATGCTCCTCAGAGGAGGCCTGGACCTGGCTGACCATACAGGGTCTTCTCTCTCCTAAGCCTGGCTCAAGCCACTGCCACCACTGCCACTTCTCCCACCCTGGGTGCAAGGACCTGCCTGTCCTGGGGTTTAGCAGCAGCAGCGTTGGGGCTCCCCGGCCAGCTGGCCCTGGGCAGGTCATTCACAGCCCCTGCCTCTCATCTTTCACTTCATTGCTGCCCCTGGGGCTGCTGTGAGCACTCAGGGAGGGAACGCGGGGAGGGAGGGGCTGGGCACATGGGGGACATGCCAGGGGGCTGGTCTTTGAGTGCAGTGGGGACACCTGAGCCCCGTTCTGAACAGTGGCACAGGCCCTGCATCCAAGCATGCACCTGAAGGCCCTTTCTGCAAGGAGGCCTGGGCTCTGCCAGATGGTGGCTTCCATCTTGTCACTTCTGGCTGTAGGAATTCCTCGGGGACAAATTGCCCAGTGCTGTTGGGCTCAGGACAGCTAGGGGTGACCCTGGCTTTAAAAGAGCTTACTTAAGGCCTGCCTGGTGCCCCCAGCTCTGTCCACCTGCCTGTGGGGCTGAGAGTGGGTGGGGTGCGTAGAGCTGCAGGTACAAATGGAGAAGGATGGGCAGGACCCTGCTGCTCATCTTGTGGGGACCCCGCTGGGCAGGTGGGCTTGGGACCCCCAGATCCCTGTACCCCTCAGAGAGTCTTCACAGCTGCCTACTCCGCCTCGGCCTCCCTCTGCCTCCCTTTACCTTTCCCCTTCTCTGACCGTTTGTCTTCCCGCCTCTGCCCGGTTTGGATTCTGGGTCCTTCTGTGTCCTGTGCTGCCATCCTCAGTAGCTCTGTCTTTCTCTCTCCTTTTGTCTATCTCTCCCCTTTTTTCCCTCTTCTTTCTGTTTCCTCTGTCTCTTTTCTCTTCCCGCATCTCTCTCTCCCTTTTTCTCTCACGCTCCCTCCTTTTTCCCTCCGTCTTTCTCTCTCCCTCCCTTTCTCTGCCTCTTCCTCCCTCTTTGCCTCTCTCTCTCTCTCTCTCTGAGCAGCTGTTACCTAATAGGCTGTTAATGATGATACAGTAAGTGGAAGGCAGAGTCCTGGGGGAGCCGCCATGATCTGTGTAATTGGTCTCGAAGGAGACAGAAGTATCTAATATTTACACACCAGTATTAGTCCTTTGGGAACCTTATCTTGGCTAGAACCAAGCAGGGAGGGGGGTGCTGGCTGGAGCCATCTCCCCCCATTGATACCAGCTCAGAAGGTCTTTAGTTAATGGGAACTGCTTCCTCCCTTTGGGTGAAGATACCAGGGTCCAGGCTGAGGTCCTGGGAGGTGTGGAGTCAGTGCTGAGAGTGGTTGATTGGACCAGCCTGCATGGGCCCTGGGCACTGGGCACCCCCGTGGAGTTAGTGCTCAACTGGCAGGTGGAGTCCTGGAGCTTCCGGGGCGTTATATGACTAGAGTCCCCCAAGAGTGAGGAACTTGGGGCGGGGGAGACACAGACACAGATAGGAGGCAGCTCCCAGGCGATGTCTTCAGCCTCTGGATCAAGCCATGCCTGAAGGCCTCCTGCCCCAGACACTTCATGTTCCAAGTCCACAAAAGCCCTTTTGCTCAGTCAGCTTGAGGCCCAGCTAAGACATCTTGCCTTTCCCAGGCATGAGAGTTATTTAAGCAGCAGCGGCCGCATTTGTGCAGACTTCATGGTGCCCAGTAGCCCAGTATACCCAGCCAGCAGGAATGAAGCTGCCTTAGTGGGCCCAGAGCCCGTCTCTGACTTGGCCCCTTCCCTAGGTCCCATGGGGGATAGCGGGGACCCCTCGCAGAAGGGGGCATGGGGCCCAGGAGGGATGCTCACAGCGAGGACTGTGGCACTTGCGGAGGCCCAGTCGGGCCAGCACTCTGTGGGCCTGTGCAGGCAGCAACCCCGAGGTGAGGCTGCCGTCAGCCCGTTTCAGACTGGGACCCTGAGTGGCAGTGCTGGGATGCCAGCCAGAGCTCTGGGTTCCGGGGGCGCGCCTCTCTCCAAAGGCTGCTGCCAGCGCCAGCACCAGCACCAAGACTTCTCACGGATTGTCACTCCGTGGAGCAACAGCACAGCAGGGCAGAGTCCTGGGTTCCCGCCAGGACACTGGGGGCAGGCGTCCAGCTGCTCTGGGGCAGGCCTGGTCCTGGGGCTCCCGTTGTCCAGCTGTCCCCGCAGCAGGACATTTGGGAAGGGGGTGTTCTGGTAGCCCTGAGGGCCTGGCTTGGAGTCGGGGCTGCCCCTCACAGCTGCGTGCCCAAGTGGCACAGGGTCAGGCCGCCCTGCAGTTTGGCAGGTGGGCAGGGAGATGCCCTCCACAGCCCATCGCTCCAGTTGTCCTCCATGAGGGCAGCAATGTCACAGCTGCAGAAGCTGGTGATGCGGCAGGGCCGAGAGCGATGCCAGCTGGGCGCTTCTCCATGCCTCGGTTTCCTTGTCTGTAGCAGGGATGAGAACGGCTCCTGCCTCCCAAGCTGTTGCGGGGTCCTCTGGGGTGAGGGCAAGGTTTGTGGAGCAGCATCCGCCTGGCTCCTGCTGCAGCTCCTGCGGTGTTGGTCTGCGGCGGCCTCGGCAGCTCTGCTCGGTTCTCTCCTAGTTTCGTCCACCAACTTGAGGCCAGGCCGAGCCCTTGGCTGTGTCCCTCGAAGAGACCCCTCTTCCCCTTGCCCACACCAGGGAGGGAGGCCAAGTGGCCTTTCTTTCAGAATGGGCTTGGACTTTTCCAGGGAGGCCTGGCAAAGGGTCCTGGGTTCCCGGCAGAGGTTCTCGTGGCGCCCTGTTTGCGCCAGCAGTGCACCCCCTCTCGCCCAGCCCCTGCAGGACCGGCTGGCAGTTTACAAACAGAGCAGCTTGTGGGGCGTCTGCGCTTGGCTGGCCCCGCCCCAGCTGGGTGTTCCCAGGATGGCTGGTGAGCCCAGCTGGGGGCGGAGGCGCCAGGGCCAGGCCTCCCCCGACCCCCTACCGCTCTGTCTGCAAGCCCCTTGCCATGGAGACCCCAAGCACCTTTATTATGCTGCTGATCAGCAAAACAATATGTGTTCATGCCTTTTCATTTTTGTATTTCAAAAATACCCCAATGTATGAAAAATGGCATTTTGTAAGTGCTATTTTAAGTGCAGTTTTTTTTATAACAGCCGTATTGAGATATAATTCACATATCATGCAAGCCACTGATTTAAAGTGTAGAGTTTAGTGGTTTTGAGGATATTCACAGAGTTGTGCAACCATCACCACTATCTAATTCTAGACTATTTCCACCACCCCCAAAAGAAGCCCTGCATCCTCAGCCGTCACTCCCCACCCCCAGCCCCCCTCCCTGGCAACCACCCATCTACTTCTTGTCTCCAGGCATTGGCCTGTTCTGGACATTTCATCTGTGTGGAATCACAGCATGTGGACTTCTGTGTCTGGCATCTTTCACTCGGCGCCTGGTTTCCGCAGTCATCCATGTAGCACAAGTCAAGGCTTCATTCCTTTTCATAGCTGAGTAATATTCCACTGTGTGGGTGTGCCACGTCTCGTTATCTGTTCATCCGTGGATGGATGTTTGGGCTGCTCCCACTCTGGGCTGTTATGAATCACCCGGCTGTGAGCATGCCTGTGGACGCGCGTCTCCATCCCCTCAGACATGTGCCTTGGTATGGGGTTATGGCTCTTGGGCACCTCCGTGTGTGAGTGCTCTCCGCAGAGCAGCTTCTTCCAGCTCTCAGAGGCCTTGCCCTCAGGCTGCTTTGTCCTCCCACGGATGCCCTCAAGGTGACAAAGCCTGTCCCTATGGGGAAGGACTCATGTCTGTTTTCTCCACCACCGTGTCCCAGCACCCAGCACAAATAACACAGAGTAGGTGCCCAGGAAGCGCCGGGTGAGTGGGCGGCCATATGGCCTGGCACTCGCCAGCTGGCTGAGCTGCAGCACAGTCCTGTTCTCTGTTTCCCTGGGCTCAGCAGGAAACAGGCCGGAGGTCATCCAGCGGGGGTGCGGCCAGGCCGGGGCTCGAACCCTGCTCCGCCTGACCCAGAAACCAGACAGGGCTGGAGAAGGGCAGCAGAGTGACCCTGGGCAGGGGCTGGGCCCGGGGCCTGCCTGCCTGTGGTGGTGCCTCCCGGGCCTTGCTGGGCGGTCAGACCCTGCCTGCTGGGCACGTGCCCTCTTTCACACGCAGGCCTCTGCTGCGGGGTACAGGACCCGCTTTTCTAAACGCAAGCGGCTCTTCCTCTTTCCCAGGTGATTCTGCATCAAGGGGCCTGAGTAATGCAGCAGCTGCCTGGTGGACTGGCACCCGGCTCCTGTCTGCATTAGGGGGCTGCACACAACCGCTGGGTGTGCGGAACCCCTATCCCATCCTCCAGGCAAGTAGGTCCCTGCTGTGTGCTCAGAGCCAGCCACTACCTGGCTGTCAGAGGCCACCATGCCAGGCTGCCATGAACAGGTAGGAACTGCTGTCAGCTCCATTTTAGAGATGAGGAAACGGAGGCATAGAGAGGTGAGTCACTGCCTGATCGGCACACGCTAATAGATGGCAGAGAGAGCAGTTGAACCCCAGAGTCTGACTCCGGAGACCCAGGGCTGACTCCCGCACTGTGGGATTAAACGAAGCTTGGAAATGACGGAGCTTCGTACTGAGTAGATGCTCAGTAAACATCCGCTGCCTGGGAATCTGCTCCATGTGGTCACCCGGCCTGGCTCCCGAGGGAATCTGGCGGCAGGAGGGGGCTGAGCCTGTCACTATCTCCATGCGATCACCCGGCCTGGCTCTTGAGGGAATCTGGTGGCAGGAGGGGGCTGGACCTGTCACTGTAGCTCAGTGTTACCTCCTCCATAGCACAAAGTTCTGGAATCTTCCTCCCTCCCCTTGTTGCTTAGGATGTGTACGTGCATGAAATTACTGTGGAAATCAGCCCTAGACACTTTCTGGTTTAAGGGGGACAACCCCCGGTCCCCATCTCAAATTTCCCCTGAGCCCCTTGGGCACACCCAAGCCCATCTGCAGGCGCCAGCACTCTGGGGAACCCAGTTTGAGAAGCTCAAGTCAGGGTCAGGTGTCAGGCCCAGAAGTGCCCTGAAGATCCTCCTTCGGGGGTTTGTCAGAGCAGGAAGAGGCTGGAGAGGCCCCAGCTGTGGCTTCAGGGGAGGAGGAAACTGAGGTCATGCCGGTGTGGGGACGGCACAGCAAAGCTTTGAACCCTTGAGCCTCCAACATCAGAGAACGCCACAGTTGAGTCACCCCATTCACCTGCCCCGAGTTACAGGTGCAGTCTGAGGCTGCCGGTGACAGGACGGGCCTGTCCTTGCAGGCTCTGTATACTCCAGTAAGGCACTCAGCTTCTCCGAGCCTCAGTTTGGCTGCCTGTAATGTGGGATGACCACAGGCTCGGCTCCCTTGCAGGGGCCTTCGTGGAGCTGACACATGCCCACAGGGAGGTGGAAGGGAAGTGGAAGCTGGGTGGGCTCCCTGCCCTCGGCAGCCCCTAGCCACTCCCCACAGCTTGTAAGGTGCAGCAGCCAGGCGGCTCCAGCTCATAGGCGCCCCCGCCCCCCCCCCACCCCCCCCCCCCCACCAGCAGGCTGCTTGCAGGCCCGCTGAAGATGCTGTGACGGGGAGAGCATATGGCGGGCATATGCCACGCGGGAATGAGCTGCCCACGGGAGGAGGCAGGAGGAGCAGAGAAGGCGCCAAGGCCTGCCTCGCCGCCGGCGACTCACAGCACCCGCCTGGCTTGCTGGGTGCCCCTCTGCCCCAGTCCTGCCCTGGAGTCTGCAACCCCGCTTGCTTGGGGCCTGGGCTGTGCTGGGCCTCCTGGGTGGTGGGGCACTGTGCCCGCTGCCCGCTAGGTGTCGCTGTCCCCTGCCAGATCCTGCAGAGCTGCAGCCTGTGTGGCCCTGGAAATGGGGTGGGGTCTCCAGGGGGAACAGAGCTGCTGCTGCAGCCACCTCTGCTGTCTCCACCTGGGACCCCTTTGTTCCTCTGCCTCCTCTTTCTGGAGTCCCTCCTGTAGGCTGGTTTCTGGGTGTTGCAGAGGGATTGGGAGGCCTCACCCTCCCAGGGCTCACTGTGCCAGGGTGGGCTATGGCACAGTGTGATTGATGCCACTGGTCGGAGCTCCAGGAGTCTGGGAGAACCCAGAGGAAGGACATCCCGCCCAGCCTCCTTCCTGGAAGACCTGGAGGAAGAGTTAGCCAGGGGAGAAGGAGGGTGGCAAGAGTGCTCCCGGTGGAGGGAACTGTGCGTGCAAAGGCCAGGAGGTGGGACAGGCTGGGTGCTGTGGGCTTGGAGGCTGCTCTTGGCAGTGAGAACTGTGTGTGCAAAGGCCAGGAGGTGGGACAGGCTGGGTGCTGTGGGCTCGGAGGCTGCTCTGGCAGAGGGAACTGTGTGTGCAAAGGGCAGGAGGCGGCACAGACTGGGTGCTGTGGGCTCAGAGGTGGCAAACATGTCTGGATGTCTGGAGCATCGTGTCTGGAAGGTGTGGGATGGAGCTGGAGCAAAAATAGAGGCCGAATTCCCATCTGGAGAAGGATGGGGACCCTGCCGTGTGGGGCATAGCCTCAGCACCATCCGATTGCCAGCCCGTATGGGGCACTTACCATGTGCCAGGCAGCAGCTCATCTCACCTCTCGGGATCGCCCCCAAGGGGGCATGGTTTCTACCCTGGTGTACTCTGGTGCACAGAGAGGTCAAGTGACTAGCCTGGGGTCACACAGCCCGTTGGCAGAGCCGGCACTGGAGCCCACTCCTGGGAAGCAGGAACAGGTGGTGGGACCCAGCTTTTCTCCCACAGAGCCCTGCCTGCCCCTGCCCTCAGCCCAGGTGCCTGCAGACCTGGTTCTCCTGGCTGTCTGGACTGGGACATGTGTTGACCCTGAAGAAGTTGTCCCCTAGCCTCTCCCACAGCGCCTCGCACACAGCAGGTACTCAGCACATATGCTGGTATTAGGTGACCCTTTAGCATGACCCCCCCACTCGGAGAGGTCCCCTGACCCCAGGAGGTCTGGCAATGAGCGTCATCAATTGAGACAGGTGACTCTGGGCTCTTAGCTTCTGGGGGGCCCTTGCCACCCACTGGGGAGGTCTTTTGGAAATCTCACTCCCTGTCCACACATCCTCGCGCCTCGCTCGCTCTGATCCTAAGCCCGGCCACACACCTGTGACCAGGATGACCGTGCTCCTGGGCGGCAGCACTGATTTGAAATGGGAGGGTCTTGGAAACCCAGACGTTATGGTCAGGAAACCTGAAGGGAAGGACGCAGGCAGAGGGGTCCCAGTCAGGGGCAGGAGCTGGCCTAGAGCCCACTGTTAAACCAAGACATGCTATGCCCGTTTCACACCTGCAGCAGCCGAGGCTGGAGATGTGTGCCCAGGTCCCAGTGCTGGAGGTGGAGGGGCATCCGGCCTGCTCTGCCCACCACAGTGCGCTCATAAACACTGTTCTGTGTCCCCCGGTGATCCCCAGGCTGGGGAGAAGAGGTGGTTGGGGGCAGCACCCACCTCTGCCGCGGGCGGTCTCTGCAGGGACCCGCCACCCACCGGATCCCGGTGCCGGAGCAGATGGGCCCAGAGAGGGAGGCGGCGGCGGCGGTCGCTGTTGCCAGCTTCCGGCTCCCCGAGGGGCGGGCGTGAGAGGCAGGATGGAGCGAGTGGCAGAAGCCCAGCCTGCTGTCCACACCACCCCACCCGCTCCCCAGCCCTTCCAGAGGCTTCTCCCCCGACTCCTGCTGCCTGGGAGACCCGGGAGCCCAGAGGCCAGAGCCTGGGCTTGGGAGGCCTGAAAGCCCAGCTGCCGGCCCAGCCTGACCCGCTGCCTTCTGGCTGTGTGGTCCAGGACCACTGATGATACCCCTCCCAGCCTCAGTTTCCCCATCTGTAAAGTAGGGGTGATGTCAGTGCCTACTTTTTTTTTTTTTTTTTGAGACGGAGTCTTGCTCTGTTGCCCAGGCCGGAGCGCAGTGGCATGATCTCAGTTCACTGCAACTTTTGCCTCCCGGGTTCAAGTGATTCTCCTGCCTCAGCCTCCCAAGTAGCTGGGATTACAGGCGCCCACCACCACACCCGGCTAATTTTTGTAGTTTTAGAGGGTTTCACCATGTTGGCAAGGCTGGTGTCGAACTCCTGACCTCGTGATCTGCCTGCCTTGGCCTCCCAAAGTGCTGGGATTACAGGCGTGAGCCACCGCACCCGGCCAGTCAGTGCCTACTTTTCTTTCTTTCTTTTTTTTGGAGTGCAGTGGCGTGATCTCGGCTCACTGTAGCCTCCACCTCCTGCGCTCAAGCCATCCTCCCACTTCAGCCTCCTGAACAGCTGGGACTACCAGTGTGCATGACCATGCCTGGCTCATTTTTAAATTTTTGTAGAGATGGGGTCTCACCGTGTTGTCCAGGCTGGTCTCAAACTCCTGGGCTCAAGCAGTCCTCCTACCACAGCCTCCCAAAGTGCTGGGAATACAGGCGTGAGCCACCACACCCGGCCAGTGCCTACTTCTCAATCCTGCGTGACCTCGGGCAAGTCCCTTAACCTCCGTGTGCCTCAGCTTCCCCATATGTAAGATGGGAGAATAATACTAATTTCCTCATAGTGTTGTGGGGCTGAAACAGTGCCGGTTTTTCTGGTTAAATCATGCGGTGGGGAGGGGACGCCAACAGGGTGAGTTGGAGGCTCTTCCCTCGGCAGGCAGACTCGGACAGCACCGGGGGGTGGAGGGTGGGAGCTTCAAGTGGGGAAAACAACCCAACAAACATGTGATGATAATAATATAATAATAATAATGACAACAGCCAGCACCTGTGGAGCACCCGCTATAAGGCAGACACGTCTAAGTGCTTTGCATTAATAAAAATGACAACAGTCAGCACTTAGGAGCACCCTGTATAAGGCAGACGCTTTGCATGCACTGGCTCATTCAGCCTTAGAGTAGCCTTAGGTTTGGGACTGTTCTCGTTGCCTTGGTGCAGATGGGGTAGCTGAGGTGTGATGTGGCTGAGGTGCTCACTCGGGGTCAGGGCCGCCCAGGCACGTTCCTTGGCGAAGCTCCCACTGGGCCTGATCCAGCACCTGGCCCGGCCTCCCGGCCTTGGCTTACGCTGTATTTCCATCCGGGACCCCGGATTCCACCAGCTCCTCCCCATCCCTGCCTGAACACACCCACCAGCTCAGACCCCATGTCTGTCCCCGTCACGGGGTGCTGAGCCACCCAGAGGTGTTGTCAGCCCTGGGGTCTCGTCCCTCACTCTTCTGCCCTCTGGCCTCAGGACACACTTGTGGTAAATGATAAACGTTTTACTCTCCAGCTTTGGGGCCCAGGACTGTCACCACACGTGGCCACTTATATTTCAATGAAACGCAACGCAAAATTCAGTTCCTCAGCTGCACTCACTGAATTTCAAGTGCTCACGACATGTGGCCGGTCTCCACTGCATTGAGCAACACAGATCTAGAAGGTTCTTTCTGTCACGATACTTTGTATTGGATGGTGCTGCTCTTGTTATTAGCCAAGGTGGGAGTCTTTGGGTGGGGAGGACATGGGACATAGGGAGGTTGAAGAGATGAGGGGTGGATTATACTTGCTGTATTTGTTGGAGAAGAACAACTGGAACAATGCTCTGTATTTTCATTTTTTTTGAGACAGGGTCACCCAGGCTGGAGTGCAGTGGCGCGATCTCGGCCCACTGCAACCTCCACCTCCTGGGTTCAAGCGATTCGCCTGCTTCATCCTCCCGAATAGCTGGCATTACAGGAGCCCTGCCACCACGCCTGGCTAATTTTTGTATTTTTAGTAGAGATGGGGTTTCAACCACGTCAGCCAGGCTGGTCTCGAACTCTTAACCTCAGGTGATCCTCCTGCCTCGGCCTCCCAAAGTGCTGGGATTACAGGCATGAGCCACCACGCTCAGCAATGTTCTGCATTTTCTACCATATTTCCCCAGGAGCTCATTCCCTTATATTTTATCCAACTTCAAGCCGGAGCACATAGCGCGAGGAAGGATGTTTCTTATATACTTGTAACTTGATTTACAGAAGTCTTAAAAGATAATGAAAAATGAAATCACATTTAGTCAAGCATTTTATAAACTGCCTTTATTGCAAAGGAAAAAAACTAGCCTGGGCAACATAGTGAGACCCCCGTTTCTACAAAAAACTTAAAAATTGGCAGGACGTGGTGGTGCGCACCTGTGGTCCCAGCTACTGGTGAGGCTGAGGTGAGAGAATCACTTGAGCCCAGTCCTTTGAGTGAGGCTGTAGTGAGCCGCGATGGCATCATTGCCTGGGCAATAGAGTGAGACCCTGTCTCAAAAACAAAAAAGAGAAAAGGAGAGAAGAGACTAGCTAAGATTGAGTATCTCCCTGAGTATCTGGGACGCTCTGTCATCATTCCTCCATGTCTGTTTATACATACACGTAAACTGAGGCCCCTCACCTGGAGATTCCAGGGGCCTAGGAGGGCTGGTGTGATTGGGAGCTCAGGGCCTGGACTTAGTTCCTCACTTTGCAGAGTAATCTTGGGCAGCTTGACTCACTTTGGGGGTCCTCAGTTTCCCCATCCCCAGTGCCCCCATGGGCAAAACATTCTACAGATGGGTTGGGTGAGGATCTCAATTGAGGGGCAGGGTAGAGTGTGCACCTAGAAGGCCAGCAGGCAGCAGGGGCCTCCTCACGCATCTTCAGAAGGGACAGAGTTGGGCTGAGAGTCCCCTGAAGCTCCCCCAAAACTGTAAACATGGCCCACTGGCCCATCGCACCGCTGGGAGCAGCCCAGTTCCCTTGAGGGGCTGACAAGAGGCTGGAGTCACACAGACTGAGCTTGATCTCAGCCGAGCATCTGTCCTGGCTCCGCACCCCTGGGACTCCCTTCCTGAGCCACAGTGAAAGGATGTTGAGACGAGGCCCACTGATTCCTTCGTTCTTCCACTGAACACATTCTCACCGGGTCCCCACCACGAGCTGCAGAAACAGCAGCAGGCAAACCCAGCAAAGCTCAGCCCTCTTGCATCCTGCGGCCCCGTGGCCACTGCTCCTGCCACCCCTTCCCGCCTGCCCTCCAGGTGGAGGGGGAGCTGGGTGCCAGGGCGCCTCTGCCCCCCAAGGCATCAGGAATCCCAGCGAGAGCCCCTTCTCCGCCTGTGGGAGGAGGAGGGAGAGGGTTGTCAAAGCGGTCGGGCCTGGAGGGGTTCCCAGATGTCCTTCCCGCCTGGTCAGTGACCGCCCAGCGGGGTCACCATGCACTCCTCCAGGAGGGACACGCTTGTCATGTTGGCGCTTGTCAGGCCCGCGAAGGGAGCTGTGGCGGTTTAGCCTCTGCCCCTTGTGGTCCCCGTGCCCCAGCCTGACCTCGCCCTCTCCCCGTTGTTCTGCCCATTGTTCTGCCAACCTCCCCCCGCCAGCTGCCCTGCCGCGTGGTTGCTATGGCAATCGCTCAGCTGTCAGGGGCCCACTGCTCCCCCTTCTTCTCTGGGGGCTGAGCTTCTGGGAGGCTTCTTCTGGGAGGCCCCCAGGAGCTGCCAGGCTGGGGAGAAGTTCCCCAGAGGCCCCTCTTGGTCCTGGAGAGAGGAGGGGGCCTTGACCTCTGCCCGGGCAGGATAGGGGCTCAGTGCAAGGGAGGAGGAGGGTTCTGCAGGGGCCACCGCGTCTGTGGAAGGGAGAAGTAACATCATGTCACCAGGGGCGGGGGCTCGTGCCCCTGGTCTCCAAGGAACCCCGGTTGCCTCCCGGCTGCCCATCCGCACGGCCCCACTATGTGCAGCCCCCGTCCTGCCCTGTGCTCCACCCTGGCCCACCCTGTGCTCCACCCTGGCCCACCCTGTGCTCCACCCTGGCCCACCCTGTGCTCGCCCCTTCCCTCCGTGCTCCACCCCTCCTGCCATGGGCTCCAGGCACCTGAAGACTTGTTTTTTGTGTAAAGAGGCCAAGGATCCACAAACAGCCAGACAGGGGATCTCAGAATAAAGACCGAAGTCACAGCTGTCCTGCGGGGTGTGGGCTGGAGGCCCTCACGGCCGGCTTGTTTTGCCCCAGGGCAGCCAGGGCACAGAGAGGGTGGGCAGCTGCACAGAGCTGCCCAGGGCTAGTGGGAGGAGCTGCTTGTCCTGCTGCTGGGGTTTTGTCCCCTGTGGAAGCATCAGTGCCAGATGGGGGCCACACAGGTGGCAGAGGAGAGGGGAATTGAGAGCAGTAACAGTCCCGAGGGCAGGGCTGTGCCCCTGCCCGTGTGCCCACCACCTGCTCTCTGCTTCCCTGTTGCTCCTGCACTGTACTGGGACCCCCCACCCCTGCACGACATCCTGCAGTGATGGGCGCATGGGGCATGGCACTGAGGGCTCAGGGAGTCCATGGGTGGCCTCCGTGCCAGCATCCAGATGGGGGCTGAGGACATCTGTTGACCTACCCCAGCCCAGCTGCAGGGAGAAAGGGCTGGATGGTGACCACTCAAGCACACAGAGGCGGGGCCCGACACAGCTTCCTGGAGGAGGAGGCCTACCGCAAGGCTCAGGGCTCCATCTGGCCAGCACTTACCAGAAAGGGACGGAGATGAGGCAGTGGAGGAGGGGGCTGGTGTCCCCGTGTGAGCCCCACAGGACATAGGGGGCCCTGCGGGGCATGGGCAGCCCCCCCGCAGCAGTGCTGGTCATCTTTGGTGGCGCTTCCAGACTGGGGCTCACGGCAGCCCACTGCCCTCCCATGGTACCTGGACACCTGACAGTCTAGTTGCCTCTGGTCTTGGGTCACACCACGGCTTTAATTTCAGTGACCTTGACTCTTGTCAGGTGAAACATTTCTTTTTTATTTTTCCTTTTTCTTTTTCTTTTCTTTTTTTTTTTTTTTTTTTTTTGAGATGGAGTCTCGTTCTGTTGCCCAGGCTGGAGTGCTGTGGTGCTATCTTGGCTCACTGCAATTCTACCTCCTGGGTTCAAGTGATTCTCCTGCTTCAGCGTCCCAAGTCGCTGGGATTACAGGTGCCCGCAACCACACCTGGCTAATTTTTGTATTTTTAATAGAGACGGGGCTTCACTATGTTGGCCAGGCTAGTCTCGAACTGCTGACCTCAGGTGATCCACCTGCCTCGGCCTCCCAAAGTGCTGGGATTATAGGCATGAGCCACCGCACCCAGCCAGGTCAAACATTTCAACTCAGCGACTACTCTGGTAGGAGCTGTTCCCAGGGCAATGGGGGCTACGCCACAGGGCCCTTTCTGGCCCCCCGTGCTCCCTACTCCAGGGAGCTGCTGTTCCCCTGCCCATGTGCCCACCATCTACTCTCTGCTTCCCTGTTGCCCCTGCACTGTACTGGGAGCCCCCACCCCTGCATGACATCTGCAGTGATGAGCGCATGGGGCGTGGCACTGAGGGCTCAGGGAGTCCATGGGTGGCCTCTGTGCCAGCATCCAGATGGGGGCTAAGGACATCTGTTGACCTACCCTGGCCTAGCTGCAGGGAGAAAGCGAATGTGTTTGGAAAGGCCCGGCCTGGCATCTTGGGAGGGGGCATTCAGCCTGGGGGTGCTCAGTTCCACCATGGCTTGGCCCTGATGGGTCCTGGCCTCTCTCGGGTGCTCTGGTCACCAGGCCTCACCCAGTGCTCTAAGTGATCAGCCCTTACCACCCCCGCCTGGAGGGCCAAGGCTGCCCAGGGTCTGGGCCATTTCTTCTGCCCTGGGCTGCCGCATCCCAGCTCGCATTCTTGCCAGAGCTTTCCAAACACATGCTCAAGACTACACCTTCGCTTTGGCCCTAACCATACCCAGTGTCGTGTGCTTGCCTGTCATACCTACCCTTGGGGGCAGGAGGCCTGGTGCCCCCACTCACTCAGTGTATGACTCTGCCTCGGTGCCTCAGTGTTCCATCTGTACAGTGAGCAGTTGCTGACTCAGTGAATTTCACGCAGTTTTGAGCTGTGCCTGACTTCTGGCAAGGGCTCAGCCAGGTAGGCACTTGGCATGTTTCCCCTTATCCCGCAGAGGAGGAGGGCGCAGAGTGGGTAGGCACATCTCCGAGGCAGTCCAGCTGGTTCTGACTGACAGGAGGCACATCCACGGGGGCCTCGTGGGAGAGGCCAGGACAGGCTCAGAGTGGAGGGCTGCCCCGTGTGGTAGAGGGGACTTGGCGGCCAGCAGGAGAGGGCTGGGCATTGATGGGTTCCCGACCATCTTGAGGCCACTGACTTTCGGCAGTGTCCACAGGGCCCAGCAGATGCTTTCGGACAGATCATCCCACGGTGGATGGCTGTTCAGGTGCACGCTAAGCACTTTGTATGCCAGAGCCGCCATCGTCCCCAGTCTACAGACAAGGAAGCTGAGGGGGTTGAGAATGTGCCTGTGTTTCTGCAGCTGGGCAGCAGTGGGGCGTATCAGCACCTGTGATTTGGTGCCCGCTTTGGCTGTCCCTGGGGGGCTAAACCCTCGTGTGTATCCTGAGATATGTGTATTTTCTCATAGGCTCTCCCCCATGCCTTATGTCGGGATGTTTGTCTCCCCCACTTTACAGATGGGCAGACTGAGGCCGAGCAGGTGAGGTGACTTGCCCCAGGTCACACAGGTTGCAAAGGACAGAGCCTGTTTTGAATCCAGAGCCCAGACTCTTAACCACTTCACTGGCATCTCCCCGGCGGGTGCTTGGAATGCCCCAAACAAGAAGCCTGCTCTTCAAGAATGACTTCTTTCTGAAAACTGACGATGACAAATTATTTATTTAATGGTTTTAATTTATCCCCCTTTCCTCAGAGAGTGTCAGAGGCAATCTGCTTCCTTCTGCCTCTCAGAGCCTCCCCGTCTCTTGTTAGTGGTTCTGCTTTGAACATATTTCCTTTTATCATGTGGTGACACGCGGTGGCAGAGGGCGATTCTGGGAGAGATTGTCGGGGAGGGGGCCAGCTAGAGTTTGCATCGCTTTTGACAGCTAATTAGCTGTGTGTCTTTGCACCGGGGGGCCTCTCAGATGGCAGGCATCATCGTCACGGCCCTGAAGCCGCATGCCGGGACTTCAGAGGAAGCATGCCTTGGCCTCCCTCCTCCAGCCCCACATCGGTGATTTCTAGGGTAACGGTTTCCATTTTGGCCATGCCATTAGACTGTGGGCTTGTCAGCAGGAGAAGGACGCAAGGCCAGAACGCCTGATCCCTAGAGCCTGAATTTGCCAACAGATCACAGGGTTCTGGATTTAGCAATCAGACCAGAGTGGGAGTCCGAGACTCCATGTGTGACCTTGCACAAGTTCTGATCCTCCCCACAGCCCAGTTTCCTCATCCGAAATTGGGTATGGGAGTGATGCTTGCTCCGTCTCTCACAAGCTTGCCGCGGGCACCAGTTGGAAAATGTGTTGCAATGGGAGCTGAAAAGAACTCGGCGAGCCTCTGGGTTCCTCCATTCTGCAATTCAGTGTTAATTGACTACCGACTGTATGCCAGGCCCCGTTCTAGGCTCAGAGGATAGAGCAGTGGACAAAGTGGACAGAGATCCCTGCCCTTAGGGAGCTGAGCTTCTAGCAGGGAAGGAGACAGTACAGGAATAGATAAATAACACACGGATCCCACAGATCGCGGGAGGGCGGGGGCCGGGCTCGCTTACAGCACTCCTGACAGCTAATTAGCGACGCGTAGTGATTAGAGGCTTCCAGAAGAAGGAAGCTCACGCTTGGAGAGTGCGGGAGGGAAGAGGGTTGTAGCTTCAAAGAGTGTGGTCAGAATAGGCCTCCCTGAGATCATCATCATCATGATGTTAGCATCATGCTTGTTTAGCAAAGATCATCAAACCTTTTTTTTTTGGCTTGTTAGAAATACACAGCCTATTAATTTACAATTTTTAGGGCAGGGATTGTGACGCTGGAGTGTGCATCAGAGGCCCCCAGAGAGCCGGGGAATCAGGCTGCTGGCAGTACTGGGAGTTTCTCACTCAGAATCTGCGTCTCTAACAAGTTTCCAGTTGGTATTTGCGCTGCTGGCCCGGTGGCTGCAGTTTGAGAATCCCTGGTCTAGGCCCAAATGGACTTGGCTCTTGCATTAAAGCTTGAATTTCTTCTACCTCGGGGGCACCTAGGGTCAGCTCACACCAGATGAAATGGCCACTTTTTCTTTCCTTTTTTTTTTTTGAAATGGAGTCTCAGTTTGTCGCCCAGGCTGGAGTGCAATGGAGTGATTTTGGCTCACTGCAACCTCTGCCTCCAGGGTTGAAGCGATTCTCCCGCCTCAGCCTCCCAAGTAGCTGGGATTACAGGTGTGGGACACCACACCCAGCTAATTTTTGTATTTCTAGTAGAGACAGGGTTTCACCATGTTGACCAGGCTGGTCTGGAACTCCTGAGCTCAGGTCATCTGCCTTCCTCGGCCTCCCAAAGTGCTGGGATTCCAGGCATAAGCTGCCACGCCTGGCCACTTTTTCTATTTTGTATTCGTCATTCCAGGTCTCCTCTGCCGTCCTGGCCTCACAGAGCTGCTGGTCGGCAGGGTGGACAGACAGAGCTTAGTCAACAGCGGGCCCTCCAGCCTGGGGCCGGGGAGGGCTTCTAGGAGGCAGGGACCTCTCTCCCCCAGTGAGGGCTCCACAGACCCTTAGCACTACCAGATACAGAAGGCGGGGAATGGTATTCCAAGTGGTAGGGCGCCTTGCAAGGAGGTTAGCAGTTAGGGATTATGGGGCACAACCTGTTGTGGGAGGGTGGGGGGCAGCTGGAGCTTGGAGTGGGCCCCTCTCAGAGGGCCTGAGGTTTCATGTTGGGGTAGAGGGGCCCTTGACCCGTGGGGTGGAATATCACGTCCCTGGTGTGGAATGTGGTATCTGTCCCACATCCCTAGCTTAATAGCACAAGGAGGGAGACCCTGCGGAGGACCCCGTCTCAGATGGGCTTGGGGGACCGGGTGAGGTAGAGGGGAGCCCTGGCCTCACGCTGGGCAGGCTGTTGTGGGGGTTCCACGCCTCAACTCCGGGGAGCCCCTGAGGTTTCCGGGCCCAGTCTTGATTTCACATTGATTCCCCCAGCATCACCGCCTCCCTCCTCGGCCGACTCTCCTCTGCACCTGCCACTCGCTGAAGACCTGGAACTGAGGTCTAAGAATCAACAGCAGAGGACCCCCAGGGACGAGAGGAAGGGGCCAGGGCCGGGGGTGGCTGCTCGGACTCTGAGCTCGCATGAGATCCCCCTGTGGACGGCGTCGGGTGGGCAGTCCCTGGTGCTTGTCGCAGCTCAAGCCCTCTCTCCCTGCTCGACTTCCCAGCTGCTGGTGTCCCAGTGTGTGTAGAGTCAGGAAAACGATGTGAAATTGGCCCGTCCCCTGTGGAGACCCCTGGTGTCAGGTGTGTGTAGAGTGTGGGTAACCAGGACCGGGAGGGGTGAGGGGGTTGGGCTGAGTCCTCGCATTTGGAGATCAGACGCCCTGGGTCCTTACAGGGGTTCCCCTACTTCCAAGCTGTGTGAGGCCAGGCAGGTGACTTGGCCTCTCCGTGCCTCAGTTTTCTCCTCTGAGAAATGGGACAGTCACATCACGACAGCCTGAGAGAGCTGCGGTGAAGAGTAAACGAGCAGGCACCACTGTGACACCCGGAGCAGCGTCTGGCATGTTGTAAGTACGCAGTAAACGCGCACTCTTATCACTGCAATGGCGGGGGCCGCTTCCCTGCATTGGTGAGTTGGGAGAGTTGCAAGGGGGAATATAATTTTGTTATTCTTAAGGGCAAACAAGTAGCAGAATTAGAATGAGGGCCTGCGGGTAAAGGCCTGGAGTGTGGACAGGACGCTGAGACCAGCCTGTTTGCAAAGGGAGAGCTTGTCACCAATCCTGACTGCCTGCCTGCAAGCCAGTTTCATAAACGGAACAGAAAGGAGTTGGCGGCCACCTCCGCTGGGTGGAGGCAGACATGACTGCTGCTAAGGAAGGCTGATTGCTCAGAGTTGCTGTCCTCCCCCTGTTGAGTCTCGACCGCCCCAGACCCGCGCTAATGCACCCTGTGGACCTCACTGCTGACATCGTTGCCCCAGTTCAGGCCAATTCCTGGCCTTTTCTAGAATATGTCCGGACTATATCTCATAACTGGGCAGACCCCTCCTTTGTCCCCTGGTCAAACTCCTCATCTCGGGCATAACCTCCTTCAGGAAGCCTTCCCTGATTGCCTCCAAATCAGCTGACTCCAGAGGCTGATGCCTACCCTGCTATTGCTGGGAGCAGGCACTGAAAGACCATGTGTTTGGGGCAGGTTCTGGTTTTCATGAGGGAGGAATGTTTTGATCAGGCCATTGGGGGGCTCTCTGCTGTGCTCAGGACCTGGGGTGCCCGAACATCCCATGCATCGCCGGGGTCCAGGCTTGTGTGACGTAGATGATTGAATTTTCCTGATGAGCAGCCCAGGGCCAGGGCAGGTGAGGTCCCAGGTCCACGGTCACAGGGCTGGGTGAGCCTGGGTCTCTGCAGTCTCTGGCCTTGACATTTTCTGGGTCCGCTGTGCCTGGTTCTGCCCGAGAATGTTTGCTGTAGTCCCTGTAAGAGTGGCTGGGTGGCCTGCGGGTCCTTGGACAGACAAAGTGGAATGATGGATTTCAGGCCGCGGCGCTGGGCTCTGGAGTGAGGAAGGGAATCGCTCATGCTGTCATGGGAAGGCCGTTCCAAGGAGCCCGAGGCTCCCCAGGGAGGTGGGGGAGCGCCCCACCCCACCCATCTGACAGGGGCCTCCCTCCCCAGGAAGGGCAAACTTGTCCCTGTTTCTGGGCACCTTGGGGGCCGTAGTGCCCCCTTCCAGCTCCGGGCGAGACTGCTGGGCATGCGTCCTCTCTCTCTAGGAAAACTCTAGCAATGAGCGAGCTTGATTGCTCAGTTAGAGAAACTGAGGCCCGAGGAGTGAATTCCCTCCCTGCTTCTGTTGAGCCAAATTGGAGATTGCCAATGGCAAGCATTCCAGAAGCATCCCGAGGCCTCCCTCTAACTGGACAGGGATGGCACCGTCTGCCAGGCAGGGAGCAGGGCTGGCACCGAGGGTCTCCGGCACAAGGACCTGTTTCTTCCCAACTTTGAGGTAGCTTCTGTTGTGCCCACTTCACAGAGGGCAAGGCTGAGGCTGATGGGTCTCCAACACTGCCTGTCACCCAGCAGACAAGGGATGGATCTGGTGCAGAGCTGAGCTGTGGGCCTCCTAGATGCCCCTTCCTAGTCCTTTTACCCCCTACCTCTCCAGGGAGGGAAGGGGTGGTTTGGGGCCTGCCAGAAAAGGTGAGGGCAGCATGAAGGAGGGGTGGCTGTTTGCTGGGGGTATGCTGGGGCTGGGAGGGGTGGGCAGAGACAGGGCTCTAGTGGACTCTTGCAGGTACTGATCTTATGTGACCTGTGTGTTGAGGCCTGAGAGGCTGAGGACTGGAGCCACACAACCAGCTGGTGGGGAGTGGAAACCGACCTCCACGTCCTGTGCTCCTGCCCTCTCCCCCTTGGTCCCCCATTTCTGGACATCTGGTGCCTGCTCAGCGCGGGGACAGGAGGGAGCCTGCAGGGGGATGGCTCTGCTCTCAGCCACAGGCCCTTGGGCTCCGAGACGGCTGGCTCCTTCCTGCCCGGGAGGCTGGGCCTCTAGAGCAGGGGATGCGTCTCCCGCTCAGCTAATTATGTGGAAAATTGGAAGAAATTGCACGAGCCTTGGTGGGAAATGAGGTCAGGGCTGAAGGCTATCGGAGCAGCGGCGGTGGCTGCCTGGGCTGGCCTCCCCTGAGACTCCCGCCCCTCGCCTGAGGCCGAGCCACATCCTCGGCCCCCTCCCCATCGGGGTGCCCAGGAAGTGGGGGTGGCAGTGGATAGCTAACCTCCCCTGCCCCTGGCATATTTTCCGAAACCATAAAAACCCAGAAGCAAAGTGGACCAGCTTTTCCACCCCTGCCTTGTCCCTGCCTTCCTGAGTCTCCTCTTTTCTCCATCACCCCCTCGGTGACTTCCCAAGGATACCTGGCATGGAGGGGCTGGCAGGAAGGAAAGGAGGGCAGTGACCGTGGGGGGTGGGGGAATGGGGAGGTGCCTATGTGCGCACGCATGTACAGGTGGGTTAAAGGACAGTCACGTCACGCTCCTTAGCCACCCCCTGCGAGCTTGCATCTAGCTGCTCTCCCCCAGCACCTGCTGCAACAAGTATTTTATTGAGCACCTGCTATGTGCCAGGGATTGACCTGCCCTTGTTCCCAGCTATACTCACTTTTCTTCATTCTCTTGAACACATCCAAGCTTTCCCTGACCCCTGGGTTGTTTCCTTTGCTCAGACAACTCCTATTCATCCTTCAAAACCCACTGCAGGCAAACCCTCCTCAAACAACCAGGGCACTGTATCGATATGCTCTTACTGTATAGGAGGCAGCATAGTGTCGTGGTTAAACATGAGCCATGGAACCAGATGCCAGATTCAAACCCCAGCTCTGCCACAGACTAACCGTCGGCCCCAGCTAAGTGGCCTCTCTGAACCTCAGTTTCTTCATCTGGGAGATGGGGCTAATAGCAGTGCCCACTTCAGAGGGTTGTGGCCAGGATTAACTTAGTGATACTTGTCAAGAGCTCAAGTCACTGCCTGGCACTGCCCAGAGGCTGCCAGGCTTTGTCACGGTTGGTAAGGAGGTGGGGTTCACTATGCCCACTGCTGAGCGGTCTGCTGTGATGCCTCTGTATTTCGTGACACAGTGCTGTCTATCCTGCTGCCTTGGGGGGATTGCTTGGGGCCCAGGGAAGGGGCCACAGCTCGTCTACTCTCTGAGGCCCTGGTACTGGCACAAGGTGTGGCACAAGGGTTCTATAGGCCGCTGGTGCAGAAGCATAATTTCACACACAGCATCGCACAGCTGTACTCCCCCCGCAGTCCTCCTCCTGATAATGATAATGGTCACAGTACAAACACTGCCAGGTCCCCACTGAGTGACCGCGCCGAGCCCCCCAGTGATCCCCTCTGCATCGTGCACTCAGGTCACTCCCCTTCCCCGTCTGGCCCCTGCCCCAGGTGTGGGTCCTAGTTTGCTATCACTCTTCTATGAGTGGGGAGGGGGGTTGCCAGTCAGGGGTGCTGGCTTTGGGCTGCGAGCCATGTAGACCAAAAGGCACCTTCATCCTCGTTCAGGTGTCTGATTAAACCCTGTCTGGCCATAAGGACAGGTGTGAGGCCTGTGAGGCTGGCCTGGGGCACTGCTGCTGCCATGATCCCGGCGTGTAGCTGCCCCTGGAGCCCCCCAAGGGCCTGGACAATTCACCTGCCAGCACAGCCTCAGCAGGAGGGGTGCAGCTGTCCAGACACCCTCTGCCTTCCTCGGGGGGCATTGGTTCCCTCTGTGCCCAGCCTCCTGGGTAAGAACCTGTGAGCCACCACCTTCCAGGTGGACTTTGGGACCCCCGTGCTCTCTCCACACTCAAAGCTGCTCAGACACAGGCCCTGAAGGATGGGACCCATTTCTACTTGAGGGGGGACCAGGGGGCTAGGCTTGCCCCTGCCTTCTAACAGGTTCTGATTTTAATGACAGGGGAGGGGGAGGCTGCAGAAAATGCCAGGAGGGAGGAAAGGATGGATCTGTGATGTCTTCTGAGTCAAGGGCTTCCTGGACAGTGACCCTGGGGTGGGCATGCCCTGCATTTTACAGATGGACAAACCGAGCATCAATGCCATTCAGAAACTTGCCCGAGGCCACTCAAGAACCATACTGTTTTTTTCTTTTATTACCATGCCATCTAATATGGAGAGATGAAAATAAATGAGCCACCCCCACCTCCAATTTACTCCTTTGATTGACGGGAGGTGGCCTCCTGAGGGCTGCCAGGCCCTTCCTGGGGGAGCATCCCACGTCCTTCCCCTGTGTCCCAAGATGGTGAGATGACCTCCCCAGCAGCATCAGAGGCAGGCTGGGAGGCGAGCGTAATTGACTTGTAACATACAGACCGTGGCAGGCTGTCATCTGCGTCAGCGCAGGGTGGGAATACGCCTGTTAGCATGAGTGTGTGGGTGTGTGAGTGTGTGTGTGTGTGTGTGTGAGTGTTCTCACCCTTGTGTTCTACGGAGGTAACAAAACACTCTTTCCTGTTAGGGAAATTCTTACAAACACAGTGCAAATGGCCTGTGGGGCTGGGGACCCAGGACAGAACAGGAGACTCCTGACTCCCCGGTGCTGCCTCCCGTGCTCTGCATGCCCGGCCCCTCCCCTGGCCCCCGAAGCCCCTCTGTCCAGCCTTCAGTGCCCACCTTGAAGCCCAAGCCATGGGGAAGGGGCTCCCAGTGTCCCCAAAGAGGAGCTGCACCAGACGCCCTTGCACCTGGCACTCTGCAGCAGGTCTGCTGGGGTCTCTGGGCTCCTCCCCTGGGGCAGCACCAGGCCCTGTCGAGAGAGGTGGCACCGTAGGTGGGATGCCTGTGCCCTACACACACGCCATGTTGATGACCAAGCAGCACCCGAGGCAGCGCCGACATGTAGCTGCGTTCTGTGGACGCTTTGGAGGGCTTTTGTGGTTTGCATAGTGAGCCCGTGTTGCAGGTTTGAAGACTGAGGCTGAGAGAAGGTGAGTGATGTGCCTGAGGCCACACTGTTGGTAGCTAGGATTCAAATCCAAGTCTGCTGGACTCCACCCCATGCTCCTCCTTCCATGCGGCTATGTTACCTTCTGCTGTGGAGCCTAGCGTGGCTTCACTCCTCTGGGGTCACACTGGCCAGAAGGGACTGGACAGACGCTCAGTGGTAACCTCCCCGGGCCATCGGCTTCCTGAGCAGATCCTGGGGCTCCCACCTGCCACAGCACAACTCTGCGGTCTCTGGGGACAAAACAGAACCACCCAGGCTCCCAGCACATGCCTCTCTGTTGAGGCCCAGGTGATGATCCCAGTGACCTGCTGCTCTCCCTGTCTGATGGATAGAGAGAGTCTCCTTCTTGGTGTCCTTCTTCTCCTGGACATTTGTCCCAGCGACATCCAAGGCTCCACTCCGTCTGCTTGGGTGACTCTCCGAGGACACAGCCCCTGTAGACATTCGGCACAGCAAGCCTGGGATGCTTCGGTAGCCAGAGGTAGATTTTTCCATTTGCATCCTCTTTTCCAGTGTTTTCAGAATCTGGAAACAATTAAAGCAGCCCAGTGGGGGCCGATTTTATTAAATCAAAGCTCTCGGGCTGTTGTATTTGTTGGATTGATGTTGCCCTGGGCTGGCTGCTTTGTTAATGCTCTGTCCTGCGTGCGGCCTTGAAGGAAACACACACGAGAGGGAGGAAAAATCCATTTAATAATCCTCAGAAGCCCAGCTCCCGCCAGCTGGAGAGAATGTCGCCCTGGGTGTTTCCGGGGTGGGAGAGGTTCCTTATGAGGTCTCGCCATCCACTCGGGAAAGAGCAGTTTCTAAATGTGCCTGTCTGGCTCCTCCGGCAGCCCATCCATCCCAGGCTAGACAGAGGCAGGCGGACATGGAAAGAAGGCACCCGGTGCAGGCACACAGACCTGGCTTCACATACCTGCCTCCTCTGTGCCAGCTGAACCAGCATTTCTTCCTTTCTTTACTGGTGCTAATCTCCCCCGTCTCACTGAGGCAGAGCGAATGCCATCAGGCCCTGTCCCCAAAAGGATCTCTTTTTCTAGGTGCTTTCTGTGGCCCAGCAGCCCACCTGGCCTCAGGGAGGCCAGAAGTACCGGGAGGTGAATGCCCCGGGGAGGAGCCCTTTACTAGTGTCTGTGGGAATTGGTGTATAAATATCCCAGATCCCTCCTGTAGGTGGACCACGGAAGCATGTCTCTCACGGTGGGTCCCAGAGCCCCCAAGCAGGATCGAGTTCCAGTTGCCCACCAGGGTGACTGGCTGAAGCCCACCCTCTCTCCCAGCCTCTTCCTCCCCTGCCCCTCTTCCCCGCGCTCCTGCCTGTTTGACATCTCTGCTCACATGAATGGCTCATCTTCCTCTCAGTCAGCTCCTTGGGGTTTCTGTGGGATGCAGATATATATTCAGAATCTGGTACAGGAAGATCAGGGCTTGGGAACTGGTGGGGAAGTATGAATGTGGTTCTTGGAGTCAGCAGTAGGACTTTTGGGGGTGAAAGGAGAGGCATCCCCAAAGCCCGAATCATCTGCCAAAGTGCGGGAGTGATAGCACTGGTGAGGCCTTTGCAGCCCACGCTGGCTTTCCTGCTGCTTCGCAGCGTGTACTGAGAGTCAGAGGCAGTCAGGGCCGTATGTACAGGAGCTTAAAGCTGGACATAGGCTCAGAGACACCAGGGGCCTGTGATCAGGTGCCATGACCCACCACCTCTGCCACTTTTCACCCTGTCTTGGGAGCCTGTGACAGAGGGGAAGTGGGGAGAGCAGTGCCGCCTGGAGGGAGAGATGGGATGGGGGAGCTCCAGTCGGGCTGTGATGGTTTCTTGGTGAAGCAATGGGTCACATTCTGGTTAAGATGCACCCTGTTCTAAGGGTAGCAGCCGGAGACCCCAGGGCTGGGGTCAGGGCACCTCAGGAGTGCCTTCGGGGGCTACGTGGCCAGGCCAGCGTCTGCAGGACGCCTTTCTGCAAGGGTTCCCCTTCCAAACCACTGTGTCACCCCTTCCCTCTGGTGGAGGCTGCCTCCTGTGCACTACAGGGCATGGTGCCGCCAGCCTGAGGGCAGATGGCCCCAGACCCGTATCCTGCGTTCCCATCATCGTCACCATGCGGCCGCCATTAGCTGGGTGCACACGCAGGCCCGAGGAAGCCTAGGCTCCCTTTTCTAACAGGCTCCGCTTTGGATGTCTGAGTTTGGGCTGCACACTTCCTAGCGTGGAGCGGATAGGGGCCCCTGTCTTTGGCCGTGCTCTGCAAGGGCTATGCGCGTGGGACGATCCGTTTTTCCATGTCTGAAGGAGCCTCAGGCCCGCAGAGGTGTCGGGGCCTTTGCCATCCCTGGAGTGATTCTTTGGGCAACTTTCTTCTGTTTCTGCCCTGATTCGAGATCTGGTTTTGTTTCTACTTATTGGGTGAATGCTGACAGTTTCTATTTTCCTGGAAAACGGTCTGGTTTTGGTGAGATCTTTCTACATGTCACCCTTCGGCCATAGGTGGCATTCTCCTAAACCTTCTGAATGTCTGTGGGATGGTGCCTGGGGTCCCTCAGGCCCAGGCAGTGGGAGGGGTGGAGCCGTGCTCAGAGCTGGCCCTTTCTGGAGAAGCCACGGGTGTGCGGGGAGCCTGGGCTGACTGTGGACAGCCCCTGGCAGTGCTGGGGGCTTGGTGAGGGGACCCACAGGAGAAAAGAGAACCTGAAGCTGTCCTTGCAAGGGGGCCCTACTTCTTGCTTGTTTGCTTGCTTGCTTGCTTGCTTGTTTTCTTCTCTTTTCTTTTTTTTTTTTTTTTTTGACGGAGTTTCACTCTTGTTGCCCAGGCTGGAGTGCAATGACATGATCTCTGCTCACTGCAACCTCTGTCTCCCAGGTTCAAGTAATTCTCCTGCCACAGCCTCCCGAGTAGCTGGGATTACAGGCATGCACTATTATGCCCGGCTAACTTTGTATTTTTAGTAGAGACAGGATTTCTCCATGTTTATCAGGCTGGCCTCAAACTCCCGACCTCAGGTGATCTGCCCGCCTCGGCCTCCCACAGTGCTGGGATTACAGGCGTGAGCCACTGTGCCCAGCCCATGGGGGCCCTACTTGTTCTCAGGGAAGAATTGAAGCCGTGACTGGCTGGGAGTTGACGGAATGGGAGCCTACAGGTGGGGGACCCCAGGCCAACTACTTGGCCTCTCCGGGCCCTGGTGTCCCCATCACTAGGGTTGGGGGTGGGGGAAGATTGAAAACAGTGATGCTAGGCCATTGAGTCAGCGCAACATCCACTTAGGAAGAGTAGATTTTACTGTATATAATTAAGCGTCCCCAGTCAATCTGACCTTAGGACAAGTTAAGGGAACGTGTGCCCAGATGTTCATAACAGCATTATGCATAGCAGCCAAAAGGTGGAAACACCTCATGTGTCTGTCAACTGATAATGGAGAAACAACATGTGGCCTCTCCATGCCGTGGAATATTACTCAGCCATAAAAAGGAGTGAAGTGCAGATCCATGGTGCAGCATGGATCAACCATGAAAACGTGACGCTGAGTGACAGAAGCCAGTCTGCAGAGGCCACAGTGTATGAGTCCATTCGTATGGGATGCCCAGAACAGGCCAGTCCATAGGGTCGGAAAGCAGACTGGTGCTGCCAGGGGCTGGGAGGAGGAAGAAGAGGAGTGACTGCTCATGGGCATGGGGTCTCCTTTTTGGTTTTTTTTGAGATGGAGTTTAGCCCTTGTCGCCCAGTCTGGAGTGCAGTGGTGCGATCTCGGCTCACTGCAACCTCTGCCTCCTGGGTTCAAGTGATTCTCCTGCCTCAGACTCCCAAGTAGCTGGGATTACAGGTACCTGCCACGACACTCGGCTAATTTTGTATTTTTTTTTTTTTAGTAGAGATGGGGTTTCACCATGTTGGCCAGGCTGGTCTCGAACTCCTGACCTCAGGTGATCCACCCACCTCGGCCTCCCAAAGTGCTGGGATTACAGGTGTGAGCCACCACACCCATCCAGGGTCTCTTTTTGGGGTGATGAAAAAGTTCTGGAAGTAGATAGAGGTAGTGGCTGCACAACATTGGGAATGCCACTGAATTGTACACTTGAAAATGGGCAATTGTAGGCTGGGCACGGAGGCTCACTCCTGTAATCCCAGCACTTCGGGAGGCTGAAGCGGCTGGATCACGAGGTTAGGAGTTCGAGACCAGCCTGACCAACATGATGAAACCCCATCTCTACTAAAAATATACAATCAGCTGGGCGTGGCAGCAGCCACCCCTGTAATCCCAGCTACTCGGGAGGCTGAGGCAGGAGAATCGCTTGAACCTGGGAGGCGGAGGTTGCAGTGAGCTGAGATCACGCCACTGCACTCCAGCCTGGGTGACGAGAAACTCCATCTCAAAAATAAATACATAAATAAATAAAATAAAATAAATAAAAGAGGGAAAGAGTGTATTGATGTATTTATCGAGCACTCGGCCAGATGGCTTTGGTGGCTCTCCTAAAACCTGGCTCAGGCATCCCAGTGGCTGTGCACTTTGCTACCTGTCAGGTTTAGGAATGGCCTCAGGAGTGTGAAGAGGGCCATGAATGGGCAGCCGTCGAGGCCTCTGTGGGCAGGGGACCTGGCGGTTGTAGGGATCCCCAGCCTCCCACGTGGGATGGGCAGCTTAGTGTTAGCAGTGCTAACAGGGCTTAGGTGCCTGTCCCCCTCTCGCCAGTGGGAGGAACCAAACCCAGAGCGCTGGTCCAGGCTGACCACTGAGGCTGCTTCCAGCCTGCACGTCCAGCCACTGGCACCTGCCCCCAGCAGCAGGTCACCTGCAGAAAGCTCACACTGGCACCTGCCTCCAGCAGCAGGTCACCTGCAGAAAGCTCAGTCCTGGACCCTGCAGATGCATGTGGGGCCTGGCCCTCACTGCCCCTGTTCCAGTTCCGGCCCCTCCTGCTGTTCTTGGAGTGAGACCAGGCATTTTCTGCAGTTTCTCCATCAGCAGCCTTGAGGCTCAAAGCGTTCCTTATTAGAGCTCCTTGGTGGCTGGTGCCTAGAGCCAGGAGTCTGTCAGGTGTGAGGGGCCATATGCTGTTCTGCTGTGGCTGGCCAGGGAGCATGACATGGAGCATCAGCCGATCCGCAGACACAGACCTGGGCCTGTGCGGGCCCCACCCCCAGACAAGGGAAAAGTCTCCCTGGACCACGTGGCCTGAAGTCTTAACTCCCAAACCACAGAGGCCTCCGAACTGGAGGAGACAGAACAGCTCCCTGCTAGGACAGCCAGCCAGGGCTCCAATAGCCCCCGTTCCTCCACACCGAAGGAAGGACAGGACAGAAAAGCTGGGCAGAGGGCAGGCAGGGGACAGAAGCCCGGGCAGAGGGCACCGAGGGGCGAAGGCTCTGTCGGGAGAGCATGAGCCAGGGGTGCTGAGGGCTCACTCCCTTGGCACCAGCAAGGAGCACCTTGGAGGAAGGGCCTGGACTTTGCATCCAGAAGTACCTCGGTGCGAGTCTCAGACCTGTCTCACTCGACAAGCCACCGAGTTCAAATGGCACCAGTGAAAAGAGAAGATTCCGGAGCTAGCACCCAGCATTTCATACTTTCCCTGTGGCATCCTCTCTGGGCCACCCCCAGGGTCCTTGGGGTCAAAGTTGATTTCCAGAGGTCGGTCCTAGACGTGGGGAGGCAGTCAGGGTGAGGGGACCCCAGGGACTGAATAGGGGCCTGTAAAGCTGCAGCCCTCCGCGTGGGGCCCTGGACCCAGGTGGAAACCAAGCGAAGGGATGAACCGGGGCGCTGAGCCCCATGTCCCCAGCAGATGGCGCCCTCGGCCTGGGAAGGGAAGGGCTTGGCTGGGAGGAGGGCTGGTGATGGAGGAAGCCCTCCCTGCCTGTTGGCGGTCTCTGCTCTCTGGCCCCGTTCACTTCTGCACAGGTGGGTGGAATGCCTCATGCTGCAGAGCTATAGGCAAAGTCAGAGGGGGTGCTTTCTATGTCCTTGGCCTCAGGGTCCCCCTCCCAGCGATGGGCAAACAGGGACTGATAAGCAGTTGAGTCCTGTGCTAGCACAGTGCCACAGAAAAGATGGTCCTGGTAGATTTCCTTGGGGTTTGCCTCCCCACTTTACAGATGGGGAAACTGAAGCCCAGAGAGGTTGAGTGACTTGCCTAAGGTCACACAGCTGGGAGCAGCAGGCCAGGCCTGTTGTTTCCGCCTTGCGGCGCAGCTGGAAGACCCTCCTGGTGGCTGCCAGCCCATGCTGAGCATTGCTTTCTGAACTGTTTGAGCACCTGACTTGAATCTCCCCGCTTGTTACAACGGGTACTGCTGCAGAAGGGGAAACTGAGGTAGGAGGACTTCAGGAAGGTGTGCCCCAGGAGCCTCAGAGCTGGTACGCACTGGACCAGGAAGTCTGGCTTACAGCTTGGCCAGGTCAGCGATTTGTTCACCCAGCGGTTTTCTGAGCACCGCCTGTGTACACTGCCTGCTGCCCCAGTGTATATTGGGTGAATGAAATGAATGGAATCGGCTCCTAAGTCACTGAGCAGGTTCAGCCAAGGCAGGGCCTCAGGGAGCAATATTAAGGATGTTTAATCCAGAAAGGGCCCGGGTTCGGGGTGACCTCCCCGTGATGACCATGAGGGGCTAGTAGAGGCAAGTGGCCGGGAAGGGCGTGGAGGATGCTTCGGTGGCGGGAGACAGGATGGACCCACCACGCTGCTCTCAGCGTGGGCCAGGGCAGGGGCCGGGGAGGTGTGTGGGGTGGGACCTCGCTCGTGGCCCAGCAGCAGGATGTCACCCAGAACTCCTTAGAGATGTGCTCTCGGCCCCACCCAGGCCCCCTGACTCAGGAGCTTCCCACCAGGGCTCTGAAAAGCAGGTGTCCTCAGACTCCTGTGCACGGTCAAGTTAGAGAACCCCCAAGGCCGGGCTCTGGAGAAGGTGCTGGGCAGCGTGGGTGGGCAGGAGGGGACCGTGCAGCCGGGCCAGGCCTGGGGGCTTTGTTCTGAGAGCAGGGGGACCCTGAGGGTTTCAGGTTGCAGGATGAGAGGATCGGATGGCATCTTCAAAGTCCCTAACAGCTGCTCCAGAATGGATTGAATCTGGGGAAGGAGCTGGGGGAGGGGTGTAGGGGACACCTGGCCCATCAGAGGCCCCTGAGACCCCACGGCCAGCCTGTGGAGTGGGGAGAAATAGAGGCGAGACTGGGCAGGTGAGGTGGCGGTGGGGGTGGGGCACTGTAAGGCCTGCCCAAGGAGGGAAGGAGATTTCCTTCTGGGGTTCTGGCCAGTGCCTCCAGACGGGCCCAGGCTGGGTCATTTTTTTTGCATGTGAGAGTTGGGGTGCCTTGGAGCCCTCCACAGGAGCCCTGAAGGAGAGAATGGGGTTCCAGGGTCTGTCAGTGCCAGAACCCACCCCTGAAAGGCGGAAGAGGCTGAGCTGCCGGTCTGGTGGGGCCTGTCCCTTGGGCGGCTGGTGGGCACAGGGCAAGCCTGTACTGCTCAGATGTGTATGCGAGTCACCTGGGGCCAGGCCTGGGATTCCGGATTTCTAAAAAACTCCGGTGTTGCCTGTGATGCTGGGTCAGGGCATCACTCTGAAGCCCTCCCGCCTACCCACAGGTGCCTCATCCAGCCCAACTTCCACCCCACCTGGAAGAGCCCCTGGGCTGCAGCTGGGCAGCCTGGAAGCGGTGGGTATGTGGTGGTCTGCTGGGGACTCCTCACCCCTACAAAGCATCTCCTCTTTGCTTTATGTCCATTTCCAACAGCTGAGGCCTGCTTCTCCGTTGCCCCTGCCTTCGAGCTGTGTCTGGGCCAGCCCTCAGCCTCTGTGCCATCCATGCCTGTGGCAGACCCCAGGCCGGCCCCAGGACACCAGCTGCTGCTGGGCCTCTGCCTGGGACTGGCCTGTGGATTCCTCCTGGCCTCCACCTCGGGGCTCCTTCCTGCTGGGGTCAGCGGGTCCCTAGAGCCCATGGGTGCGCACAGAGGGGAATGGGTGGGAAAGCAGGCTTCACGACTCCATTGAGAGCAGTCACAATATTGGCGGCATGTGTCCCAACCGTATCGTCCATTTGAACCTCACAGCTGTCCCGCGAGGAAGGTCACGGGCATGGCCCCGTTTTACAGATGAGAAGATGGAGGAGAGGGGTCCATGTCCCTGGCTGAAGTCCGGGGTCTGAATTCAAGCTGGTGAGGCCCCCCTGGACTCACCCTCCTGCAGCGTCAGGGGGCGGGGGTGCTGTCCTCTGACCCAGGCCCTTTGCAGAGTGTGACCTGAGACCCTCTCTTCTTGCTCCTGAGTAGTGAGGCCACACTGGCGGGAGCCCTGGAGGTCCCTCTCCACACATGCCTGAAGCAGGGTGCTCTGAGCACCCTTACTGAGCAGTGCTTTGCTTCTCTGTTTTTGTCTGTGTTTGCCTGTTTTTCATTAGGTTTTTGAGAAAGAAGACACTGTATTTAATAATACAGGTTTTAAAAAAATCATTTGAGCCTGGTCAGACTCTATGATCCTGAATTCACAAGGTTTGTTTTTGGTTTTGTTTGTTTACCCCAGATTTTTCAGGGGTATATTTTTACCCCAGATATTTTTCTGTTAGCCTCATAGTCTTCATAAGCACAGTTAAAAATCCCAAACCAATTCTGATACAAGTAAGTGTCTTGAATTATCAGTAAGAATAATTTAGCAGAGACCTTCCTGTCCAAAGTATTTGCCAGTTGTTTATTTCTCAAGAGAAACTATTTCTTAACTCACATATTCATGTTTCATAGTTCAGGAACATAGGTCAGCGACAAACTTTTAGGTCAACCCAAGAAGATTATCTATATTCCAAAATCACCTTGCACTCTGAAAGATACCAGCCTTCCTCATCTCCTCAAAATCCTTCACGGAATCCTAATTGCTGTAGAAATCTGCGAATGACTCTTTCTTGGTTCAGCCACAGCAGACTTACAGAGAGCTGCAGCCCCCAGAGAGACAGTGAATGCTCAGTACGGGAAATTGCAGACGTTGGCCAGAAGGCCACGCATCTGAGGTTTTGTCAAAGCACTGGAAGCTTTGGCGGTTATCGTCCTTGATAGGGACATCAACCTCAACACCAGTGTCCTTCCCAGCTGATGGAGAAATGCCCAGATTTTTTAAAAATGCAAACGACATAAAATAACGATGTGGTAACTTTCAGGGCTACAGGGCGATAAAATAGTGGGGAGGGGGGAGGAGGATGCTTCAGGCCAAGGCCCCAGGGAGAAAGCGTATTTTCCTGTGTACTCTACGGGTTCTATTCTCAGTCCTGAAATACCTTCTACCATGCAAGCCCGCTACAAGCTCATTTAAGGTAGTGCCATGGGGCTGTGTGTGGTGGCTCATGCCTGTAATCCCAGTACTCTGGGAGGCCAAGGCAGCGGATCACTTGAGCCCAGGAGTCTGAGACCAGTCTGGGCATTATAGCAAGACCCTGTCTCTACAAAAAGTACAAAAATTAGCCAGGCATGGTGATGTGTGCCTGTGTTCCCAGCCACTCAAGGGGGGATCACTTGAGCCCAGGAGGTGGAGGTTGCAGTGAGTCAAGATCGCACCACTGCACTCCAGCCTGGGTGGCAGAGCAAGACCCTGTTTCAATCAATCAATCAGTCAGTCAATCAATCAATCAATCAAACAGTGATGTAGCTCTGTGGGTCAGAGCTCAGTTTCCTCCCTGTGAAATGGTGCTGCCCGGCCTGCTCCATGGGGCCTCCTGAGCACCTGAGCCCGTAAGCCTTGTGTCATTATGGGAGGCGGTGTTTTCTCAACTCCAACTTCTCTGTCTTCACTTGAATTCTCAGGACTGTCTGTCCCTCCCCTGCCTGAGTGAGGATCTGTGTTTCAAGAGCCGCCCATTTCCCGGTGGAAGGAACGCCATCTCAGAGCAAACTCCGGCGGCGTCATTAGCCGGGGAGATGGCAGCTCATTAAGTGTGAGCGGTGACTCCAGGGTTTATCAGTGAAATTACTCAGTTCTCCCCACACACAGAGCTGAGGGGGAAATTGAGCCTTGCTGAGGTTCCAGAAAGTTCTCCTTTCACCCAAAGGTTGCTGAGGGCTGCAGTTCTGTTGGCAACACGCCCAGCGCTCGGAAGGTCTGCAGCACTCTCTCCAGAGTGCATGCTGTTTCGGAGCAGATGGAACTGGCCCTTGGAGACCCAGCTTCCCAGCAGGCGGTGCTTAAGATGGTAGGAAGGCCCTGGCCCAGGAGTCGGAGGTTTTGGGAAAAGTACACCCGGCCCCTGCTTTCCATTGGCCAGGTGACCTTGAGTAAGGCCTCTACCAGTCCAGGGTGAGGCTTCTCTGGCCAAGGCCCCATCCAGCACCCAAGCTCTCAGATTCCACCCGTGGAATGCACCACTCCTGGGCTGTCCCACTGGGTCATATGGTCTATTTATTTATTTATTTATTTACTGAGGCAGAGTCTCTCTCTGTTGCCCAGGCTGGAGTGTAGTGGTGCAGTCTCGGCTCAGTGCAACCTCCACCTCCTGGGTTTAAGCGATTCTCCTGCCTCAGCCTCTCGAGTAGCTGGGACTACAGGCGCCCGCCACCATACCTGGCCAATTTTTGTGTCTTTAGTAGAGACGGGATTTTGCCATGTTGGCCAGGCCGCTCTCGAACTTCTGACCTCAAGTGATCCGCCCACCTCAGCCTCCCAAAGTGCTGGGATTACAGGCGTGAGCCACAGCACCCGGCCACATGGTCTCTTTAATTTGGGGATTGCCCCCACACCATCCCTGCCGTCATTCTTTACAAAATGTCACCTTTGCCTCCTTGCAGCTGTGTCAGTGTCTCTCCATTTTTCAAACCCTCTGAGGACTCTGTCTTGTGTTACTGTGTCTGATTTCTTAGAAAGCCAGTGCAAGGAGAAGCAGAGAACATCGGCGGTGACAAGGAGAGGGTCCCGTGGGTCCTCGGGCTGAATTGGAACCAGGTCCTGGCGTTGCCTGCCCAGGTCTTCCCATCTGGGTTTGCTCCAGTGCCTGGGCCGGTCAGAGCTGCCTCTGCCGCCCCATGTCTCTGATGGGTTGCGGGGAAGTTTGAGATGAACGGCTCTCCCTGCTCTAAAGTCACTTCAGCAGGGACCCAAAATTGTCAAGAAGCAAATGAACCCACGATGCAAACGGCCTCTCTCAGCATCACCTCCACAAAGCCTTAGAGCTGGACATGATCTTCCAGGCTGTCAGTTCTGAACCTTTACTGGGGAGGACATCCGAGGCCTGCAGAAGCCCTGTGGCTTGTCCCAGGTCCCAATTAGCTGGGGACACAAGAGGCCCTCTTGACAGCAGGCAGGTGACGGCTCCTCTGAGAACAGCACTCTGGATGGTGACGTTCACACCCTCCAAACCCCGGCCACCAGCAGCTCCAAGCAGTTCCAGGCACGAGTTAATTAACCCTCACAGCAGCTCTCCAAAGGAGATAATTATTACTCATATCCCCTCTGTAGGTGGCTAAACCGAGGCCCACAGGGATGGGGTGAGTGTCTTAAATGCCAGATGAGAAGTTACCTTGCATCGGAGCGCCGTCTAACCTGCCTCTTAATTAGTTGGGGCTAAGAGGCCCCAGTGACTTTCAAGGATTCCATTTTTGTTATTTTCCTCTAAAAACGATATGCAATGCTCCAGAAAGAGAAAACCCTAGAAGAATGTAAAACTCAAGTTCCCTCCTACCTGGTCACCGTGGGCAAAACCAAGGTGCATGGACGTGGTTTTCAGGGTGTCAGCCCACTTCAGGTTATAGGTGGTGTCCAGTGATGGGGTGGGAGGATGGAGAGCATGTGCACGGGGTTAGTGTTGCTTCCAAGCTTATCATTGCCACTCTTGATTTCAGGAGCTCTGGAAGCAAAGCGGAATAGATTCACGTTATCTGAGCAGGACACGCCCACCACAGCATGCCAGCATTATTTTGCCAGAAACCTCACAGTCCCCAGGTTTGCCACCCACATGCAGAGCCCTGTGTAGGGTCTTAGATGGCACAGATGGTGCCGGGTGCCACAGCCGGGGTTATCCTGTGAGTTGCTATGTTTTCTTTTCTTTTTTTTTTTTTTGAGACAGAGGCTCACTCTGTCACCCAGGCTGTAGTGCAGTGGCACGATTTCAGCCCACTGCAACCTCTGCCTCCTGGGTTCAAGTGATTCTCCTGCCTCAGCCTCTCGAGTAGCTGGGACTACAGGCGTGCACCACCATGCCCAGTTAATGTTTGTATTTTCAGTAGAGACGGGGTTTCACCATGTTGGCCAGGAGGGTCTGGATCTCTTGACCTCGTGATCCAGCCGCCTCGGTCTCCCAAAGTGCTGGGATTACAGGCGTGAGCCACCGCGCCCGGCTGGGTTGCTGTGTTTTCATGACTGCTTTAGATCAATTTGCCACCGACCTGCCTCTCACTGGGGTAGACTGACTTCAAAGCTTTTTTCTCCTCCAGGTTTCTGAAAGTTGTTTTTTGCTGAAAGCCCGGTTCAGAGTTCTCATGTGTGTTTTGGGGACCCAGGGCATTTACCGAACCCGGTGAGGGCTGGAAATTCCAGTCTCAGAAAGTCAGAGTCGCACAGGATCGGGGAAACGTTCAGGCATCCTGGACTGTTTGGTGACGAGGTCACAGAGCCCCCGGAGGATCAGGAGCTGCTCGTTAAAAGCTGGGGACACTCAGAGGCTCTTGTTTTTCCTTGGAGGATTTTTATGAATTATGATTTCCTTTATTTCTGTCCATAATTTTGTGCTTTTGCTATACCAGGATTTTAGTCGAGATTCAATGTTATCACCTGCCTTGAAGTCTTGTCTCTTGACAAATTTGCATAATTCTGTGTTGTATTAATTATCTAGTGCTGCATAACGAATCACTCCCAAACCTTGTGGCTTACAACCACAGTCATCACTGATGATCTTTTACAGTTTCTGTGGGTCAGGATTCCAGGGGTGGCGCCACCAGGCACTTCTGCCTTGGGGTTTCTCTCGGAGTTGGAGTTGGACATCAGCTGGGGCTGGAGTCACCTGCAGGCTGGCCTGGGGTCGGGCAGGGGGATCTGCTTCCAAGGCTCTGCTTCAGAGGCGGCTCCCTCCCACGGTAGGCGCATGGTTTCCTGTCTCCAAAGTGGGCCTCTGCACAAGGCTGCTTGGATGACCTCATGATATGGTGGCTGCTGACCAGGGTAGAGGCTGGAACCCCTTGGATGGCCCAACCTGGGAGGTACTAGCCATGCCTCTGCCATTGGGCCCGGCCACACAGGTTCCTGCCCTCTTCTCCGCTGCCCTTGTGCCTCCCGTGTCCTCGCTGCGTCCTAACCAAATGCTGGACTGGCAGAGACTGAAAACGCCCCACGGGGCCCCTGTGGCTTGCTCACTCGGGCTCTCCGGAGAGTGGGTGCCAACCCCCTGCGCCCTGAGCATCTTGGCTCTGCTTGGCTTGCAGCTGGATCCCCTTTTTGGACTTTGGGGCTGCACACGCACCTTGTTCTGGAGCGAATGGGCTCGTGAGAGCCGCAGGCCCTGAGGCATGGCCTAACTCAGGCAGAGTAGTTGGCGAAGGCCCCAGAGGGACCCAGGCTATCGTCCTGCAGCTGCCGGCGAGTGGGCTGGGCTGGTGGCGTCCTCAGTGCTCTCCCTGGGATGGGCTGTGGACCCCAGCAGGCGGGGTTTGATGCACGCTGCAACCTTGTCCAGCCACAGCCCAAGGAAGGGCGCTGAATTGAACGTGGGGTAAAACAGTATTTATGGCTGTTGATTCTGCTGGGCCTGTTCTCAGTGCTTCATAAGTGTATTAGCTCATTCAGCCCTCAAACAGCCCCTAAGGGGTAGAGACCATTATTATACCCATTTTATGGATGAGGAAACTGAGGCCCAGAAAAGCTGAGGCTGCACAGCTAGGAAATGCTGGAGCTGGGCTTTAATCTCAGGCCGTCTGGCTCCAGCATCCATGCTTTTATCCGCTCCACCACGTCTCCCTCCTGCCCACATGTCCTCAGGCCCATCTCTTTGCCTTTCTGGGCCTCAGTTTCCTCTTGTGAGTAAGATGGGGGCGGGGAGGGAGGCAGGCTGCATGGCCTCCACAGTCCCTCCCAGCAATTAAATGCATGCCCGTGGCTGTGGCATGCGTGAGGACAGCTGCCTGCCAGCCTTCAGAGGCCAGTTGTTCAGCTTTCAAGATGCCCCCGGCCCAGGAGAAGGCCCGGCGGGTCGGGAGGCCGGGAGAATTGAGAATCTGCCCGGCGGGTCGTGCTTTAGCTGTCGCTGTAGGGCGACTCTTGGCGTGTAATCACAGCATGTGGCGCGAGGACAAAGAACATGACAGCAGAGAAGGATCAGACAGGGAGAAGGCGGGAGAGGGCAGAGCAGGCCGAGGGAAAGAGAGAGAGGTCTCCCGGCGGGGGCCGGGCGCGAGAGCCTCTGCTTCCATCTGCTCGGCGAGGACTCTGGGAGGTGCCAGGTGAGACCTGCCTCCCTGCCCTGCGCTCAGCCTCTGTCCCAGAAACCTGAGCTCCAAGCGGCACAAACTCCCCAGGCCCCCAGGACTCTGTTATTACAGCACAAAGCCCTGGATTTTCATGTCCACCAATTAAGGGATTTGCTGGGTTGACGATTCTCGGGAACTCGGTGCAGATGCTGTATTCGAGCCAGCGAGGGGGTGGTGAGAACCTGCTAACTGGATATTAAACGCCCGCTGCTGGGAGAGTCGTGGTCCACAGTAGGATGTGATCGTTCAGGCTGGAGGGATCGTGGGGAAAATGGTGGCTCATGGAATACTAAGGGGAAGGCTGTCAGGTGCGGGCGGGGCTGGCACACACAGCTCACCTTCAGCTGAGGAAGCTGCCTGCTCCGCTGCCGTCCTGGCAGTCAGTGACAGGTATTGCTGAGATGTCAGCTCAAGGGTGTCTGGGTTCTTTTTTGGTATTAGAGTAGGTCTGTAATCACAGACCAGAATTTGAACTTAAAAATTAATAAACCTAGAGGGGACAATGGAAATAGAAAATCGCCGCTTACAAATAGCACTGTGGTCATCGTTTCAGGCAAAACCATCAACGGATGCTGACATCAGCGAGCAAAAGTGTGATGAAGAACGGCGATTTGCATCGTTTCAAAGTATCTCTCCATGAGATACTTACTAATTTCAAAGGGGACAATGGCCAGGTGAAGCCTGGCAGATGTCACTTACACTGAGTGATCCATGTTGCCATCTCCAGGGTGACACGGTGTGCCTGTGACATGAAGCGCCAAGGGGAACCCAATGTCATTTCTGGGGTTCTTCCTGCCCCAAACAGTCCATTTGGTTAAACTCACGAGAGTGTGTGCTTGTCGATGTAGCTGATTCTGTATGGGTGGGGATTTGGACCAGCCCTTCACTACTCAAAGTGGGGTCTGTACACCAGCAGCAGGGTTACCTCCTTAACCCCGAGCTTGTAAGAAAGCACAGCCAAGCATGGTGGCTCATGTTTGTAATCCTAGCACTTTGGGAGGCTGAGGTGGGTGGATCATCTGAGGTCAGGAGTTTGAGACCAGCCTGGCCAACATGATGAAACCCCGTTTCTACTAAAAATACAAAAATTAGCCAGGCGTGGTGATGGGTGCCTGTAATCCCAGCTACGTGGGAGGCTGAGGCAGGAGAATCACTTGAACCCAGAAGGTGCAGGTTGCAGTGAGCTGAGATCGTGCCACTGCACTCCAGCCTGGGCGACAAGAGCGAAACTCTGTCTCAAAAAAAAAAAAAAAAAAGAAAGAAAGAAAGAAAGAAATTAAGAGTCTCGGGCCCTGCCCCAGACCTAGAATCAGGACCTGCATGTTAACAAACCCCACATCTGTGATCCCTGTCCACAGTAAAGGCTGAGAATGCTTAATCCAAAACACCTTCCGCCTCCCAGAGCTTGTGGCTTTGATGCCATTTGTCTGAACATCACAAGGAACCACGTGGGAAAACAGGACTTCGTGGCGTGCCCTGGCAGACAAGCCAAAGCAACTGTGGGCATCAGGCTGTGGGGGTGAGTGAGGCCCACTATCTTGGGCACTGGGCGGTCCCCCAGAAAAGATGGAGGGGCTGGTGTCTGGGCCTGGCACAGGGCGGGATGTCCCCTCATCTGGCCTGCAGCCCCTCCCCGGTCCCGAGCTGCTGAGTTTACAGCCCAGGGCGCATGTGTGCCTCTTGCCCAGCCAGGAGGTCAGCAGACTGGGCGGTGATGAACAAGTGCCAGCAAAGGGCCCCGTGCTCCGAGCATGTTAGCGGGAGGAGGACACAGTGGCCACTTGATATTTTCCAATACGGGGTTCAGGCGGGTCGGCCCACGGGCTGGCAGAGGCTCTCCGTGTCCTTGCCAAGTGACTCATTCCAGATGGGAACATTTATTCGAGGGAATGTATGACAACTCAGCTGTGACAAATAAAAAGGGGGTGTCTGTGTCTTTGTGCCCGGCTGGTGCCTCATCTCCCCTCAAATTGCTGCCGCAGTCCGTGTTACTGAATCAAGGACTTGGTGAGCCTGGTGTCCGTTCAAAGGATGGTCTTCCAAATGTCCGTTCCCACATGGGGAGACTTCCATGTTAACAATAGGTTATTGTAGTGCGGCTGGCCCGGAGGACTGGGGACTGTGAAAATAAATTAAGAGTGGGCCGGTCGGAGCTGCAACAGTCATCGTGGGCAGCTCTTGGGCTTGCCAGAAATTATTTGGCGCTGCGGTTTACGCATCTATTAGTCCAATTGCCCAACAGCTTCAGACTGGGTTGGGATTTTTTTTTTTTTTTTGAAAGATGAAAGATTTGGGGGCTGTTTGAACATCTGCTCTGGTATCACTTGGGAAGTTTAAAGTCAGACGAGTTCGTATGATCAGCGAGTGGGATGTTTTCTTCCCTGTGTAGGGATTAAAAACAAAATAGTGAGAAAACGCAGTTTTTTTCGTTGTCCCATAGTATGGGCTCCGTGGGCTAGGGCCGGGTCGGAAGCAGCTCTGGTGGAAGAGAAGCCTTTGCAAAATGTGCTTCCACCCTGGAAAGCGTCGGGGGCCGCGGGCTCCAGCGGGTCACTCTGCCCGCCCCGGGTGCCGCCCGCCACAGCTGGACTCTTGTTTCTCCAGCGCCTCTGGCCTCCCTGCCTGTCTCCGGGGACGGGGACTGAGCTGGCGGCGGCAGATGAGTGTTCTGCGGTGTCACTGAGAACTCTGGCTCATGCACGAGGCCAGCTGGAGGCGAGTGCCGGGGTCTGTTTGAGACAGATGGCTCTGTCAGATCTGGCTCCTGGAAACTGTGCAAGACGTGCACCACTTGGTGGGGCTTGGAGGCCTGAGCTCCCAGGGTGGCCTTTCGGGCTGACGCATGGGGCCGGAGCAAGCTGGGGAGTGGGGGACTTGCTGCCTGCCCATCCCCCTGCACCAGCCACCCCAGGGTTTTGTGGGACCTCATGGGAGACCTCAAAGTGAAACAGCCGTGCATGTCCCTACGGTGACTGACAAGGCAGTAATGATCCACCCACACCCCCGCCTCTGGCTTCATCTCCTCCACGCACCCGCTCTGTTCTGCCCCTGCTGGCCTTCTTGCTGTTCCTTGATTGCACCAGCCACGCCGCTGCCTCAGGGCCTTTGTACCCGCTGCCCCCTCTGCCTGGAATGCTTTCCTCCTGATTTCCACACGGCTCCTCCCTCGCTTCCTTCGGCCTTTCCATATTGGTCACTTTCTCTGTGGGGTCTTTCCTGACCACCCTTTCTAAAACTCCAGCCCCAGACTTGACAGTCCTGACCACACCCCCCGATGCCATTTTCCTCCTTGGCATGTGTTACCAGCACTGGCTGGTGAGTTACTTACTGACCTTGTACCTCTTGTCTCCTGCCCTCACCCCTGCTGAAGCCTAAAGGAGCCGCAGGAGCTCCATGGCTGGTCTGTTTTGTTCACAGCGGCATCCCTAGGACTCAGAATAATGCCTGCGCACAGTAGGCACGGAAGTATTTGTGGAAGGAAGAAATGGAGATCATCATGAAATAAGCGCTATTGGCCGGGCACGGTGGCTCACGCCTGTAATCCCAGCACTTCGGGAGGCCGAGGTAGGCGGATCACCTGAGGTTAGGAGTTCGAGACCAGCCTGGCCAACATGATGAAACCTTATCTCTACTAAAAATATAAAAATTAGCTTGATGTGGTGGCGTGCACCTGTAATCCCAGCTACTCGGGAGGCTGAGGCAGGAGAGTCGTTTGACCCCGGGAGGCGGAGGTTGCAGTGAGCTGAGATCACGCCATTGCACTCCAGCCTGGGTGACAGAGCAAGAATCTGACCCAAAAAAAAAGAAAAGAAAAGAAATAAGTACTCTCAGCCCCCCTACGCACTTTGACATTTAAAAAATAATTAGAGAGGCACTGACCCTGAAGTCACTCTGGGGTGCCAGAGCTGGAGGAACTCGTAGGACAATACAGCCAACCTGGGCAGATGGGCAAAGAGACCCAGGGCATAGAAGCCACCTGCCCAGGGCGGTGCAGTTAATTGGAAGCAGAGCTGCCTCTTAGCCTGGGCTGACCCATGGGGGCACTGGGGAGGTGGAATGTGACAACCTGTTGAGAGCCCGCTGTGTGTGGCAGTGCCATGCCCAGCTGGGGTCAGAAAAGTTTCAAAGAAGCCTCTGATCTGAAGGAGCCTCCCTTCTGTGGGGAGACACCCCTGCCACTGAGGACAGCAGAGGTCAGGATGCAGTCTATTCTGTCCTGGGGGCTGGGGTGCATAGAGGAAGAAGCAAAACTCACATGGGGTCCAGGCAGGCTTCCTGGGAGAGGCGGCATTTGTGCTGGGTCATTGGAATCTGGGGGTGGGGGGCATTTCAGCCCCAGCAAATCTTGGAGGTGGGGAGGGTGGAGCTGTCAGCATCTGCAGGAGGCACCCACCCTGAGAGAGAGGGAGTGGGGGTAAAATTCAGTCCCCTCTTTGCCAACTGAGACAGGAGGCCCAGCCTGGGCTCTATGGGCCTGAGAAATGGTGTGCCTAGCACTAGGACACTGCAGGGAGGGGAGGTCAGCGAGAAAACAATGGTGTCAGGCTCTCCTGAGCCTCGGCCACCTTCCTCACCTCCACCTGCCAGGTCTGTGGGGCAGCAGCTCTCACCACCTACCTCTGAATGATCAGATCCTGGGCTCAAGGTTCATTTTATCTTCAAATAATCTTTGGCACAGCCCTGAGTTTCCGGCAGGGTGTCACCTTGACCCCTTCTGCTTGCAAAGCTCATATACAAACAGGCATGACCTGCTACATGGGAGGGTCCCTGGAGTCCTCCCTGCAGTCCCAGAGGCTCTTGTGAGTTCATCCTCCCGCCATTGGCCTCCCCTCCAATGCTGGGGTTTTTTCCCAGGCCCGAGAGGCTGGCTTTGTCAGTGAAAGAAGCAGCTGCCCCACAAGGACTCACCTGTACTGTGGCCACCCGTGTCCAGCTCAGCTCCCCTGCCCCTGACACACTCGTGTCCAGGCCTTGCTTCGTGTCCCCTAAGTGACACATATGTGGTGCCAGGCCTCTCAAACCAATGTGTGTGAACCCTCTGGGAGCCTTGTGGAAATGCCGTTTCCCATTCTGCAGGTCTGGGATGAGGCCTAGGACTCTGCATTCTCACTGGCTCCCAGGGAAGGCCAATGTGCTGGGCCACAGACCACACTTTGAGAACCATGGAGCTGGACCGTCTGCAGCCTGGCTTAGGGGCTTAGGGTAAGCAACGGGGTGGTGGTGGGATACAGGAGGGTGCAGAGGACGGGGTAGAGTAGGCAACTCACGTTTGCTGGTGAAGGACATGGCAAGGTCCTGGGGCAGTCGCCCGATGAGGAACCCAGGCCGGGCTGGTCTTTGTCCCTCAACTGGTTCAGCCTCTGGCTCACAGGCTGGGGGGCTCCTTCATGTTGGGGCGGGGATGAAAACCACGGTTTTACTCAGAAAGAAGCCCCTGGTAGAGCTTCTGAGCATGTGTGTGCCTGACCTCTCTTTGGAATTCAGATTCATTAGATCTGGCTGGAGCCCAGGAATTTGCATTTTTTAACAAGCGTGTCCTTGCGGGTGATGGGGGCAGGTGGGTGTTAAGAAGGCCGGGGAGCAGAGGTCTTGGGTGCAGAACCCAGCGGGGAAGTGAGACGATGCCTCTTCCCCTCCCAGAGTCGCCGCTTGGGTTTTCTTTGGTGAAGGGGAGAAGTGGTTTGGATGCCAGTTATTGGACAGTCAGTCACTTCCCTGCGTGGGAAGGGTCGTCCCCTTTGTGGCACTCCTGAGGGCAGCCTTCCTGCCCCTGGCCAAGGCCCCGCCCGCACTTCCCTGCACAGGCCTGCCCTGCCTCAGCAGACCCGGGCCCCTGCCATCTTCTCATCACAAGGCCATGTCCACGTCACCCCCAGGCCCCCAACCTGGAGTGCGGCAGCCTTCAAGGATCCCTCCCCATGACCTCCAGTGAGCTCCGTTCCATTGGGTACTGATCCCATCAAATGACATGTAAGCAGTTCTCTTTCTGCAACCTCGATAGACACTAGGCCTCTAGGGGGCAAGGAGCATGCCTTAAACCCTCCGTCACTTGCTTGGCCTTCTGTGTGTTCATTCCACAGCTGCCCTGTGCAGTTGTGCAGATTACACACTGCCCAAGGACCAAGGACGCAGACCAAAATCCAGGCCACACAGCACACACCATGCCAGGTGTTCTGGAGCAAGGGAGCACCTTTTTCCAACATACACCGCTGTTTGTAATAATCTGTAATAATAACTAACTCTTCATAGAGCCTTTGTTGTCACCGAGACACACAAAGATAGGAGATGGCCACCCACGAGCTGTCCGGTAGATTCTGAGTTGTTTCACCTTGTCATGCTGACCAGATGGCCGGCCAGTGCCATGTCCTGCATTCTCTCCTGCTCCTCAGCCTCACCAGCTCGTGCAGTCCCCTCGTCCCTGAGCAGGCCAGTGTGGGAGCCCCACCCAGCCTCCCCTGAGAGCAAGCAGTTGGGGAGTGTCTGCCGGGTCCCCAAGCAGGGAGCAGGGAAGTGCCCGTTCTCAGTGTCAGAGCCGTAGCAGACAGACATGGGAGGGGGCTGCAGGCCTGGAATAATCACGAGAACAGCAAAGCCTGATTCAGGCAGACACTGTCCACACATGTGACATCCAGCATTTCATGGAATCCTTACAGCAGCCCTGGGAGGTTGGCACTGTCATTATCCCCATTTTACAGAAGGGGAAACTGAGGCATGTAGTGGGTATGTCCCTCACCCAGGGTCTCTCAGCAGAGCTGGACACCAGGCTGCAGATCCAAGCTGAGGTCTCCTGATCACCTTGAGCCTGCTCAGAGCTTGAGTAGGAGCCAGGCGTCCCTCCTCACCCTCCTCCTCCCTGTCCCAAGGGTGGCACCAGCCCCCCTGGGCAGCCCGCTCTGCAGAAGGGCGCCTTTGTGCCCATCTGGCTTGTGCTGGATTTTTTCCTTCCTGAATCCAGCAGCATTTTCTGGATCCTTCTCTTCCACTGGACCTGCTACCACCCTCGGAGGGGACGCCGCCCTCCCCAGCCTCCTCCCCCGGCCCCCGCGTGAGCCCTGGTGTCCCATGGGGTCGAATAAAGGGCTGTCGGCCCTGGCAGGGCAGACTTCCCCACAGGGCTCAGGGCCGGCTTGTGCGCAGTGTGTGGCCACCGCCTGGTAAGGAGGCTGGGCCTCGTCCCCGCCCTTTTCCGCCCGGCCAGCCGCAGCTGCTGACAGAGCCCAGCTGGGCCCCTGACCCCGGGGAGACCCTCCCTACACTGCCCTCACCCTGTGGGGGTTAGGGGTGAAGGTCAGGCTGGGGGCAGAGGCCCAGAGGCCAGAGGCCACCTCCCAGGCCTCTCCGTGGGGCCCATAACCTCCTGGTTGTCTGCCTTCCTCCCCATCCCCCCGCCAGCACAAAACACTCGTCCCTCTCACCACAAAGGGCCCTTATTTCCCTCCTGCTTTTATTAGAGCCGGCTTTGGGTTGACCGGGTCAGGCTATGGGGACTTACATAGAAATAAGGCAGCCCTGCCCTTGACCCTGGGAGCCCCGTAAAGGAGGCAGAGAGGTGATCAGGAAATCCACCCTCAGCATGGGAGGTGCCGCCCCCCATATTCCCAGCTACTTGCTGTGCAGCTTTGGGCACATTGCTTAACCTCTCTGGGCTTTGGTTAATTTGTTGTAACTGAAGGTGAAATTCACACAAAAGAATGAACCTTTTTTTTTTTTTTTTGAGGCAGGGTCTCACTGTCACCCAGGCTGGAGTGCAGTGGCGCAATCTTGGCTCACTGCATCCTCCGCCTCCTGGGTTAAAGCAATTCTCATACCTCAGCCTCTCTAGTAGCGAGGACTACAGGTGCACGCCACCATGCCCAGCTAATTTTTGTTGTTTTTTTGTTTTTGTTTTTTTTTTTTGTTTTCTGAGACAGAGTCTTGCTCTGTCAACAGGCTGGAGTGCAGTGGCGCGATCTTGGCTCACTGCAACCTCCGCCTCCCGGGTTCAAGCGATTCTCCTGCCTCAGCCTCCCGAGTAGCTGGGATTACAAGCACGTGCCACCACGTCCAGCTAATTTTTGTATTTTTAGTAGAGATGGGGTTTCACCATGTTGGCCAGGATGGTCTCGATCTTGTGACCTTGTGATCCACCTGCCTCGGCCCCCCAAAGTGCTGGGATTACAGGCCGGAGCCACTGTGCCTGGCCTAATTTTTGTATCTTTAGAGATGGGGTTTCGACATATTGGCCAGGCTGGTCTCAAACTCGTGATCTCAGGTGATCCACCTGCCTCGACCTCCCAAAGTGCTGGGATTACAGGTGTGAGCCACTGCGCCCGGCCAGAATGAACCACTGGTAAGTGTACAGTTCGGGGGCATTTCACACATTCACGACAGTGCACACCCGTCACCTCTGTGTGGTCCCAGAACATTCCATTGTCTGTGAAACAGGGACAATGCTAGACATTACCTCTTGTGATGAATAGCTGTGTGTGCACGCAAATTAAATTGCTTTATTTTTTATTGGCTTTATGGAGGAATATTATACATACAATACAAGCCACATGTTTTAAGTGTCCGTTTTGAAGAGTTTTGACAAGCGTGTACGGTTGTGTGGCCATCACCACCGCCACCGTGTTGCTGAACACCTCCCTCTCTCCGCAGTGTTCCACCGATCCCCCATGGTCAGGCCCCTCTCCCCAGCCCAGCCCCTGAGAGTCACGGATCGGCTTTTGTCCCCCCATCGCTGTACTTTTTCTGTTAGTGATTGGATGAGTGATAGGCCTGTGGTAGTGTCCCGTGTCCTGTTAGTGTCCTGTAACAAATCACCACAAAAGTGGTGGCTTGGCCTGGCACGGTGGCTCACACCTATAATCCCAGCCCTCTGGGAGGCCGAGGCGGGTGCATCACTTGAACTCAGGAGTTTGAGACCAGCCTGGTCAACATGGTGAAACCCTGTCCCTGCTAAAAATACAAAAATCAGCTGGGCGTGGTGGTGTGTGCCCGTAATCCCAGCAACTCGGGAGGCTGAGGCAGGAGAATCGCTTGAACCCGGGAGGTGGAGGTTACAGTGAGCTGAGATTGAGCCCCTGCATTCCAGCCCAGGGGATAGAGTGAGTGAGATTCCATTTCAAAAAAAAATTTTTTTTAAAAAGTAGCTTGAAACAGTAGAAATGTATTCTCTCACAGTTCTGGAGATCCGAAGTCCGGAATCAGGGTGTCAGCGGGACGGCTTCCTTCTGCTGGAGCTAGAGTGGGAATCTGTCCGGGCCTTTCTTCCAGTTTCTGGCATTGCCCACAGTCCTTGGGGTTCCTTGGCTCCTAGAAGCCATCTCTCCGATCACTGAACTTCATCGCTGTGATCGCTGCCTCTGCCATCATGTGACCTTCTCTGTGTGTCTTCACGCGGCCTTCTACGGAGGACACCAGTCTTTGGATGGGGACCCACCTTAACCCAGCATGACCTCATCTGGTCATAATTACATCTCAAAGACCCACTTTCCAAAGGAGGTCATGTGCTGAGTCTGTGGTGGACCTGAAGTCTCGGGAGCAATGCCAACCCAGCATGATGCCTCCCCATGCTTCGAGGCGCCCTCTGTGCAATGGGGATGGCAGCAGTGATGCCTCCTCCCCGGCCGCTGGTGAAATGAGAAAACACCGGCAAAGACTCCAGAGCATAGCCTGGCTCCCCGCAACAGCCAAGCCAGGTGGCCTGTTCCAGCTGGCATCTCTCCAGCTGCAGATGAGATCCCCGGGGTCCCTTCTGCCTCCTTCCCTCCACCCCAGAGCAGCCCACTCTTGAAAACCTGATGCTTCCTTTAGACTTTCAGGGCATATGGCTCCAGTCAGAGTCCACCTCTGGTTTTGTTTTGCCTGTTGGTAAACCCTGGATAAATGGTCACATGGAACCTGTACCCTCTGGAGTCTGCGCTTAAAGTGTGAGGTTTACTCTGAGTGACTCGTGCAGGCCCTGCTGGCCCTTGTCCCAGCTGCGTGGTGTTCCATGGGTGACATTTGTTCGTTCGTGTTCCGTCAATGGAGGGAGGTTGGTTCCAGGTTCTGCTATTACAGATGCTGCCCAGGCTGTTCTTTTGCCTCATGTTGGTGCCTGACAGTTTCTCAACAGTGTGGGGCTGAATTTCAGGGTTACAGGCTGGGGTCACATTCAGCCTTCCTGGATCTTGCCAGCACGCCTCTCACTCTCTCTCTCTCTCTCTCTCTCTCTCTCTCTCTCTCTCTCTGTCTCTCTCTCTCCCCCCCCTTCCCTCCCTCCCCACCCCCCACCAAAACCCTAGTCTCTCCATGATCTCTCCAGCATGGGTGCTTCAGGGTAATTGGGATCCTTGCACAGAAGTCCAGGGACCCCAAGGTGCAAGTCCAAAGAGAGAAGGGGTGGGGATCTCTTGTGAATTGAGGTTAATAACAGAATTTACCATTTGAAAGTGTACAGTTTAGTGACATTTTGTACGTTCACAGTATTTTGGGTTTTTTAGTTTTTGTTTTTTTACATTTTTGCAGAGACGGGGTCTCACTATGTTGCCCAGGCTGGTCTCGAACGTCTCACCTCAAACCATCCTCCTGCCTAGGCCTCCCAAGGTTCTAGGATTACAGATGGGAGCTACCTCTCCACCAAATCACCTCCTAAAAGCACCACCTCCTAATACCATCACCTCGAGGGTTCGGGTTTCAACCTGAATTTGAGGGAGATACATTCAGTGCATAGCATCACCCCAAAAGGAAACCCCACACTCACCCAGCGGTTACTCCATGCCCCGCTTCCCAGGGCCTCCGCACACACCGGTCCACCTTCTGCCTGAGGATGGCCTGTGCTGGGCATTTCCTGGGAATGGAATCCTGCAGTACAAGCTCTTTTGTGGCTTCTCTCACTCGGGACCAGCCTGGGGCGAAACCCTGTCTCTACTAAAAATACAAACAAATCAGTTTTCAAGGTTCACGCGTGCTGCAGCGCGGGTCAGCACATCAGCCCTTTTATGGCTGAGTGATTATTCCACCGTGCGCGTAGACCGCGTCCTTTTTGCCCATCCACCGCCGATGGCCGTTTGGGCTGTCTCCACCTTTCGGCTGCTGTCACGTCCATGCAGAAGGTCTTGTGTGAAGCCTCATGGCCTTTTATGACTTAGCCGTGGAAGTTACAGGGCTGTGTCACTTCTGTTGCACTCTCGATGTCAGGAGTGAGCCTGTGCTGGTCTAAGTCAAGGGGAGGAGAATTAGAGTCCCCTCTTGCTGGGGCTGTCAAAGAATTTGTGGACACGATTCAGGACCATCACAGCAACACTGGTAGAAAACACACATCGATCCTTTTTCCCATGGACAACTGGCTAATTCGTAACTTTTTTTTTTTTTTTTTGTAGAGATGGGGTCTCTCTGTGTTGCCCAGGCTGATCTGGAACTCCTGGGCTCAAGTGATCCTCCCACCTTGGCCTCCCAAAGTGCTGGGACTACAGGTGTGAGCCACCGCACCCAGCCTAACTTGGGACTTTAATGGTCCCTTGCTTTGGGCCCTTATTTGTAAAAGGAAGGGCGACCGTCACTGCTGCACTGCAATCCAGCCTTTTGGAGCACCCATCCAGGAAGCCGGCACCACAGCTCTCCTCGGAGCCAGTTTGGATCAGCTTTGCAGGCTGAGAACCAGGAGGCCGGCTTGGGAAATGTAGGGATGAAAGCTGTTTCAAGGCTGAGGGGGGATGTGGGAGCGGAGAGGAGGTGATTTCTGAACTGCACAAGGTACGAAAGGCACGCTAGGGAAGGGGACAGCCTGTGCGAACACTGCCCGTCCCTCCCCGTGGCCAGTCTCTAACCACCTCCCACGCACGGCTCATCATGTGTGAGCACGGACACCCAGGCACAAAGCGGGGTCAGGTAGTTTCATTAAAACAAAACAAAGGGCCGGGTGCAGTGGCTCCCGCCTATAATCCCAGCACTTTGGGAGGCCGAGCTGGGTGGACTGCCTGAGCTCAGGAGTTCAAGATCAGCCTGGGCAACATGGTGAAACCCCGACTCTGCTAAAATACAAAAAAAATTAGCCGGATGTGGTGGTGCACACCTGTAATCCCAGCTACTCGGGATGCTGAGGCACTAGAATCGTTTGAGCCCAGGAGGTGGAGGTTGCAGTGAGCCAAGATCGCACCACTGCACTCCAGCCGGAGTGACAGAGCAAGATTCCTTCTCCAAACAAACAAAAACCAAAAACAAACAAACAAAAAGTGTGCAGCATGAACCCATTTCTGAGCGCCCTTCAACTTCTTCCTCTGTGCAAACGACCTGGGCTAACGCTGACTGTGCACCGATTCTTTCAGAGCCTTGGCTTCCCTCCCTTTCATGTCCTAACTCCTTCCATTCTTACAGAGACCCTGGGAGGAAGGGACTGTCACTTGCTGCATGTAACAGTCGGGGAGACTGAGGCATGGGCCAGTCCACAGCTTGCCTGGAGTCTTGCAGTCTGTGAGGGCGGGGGTGGGGTCTGAACCCAGGGGGTCTGTCGGCACGCCCAGGCTGCTCCCCCGGCGCTTCCCCGGCCAGTGCCCGATCTTTCCTCCTTTGACCTCACTCTGTGCCTGCTGGGTGTGGACTGCATCTTTATTGACTTATGGGGCTTGGGAAGTCCCAAGCCTTCAGAACAGTGTGGGGCAAGGGGGATTGAGTGGGGAGGTTGGGGGGTGCAGTGATGCCAGTGAATCCTGCTGCCCGCCCTCTACCCGGCCAGGCTGGCACCCTCCAGGGTTGTCAGGAGACGGCGCTTCCTCTTCCCTCCCTCCAGAGGGCGCACTGGAGTTGCTCGGAGCATCTGTACAGAAGCTGGGCCACCAGGTCAGTGGGCGTTGAAAATTGGGGCTCACAGGGCCAGAGGCCTCCCTCAGGCCCACCAGTGAAGTGACTCGCCGAAGGGTAGGGGCAGCAGACGAACTCCAGAGATAGGAACCTTCTTAGCCAGAGAAGCAAAGCATCTGTAAATCCCTTAGACTTTGATCTGAACCCAGATGACGTCTTAGTTTTAGTTTAAGAATTATGACTTCCTATCAGATGGGTTGCCCCTGTCATGAATGTCTAGCTATTGTGTTTTTTTTGTTTTGTTTTGTTTTGAGATTGTGTCTTGCTCTGTCACTCAGACTGGAGTGCAGTGGTGTGATCATGGCTCACTGCAGCCTCCACCTCTCAGGCTCATGTGATCCTCCAGTCTCAGCCTCCCTTGTAGCTGGGTTCACAGGCACATGCCACCCAAAGTGCCTGGCTAATTTTCCTTTTCTTTTTTATCTTTTGTAGACAGGGTCTCACTTTGTTGCCCAGCTGATCTCAAACTCCTGGCCTCAAGGGATCCTCCCACCTTGGCCTCCCAAAGTGCTGGGACTACAGACGTGAGCCACTGCACCTGGCCCTTATCTTTTGAGTTTTATATTTCCTTGTCTCCCTCTGTTGCTGGGATATGAAATCTCCATCGTGGCCTGCAGAACTTATTTTCAGGGTGCCGTGGAACTTGATTTTAGTCCCTGCGTTCCATATGCAGAAATGTGGGGATGAGAGTGGGAAACAGGCCAGTTATCTTGAGCTCAGCTTATTAAGGATTGCCTTCCGTGAAGACAGTTGGAACAGATCACTGAGGGAAAAATGTAAAAGGCTGTAATCTCCATTCTCCAGAGAGGCGAGGACACCCAGAGCTTCTCAAACTGCAACGTGGGACATGTCCAGATCTTATTAGAAAAGCGGATTCGAATTCCGCAGTGCGGGGTGGGGCCTGGGACTCTGTATTTCTGATGAGCTCCCTGGTGATGCAATGCTGCTGTTGGTGCAGGGCCCTCTGAGTCTGAGAGCCTGGCCCCATCCCTCAGCTGCCTCCCTGCCCAGATGTCTCCAAGAGGCAAATTTGACATATCCAAGAAGAAGCGCTTTATCTCCACCTCCTTCTTAAACTGGCCACCTTCCTGAGTCACCCGCTGAGCAGGGCTATCACCACTGTTTGCATAGCCCTGACAGAGACCTCTTAGTATTTTATTTATTATTATTATTGTTATTTTGAGATGGAGTCTCTCTCTCACCCAGGTTGGAGGGCAGTGGCACGATCTCCGCTCACTGCAGCCTCCACCTCCTGGGTTCAAGCAATTCTCCTGCTTCGGCCTCCCAAGTAGCTGGGATTCCAGGTGTGCGCCACCATGCCTGGCTAATTTTTTTGTATGTTTAGAGATGGGGTTTCACCATGTTGGCCAGGTTGTTCTCGAACTCCTGACCTCAAGTGATCCACCTGCCTTGGCCTCCCAAAGTGATGGAATTACAGGCGTGAGCCACTGCACCTGGCCGAGACCTCATAATATTTTTAAAGAAACAGATTCACGCCCTTTGCATGTTAATCTGGGCCAGGACCGCATTGTGAACGTCACAGGTAGGGCAGGGGCACTCCGCTGCAGATGGGCTAGAACTTTCGGGAGTGGGTGTGGGGGAGCATAGGCGTTTATGGGTGTTTATGTCTGTGCTGGTGGACGGGCTTTCTCCTTGGTTGGCAAAGGCAGTCTGTGGCTGTCCCCAGTCACCTGCAGTCGTAGGCACACGGGCCAGCCTGCCTGTCTGGAATGTCCGTCCTCGCTGCTGGAGGACAGGTGTGAGGATGCTTCCTGACATTCGTGACCCTGGTTCCTCTGTGGGGCGTGGCCCTCTGGTCAGTGAATATGTGCAGTGAACATGCAGCATGGTGTTAGGTCAGTCAAATCCCATGTCCGTATGTTTGCACCGTCTTGTCTTTTTCGGGGAAAATACATTTGGGGTTGTCCTGGCAAGTCTAGGCAACATGCTGGCCAAATAATACCTGAGTTGTTAAGGGGCTTGGTCCTAAATGCGCCAGGTGCTGGATCTGGGATGTTGGAATTCCTGTGTCTATTCAGGAACGGGCCGGTCTGCAGGTGACAGGCTAGTGGTGGCAGAGCCAGGGGCAGGACCTGGATTTCTGAGTCCTGGGCTGCCTTCTCTATATCCTCTCCAACCCCCCTGCCAGCCTTCACCTGGCCACAGGGGAATCCAGGGAAGCCACCAAGCCCACTTCTGCCAGTGACCTGCCTGAGGTCGGAGGGAGCGTATCCCTAGCAGGCCTGCCTCTGGGCCTCCAGTGAACTTGTTCTTGCTTTGAGGATTCAAGCCCAGCATGTCACACCTGAGCCCTCTGCCTACTCCGTTCTCTGCAGAAATTAAGCAGTTTTAACTGCAGACTTAAAAATTGCATTCTTTGGCCAGGCAAGGTAGCTCACACCTATAATCCCAGCACTTTGGAAGGTCAAGGCAGCAAGATTGCTTGAGCCCAGGAGTTCAAGACCAGCCTGGGCAACATAGTGGGACTCTGTCTCTATAAAAAATTTTAAAAATAAGAAAAAATTTAGCCAAGTGTGGTGGCATACATAATCACAGCTAATCAGGAGGCAGAGGCAGGAGGATCGCTTGAGCCTGGGAGGTCGAGGCTTCTGTGAGCTCTGATCCCACCACTGCACTCCAGCCTGGGTGACAGAGTGAGACCCTGTCTCAAAAAAAAAAAAAAAACAACCCAACAAAAAAAGCTTTTTAATTGTGTGGAAACATATATAACATACAATTTCCCATGTTAGCTTTTTTTTTTTGAGACACAGTTTTGCTCTTCTAGCCCAGGCTGGAGTGCAATGGCACCATCTCAGCTCACCGTAACCTCTGCCTCCCGGGTTCAAGTGATTCTCCTGCCTCAGCCTCCCGAGTAGCTGGGATTACAGGCACCCGCCACCACACCTGGCTAATTTTTGCATTTTTAGTAGAGACGGGGTTTCTCCATGTTGGTCAGGCTGGTCTCGAACTCCTGACCTCAGGTGATCGTCCCACCTCGGCCTCCCAAAGTGCTGGGATTACAGGCGTGAGCCACTGCGCCCAGCCCATGTTAGCCATTTTTAAGTATACACCTCAGCGACATTGAGTACATTTGCAGTGCCGTACAACTGTCACCGCCGTCTAGTTCCCAAACTTTCTCCTCTTCCCAAACAGAAATTCTGTACCCATTCGGTGTCAGCCCCTGTTCTCCTCCCAGCAGATCCTGTAACCACTCATCCGCTTCCTGTCTCTAAGGAGCTGCCTGTCCGGACATTTCATGTGAATGGACTCACACACACTGCGGCCTTTGGTGTCTGGCTGCTTTCACTCAGCAGCGTCGTCAGGGTCTACTGCGTTGCAGGGGGTGTCAGTGCCTCATTCCTCTCTCGCCGAGGAATAGTCCATGGAGTGGTCCGACCACGTTTTGTGTGTCCTTTCGTCTGCCAGGGTTCCACTTTGGAGCAGCCGCTCTGCACCAGGCATTTTCACCTCCTGCCTCTCGGCTTCCGCTTCCAGTCTCACGCTGTGTGGATGGTGAGGCAGGATTTACAGTCAAGCCAGTTGGCCCCGACCACCCACCTGGCGTGTGGCTGAACTGGGACACACTAGGTAGTTGGACTCACGCCCCATACCTTGAACCCGCCAGCCATCCTGCCTCCCAGAATTTGGGGGGAGTGGGGACTGGGGGCTGGAGAAGGGGAAGACATAGGCAGAGATGCAGTGGGGGTGTGGGATGGCAGCATTCGGCCACAGGGTCCAGTGTGTTCCCTCCTCCAGGGGCCACCTTCCCCCACTACACAGAATTCCCCTGTGGTTGCACCTACCGGCTCTCTAAAGTGGCCCCAAACCTTCCCCAGACCCCCAGGCCTGGTGGGGCGCTCCCTCTCCCATCACATGGCGCCGTGGTGGTCAGTGTCAGGGCGGTTGCCAAGCCCACTGCAGGCATGTTTATGGTTAAACCTCCCAGGTCGAGCCCGTGTTCCATTTTATGAGCCTTTTGGGCCCAGGAAAGTGGTGCCCTTGGTGAATGTTTGCTAAGAACCCAGGCAGCTGGCAGGAGCTGCCTTCACTGGGAGACGTGTCGGATTCATGGGGGTGATTGAGGAAGGCCCTGGAGTGGGTGGTCTCTGGGAGGCGGGTTCCTGGGATGATGGAAGGTTTCCAGGAAACATGATCTCCTGTTAAAAGTCTGCCAGCAGACACAGGCTCCTGCCCTCACCTGTGCAAGCCACACTTGAGATAAAATCCAGTGGCTGCCGGTTGGTGGATGGCAAGCTGCCCTGCATGGGCACCGGAAAGAATCCCGCCAAAGGAAAGTTGCTGGGGCCAGTGTGGGACTTCTCTCCCTGCAGGGTTGATTTTTAAACAGGGACAGTGCTTTCTAATGGACATCTGTCCCTCGTCTCGGCTCTGTTGCCATCTGTGTTTCCTTTGCCTCTGTGCCCTTGAAGCTGGACCCTGTCTCCCTGGGTCCCCTCCCAGGGCAGGGCAGAGGGGCACCCCCACAGGCAGCAGTCCCCAAGAGGGAGCACCCTCCTTCCAGATGGCCCAGAGGCCCCAGCAGTCAGATCCTGCTGTTTGTCTCACAAGATGAGCACAGCCAGGAACCCGTGACCTTGTCCCCATTCTGTCCTTGCATCCTTGGGTTCTGATAGTCAAGCCTTGTCTGGAAATCAGGGTGCAGACCAGCCTGAGCAGGTCCATGCCCCAGGAAGATGGCCCTGTCCACCCTCATGGGGCACAGCGCTGGAGAACCAGAGAGAACTCTCCAGGCAGGGCTGTTTCCAAACCTCCCTCCCCGGCTGAGCTGCAGGGCAGCCCTCTGAACAGCTGCTAATGGCCACCCCAGATCTCAAAATCATCCACGTCCAATTTCCCGTCTTGGAATGTCACCTGGGGAGAGGAGACACAGCCCAGGAAGGGATCGAGGAAATAAAAGAGAGAGAGAGAGGACTCGAATGCACACTCTAATCTTCGCTTGGCGGTTCAGCTTTCAGGAGCCCCAATTAATCATTATTAATTTAATCCGGGGTGACTCGGAGTCATCCTGACAGAGATCAGCCACGATTTATCCCACCTGCTAAGGGGCGACCTTAGCAGAATTCAATGAATTCGTCATTGTGTTAAGCAAGGACCCTAATGAATCTCTTGTCGGCCCAGTTTACTGAATGACCATTAGCCACAAATGAGTCACAGCACACCGCCCCCCCCCGCCCCCACACACACACCGATAGTACTGCTATCAAGGCTCTTCTTGACAGTAGGAGGGGGCTGGGCTCGGGAGGACAGCAGGCGTGAGAGGTTGTGCTTTCCTGCGCTGATACTGACAGCTCTGAAATGCACGCATGCCTCAGCATCACCAGGGCTGCTGGTTTAAAATGTGGATTGCAGGACCTCATCCCCAGAGCCTCTGAATCAAAAGAGCTGATTGGGCCCAGGAATCTGCATTTTCACAAGCACCCCTGGTAATTCTGGTGTAGGGGGCCCAGGCATCTGAACCTGAGAACGTGATGAGCTCCAGGAGGTCAATTCTTGGCCTTGGCCTTGTCGAGGTGCGGTGTGCTGGGCAGGGTGGGTGAGGTCAGCGGCTGTCACAAGTAACCCTGCGTCTTCAGTGGCGTGATGCAGCCGAAGCGCATTCTCCTTCAATCGGGTCCAACGGGGTGCTCAGTGGGTCTTCCACAAGGTGACTCGGGGTCCGGTTTCCCGGAGCCTCGGCCTCCCCACTGCTAGTGATGAGCAGAGGATGGCACAGAGGTGACGTCACCTCGACCTACATTGCGCTGACTGGAGCCAGTCCTGTGGCCCCCGCCTGCAGCGAGGGGGTGAAAATGTTGCTTAGCCATGTGTCCAGAGCGAGGAAACGGGTTTAGTGACCATCCCTCTGGCCGTTGTTGCCCAGCCCGGAGGCCTAGTGGGGTGCCCGGCATTGAGGACAGGTGGCCAAGCAACGGGAAGCGGAGGCGGAGTTTTCCATGGGACCCACTGCCCTGCTTGCCGCGGTCACTCTGGTTGGGTTCCTATCTGGGGCTCCAGGATATGCCCCAGCCCCAGTCATGCTGAGGTCAGGGCACACCCTGGAAGTGAGGGTCTATGACCCCTCGGTGGGGAGTCCCGACCCAGATGTTTCCAGAAAGGAGGTCTGTGGTTTCCCACCTGTCGGTCTGACGGTGCCGCGCATCCCCTCCTCCTGCAGGAAGCCCTCCTAGCCACCAGAGGGCGCCGCACCCCCGCCGCTGTCCGCCGCTTGCTGAGCGCTTGCTGTGAGCCCGGGGCCGCTGGACTCGCTCATTGGACCTTCCCGACAACTGAGGGTGGCAGGTTCTATTGTGACTCCCATTTTGTTGACAGGAAGACTGAGTCTCAGAGAGGTAAACGGGGCTGCCCGAGGCCGCACAGCTGGCCAGCTGCAGACCAGGTTAGGAAACACGGCGGTGCGGGCAGGAGCCGGGCGCTGGGGCCACAGGCACCGGCCGCCGCCTCCCGAGTTCTGGGGGCACCTGGGAAAGCGGCTGCGGCCTGGCCCTGCCTCAGTTTCCTCACGAGTGAAACGAGGGTGAACACAGGCCCTGGCCTGGCGGGGTTGCGAGGGTTGCATGGGAGAAGGCTGGGAATCGCCTGGCAGTGCCGCTGCCCCCAGGGTTGTCCCGGGGACGCCCCGGCCATTGGTGCTGCTCTCGGCTGCCGGCCTCCTGCCTCTGGGCTGCTTGCGAAGACAGCGGAGACAATGAGAACAGGACCCCAGTGGTCTAGGGCAGGAGAAGGTTCCAGAAGCGAGGCCCAGATAAGAGGAGACAGCAGAAAAAGCCGCAGGACAGAGCCCCTTGGCCTCCTGAGGTCCCTGGTGTGTCTCTCCATGGTTAGGGAACAGAATCGCTGCCCAGTGGCCTTTCTGCACCGCATCCCATTGCCAGGGAATACAGAGCAAACGGGCCCCAGAGACATAGCCAGCCGTCCTGCTTTATGCCGGGAAACTGAGTCCCAGGAAAAGGAAGGGATCGATCACTCGGCTGCGTGGTGGAGAGCTGGGAGTAGACCCCTGGCATGGTGTCTTTACTGACCTCCTGCCCTTTTCTTCTCCTGGCTACAGCCAGGTGGGGAGAGGCCCTCGGTGGGGCCGGGGCTCTCTAGCAGAGGGGCTGGGTGCCTGCATTCTGTGGGGGCTGGGCCCCAGCTGACTCCTGGGCATTGTGGGTGAGGCAGGGTAGCCCGCCCGCCAGGGGCAGTGCCCTCAGCTCTGTGGAGCTCAGGCTCTCCCATGCCAGGAGAAGCACCCAACGTGTAGCTTCAGAAAGGAAAGGGAAGTGGGGAGCTTTTGAGATTGAAAAGCTGCATGGCAGCTGCCAAGCCGGGGGCGGGGGGGTGGGGCATCCCTTTTGCCTTGAGTCCACCACCAAACCTGGTGTCAGCTGAGAACGTGAAAAGCCACCTGTTGGCAGCTGGGCCGTGATGTTCCTGCCTGAACATAAATAACACCTGCAGAAGATGGCAGAGACAGGCCAGGGCCCTCTCGACTTCACTGGGGATAAGACAGCGACCAGGCCGCTCTGCAGCCACAGAATGACTCAATGTCCCCCTCTTTCAACCAGCGTTGTTCATTGCTGTTCCTTTACCTGTGACAACTCTAACCTTGCTTTAACCTTTTGAGCCCCTAAAAAAAATGAAGATAGCCCAGCACTGAGTGACCCCTGCTTCCTGACTGTCCAACCCAGTGTGGGACCCACTTCCACACCCTTCTCAGGCCCGCCCAACACAAGCCCACATCCTGTTAGGAGCCCATCCAGCCCAGCTCAACTCCTTATGAGAGGCCCTCCCATTCCCCTAGGGCACATGCCATCCTGGGCCGCAGCTTGTCCTGGTGGGCTCTGCCCTAGGCAAGCAGCTCCCTGGGCCATCTCCAGATTCCCCACCCCCATGACTGGAGCAGGGTCTACACGTGAGAATCACCTGGAGAGCTCTCCACAAAATACTGATGTCCTGGCCTCGTTCCAGTCCGCGAAGCTAGAATCTCTGACGATGGACCCTGGGCATCAGGATGATGATGATGATTATTATTATTTGGAGGTGGGGTCTCTGTTGCCGAGGCTGGAGTGCAATGGTACAATCATGGCTCCCTGCAGCCTCGAACTCCTGGGCCCAAGTGATCCCCCTGCCTTAGCCTCCCAAAGTGCTTGGATTGCAGGCATGAGCCACATGCCCAGCCAGCATCAGTTTTTTGTTGTTTTTTTTTTTTTGTTTGTTTGTTTTGTTTTTGAGACGGAGTCTTGCTCTGTCACCCAGGCTGGAGTGCAGTGGTGCAGTCTCAGCTCACTGCAACCTCCGCCTCCTGGGTTCGAGCAATTCTCCTGCCTCAGCCTCCCGAGTAGCTGGGTAATTACAGGCATGCACCACCATGCCTGGCTAATTTTGTATTTTTAACGGGGTTTCCCCATGTTGGTCAGGCTGGTTTTGAACTCCCGACCTCAGGTGATCCACCTGCTTTGGCCTCCCAAAGTGTCGGGATTACAGGCGTGAGTCACTGCACTCCGCCCAGCATCAGTATTTTTTAAAGTTCCCCTGGTGGACCGCACATGGTGTCTCACACTTGTAGTCCCAGAACTTTGGGAAGCTAAGGCAAGAGGATCACTTGAGGCCGGGAGTTCGAGACCAGCCTGGCCAACATGGTGAAACACCGTCTCTACTAAAAATACAAAAATTAGCCGGATGGTAGTGGTGCGTGCCTGTAATGCTAGCTACTCAGCAGGCTGAGGCGGGAGAATCACTTGAGCCTGGGAGGTGGAGGTTGCAGTGAGCCTAGATCGTGCCACTGCACTCCAGTCTGGGTGACAGAGTGAGACCCTGTCTGAAAAAATAGAAAAATAAATGAATAAAGGTCCCCTGGTGATTTGGTTGCAGCCAGGGTTAGGAACTCCTGCTCTAGAAAGAGAGAACCTTCCTCCAAGAATGTATTGGTCTCCAGTTTCCCTAAAGAACAGTCCAGCCCTGGCTGTGCTCCTAGCCAGCCTCATTTCCTAATCCTCCTAGCTCAGGAAGGAGGCTGGCTGGGTCACGTTGACACTCTGGCATGTGGACCTGGCGGGTCAGGTCTGCGTGAGTGCAGGAGGCCACGGTGCCTGAGCGGCAGTTGAGGGAAGTGGGGCTGCGTCATCACAGGGGCGTGGTCACATGGTCGTTGCTTCTGTTGTGAGTTGTGCTGAGAGTAAGTAGAGTTTTTCCGGTCAGAGCCAAGGGCTCCCCTCAGACTGTGGGTAGGAGTTGCAGGAGAAAGGCTTTGAGTCAGTAGGGGAAATAACTTTCTAGCCTTTTTTTAAAAATTGTTTTAGAGATGGGGTCTCCTCTGTCACCCAGGCTGGAGTGCAGTGGTACAGTCATAGCTCACTGCAGCCTCATCCTCCTGGGTTCAAGCGATCCTCCCACCTCAGCCTCTTGAGTAGCTGGGACTATAGGCATGTGCCACCATGCCTGGCTGTTTCTAGCAATTTGAGGCCAATAAGAGCGGGCCACCTCCAGCCCTGGGTATGGCCAAACGGAGGCAGATTGGAAGGAGCTGTGGACTTGACAGAGCGACTTTTAGGCTGAGCATTTTCCGGAAAGGAGAGTGGCCTTTCAGAGGCCCCAAACGGTTTGAACCTGTTCATAAAAGGCGGGAGCATACAGGCCTGGGTGTCCCCTTCCTGTTATGCACTGGGGCACAAGCTCTGCTGTGACACATCCAGCGCTGTGCCCAAGCTCAGCACAAGCCACCCAGGTGTGTGGGTGCAGCCCAAGCTCCTTGCAGGTGAGGGCAGGTTGGGAAGTGTCCACGAGGCTGGGCCAGCAGCTGAGTTTGGGCAGAGGTTGTTCTGTGCTCTGGTCACACGTACAGGCTGCAGCCGGCTGCCCGCCCCCGATAGTGGGGGTGGGGTGGGGTGGGGTGGGATGGAAGCTCAGGCCTCGTTTACCTGCTGACCTGAGGTTGTCAAATGGTTTGCATGGTGGAGAGGCAGGTACACTCCGTGTCAGGCCTGGAGGCTCCTTGTCAGTGGCCACCGCTTTCTCTTGTTTCTTTTCTATGTTCTCTCTGGTTTAACCACCTGCGACGTTCCAAGGCAGCTTCTAAGATCACCTTCACTTCTGACACACCTGCCTAGCTCAGGGGGCCCCAGGACAGCGCTCAGTTTCAGTAATTTGTTAGAAGAACCGCAGAACTGGCAGCCGAAAGCTGCACTCACAGTTATAGTTTATTACAGATGCAGGTTTAAGTCAGCCAAGGGGAGGGACCCATGGGGTGAGCCCAGGAGGGTTCCCAGCACAGAGCTTCGAGCTGTCCCTCTCCGTGGAGTCCTGGACAGTGTTAACTCCTCATGACAACAGCGTGTGATGGCACACAGCATTGCCAACCAGGGACGCTCCGCCAGCCTCGGTGTCCAGAGTCTTTGCTGGGCCTTGGTCACGTGGGCACGGCTGACACCATGTGACTGACCTTAACCTCCAGCACCTCCGCACGTCAAGCTGATGCCCTGTGGTTCAAGGCCCCACCATGAATCTTATCATTAGCATAGGCTGTTCAGGGTGGCTAAGCCCTCAGGTAAACAAAGACACTCTCATCAGGCGGGACTCTTCAAGGGCCTAGAGGTGACCGCCCCAGGAGCCGGGGGAAAGGTCAGACTTTCTGTGAGTTCAGTTAATCCTTCACTGTACACCAGTACTTGGGAGTTTGGGAATTTGGATTCAGCTGTGAAGCTGATAGCAGGTTCTAGATCCTCAGGGGCGGGCTTGGTTATTTCCCTCCGGGGGCTGTGCCGGCAGCGTGGACAGCTTCCACCAGGCAGGAGGGAGGTCAGGTGCGGTTCTGTGGGCAAAGGAGGGACTTGGTCATGGACTTCAGAAGACTCCGAGTAAGTGTCTGCATTTCGGTTTCCTTGTATTTCACCTAGAACGCTGAGCTGCTCTTCTCTTTGAATTCCAAAGAGACATCTAAAGGAAGCCCTCAGCTCTGAAGACCACCTAGCTGGAATCTCAGAGGGAGAGCTGGGGACAGGAAAGGATGACTACTCCCACCATTCTGTGGACACCGAGTCCAGCCTCCGGGAGGACGCTGAGGGAACCTTTTGGGACAGCCAGGGCAGAGAACGCCTTTTACTTCTTAAGGCTCTGGATCAAAACAGAGAAGCTTCTGTTTTGGAGCCTGGCAATCCTCGAACATCAGTGTGCATTTTAAGCCATAAAGCGCAATACTGATTACAAACAGGAATACGGAGGGCTTCCTTTAAACTGCTTCAGAAAACAAACTCCTCGGGGACTTCGAAAGGAGCTCTCACCATAGCTCCTGCAATCCACTCTGAACAGGAAACCTTCTCATCTATTTATTAAAACTGACCCCAGAAAGATTTTCAACAGGGAAGCCTGGCTTTATGTTGTGTATAGCCACAAAGAAGAACATATATTTTTAAAACACATTGCCTGGGGAAGGCTCTCGCTCTGTCAGTGGTTCTTGAATTCTGCAAGACAGCTGTTTCCTTCCTTTCAGTCTGAATCAGAGAGGTTTGCAGCAAAAGCCATTTTGGAGAGACCAGGTCAAGTTCAGCCTTCTCAGATCCAATTTTGCCACTACCATGACCCACAGGAGAAATTCCTCCCAGCTTGGGACTGTGCTATCTCGGATGACGTGACAGCGACAAGCCATTTAGAGTGTGACTTGGGGCTTTTCAGAAGCGCAGATGCACGGGAGGTCTGCATTCAGGTAGTGACAGGTCACAAGGACAGCCGTGGAGGCTCCAAAATTGGCCTGGGAATTGGGATTCAGTTCCACAGGATGGGGCGGGGCCTGAGTCTCTGCATTTCTGACAGGCTCTGAGGGGCTGCTGCAGCTGCTGGTCTCAGCCGGTTTTGCACTAGCGAAGCTCTCGACCCAGGCCGCCCACAGGAAACAGAATGCCAGCCAGATACAGGATTTTAAATGGTCCAGTAGCCTCATTTAAAAAGTAAAAAGAGGCCAGGTGCCATGGCTCACACCTGTAATCCAGCACTTTGGGAGGCCAACTAGAGGATCGCTTGAAGCCAGGAGTTTGAGAACAGCCTGGACAACGTAGTGAGACCCCTATCTCTACAAAAAATGTAAAAGCCAGGCATGGTGGCACCTGTCTGTGGTCCCAGCTCCTCAGGAGGCTGAGGCAGGAGGATCGCTTGAACCCAGGAGTTTGAGGCTGCCATGAGCCATGATCACACCACTGGACTCTAGCCTGGGCGACAGAGCCAGACCCTGTCTCTAAAACAATAATAAATAAATAAATAAATAAGAAGAACCGGGTGAGATTAATTTTGAGATGATATGTTATTTAACTCAGCACATCCAAAATAGCGTCCTCGAGGCACGTGGCCCACCCCCCGGATCTGGCCGGGAGCAGCTTCCACAGTGCCAGGACCTGTCCACCTCTCCTGCTCTGCAGACGCCATTTGGGGCTAATGATCCATTCTCAGCTGCTGTCTGAGCTGGCATTCAGTGCTGTCGCGGTGCTGCAGAGCCGAGCGGCAGGCTGAGCCCTGGGTCTGGGCCGGCTGGCGGCCTGGGGTTGGGGTTTCGGGTGAAGGGTGGACGCGGCCAAGAAACATCCATTGTGCCCGCAGCAGCTGATGTGGTTACAGCTGGCGAAGTGGCGGGCGCCCCCTTGCCACCCCCTCACGCCCCAGCTCAGGAACAGACATCCCTTCTTACAAAAAAATAAAAAAGGAGAAGTGGCGGGGTCACGGCTGTGCTTTCCACATGACCTGCCTGGGAACAGAGCGTGTCTTTGTTAATCCAGCGCCTGTCAGTCGGCCCGAGCCCAGGCATAAGCCCAGGCATAAGCCACTTAGCACGGCCTCACCCCTGTCCCGCCTGGCACTCAGCTAGGGCTAGGGGCACCACGCAGGCCTGTGCCTCCTGCCAGCTGCCCCCACCACCTGCTCCCGCTGGCGCCCCCACGCCCTGACCCAGCCTGCCTGGGTGGCAGGAGAGGACCCGGGAGGGGTGCGTGAGGCGTGTAACTGCTGTGGGCCTCACTTTGCACATCTGGAAATGGGAACAGTCGCTGTGGCCACTGCATGGGATGTTTGTGAGGTTCAGCGCCTTAATATGTGTGAACCAGCTGGCGATACTGGAGAAACAGTAGCTACTTTATTAAGCTGTCGTTCTCATTAATGTCATTGTCGGCTGCCTTCCTTTCACAGTGGCTCTGATCAGCGGTTCCTTCCTGTTTTCCTCCCTCCCTCCCCTCCCCTGCCGTGCTCTTCTTCTCTGCCCCTCCCCCCTCCTCCCACCTCCTCCTTCTCCCCCACCTCTCAGATCCTGTCACCTGCCCACTGCCCTTGGTCCTTGTTGCTTCTCCCTTTGAGCCCCTCTCCCTGCTCCCTGACACCTGGGCATCCTCTCTCAGCCATCCCAGGCTGGCAGGGAGGGAGGGAGGGAGCAGGAGGGCCCGCTGGGGCCCACCAGGGAGAGATGGAGCCTGATGTGGAAGGGGAGCGCACCCAGTCAAGGTCCACTTGAGGTGCTCGGAGCAACCTCTGGCCTGCGTCCCCCCCCCACCCACCTCCCCAGCCCAGCCCCTCCCCTCAACACCCACCCGGGGTCCAGCAAGTGTGGCCAGGTGGGCTGCAAGGCAGTGCACAGCCAAAGCCCTGTGTGTCTGCTCAGGGGCTGGGGATGGAGGGGGGCACCCACAGGCACAGTAGAGGGGACAGCAGGGCCCCCCGCCGCTCCGCATCCTTCAGCAACCGGCAGGCAGGAGCAGTTTGAGGCTAAATATAAACCCAGCCGCCTTTCCGCGGCCGTCAGCAATGGCCATGGCTCTGTCAAGAAGGATTATCTCGTCCTCCAGCAGGCAGGGCATCTGACAGCCGTGGAGGACGGCAGAGGGGAGGGCAGCCTGCTCCGTGGGCTGGTCCCAAATTCCAGAGGCCCATCGGATGCCCCTGGTTCCCAGGGTGCCCCCAGCAGAAGAGCTGAGACTTGAATCCCATGGCACTGATGTGGGCACAAAGGGGCAGAGCCTAGCCACGGAGAGAGGGTGTGCCATCCTCTCTGCCAGGCAGCGGGCTCCCTGGACAGGGTGGGCGTCGTTAGAGCAGAAACGGTGGTGGCAGGACCCAAGACTGTGCAGTTCTAAACCAGCTCTGGTGCAGACAGCCCAGGTCAGCAGCAGCATCGGAGGCAACCTGCCCTCGTGGCACCACAAGAGAGCTGCTGGGGACAGGACGTGGGCGGAGCCCTCGGCTGCCTCCCACCGTGGGACATTGGGGAGGGAGGGAGGGAGGGAAGGAGGTGCCGGGGTGCTCACCTTCCCCGAGGCTTTGTTTCCGGATTCTTCTCTTCCCTCCTTGGGGTACTCCATGGGCTTCTGCTTCGGTGCCCCTGGGGGTCCTTCTCCAGGGCCCCTTGGGCTGTGTACCTGGGCCTGGTGGCTCTGTCTGTGGCTCTCTTGGGGCCCTGGATACCTCCTGCCTGCTTCATTTCCCAGATGTCTTAGGACCTGAGGTGGTGCAGGCTCTCCAGGGACATCTGTCCCACCTGCCGATGCCCACATACCACCTTGCAGTCCTGGTGATGGGGACCCACTGTCTGACCTGTGGCCCCAGCCGCGAGTCCTTCTCACCCCAGACCCCAGCGTCTGTGTTTCATGAGGGTTGTGAAGTCCCTGCCTTCCCGGGTTCCCTCCGCCGGCCCAGCACTGCCCAGCCCCAGCCCCGCACCACTGTCCTCATGTCTGGAGATGTGGGCGGTGTCCGTGCACACTGCTGGAGCAGCTGGGCCAGCTCGACCTCTGGGACCAGGGTGGCCCAGGCTGGCTTGGCCTCTCTGCCTTGCACCCCCAGAGCCCTGGGGCAAGAACAGGACGCTCAGACTCTCCTGCTGGCCCCCTCGCCCACCGCTTCCATCCCCTCCCGTGTGCCCAGCTCAGAGAACATTGCAATCCCTCTGTGGTCTCTCTGATCCTCTTGCGGGGGGGGGGGGGACACACTTACCCCCAAACCCTAAACACAACTGAGTGCCCTTAGGCTGATGTGACAGTGTGCCACAAATTGGCGGCTTAAAACAGCAGAAACTCACTTTTTCACGGTTCTGCAGGCCAGGAGTCCACAGTCGAGCTGTTGGCAGGGCCGCCCTCCCTTCCAAGGCTCGGGGACCCGTCCTGCCTCTTCCAGTTCCCATTGGTCCCAGGTGTGCCTTGGCTCATGGCTGTATTGCCCCGATCTCTGCCTCTCCTTCACGTGGCCTCCTCACTCTTTGTCCCCAAATCTCTCTCTCATTGTAAGGACGCTAGTTAGTGGATTTAGAGCCCCGTGGATTTGGGTGCATTTAGGCTGGATTTAGAGCATCTTAACTTCCTGACATCTGCAAAGACCCCCTTTCCAGACTGCCACATTCACAGGTTCCAGCAGGACATGGGTTTTGAGGGGATGCTATTCACTACAGAAGAAGCAGGGAGGGGGAGGAGGGAGAGGAGGAGAAAGAGAAGGAGGAGAGGAGGAGGCGGACGAGGAGGAGAAGGAGGGGGAGGAAGGAGAGGAGGAGGAGAGGAGGAGCAGGGCAGGAGGAGGAGGAGGTCTCGTCCACCCAGGTTGACACTGGCCTCAGAGGGGAGTAGCTGAAGTGTCCTCTCCCCACACTGTCCAACCCTGTCTAGGCTGGTGGATTTCCTGAATGGCCTCCTGGGCAGGTGTGACGGAAGTGCTGAGGCCAAGGGGCAGGGGATGAAGCGGGCCTCAGGGCCAGCCGGGTTGCAGGTCCCTGGAGCGGGCAGCCTCCCTGGGAGAGGAGGAGGAGCCACTGCCCGGCTGATACTCGCCAAGGCCCCAGCTCTGACACTCCAGTGCACACTCAGCCCTGGCCACAGCAGGAGGGAAGCCTGTGGGGCCTCCCAGGGAACCGTCTCAGAAAGTGAGAGGTGGGGCCCCTGGCCTGCTGGGGTCCCTTGTCCCTCTGACCACAGCTGAGCATTCATGGACCGGGGGCAGCACCTGCGTGGGGTCAGGGCTCCGAGAGGCTCCTGGTGAGACCTGCCCTGCTTCTCCTTGGGCAGACCCCCTTGTCCTGCGTGTCTTCCTCAAGGTCCTCGAGACACCTGGCTTGACCTTGTCCAGCGTGATTCCGTGTTTGGGGAGGGCTGCCCCTGCCCCGAGACCACCCTGGTGGAAGTCTCGGATTGGCTTGTCCCGTTGGGCCAGGGCCAGGCCATCTCGGCCTCCTCTCTTGCAGACAACGGGCCCCTTTTCCCTTTCATGTTGGCCCCGAGGAAGCCAAGCAGAATATTACCACCCCCCACCCCCCTGATCCCCTTCCTGCCCCCTCCCTGCCCTTTGCTGTGAGAGGTTTTCCTGCCCTGCTAGTGCCCCTGGGACAGCTGGAGAGGCCCTAGGCTGGGGGGTGGGGAAGGAGGATTCTGGAGCCTGCTCAGGCAGGCCCAAAGTCTGGGCGGTCAGAACAGGCTGTGGGGAAGGAAGCCCGCGGAGAGCTGTCCGGGAGCCTCTGGGCAGCTCATGTGGCCAAGGCCTGGCTTCTGCTCCCCGCCAGCCTGGGCTGAGCTGGCAATGTCCACCCTGGGCTGCGAGACCCTCGTACATGCCCACTGGGGAGTTGGGAGGCCGGAGGACCCAAGATACATGAACAGCAAATGCATCCTGGGGTGATGTGCTACAGCACTAGTCTGAGCCTCTGTGTGTGTGTGTGTGTGTGTGTGTGTGTGACATAGCCTAGTGTGTGTGTGACACAGCCTAGTGTGTGTATGTGTGTGTGTGTGATACAGCCTAGTGTGTGTATAAGACATAGCCATTTGTGTGTGTGTCACAGCTGTTTGTGTGTATAAGACATAGCCATTTGTATGTGTGTGTGACACAGCTCTGTGTGTGTGTGTGTGACACAGCCTAGCTCAGAGAAGGGCTGTCACTTCCCCAGCCTCCCTCCCCTGAGGCAGTGCCTCACAGAGCCCGGGGAGTGAGAAGGAAAGGAAAGGAGGAGGCAGGCATTCTGCCGGCTAGTGCCACAAAAACCAGCCAGACCCTACACACGTCTCGCCAAAATAGGGGGACGTGAATGCTGCCACCTCCCAGGAGTCCCTTGGAAAGGTCTTGAGTCTGCGCTGGGTGCCTGTTTTCAGCTTGTGTCTCACGGGTAGAGGTGAAGCATGCAGGATGCCATGTCCCAGCCCAGCATCTGTGTGGGGCTGTGGGACAGATGAAGGGATGTGAGGAACAGTGGGGCCTGGTGAGGCTGCAGGGCTTGGAGGTGGCCAGGCTGGTCATCCCACTGTCCCCTACACGTGTGTGCACACATGCATGCACACACATGAGCATGTACACACACACACGTGAGCATGTGCACACACACGAACACACCCACAGGCTCCCTCCTTCCTCGCCCCACTCCTTCCTGAACACCTGCTCCCCTGGCAGGCTCCCCATGCATGGCGGGCCTGGGTCTCTGGCTTAGAAGCCTGGAGCTCCGCCGTCTCCCCCGCAGCAGGCCCTAGGTTCCCCAGGCTTGTTTTCTCCTGCTGTTTCTCATCTCCCAGGCAAGGTTCCCTGGGGGCAGGCCCAGGAGAGGTCTCTGTGTCTCATGTATCTTCCAAGGCCTCTTGGAGAGGAGACAGAACCATCCTGGGACCCTCCCAGCTAAGCATTCTGGGCCGTGTGTTGATCAAGTGACAAGCTGGCACGGCCCTGCGTTTGCCATTTGCTGACCTCACAGGAACACCCAGGATGCTTAGATGCTTGGGAAGAAAACTGGTTAGTGTTTGCAATCAGGGCCAGCTCAGAAAATCTGCAGCATGTCCCAGGACAAAGCCAAGGCCCAGTGAAGATCTGTCACTTATTTTAGAAATATTTGGGAGTGCCCCACCCTGCCCGCCCTGGACACAGTGGGCCTTAACATCTTCCTCTGAGAAGTTCTGAGGGCACCACCGCAGGGTGATCTTTTGACAAGGAAGGAGACAAAGGGGTGGCTGAGGGAGCAGGGGTCGGGGGGAGGCTCAGCGGGAGGCCACACAGCTCTGCCCCGTCTTCACAGGAGCATTTAGGGCCTGCTCTCCTGCAGTCCGGTCTCACTTGCCCCTCCTGCACGCACATCAGATTGAAGGACGTTTTGCTTACAAATAGGGTTCAGATGGCAAACAGGCAGGGAACAGGCCGTGGTACCATGGTGGATGGTGATCCTGCAGAGCCCTGGGGGTCAGGACTGGGGATTGGCCCTGAGAGGGAGCCCGTGCTGAGTGCCTGGGAGCGGGCAGAGCCTGGAGGGCCTCGGGTTGGCTGTTGCCTCCTACAGCAAGTGCTGGGCTCCCTCGTTCATTCCGTGGGACAGTGATGGGGACAAGAGTAACCAAAACCCAACCCCTGTGTCCTGGGGGAGCCGCCTGCCTGGTGTGTGTAGACTTGAGACCGTGTGTAAGGCAAGAGAGGAGTACGCACCGGTTCCATTTGCATTTCAGATAAACAACGAACACGCTTTTAGTATAAAAGTCTATCCCATGCAGTATTTGGGATATACTTATACTAAAAACGTATTCGTTGTTCATCCGAAATGAACTGGGCACCCTGTATTCTTATTTGTTGTATTTGGCAACCCTGAGTAGTGGGGATAAAGGCTTCGGAGCAAACCCAGGTTGGGAAAGGACCAAGCAAGTGTATCCGCTGCATCCCACGCCAGAGCACGGTGAAGCCCTAGTGGGAGGGGGGGTGAAGGTGGGAGCAGGACCAGGCTGGAGGGGCAGGGCTGGTGCCCATGGTGCCCCTGCTGGGCTTTCCTCTGGCCGCTCCTGCGTCAGCGCTCAGAGCCATCGAATGTCCCACCCGATGGACGGCAGAGGCCATCTGGCCTGACTGCTGTTTCCAAAGGGCGAAGTGAATTTACCAGAAACCTGATAGCAGCCACGAGCTCCCTGAGTAACTCGGTGCAGAAGTGCGACACCAGCCACCTATTCCATTTTCAGTTTCCTACTAGCCACGCTTTTAAAAAGGAAAAGCAGGTGAAATTTATTTTAATATATTCTCTCTAGCCTAATATATTCAAAATATTATCATTTCAACATGTCATCAATATGTTGAATTGTCAGAGAGCGATTCCTTTCTTCCTATCAAGTCTTCAGAATCCGGTGTGTCTGCTTATAGCACGTCTCAATCTGCACAGGGCACGTTTCGAGGGCTCCCTAGCCACGTGTGGCCCAGGTGGCCGTAAGGGACCAGCCCATCTTGCACCCACACCTCCCAGCCACTGGTCCGGGTGTCCTCTCTGCCCGGTGAAGAGCGCTCCAGCAGGCTTTGATCTGAGGTCTCTCCCACTGGGGGAGGAGTCACTGAGGTCCACAGGGGTAAGGGGACTGGACTGCCCGTGGCCAGTAGGGGGCAGTGGAGGTCAGTGCTCTGCCCTCCACGGACCAGGCCACCTGCAAGGACAGCAGACGTCCTCACTGGGGGCTGCACATCAGCCAGTGGCCTCTGCAGTAGATCGAGTCCCAACCCCCATGGGGCTCCGCAGGGGTTACCATCCACAGTGGTGCTGTGGCCTATTTCCTGTGTGTCTTGGGAGCAGACGTCTCCCTGTCAGGATGATGGGGTGTCAGGGGCTGAACCTGGGCTCAGGGAACCCCGCCCGGCGTGGCTGCAGCCCCTCAGGGCACAGGGTACGGCCTCAAAGAGTGGAAAAACTGAGTGGGCCACAGAGCAGGAGCCCCGGGAGGGATGCCCTGGCACTTTTGGGGAACCCACCTCTGTTGGGGGTGGGCTGCTGAGCGAGTCTCAGGCCCCGTCCCTGCACTGCTGGGGCCTAAGGCAGAGGCAGGCACATTGATTCCCTCCCGTAAAAGTCTCTGCTCCATCTTGCCATGTGTCTATTTAACCATGAGCGTTTACTGAGCACCTGTTGTGTGCTGGGCAGGCACCATGCCTGGCTCTGAAGATCACGTGGGGACAAGACGGGGCCTTTGTCTGGTTGTAGTGACTGTGACATCAGGCACCTCCTTTGGGTGTGGACGGGACTAACACTTGCTCCATGTCAGGGCTGCAGGACCTCCTGGCTGTTGACAGCAGGCATGCATCCCTCTGGCTGGTTCATTCCTGTAGAACGTCGATAGCCCTCCTTCTCCTCTTGGCTCTCTGGTGTGCTGTGCACACCACGCTTCCTACCTCCAGCTCCAGCGGTGCTGCAGACTCATGCCCCCAGGACCAGCCTCAGCCAGCAGCCCCAGGAAGTGAGGACAACCCCCCTACGAGTCCCAGCCCCTCAGGTGGTATAGCCTAGGCCTGATCTGCACAGCCCCCGTGGTCCGTGGCAGGACTGAGCCCTGCTGCCCACAGTGAGTGTTGGTGAGCATCCATGCGCCCTGCACAGCCCCCAAGGTCCCTGGCAAAATTGATCCCCAGTGCCCACGGTCAGCACTGGTGGGCATCCATGCGCCCTGCACAGCCCCCGAGGCCCCTGGCAAGATTGAGCCCCGGTGCCCACAGTGAACGCTGGTGAGCATTCATGCACCCTGCGCTGGCTCATTCGCTTTCCTGCCGCGCTGCCCACCAGTGTATCCAGCACTCCCCTCCTAAGTGTGGGACCTGAGCTCTGAGCTCAGCTCCTTGCCTCGTCCGCTTCTGGGAGAGCCCAGACTAAGAGGGAAACTATCGTGTGAATCGTCAGGTGTTTTGGACATCTGCCTCAGCCCGGGGTTCCTGGGGGAGGTGGGGCCTCAGTTGGTTCTCAAAAGAACTGGGAACATTCTAGAAAGCTGAAAAGAGAGGAATTGGCAAGCCAGTCAGGAAGAATAGCATCTGCAAAGATCTGGCCACAGGACAAGGCCACGTTTGAACAGGGCAGGGGAGGAGGCCGTCCCATGGTGGTGGGGCAGGGACCTGTGCCCAAGTGGGCAGGAGGCTTCAGATCTGGGGCCAGGGATGCGGTGCCCACCGCCAGGCCCCTTAAGAGATTCAGTCCTTTCTAAACTTCAAAGGGCATCGCTTTGAAGTTTGGCTGTGTCTGGAAGATGAGTAACTCGGTCACTCTGAGCCCCGGTTTCCTTATCCCTTTTTTTGGATGGGGGGATAGGGTCTTACTCTGGGCCCCAGGCTATAGTGCACTGGTGCAGCTGTGGCTCAGTGCAGCCTCAACCTCCTGGGGTCAAGTGATCATCCTGTCTTCGCCTCCCAAGTAGCTGGGACAGCAGGCATGCACCACTATGCCTGGCTAATTTTTTTAATTTTTTGTAAAGTGGGAACCTCCCTATGTTGCCCAGGCTGGTCTCAAACTCCTGGGATCAAATGATATTCCCTCCTGGGCCTCCCAAAGTGCTGGGATTACAAGCGTGAGCCACTGTGCCCAGCCTCCTCATCCATAAAATGGGGCTGACGATAGTGGGAACTAAATGAGTGATTTGTGAGAAGCACCTGGAACAGTGGTGGTTGTGGGGCACACGTAGAGCCAGCGCCATCGTTCAGGTCAGCGTCAGAGGTGGTGGGGTTGGCACAGCCCTATCAAGCTGCTTGGGCAGACTCCAGAGCAGCCTCCAGTGAGGATGTGGCTTCTCAGCTTCTCACCCCCAATGACTCCCCAAAGGTAGTGTCGCAGGAGACACAGGGTCGGGGAGACCTCCCGGACTGTCAGTTCCTGGGCCACCTTAGCTGTTGACTCAACCTGTGAGGGTGAGATGTTGGTAAATGACCTGGGTCCCTTAATAACATGGATGAGGCAGTGTTTAAGGCGGAGTCCTGAAGAAGCAGGCTGGGCTGAGGACCCAGGTGCTAAGAATGGCGCATCACCTGGTGTCTGGTGTCCTTTGGAAAGCGAGCATCATCTGTATCTTGGAAGGGTGGAGTGGCGGTGACATTAGATGTGAACTTGTGGGGCCCAGCATGTCATAGGCCCTCAGTATCGCTCACCCCCTCCCTTCTCCTCCTCTTCTCTCTTGACATTTAGGCAAATGCCCAGGCGGTAGATTGAGGGTCTCAGAGCCAATGAAAACACTAGCTTTCCACCATCAGTTGTCAGAAATTTGTGAAGAAAATTCTGGAAAAGTAGGCGTGTGACCCAGAACTTGCGATCGGTGCCAGGGCACTGGGTGGGACAGTGTAGCGGGAGTCCTAATGGAAGCCTCTGGATCGAGTCCCGTCGTAACCAGGCTGCAGTGAGCCGGGCAGCTCTTCTAGCAGAGCAGGAGAGACGCCAGCTCCTGGGCCTCAGCCTGTGTCCGCCCTGGCAGCAGAGCCTCCTCGTCCTCACCCTTCCGTTCCAGCGGGAGTGGGTGGGGTGGCGAGCGTCGGGCTGATGAGCTCCCTGTGTGAAGGGGTCCCTGTGCTGAGCCCATTGGAGCTTTTCAGTTGCCAGGCAAGGTTCTGGGCAGACATTATTGCGACCATCTCACAGATGAGCATATTGAGGCTCCACCCAGAACAGGGCCCATAGGGCCCTCGAACACCGCCTCCAGCATTAGTTCACTCTGTTTTCTCTGAGCTTCCCTGTCATCTTTTAGAGGCCTCTCTTGGGGGCATTTGCAGATTCTGCCTCGTACTGTGTTATTTCAGTTTGGTGTTACATCTTATACCTTTTAGACCTTCTTTGAAGGCCTTCTCACAAATGGTACGCATTCAGTACAACATCCTTGAACTGAACTGAAGTGCCGTTTGAGGCAGCACCTAGCATGGTGCCTGGCAAACATAAGGTGCTCAATAAATGCTTGTTGAGTCCATGGGTAAGCTTTCCCTGGGTCCCGGGCTTACAACTGGCAAAGACTGGGGCTGCGCCTACCCAGCCGGTTCGCTTCTCCTTGGGGTTGCGTTTCTTTAAAAACAAATTACAGGTTCTCAGATGGATAATGACAGGCCCCACATTTTCACAGGAGAAATCTGTCTGGGAAACTTTAAATGAGGCAACAAGGAGAAGCAGTCGGGGCCGGGGAATCCATGTTGCTGCCGTTCTTGGGGCCAAGGGCCTCCAGAGGGGACTGGGTGGGAAGCAGAGTGGGCAGCCGTGGCCCCACCCAGCAGGGCCCTGGTCGCCCTCCGTGGAGGGAGTGGGCGGCGCATGAGTTAGCCGACCTGTGTCATTTGAGGCCGGAGCAGTTTTCCTTTCGCTCACGCAGAACACCAGGCCCGTTTGCCTCCTCTGAGGCCAGGAGGTGTGTGGAGCAGACGCCCAGTTTTCACCTGGTGAATCCAAGAGCTCACAGAACCAGGACAGACAGGGCCGCCACCATACCCGGCTAATGTTTTGTTTTGTTTTGTTTTGTTTTGTTTTTTTGTAGAAATGGAGTCTCTCTATGTTGCCCAGGCTAGTCTCAAACACCTGGGCTCAAGTGATCCTTCCACCTCAGCCTCCCAAAGTGCTGGGATTATAAGCGTGAGCCACCACGCCCGGCCTGTATCCTCTCTTCTTACAGAAACACTTAATCCAGTGTGACCTCATCTTAACTAGTAACATCTTCCAAGACCGTATTTCAAAAAAAGGTCATATTCTGAGGTTTTGAGCAGCATGACTTCTCGGGGAACACTGTTCCAGCCATTGCACTTGTTCTCCCAAGGATGGGCTCTCACCACCTCTCCAGCCCCCATGTCCTTTCTCCCCACTCTGCGTGGCTGCCCTGGAGGCACTGCCTTCTTGCTATTGCTCCACAGCACCAGGCATGCTTGTGCCCCAGGGCCTTGGTACCTGCTGTCCTCCTGCCCGGAACACCCAGAGCTCCCTTCCTCACTTCTTCTAGGAGTCTACTCACATGACCTCCTAGAAATCACACTCCCGTCACTCCAGTCTTATTTAGCGTGGCTTAGTTTCCTCTGCGCCCCCTGCCCCCATCACCCCGATCTTATTTAGGTCGCCTTAGTTTCCTGTGTACCCCTGGCCCTCTATATGTTGTATGTGTATTTGCCAGTCTGTGACACCTCCAGGCAACTGGAAGGACAGGGACCTTGTCTGTCTCTTCTGCCGGTGTCCTAGAACAGTTCCTGGCACACAGTAGGTGCTCAACTCCATCTGTAGCCTGAGTGAATGCTCGTGTAGCTCAAGTGTGCAGGCTTGTGGAATCCCAAGGGGTCCTTGAAGTAATGATTTCTTCAGCACAGGGGTTTCAGAAGCTGCAGCACAAGGAGAGAGGAGGGCGAAGAAGGGATCCACTCCATGGTTTCTCCCCTCTTCTGCCTGAGCTGGTCTGCTTTTCTCTAAATTATATACTTATTTTTGTTTGAAAGGAAGGGCGAAAAGAATTCTGCCAGCAATGTACTGAGGCCCCTGTTTGTACTAAAAATTAAAAAATTAGGCCAGGCATGGTGACTCACAACTGTAACCCCAACACTTGGGGAGACTGAGGCAGGAGGATCATTTGAGCCCGGGGGAGTTTGAAGTGGCAGTGAGCCACGATCATGCTGCTACACTCCAGCCTGGGTGACAGAGCAAGAGCCAGCTCTTAAAAAAATTTTGTTAATATAAATAATAATGTAACTGGGTGTGGTGGTGTGCTCCTGTAGTCCAGCTACTTGGGTGGCTGAGGCAGGGGGATCGCTTGAGCCCAGGACTTTTGTGCCACTGCCCTCCAGCCTGGGTGACAGAGTGAGAGCCTGTCTTAAAAAAAAAAAAAAAGAAAAAAAAGTTCTGCCTGTAACTGACGGAAGAATCTAGAGGCTGATTGGAACATCTAGAGTAACAGCCTCGGACACTGAGGCTCCTAGAAGGACCTAAGCAGATGCAGCCTAAGGTCCTGAGCCAGCTGGGGTAGAGCCAGACCCCAAGTCCAGCTTCCTGACCGCCAGGGCCGTGTCCACCCACTGAGCCTGGCCGCGGCTCCTCCCTGCCTGGGCAGTGACCATTGCTAGGGGCTGGCGTGGAGCCTGCGTGGGAAGGTGCCTGAGGCTCTGCACCCAGCAACTTGCAGGTCAGAAGAGCTGGGACTGGGTGGACCTTCCAAGGCGCTCAGAGCAGTGTTGTTTCCAAGTTCAACATTCTGCCTTGCCAGCGGCTAGCTCAGTGTCACATGGCACACGTTCCAGGAAACAGAGCGGCCTCTGCCATCCCTGGAGGCCAGTCTGGGTCTGATAGTACCGGGTGGGTCAGCACCCTGAAAGCCCCGGGCGGGCGGGGGGGAAGGTGGCAGTGGGGGAAGGGGAGCAGCCCACCCAGAGTTGCTGAGAACTCCCGGAGGCTTCTGGAAATATTGTAACTGGCCACACTGTTTGCACTTTCAAACCTTGTTGCAAAGAAAAATAAATACATAAACCTAATCAGAGGAGGTTTGCAAGCAGTGACCAAGGGACTGTTTGTACTGCAGTGAGCCAACAGTGGATACTTGCAGGGGTCTGCTGGGTTCAGGACCTCTCTGCCGTGCTCTAGGGATGTTGTTCCCAGCCCTCTTGGGTGACTTTGAGCAAAGGGCTGTTATCTCCATTTTGCTTTTTTTTTTTTTTTTTTTAAGACAGAGTATTGCTCTGTCGCCCAGTCTCCAGTGCAATGGCGTGATCTTGGCTCACTGCCACCTCTACCTCCCGAGTTCAAGCGATTCTCCTGCGTCAGCCTCCTGAGTAGCTGGGACTACAGACGTCCACCACCATGCCTGGCTAATTTTTGTATTTTTAGTAGAGAGGGGGTTTCACCATGTTGGCCAGGCTGGTCTCGAACTTCTGACCTCAAGTGATCTACCCGCCTTGGCCTCCCAAAGTGCTGGGATTACAGGCATGAGCCACCACGCCCAGCCTCCGTTTTGCTTTTGAGGAAACTGAGGCTCAGACGACTTCGGGGTCAGTGCTGATTGGTGAGTGACCCTGCGGGGACTAGATGTCAGTTGGTCTGAGTCAAAAGCTCATGCTTTTTCCTACTTTGTCACCTCCCAAAATAGCATTTGGAAGGGAAAACAGAACAGGGCGTCATTGTTTGTTGTTTCTGACCGTTTGTGGTTCGTGGTGGAGACAGAATCTTGGGGCAAGACGTGAGAGGCAATTTCAGGTGGGCCTGGAACTTGAAGGGCTGCAGTCTCAAAACCAAAGATTGGGTCACATGGTTCAATAGAGCGTTTTTGTGCTGTCTCCGGGTGGGAGACAGCATTCAGTGCCAAAGCCTTGACATTTCCAGAACCTTCTGAGGGTTGCTGGAGACCACGAAATGGCAAGATAGAATTAGTGGCCCACTTGGACTGCCTCTAGAAAGGGTGAGAGCCTAGAGGTCAGCGGCACTGGCGGACCAGGCCTTGGGAGTTAGAGTCTCAGGAGGCTGCCAAGGTGAGCTGAATTCTGGAAGAAGGGAGACAGGCCCAGAGAGACAGGGCGTCTGGGGGGAAAGTCGCCGGCCTGGAGGAGGGGGCGAGTTGCCAGGTGGATGGCACAGCCTGGTAGCTCGCGGGAGGTGAGGTGGGGCATGAAATGAGGGACCCCAATCCCAAGGCCTATGTGGTGGGAACCTGCCAACTCTCAGAGGCTCTGCCCAGTGACTGCCCCCACCCCTGATTCTGGCCAGGCTGAGCAGTGGGGGGAGGTCTGGAGACCTGTGTCCAGGGCCGGCCCCAAGGGGGGCAACTGTGCAGACACTTGGGGCCCCAGGCTGACTTCCACGCTCCCCCATTGCCACCCTAATGTGCTGCATTGTTGTTGAGTGAGGAGTTCCCCCTTAGATGAGAAGGGGTCCTGCCTTGTGGTCTAGGTTGACACAGAGTGGCTGGTCATCTGGCCGCCTGCCACACAGCTTCCAAGTCCAGTAAGGCCTTGAGCCCGAATCTGCCTTGAGCCCAGGAGCATTTTCTGTGAACTGCTTCTGCACCACCCGATTCCTTTGCACATGAAAGCTTAACCAAGGTCTCGCTGCACACCCATGACGGGGCAGGAATTAAAAAGGCAGATAATAACAAGTGTTGGCGAGGACGTGGAGAAGTTGGAACCCTGGTGCACAGCTGCTGGGAATGCACGTGGTGCAGCTGCCATGGAAAACAGCCTGGCAGCTCCTCAGATGATGAACTTAGAGTTGCCCGAGGACCCAGTTACTGCACTGTAGGTACCCAAGAGAATGAAAACATCGGTGGCCGGGCACAGTGGCTCACGCCTGTAATCCCATCACTTTGAGAGACTGAGGCAGGTGGATCACCTGGGGTCAGGAGTTTGAGACCAGCCTGGCCAACATGGCGAAACCCCGTCTCTACTAAAAATACAAAAATTAGCTGGGTGTGGTGGCGCATGCCTGTAATCGCAGCTACTTGGGAGGCTGAGGCAGGAGAATCACTTGAACCTGGGAGGCAGAGGTTGCAGTGAGTTGAGATCACGCCACTGCACTCCAGCCTGGGTGACAGAGCGAGACTCCCTCTCAAAAAAAAAAAAAAAAAGAAAAAGAAAACATCGGAACATCGGTTCCACAAAAGCCTGTGCACACACGTTCACAGCAGCATTATTTGTAATAGCCTAAGTGGAAACAGCACAGAAGCTGTCAGTTGATGAGCGGATAAACAAAATCTGGTCTACCCAGAGAGTGGAGTATGACTGGGCCATAAAAGGAACGAACACAGAGGGTGGGTCTGCGCCATCCGTGACATGTCCAATAGGCAAATCCACAGAGACAGGAAGCGGATGAGTGGCTGGCAGGGCCTGGGGAAGGCGATTCCGTCGGGGAAAGGGGGATAAATCTGAATGGGTATGGAGTTTTGTTTTGGGTGATGGAAGAGTTCTGGAGTTAGTTGCACGGCATTGTGAAATGTAAAAAGCACTGAGTTGGACACTTTAAAATGGTGCTTTTTGTGATGTATAAATTATATCCCAATTCATTTTTATTTTTATCCGTTTTTTTTGAGACAAGGTCTCACTCTGTCACTGCAGCTGGAATGCAATGGTACAATCTCAGCTTGCTACAACCTCGACCTCCTGGACTCACTTGAGCCCAGGGACCTCAGCCTTTTGAGTAGCTGGGACTACAGGTGCATGCCACCACACCTGGCTACTTTTTAAAATCGTTCATAGAGACGAGGTCTCACTGTGTTCCCAGGCTGGTCTCGAACTGCTAGCCCCAAGTGATCCTCCCACCTCAGTCTCTCAAAGTACTTGGATTATAGGCATGAACCGCCGTATCCAGTCTAGATCTCAATGTCTTAAAAAGCTTTAGTGGCGAGGGGGGCAGGCCTTGGGCCTGGACGGGCACTGTGTTTTGACCTCTGGGGGCTCTTTATTGTCCCTCTAAGTTCTTCCAGTGTCACGATCATGGTTTTCAAACCAAAAATTGAGTCCTGTGATCTGATAAAGGGTATTTTTCAGTAAAAAAAAAAATTTTTTTTTTTGAGACAGAGTTTCACTTTTGTTGCCCAGGCTGGAGTGCAGTGACACGATCTCAGCTCACTGCAACCTCCGCCTCCTGGGTTCAAGTGGTTCTCCTGCCTCAGCCTCTGGAATAGCAGGGACTACAAGCATATGCCGCCATGCCCAGCTAATTTTTGTATTTTTAGTAGAGACGGCATTTCACCACGTTGGCCATGCTAGTCTCAAACTCCTGACCTCGGGTGATCCACCTGCCTTAGCCTCCCAAAGTGCTGGGATTAGAGGCGTGAGCCACTGCACCCGGCCTTCAGTCAATTTTTTTTTTTTTTGAGACGGAGTCTCCCTCTGTCGCCCAGGCTGGAATGCAGTGGCACGATCTCAGCTCACTGCAACCTCCGCCTCCAGGGTTCAAGCGATTCTCCTGCCTTGAGTAGCTGGGATTACAGGCGCATGCCATCGTGCCCAGCTAATTTTTGTATTTTTAGTAGAGAGGGGGTTTCACCATGTTGGTCAGGCTGGTCTCGAACTCCTGACCTCATGATCCACCCGCCTCAGCCTCCCAAAGTGCTGGGATTACAGGTGTGAGCCACCACCCCCAGCTCAGTCAATTTTAAAAATACGTTCATATGAAAAATTTGACAGGGGTAGAAAGTTGGCCTGACGGTGTCTACTTTAACAAGATCCTTGACTGGAAGGGTCATACATCTCTGGAATCGGTGCCCCCCTGGCTCGTTCAGGATATGGGCTCATCACAACCACCTGGGAGGGGCGGTTAAGCCTAAGGGTTAATGAGGAGGACTCTGAGCCACCCGCCTGGTTTGAATCTCACTTCCACCACATCTTGGCTGTGTGACCTTAAGTGAGTTAATTAACATGTCTGTGCCTCAGTGAACTCATCTGTAAAATGGGGATGATTGTTGTTGGGTTAAATGAGTTTAGCCTGTGATATGGTTTGGCCGTGACCCCACCCAAATCTCATTTTGAATGGTAATCCCCACAAACCCCACAGGTCCTGGGAAGGACCCCATGGGAAGTGATTGGATCTTGGGGGCGTTTCCCCTATGCCGTTCTTGTGATCATGAGTTTGGCATTTCCTCTGCTTGCACTCACTGTCTCTCCTGTCGCCTTGTGAAGAAGTTGCCTGCTTCTGCTTCCCCTTCTGCCATGATTGTAAGTTTCCCGAGGCCTGCCCAGCCATACAGAACTGTAAGTCAATTAAACCTCTTTTCTTTATCAATTCCTCAGTCTCGGATATTTCGCCATAGCAGCGTGAGAACAGACTAATATGGCCTGGTGCTTACTTTGTGGTTTCAGCTCCTGTCCAGGGTAGAAGCTGTGATCAGCAAGCACGTGTGGGCACCTAGAAGGTGCTAGACGCTGTGGGGTCCCGATCAGTTTAAGACCCAGTCCCTGCCTGGAAACATTTCTTCCGGTTGTCTATTACCCGGTGACAAATCACCCCAAACTTAGCAGCATAAACCATAATCGCTGTTTTTGCTCACAGGTCTGTGATTTGCATAAGGCTCGGCAGGGAGGGCTGGTCCTGCCCCACAGGGCACCAGGGGAGGCAGCTCCCCTAGGGCTGGAGCATCTACTTCCAAGACAGTGCGTGCACCTACCACAGGGCTGCTAGATTGGTTTGGGCTTGTTTCTTTCCATGGGAGCCTCTCCCTGGGCAACCTGGGCTTCCTCACAACATGGTGGCAGGGTCCCAAGACCAGTGTCCCAAAAGAAAGAGCTGGATTACTTTTATGATCTGGCCTCCAAAGCCACAAGGCACCCGCCACTTCTACCACGTGCTATTAGCAGATGCAGACACAGAGCCCTCCTCCTGCCCGGGTCCAAGGGAATGGGGACAAAACTGGAAGGTTCTAAGGCCGGATGCGGTGGCTCACACCTGTAATCCCAGCACTTTGGGAGGCTGAGGTGGGCAGATCGTTTGAGGCCAGGAGTTTAAGACCAGCCTGGGCAGCATGGTGAAACCCTGTCTCTTCTAAAAATACAAAAATTAGCTGGGCATGGTGGCACATACCTGTAGTCCCAGCTACTCCAGAGGCTGAGGCAGGAGAACCATTTGAACCCGGGAGGCAGAGGTTGCAGTGAGCTGAGATCGCACCACTGCACTCCAGCCTGGGCAACAGAGCGAGACTCTGTCTCAGAAAAACAAAACAAAACATAAACAAAACTAGAAGGTTGTGGAAGAGCATGTCAGGTGGGAAATACTGTTGTGGCCATTTTTGGAAACTAGAATCTGGCACACATTGTGTTTGTTCCATCTTTGTGAAATAGAGGGTCAAGACTGCATGGATTCATACAGGCCATTGACCCTTTCCACATGCCCATTTTACGGATCAGCAAAACTGAGGTCCCGGGGGGAGAGTGAATTCTTAGGATCACAGACTCACAGCCTGTCATATACAGGCTATTTGGGAGGATGTTGTCTTTCCTCCTTGATACCACATTCCTGGAGTAGGGGGGCGGATGGCTCATCCTTGCCCTGGTGCCCCCCACCCCCAGATCGCCTGGTACAGATCCCTGGCCATGCATGAATCCAGCTGGCTGTGGTCAAGTGGACCCCCAGGTCATGTCCCAGAAGGTCACTCAGCCTTTTGGCCTCTCCTCCTTATGTTGGCCACACAGCATTGCATGCAGTAGGTGCTCAATAAATGCTTGGCTGCTCATGCCCAGCCGATGCCAGGAAGCTCGTTCTCACCAGGCCAGGGCAGAACATACGACAGCAGAGTTGGGGGGCCAGGCCTGGCAGGCCCCTTTCCGCTCCTCCTCCACAGCAAGCCCCCAGACGGGGCGAAAGGGCCTGGAATTCCCTGTCCAGGGTGGGGCTGTCACCCCAGAGAAGAGTCTCCTGGCCACTGTCTGCCCACAGCCTGTAGGGTTCCCCTTCCCCAGCCACCTCCTCAGAGGCGTCGGGGCTGCAGGAAGAGCCGGCTGAGCCAGATAAAGGCACAGCGGGGGCCGGAGGGAGCCGTTTTCCAACAAAGGAAGCCTGCGGAGGCCTTCCCCCGCCCGCCTAGACACTCCAGGCTCCTTTCAAGCTCTCAGCCGACTGGCGGGCTATTCAACTGCAGCACAAAATGGGGTGGGAGGTGCCCCTGCTTCCCAAGCAACAGAGAGGCAGAGCCATTTATTTAAAAGAAAAAAGCCACAACATGTTCCAGAATATTCCTCCTCAGAATGCAGGTCCCTTTGTGGGCCCTGCAGGGTCTGCAGTGGGGCAGGGAATTGGAGAGAGACAACGGGGCTGGGTCTCTCCCCGTAGTCATGTCCGTGCCCCTGCCGGGTCCTCACAGGTTCCGCCTCTGCAGTGATTGACAAGGCCTTGCGGCTGGGCGTCCCCGCCCCGGGGCCTCCCCGCCCCGGGGCCTCCCGCGGTGGAATGGATGGACAGGGACAGAGGAGACCACCCAGACCTTCCAGCTGCACCCCTGCCACCCCTGCCCCCGCAGCCTGGCAGAGGAAGAGGATGACAGGGCCTGCAGGGTGGCTGATGCCCCTCCAGGACTGGGGGCCCCAACCCTTCATCAGGGCCCAAGAGGGGCGTTCGGTGGGGGATTGAGGGGTGAGGTCAGCTGCCCCGCCCCTAGTGGAGCCAGAACCCCCGCGGCCCCAGTGTTCTAACACTTGAACTCTGCCCTAGGCTCCTCCCCCTCCCCCACAGCTCCCTGGGCCCCCCAGAAAGAGCCACAGCCTTGGCATCAAACCAAGCCCAGCTAGAAACCCAGCATCGCCCTTTAGGAGCTAGCCAAGGCCTGAGCTTTTCTGCACCTCAGTTTGTTCATCTGTAAAATGGGGGTGGACGCTGGCTGCCTCCAGGGCTGGTGTGTGAAGTGAGTGGAGAAGGACCTTCGGAGCACCCGTGTGCTGTGAATACAGGGCCTCAGCTCTGCTAGGGGCGGCGTGGGGAAGACATAGGGCGGGTGTGAGTCAGCCACTTCGGCTAAGCCTGGAACAGCCCCAGCCCCAGGGGCTGCGGGCTGCTGGAAGGATATTAGCCGGGTGCCCTGCTGGCTTGGGGGCTGCAGAGCCACCTGCAGGTGGACCCTCAGTCGGGCACCCGCTGGCCCCAGGCCTGGGTCTCCGCAGGCTGTGGGAGCCGCTCAGAGGCGCTCAGCAACAAGCCCCTGGGGGGCTGCGGGGTGCGGGGAGAGGGCAGGAGAAGGTTCGCCTGTGCCAAGGCTCATTAAGCGCCGGTGTTCTGAGGGGATTAGGCCGGAGCCAGCCGAGGATTCCTTGGGCTTGGTTATTAAAGGCTCCGCGCAGGGTAAACACCAGGCGCTTCCTTTCAGAGCCGCACCTGCTAATTAGAGGGCAAGGAACTCATTAAAACAGTAACTCCAGGGACTGCCTGGGAAGAAGGCTGGGGACGGGAGGGGAGGGAATGTGTGGGGAGGGCGGAGGGCAGGAGGGGAAAGGGCCAGGCATCAGGGGCAGGGGGCAAGGGGCTAGGGGGATGCAGGGGGCAAGAGGCTGGTGGGGGGGCAGGGGTAAGACCCCGCCCTCCAGGGGCTCCCATGCTTCCTGCTTTATTTTCTGCCCCCTGGCAGATGCCCCTGCCAGGTGCTCTGCAGTCTCCCCGGTGGGCTCCGAGGTGCACGTGTTCTTCCTGGTGGCGGCCAGGAGTGGGGAATGGGCAGAGCCACGTCTGTGAAATAAATGCCTGCTGTGCTGGGCCGAGCAGGGACCCCAGGGCTCATGTCCTGATCCCCTCACCAAAGAGGCTTTGCAGATGTGAGCTAGGGACTTTGAAACAGAATGTCCTGGTTTGTCCTTGTGACTGTCCTTAGAAGAGGGTGATGGAAGCTGATGCTGCAGGAGAGGAAGTGGGCTGCGTGGTGACAGACCGAGGAGCTGGAGTGCTGTGGGGTGGGGGCCACCAGCCAAGGAACGCAGGGGCCTGGAGAAGCTGGAAGAAAGGACGGGTAACAGTCTCCCCTGGAGCCAGCCCTGCCTACACTTTGACTTTAGTCCAGCAAGACCCAAGTCGGATTTCTGACCTCCCAAGAGGGTGGATATGTGTTGTTAGAGCCATTGTTCGTGGTCGCATGTTACAGCAGCCGCAGAACACAGAGACAGCCCCTCGCAGCAGGCGCCTCACCTGGGGCACTGTGAGGGGCTGCAGCGCCCCACTGCCATGTCGTCTGCCTCTGCCGATCCAGGAAGCGTGCAGGTGGGCAGGGGTGGGCACCGGAGGGCATGATGCATCATTTTTTGTATGTTTAAAATGTTTCATAATTAAACTGTGAAACGACATCTGCCCGGATCCCAGAGTCTGCCCCTCTCTGAGTTCTCCTGCCCCTCTTGGATAAATGTCAGTGGCCAAGCATGAGCCCTTGGGGCCCAGGGACACATCTTCCCTGTCTTTCTCTATCTCCCTCCTCCCTTCTTACCCCAGGCTTGGGAAGTCTGAGTGTTTCTGGAAGTCTGCTGCTGTGTGGGAATCACTCTTGTCTTGCTGCTTAAGACACGTGGGAGCTGTTAATGGCTCACATTTCAAAGCCTGGCTTTGGGGTAGGATTTAATGCAAGCCACCTAGTGGGGAGTTAGAGAGGTCATACCCTGCTATGTTGCTTTAGGCTGGGCACCTAGCCTCTCTGAGCTCAGGCGCTCCTCTGGAGATGGGAATGGAGACGGGAAATGCTTCCTGTCTTTGTTTTTTTATTGTTATTATTTATTTTTTAAATTTTTATTATTTATTTATTTATTTTTTGAGACCGACTCTCACTGTGTCACCCAGGCTGTAGTGCAGTGGCACGATATCGGCTCACTGCAACCTCCACCTCCCGAGTTCAAGCGATTCTCCTGCCTCAGCCTCCCAAGTAGCTGGGATTATAGGCACATGCCACCATGCCCAGCTAATTTCTGTGTGTGTGTGTGTGTGTGTGTGTGTGTGTGTGTGTGTGTGTATATATGTATATATATGTATATATATGTGTATATATGTATATATATGCGTATATATGTATATATGTATATATATGCGTATATATGTATATATATGTGTGTATATATGTATATATGTGTATATATGTGTATATGTGTATATATGTATATATGTGTATATATGTGTATATGTGTATATGTGTGTATATATGTGTATATGTGTATATATGTGTACATGTGTATATATGTGTATATGTGTATTTGTGTATATATGTGTGTATATATGTGTATATATGTGTGTATATATATATGTGTATATGTGTGTGTGTGTGTGTGTGTGTGTATATATATATATATATATATATTTTTTTTTTTTTTTTTTTTAGTTAAGATGGGGTTTCACCACGTTGCCCAGGCTGGTCTCAAACTCCTGACCTCAAGCGATCTGCCCACCTCAGCCTCCCGAAGTGCTGGGATTACAGGCATGAGTCACCGCGCCCAGCTACTCCCTGTCTTTGCAGTGCTCCTGAGGGTGTGCCTCCCATGTTTGGAAGCTTGAGGCGCAGGGCCTAAGACCTTTAATGAGCGCATGCAGCCTTGGGGCCTCTGGAGGAAGGGGTGTGTACACCTGAATCACCTTTATGGCAATTCTGCATCCAGAGGGTGCTTCCTGCCTCAAAGTAGAGGCTCTGGGGCCCTTTGGCAACCATCTGGGGGCTCCTGTCCTAGCCTGACTGCCCCAGGTCTGAAGTGGGGAGCCAGGGATGGGGCAGGGGGCCCAGACTCCCAGTCACACCCAAGCAAGTGGGACAAGTACCAGAGGTGACTCATATGTAGAGGTAAAAAGCACAACACCGCTGCTGTCTGTCCTTTGGGGTCCTGTAGCCGTCGGCCATGAGAGGGGGCTGCAGTGCCACCAACCCCTGGGTCTGTATGCCTTGGTCTCCCACTTACAGACCCAGATGGGTCGAATTCCTCCGTCTCCATAATCACACTAAGGAATGCGGTACATACCGAGCATGCACTGCAGGTGCTTTGTCCTTAACTCACTGAATCCTCCAGCAACCCTACGAAGTCAGGACTAATGTCCCCACTTTCCAGATGGGGTGGCAGAGGCTCAGGGAGGGGATGTGACTTCCCCAAGGTCACACAGCGGGATCCATAGCCAGCAGCTCTTGGTTAATATGACTTACGGTGTCCAAAGCCCCCTCCCCGTGTGCCTCCCCCGACCCTCAGCTGGTGGGACTGAGAAGCCAGGGCCGCACTGCTCTCTGCGGACCCTGCAGGACTCTCCTTCTCCCCTGGCTTCCTTTGCGCCACACCGAGGGGACTGGATGGTGTGATGCTTTTCCCACGCTGGATTTGGTTGTTTTCCTACCTGGAAACACCAGTTCGGCCTCTTCCTGTCTACACCTCCCTCTGAAACGCCCTTTCTCCCCCTCCAGCCTCTTCTCTCCTCAGAGTCATTGCTTGTCTTTTGAGTGCCCTTCATGGCGGGCCCAGGGGCCAGGCCGTGTGCTGGCCACCCAGGGAGGATGCTGTCCCACCTCAGAACCCCCCTTTATCCCCTGTACCAGCCGGGGCCTTTGTGATTGGTCTACACCAGCTTCTCAGACTGAACCCCCCTTGCTCCCAGAGTGTGTCCTTTCAGAGGCCACCAGAGACCATCACCACCAGGGACCACTTCTCCACCTGTCATCCCTTTGTACCCCGCCGCCTTGGACCCTTCTAGAAACCCCCAAATCAGCCAGCACTCACCCAGGGCTGCAGAGCTGGGAGGTGGACACTGAGCTTCACAGTGGGGAGGCTGGTGGGCAGGCCCAGCGTCTGTAGGGCTCATACCAGGAGGGGTGGCAGGGGAGCTTCTGTCACAAGTGGGTCCTCTTTCCTCAGGGAAGCCTCACCCTGGCTCTGAAGGCCTCCCAGCTGATCCACGCGGGCCCACCCAGGTCATCTAGAACAGTCTTCCTTACTGAGAGGGCAAAATCCCCTCCCAGCAGCCCCAGAGGCCAGTATGATGGAGCAACCCACCCCGTGCTGGCCCAGCCCACCAGGCTTCCCTTCCAGCCTCCCACCCGGCCTCCTCCTTGTCTCTCCTGCCGGCTCCTCTGAGTGCGGCTGCAGCCCGGCCTCGGGCCCTTCCACTTTGCCCACCTCACCCCCTTAGGGCTTGGGGGGCCTGGGTCAGGTGCCTGAGGCCAGCCTGCATCAGAAGCTGGCTCCGCCTCTTTACTGTATGTGGCCCTGGGCCTCAGTTTCTTCCTCTATACAATGGGGACAATAACATACCAGCCTCCTGGGAACTGGCTGGGTTACAGGAGAGCAAGTCTTTGGAGCTGGGCCGGCAGGCATGGGGGCCCAAAGAGGGTCCTCAGCTTTGGATCTGGACGCCTCTTCTGGAGATCTCACTTCCGGAGCACCCGCCATCTCTGCGTGGACATCCCATTGGGCCACTTCCCTCAGGGGGCCCCAAGCTGCAGCCTCCTCCTCCCCCCACAGCCCTGCCTGCCCTCCCTGACCCAGACGCCCCGTGCTCAAGCTTCCTCTGCCTGGACGCTGTTGACATTGGGGATGTCCCGTGCATGGCAGGATGCTGAGCTACGCCTTTGGCCTTTCCTGCTAGATACTACTGTGACAACCAAAATGTCCCCGTCAGCCTCGGGATCAACACCGTCTGTCCTCCAGGGCGTGGACACGGGGCCTCTGCTTTCCTCAGACCCGCTCCCTCTCCAGCCACTCCCCTGCTCCTGCCCTCACCATGTGCACTGACCAAGCTGTCTTCTGAGCCCACGCGGCCTTCCTCGTCCCACACATGATGCTGTGTCGGCACTCCTCTACTCTATGATCGACTTGGCTCCCTACTGCCCACGGACCTTGCAGGAGTCGAGCTGGTCCATCCAGAGTGTGGATGTGGAGCTGCCACTTGCCACCTGGTGGCCCTGGGCCTCACTGGCCTCTGTTTTGTCATCTGGAAAAAGTCATCCACGCCTCACAGCATTTCTGGAACTGAGTTTGGACAGGGCCTGCATGGGGGAGCTGCGCTGGGGTTGCTGGAGTCACCATCCTGTTGCCAAGGTCCCGCACTTGGGCCCTTCTGGCCCCCTCCAGCCATGATGAGCTCTCCTCTCCCGGCATCCCTTCTCTGCGTTTCCTCTCTCCTGTCTGTCCCCAGGTTCTGCTCATCCTTGAAGGACCTGGTGTCCCGACCAGAGGGTGGACTCTGAGGTGCAGGGGCAGTGCATTGACTTTTGGGGACGCTTGGCGTGGGGTGGGCCACTTGTGAGGAGCCCCTTATTGGGGCTATGTGTGACCCATGGAGGGAAGCCATTTTTCTTCCCCCTAAATGTGGGGGCTCAAGACCCACCACCCCAAAATATGGCTGTAGGAGACCAGAATGTGCCACCCCAAAATATACTTCATCAGCGTATTCACTGCCGGTTATTCTGAGAAACTGCGGAGCCAGGAGTCGCTCTGAAAAGCTGTCCTTTTGTAAAAGCAATTTGCATCTGTAAAGGAGAGCCGCTTTAGTGAGGTGTCTGCACCCGGAAGAGAGCTGCTCCAACAACTTTTATCACCAGGGAGACTTTATCTGCACAGCAAGACAAGCTTGATTCACCAGGCACTTCCTCCCTCACCTCCCGCCACCCCTGGAAGCCCCAGACCCCTGCTCCTTCCTTCAGCTCGGATGCTATCTGTACAAGCGACAGTCACCTGACCCTTGTTTGAGTTTCCCGTGCGGTGGGACTCCCGTGCCTGCGCATGTAATTAAACATGGTTTTTCTCCTGTTAATCGCTCATGTTGATTTATTCACAGCCCAGCCAGGGAACCTCGGAGGGTGGAGGGGAATCATTTTCTCTCCCTACACCCATCCCGGGAGGCCCCAGCTCTGAGCCCGGGGGTGAGCGGCCCTGAGTAGTTTTCGCTGACACAGCCCTTTGCCCCATGGTGGCACTGCTGAGGCCGGGAGCAGCCCCGGGCCCGGGTGGAGGGCCGTACTGTCTTGGCATTCTTTCCTCGGCAAGCGAGTGAGTTCAGTCGGCTTTTTAATCAGCAAGACCTTTGATCCAGCAGGAATGAGTAATTAGCGCGGAGCCGGGAGTGGGCAGTTGCAGGAGGCGGAGGCCGTGCTGTGCGGGCTGGCAGGAGGCGGAGGCCGTGCTGGGTGGGCTGGGCTCCCTGCAGGTGCTGGGGCGTGGGTTTGTGGGGTGAGGGAGTACATGGCCCAGAATAGGAGGAGGTACATGGGGTGAGGCCGTGCACCGCAAAAGGTGCCCGGCTCCTCCCACAGCCACTGCTGCAGGGTGGCAGTCTCATGCCCGGCACCACCAACAGTGACAGCAGCAATAACACTGTTGGCTGCCGGGAGAAAGAGAAGGAAAAGAGGAAGGGAAGAGGTAGAAGGGAGGGAGCCATGTCCATTTCGGAGTTGGGAACCCTGATGCCCAAATAAGCCAGTGCCTTGTCTGAGGCCTCCAAGCAGCCGGGCGCGCTGGGAGCAGGGCGGGACACCCTTCAGACCTGACGTCCAGTGTGGAGTTTCCCTGCCACCCCAGATGTCCCATAAAGAAGGCTCCAGCATGCTGACCGGCTGGCCTGAGTGGACTTCCAGCAGCTGGGGCTGGGGTCCCAGGAGGACAGAGCCAGGGCAGGACCGCATACTAGGACAGGTGGGACCCAGGCCTTCCTGGGACCCTAGTGTCTCCGAGATATGGAGGAACAGGGCGTGGAGGCTGCCCCTGCCCCGGGTTCAGGCCAGGGTCCTCCTGGAAGCCTTGGTGAGGACCCGGCTGCAGTTCTGCAGGACTCCAGGGTCACCAGGGGCTGACTGGGCAGCATCAAGCCTTGGTGCTTTAATGAGCTTCCATTAGCCCTCCTGACATGCGCCACTCCAGCAGTGTTTGGGGATTGGCTGATGGATTTTTGAGCCTTTGTTCGTTCCCTTGATTATTCATTCAACAAATGTTCATGAAGCCTGGCACTGAGCCAGGGGATGGCCCAGACTTTGCTCAAGGAGCTCCCGGCCTAAGCATCAGCTCATCAGCTTTTGAAGACAGAGCTTCAGAGATGCCGACCAGTCGGTGGCGTTCAGCACAGAAGGGGCAGAATCAGAGGTGCAGGATTAGGCCACCTGCAGCCTTGGTGGCTCGGGTAGGACACTGGTGGCTTTCTGCAGCCTGGTGGGCTGTGAGCCACTGAACAGTCTAACACACACGTGTGAGCATGTTCATGTGTGCACAGGACACACACATGCCCTCACAATTTTTTTTTTTTTTTCGAGTTGAAGTCTCACTTCATCGCCCAGGCTGGAGTGCAGTGGTGTGATCTTTGCTCACTGCACCCTCCGCCTCCTCAGTACAAGCGATTCTCCTGCCTCAGCCTCCTGAGTAGCTGGGATTACAGGCGCCTGCCACCACGCCCAGCCTTGCCCTCACAATTCTTATGTGCACATATGCATGCTCACACACAAGGCACTCATATGTATACATATGTCATGCCAAAATACATGCATGAACATTCACACGTTCACACATACACATGCTCACACAGGCACACACGTTCGTGTACACGCATGCCCACACAAATGCACACGCTGACATGCACACATGCTTGTATACACATAGGCACACATATACATGGGCACACACACAGACATGTACACACACATATCCACAGGCACATTTGCTATGCGCTTGATGCACACTGACACATATGCACACACCCTGGGTCTGCCCCCAGCATCGAGGGGCTGGCGACAGAGTGCAGACAGAAGCTCCTGCTGTTGCTGTCTCTTCTCACCCGCCACTGTGTCCCCCATCACACCAGGCCACGCCTGTGGGCACCCCCGCCTGCTCCTCAAAGCTCATGCTACCCTTTGGGCCTAGGCAGCACAGCCCCCTTAGGAGGACAGGCCTGAGGGGAGGCCCTGCACTTGGGCTCAGGACTTTTTTTTTTCTTTTCTTTTCTTTTTTTTTTTTTTTTGAGACGGAGTCTCGCTCTGTCGCCCAGGCTGGAGTGCAGTGGCGCGATCTCGGCTCACTGCAAGCTCCGCCTCCCGGGTTCACGCCATTCTCCTGCCTCAGCCTCCTGAGTAGCTGGGACTACAGGCGCCCGCCACCACGCCCGGCTAATTTTTTGTATTTTTAGTAGAGACAGGGTTTCACCGTGTTAGCCAGGATGGTCTCGATCTCCTGACCTCGTGATCCGCCCGCCTCGGCCTCCCAAAGTGCTGGGATTACAGGCGTGAGCCACCGCGCCCGGCCAGGCTCAGGACTTTCAAGCAGGGAAACCGGGGACCTGGCGCAGGGATGGGCTGGGGGCCAGTCACCTGGGCTGCACATCTCCTTGCCTTCAGGGGTCCATGGGTGTGGGCCAGGGCCGGGCTTCTCTCAGCACAGGGCCCAGGGCAGGAGTCCTGGTTGTCCAGGTCTCAGCAATGCTGCCACACCTGGCGTCTGAAATGGAAGCGTCAGCCTCTGCAGTTTTCACTGCATGCGGCGCCGTCAGTGTTCTCATTCCATTTGATTTTCTTTCTGAAAACCACTGGCCAAAGCCTCCGTATTGGTCTCAGGCAGGACCCAGCCTGGAGTTGGAGACTATGGAGCAGGTGACCTTTCAGGTTCTTCCCACCTCTGAGCTTTGAGGGTGCTGGGAACACCCCTGGGCTCTCCCTCACCTCTGGATCAAGAGAATGAACACAGAAGCCACGCCTTCCCTGTGCTGGACCTGTGGGTGCTGGCCCTGCTCGTCCTGCTCTTGCTGACCACCTGTCCTGTTCTTCCCTGGAGCCCTGAGCCTGGGCTGCCCACGGCAGGGCAGGGCAGGCTGCCTGGGCGTTGCCTGCTTCATCCTCCTTTCTCATCTCTGCACCGGCAGATCTTCCCCCTCAGCATCTCCAGATGCGCCTTTTTCCGTATCTTGCCTTCACCTCTGGGTGCATTCAGCTGGTGAACCTCTTTCCTGCAATGGGGCCACCCTGAGTGCCCTCCTAACCTTCCGGGCTGCTCTGAGTGGTAGATGTCCCCCAAGGTTAACAGTGCAGGCTGAGGATGACAGCGTATGTGTGCAGAGCTGGCTCTGTGTGACGTGAGGCAGCTGACTTACCCCTCCCTGCCTCAGTCTCCCCCTCCATCAAATGGGCGTATAATGATAGCACCTATGTCATAGGCATGTTTGGAGGATCAGGCAAGTAAGATTTGCAAAGTGCTTGAGCATTGCATGGCACATGTGGTGGCTAAATAATTTAAATAACATTAAATAATTAAGGGGTTACCATCAGGGGAAATAAAATCAGCTAGGTTTTATCCAGCGGCTCCTAAAGGCCCGGTAGTAGTCTAAATACACCCATCTTGAGTCACTTTTTTCCCCCTGTGAGGTAGCTAGTAGGTACTGTCATTGTGACCATTTTACAGATGAGGAAGCTGGGGCCCAGAGAGGTTTAATCACTTCCCCGTGGCCACACAGCCCGCAGTAACCGAGTCAGTGCGTGAAGCAGGGCAAGCTGTGATGGACAGGTGCTGCTGCCGGTGGCGTTACTCTCGTGATACTGCTGAGGATGGAATGAGCGCGTGTCTGCAGAGCTTGGCCTGGCCCGCAGCAGGCAGAAGCATGGGGCATCTCATCCTGTGAGCGTCGTCGGTTTCGGTGTTGGGGCGGGTGTTTGGGTGGACTCGCAGCTGGGCATGTTACCACCCCCCACCGCTGTGACTGTCATGGGCAGGTGGATGCCCCCAACCCTGCTCTCTTCCCCTGAACCTTTGCTGTCACCTGGAAGGGAGGGAGGTCACTGGGTCTGGTGTCATTTCCCTCCCCACCAGCCAGGCCAGTAGCCAGGCCCGTAGTAGTTCTCATGGCTATTTTACGTGATTGCAAATTGATTTTCCCAGTGATCTGTTCTAGAGTCCACCTGGGCGTGGATGCCAAGCTGGCTGACCCGGGATTTCCAGCCGGCGACATCCTTTTCCTCCTGTGGAAGGGGCACATTTGTCTTTGCCTGGACCCAGGGCTGTGCTCGCTCCAGCCGTGATTTCTCCGGACAAATGGCCGCGGTGCTGACGAGGCCCTGGCACGACTCTGCCTGCTTGCTGCGCCCTTTCTAGAAGCTTCTGCCTTTTATTTCCTATGTTTCCTTTTCCCCTTTCCACCCCAACTGGGACTCACTTCAGTCAATTATTCCCTTCAGATCTTTTCAGGGAAGGCGGCAGTGAAAAGGCACTAAAATTGCTGTCTTCTCAATGTTCTCCCATTATTAGATTTCTTTCCGTGGATGTGCGGAGGGGGAGGGGGGCAGAGAGAGGCGGCGGGCGCAGGGTGGGGGTGGGGGCGGTTCTTTTTAATCTTTCCATTTTTCTTCTCTTTAAAAAAATGACTCTTAATCCTTTGCTGGTGAGAGTCTTAGACTCTGGAATTGTGTCTTTATGCCAGGGGACGGCGTCTGCATTTTCATTTTTGGTGACTTTCGTGTTTGCCTATGGAACCTGAAGGAGTGGATATACATCGTCTGTCTTCTTTTAACCTGAAATGTCAGCTTCACAGAAGCCGGATCTTTCCCTGTCTTACTCACTGCCAAGTCCTCAGTGCCAAGAACGGTGCTTGGCCCAGGGCGGGGGCCAGATAAATAATTTAAAATTCACTAACAGGCTTGTTTTATGTCCCCTGGTCCCCACCTCTCTCAGCACAGCTTTGAGCTTAGACAGTGGGCTTTAGGTACATTTCTGAATCTCAGTCGATAAAGGTGTATCCAGAATGGAAACAGATGGTACAAATCGTTTAAGAATCATCATGCAAGGCTGAGCCCAGGAGTTCAGACCAGCCTGGGCAACACAGTGAGACCCCATCTATACAAAATATAGAAAAAAATTAGCCGGGTGTGGTGGCGTGTGTCTGTGGTCCCAGTTACCTGGGAGGCTGAGACAGGAGGATCACTTGAGCCCACCAGTTCGAGGCTGCAGTGAGCGGTGATTGCACCACTGCACTCCAGCCTAGGTGACAGAATGAGACCCTGTCTTAAAAACAAAGGCGGGTATGGTGGCTCATGCCTGTAATCCCAGCACTTTGGGAGACCGAGGCAGGAGGATCACTTGAGGTGAGGAGTTCGAAACCAGCCTGGCCAACATGGTGAAACCCCATCTCTACTAAAAATACAAAAAATTAGCTGGGTGTGGTAGTGCACACCTGTAATCCCAGACACTCGGGAGGCTGAGGCAGGAGAATCGCTTGAACCCGGGAGGAAGAGGTTGCAGTGAGCCAAGATCGCGTCACTGTACTCCAGCCTGGGCGACAGAGCAAGACCCTGTCCCAAAAACAAACAAAGAAAAAACATCTTCACGTGAGCTGTTCGGGACCAGCTCCTGATACCATTGTGTGTGGTGCGTTCCTAGCTTGGGTTTAAGAATGAACAGAGACACTTCCTGCAGGTCAGCAGGTCAAGGGGTTTCTCCCACATGTCAGGCTGACAGGCTCTGCAGGTGGCTGGGAGGGTGGGACGGTGCGAGGGTGGGCTGGAGCCCTGAGCTGCTCCACTCCCGGCTCTGCCCAGGCCCCCAGTCTAGGAGGTTTTGCAGCCTCTCTGAGCCTCTGCACGAGTTTCCTCATCTGGAAAATGATGATGATAATGGCAGTGTCTACCTCACAGGCTGTGGCAAGGATTAAGTGAGTTAAAATATGTGGAAAGTATTTAAAACAGAGCAGGGCACAGAGCAGATGCTGCACCTGTGTTGATTATTATTTTATTGCCATTATACTTATTATTCTTCCATCCACTGAATTGAAACCTTCCTGACTGCTGAAAGTCAATTCATCACTGCATGCAAGAACATGCGAGTTTTTCTAAGCTCTCTAGGGGCTCTGTTGTTTACTTTTTTTTTTTAAATAAACAGGGTGTTGTTCTGTCTTCAGGTTAGAGTGCAGTGGATCTCAGCTCACTGCAGCCTTGACCTCCTGGCCTCAAGTGATCCTCCTGCCTCAGTCTCCTAATCAGCTGGGATCACAGGCATGTGCTACCATGCTGAGCTAATTTTAAAAATTTTTGTAGAGGCCAGGCGTAGTGGCTTATGACTATAATCCCAGTACTTTGGGAGGCCAAGTCGGGTGGATCACTTGAGGTTAGGAGTTTGAGACCAGCCTGGCCAACATGATGAAACCCCGTCTCTACTAAAAATACAAAAATTAGCTGGGCTTGGTGGCAGGCACCTGTAATCCCAGCTACACGGGAGGCTGAGGCAGGAGAATCGCTTGAACCCGGGAGGCAGAGGTGCAGTGAGCAGAGATCACACCACTGCACTCCAGCCTGGGTGACTGAGTGAAACTCTGTCTCTAAATAAAAATAAATAAAAATTTTGTAGAGATAGGATGTTGCTATGTTGCCCAGGCTGGTCTCAAACTCCTGGCCCTAAGCAATCCTCCTGCCCTGGCCCCCCAAAACACTGGGATTACAGGTGTGAACCACTTCACCTGGCCTGTTATTTACATTTTTTAATGTGTGAGTTTCAGATGGGCATCAGGCTTTAGGGAATAAGGCCTCGTGGTGATGGCTAGGGTTGGATCCTAGCCTTGCCTGCTAACGAGCCAATGGCCTCAGTCCCTGGGCCTTTGGGGATGCTCAGGACATACCCTCGGTCTCTCGGCAGTGGAATAGAGACCGGCAGGTGGTCTCTCTATCCCTGGGCTGCCTGCCGTCCCTCCACAGGGACTTGCAGGTGAGCAGGTGGGATTGTGTCTGCAGGGCCCGGTGGCCAGCCCTCCAGCCCATCACTGCCACCTCCCTGACACCTCGGGACCCACCAAGCAGAAGTGATATCTCCTGAGGCTGTTTGCTGTGGCTGTCACTGTGTTTCCATGATCCCGTGACAGAAACCCTGCCCTGGCGTTAACTCACACTGTAGCCAGTGCATCCGGACGTGTATTTTTAAAGGGTATAATTTCTATCAACTTCAATTAGAGCTATTTTTATGTTTGTCACCCTGAAGAATTTCCCTGTAGCTGAGCTGCCATTTTTCACTGTAATACCCTTGGCAGGGGCTGGGGAAGAAATTAATAGTCTAGTGATCACTTTAGCTAATGCCCTGTCAGCGCTTGAGAAACTGACTGCCCTGGGTGAGGCGGCTCTGCTCCTTCAGTCATTGTGTCACGCTCATCTGCGGTGGCCCACGCTTGAGCTGAGAGCTCAGGGCGTGGGCCTCGGCAGCCCCACCAGCCCCCACTCTCATATCCTTTTGGGAGACCTGCTGGATGAATTCCTCCTCCTCAGAGCGCATGTGTTGAGGATCTGTCTCTGTGAGGTTCAAGGCGCACCAGGGCGAGAGTCTGTCATCTTCAGGCTGTCTGACGTTTGGCAGTCTGTTAAACATCTCTGAGCCACATCTAAACAGGGAGCACACCCTAAGGATTAGCTGTTCATAGCCACTGGCCTCCCCAGCCCGGGACATCAGAGGAGGCGATGGTAGGGTGAAGGGAGCACTGTGCTCCACAGGTGCCTAGCAAATGGGGCATCCCTGCTGGTTCCCCCTTTTCAGCGGCACCCCCTCTCCATGCACAAATTGTACCCCTCTCCAAGCCATTTGTGCATGAAGAGGGGGTGCCGCTGAAAAGGGGGGCCAGCAGAGAAAGCCGGGCACAGGCTCTGAAGATAGGAGGGGGTGGCAGGCAGCAGGGAGTGGGGAGCAGAGGCTGTGGAGAAGGCCTGGGGGTGCAGAGGGAGCAGCTGAGCTGCTGGATGTGCCTCCCTCAGCCTCTCAGGGAGGAAGGTGCTTCTTGATCCTGTTAAACCCAAAATCAGCAAGCAGTTCAACAAAGCGTGGCGCGTCCACACTACGGCACGCTCCTCAGCAATGAAAAGAAACAAAGCATGGGTGCACAGGGCAACCTGGGTGCATCTCCAGAGGACCGCGCTGAACGGGAAGGCCAGCCCCAAAGGACCGAGCACTGTGTGATTCCATTTCCATTACGTGCTTGAGGTGACCGAGTTCTAGAATGGAGAGCAGATTAGCGGTTATCAATTCCTGCTTGTGGCGGGTACTACAGTGAGCAAGGGGTTGCCCTTGGAGGCTGGGTGAAGGGTGTCGGGGATGGCTCCATTACTGCTTACAGCTGCAAACAAATCTGCAGGTATCTCAGCTTAAAAAGTTTGCCCGGCCCAGTGGCTCACACCTGTAATCCTAGAATTTTGGGAGGTTGAAGCAGGAAGGTCGCTTTAAGCCAACAGTTCGAGATGAGCTTGGACAACATAGCCAGACCCCATCTCTACAAAAAATAAATAATTAGCAGGGCATATGGTGGTGCACGCCTGTAGACCCAGCTACTGAGGAGGCTGAGGTGGGAGGATCGCTTGAGCCCAGGAGGTTGGGGCTGCAGTGAGCTATGATTGCACCACTGCACTCCAGCCTGGGCAACAAGTGAGATCCTGACTCAAAAAAAGTTGAAATTTTAAAAAGGCAAAAATCAAAATGATGTCTCTTCAGCTCGGAACATCCAGCAGGCTCCCCTCTCACTGCGAATGAGATCCAGAGTCCTCCCGGGGACCTGTGGGAACCTCCAAAATGGGACCCATTGCTTCCCTAGCTCCTCCCGTGCCACTTGCTCCTTGCTCTTCCTCAAATGCAACCGGGCACAGTCCCGTCTCAGGGCCTTTGCACTGGCCATTCCCCGCGCCTGAAACACTATTCCCCCAGGAACATGGCTCCTTACATAACTCAGATACGTCTCCTTCAGCGGCTGTGCTGAGGACGCCGTGCCAGGGCCTGGGAGTGCTGTTCCCAGGTTGCTGATGGTCTGGGGGTGCGGATCTGCAATCCAAATCTCTGGCACTGGGATGTGGCACTAATGGACATGGGGTGGGATGCGGCCAGCCCTGCCCGGCGGGGGAGCTAGGGATAGTGCCCAGGGGAAAGGGTACGGTCCCTGGCTGAGGAGGAGGCAGAGAACATTTCTGGGAGAAAGGCAGGGGGCATTTTATGATGGGAGGGGACTCCTAGGCAGTTGGCAAGGTTTGTGAGCAGCCCGCGCGTTGCTTTTGCCCGGAACCCTGGGCCGAGCGGGGTCCTGCCCGGGGAGCCTCCTTGGCTGACTGCCCGAAGCTCCCAGGACGACAGCAGCCCTTGTTTCGGGGCTGAGAGCTGCCCTCCTGAGAAGCTGTGATGGGACAAATGTGTAGAGGACAGGTGTGCGGGGCACATTTGATGGGCACCAGGAGCATGTGTGAAGCGCAGGGCTGCTCCCCGTTTATCCTTCAGTGCCCTTGGCGGGCCAGGCCCTGTCCCAGAGCTTCACAACACAGACTCATTGGCCCTTGCGGCTGCCCCAGGAGGCTGGCACTGTCACTGTTTCCATTTCACAGATGGGGTAGCCAAGGCCCAGAGAGGTAGAGCCACTTGCCTGCAGGCACACAACTCGTCAGGTGGTGCTGGACTTTGAAGCAGGCAAGGCTGAGTCTATGCCCTCAGCCCCAGCAGGATGCAGCTTCCCAGGCTGGAGAGAGAAGGGAGGGGAGGAGCCGGTGGTGTAGACAAGCTGGCTGGTGCCATGTGTGCTTCAGAACGAGCTGTCTGCCGCCTTCAGGCAGATGCAGGTGACCCGTGGGTGCTGCTGTAGCCAGCTCTGCTCTGCCCTCACCGTGGCTCACAGGTTCGCCTCTTCTGTCAAGACTCAGCCGCCCCCTCCCACAGGCCCTCCTCCCTGACGGGTTTTGCCTACAAGAAACTTCCTTGTGTTTAGGAGTCGGCGTACACCGTGCCCCACCTCCCACCCCCTCCTAAACCCCAGGCCTCCTCTCTGCTTCTAGAGCAGGGGCCTGCGGGCCAAGTCCAGCTGGCTGCCTGTTTTTGGATGGCCCATGAGCTAAGAAAGGCTTTCACGTTTTTAAATGGTTGCCAAAAACAAAACCCAAAGGAAGAACAGTATTTCACCACAGATAAAAATTATATGAAATTCAAATTTTAGTGTCCGTAAATAAAGTTTTATTGGAACAGCCACACATGTTCATTTAGGTATTGTCTGAGGCTGCTTGGGTGCTGCAGTGGCAAAGCTGAGTGGTTTTGACAGAGACCATTCAGCCCACAAAGCCAAAAAATACCATCTGGCCCTTTAAGAAAAGGTTTGCAAATGTGCTGCTGCCTCTGGGCCATTGCGCTTGCTGTTCCTTGTTCCAGGAACACTCTTCCCCAGCTATCTCTGTGGCTAGTGTCCTCGTTTCCTTCAGGTCTTTTCACAAACATCCTCTTCTCAGTGTGGCCAGCCTATGGAAAATGATATCTCTACCATTGCCCACCCATCCGTTACTTTCTCCACCCACCCGCCCTTCTCTCCATCCTGTTCTTGTGCTGTTTGTCCTTATGGCACTTCCTACTGATGGACAGATGAACAGTTTGTTTATTCATACTCATGTTAAAATACTGTGTGTCTCCCCAGCCAGAATGTCAGCAGGGATTTTTAGCTGTTTTTCTTGCTGCTACATCCCAGGCACAGAGCCTAGCACATAGTTGGTACTCAGTAAATGTTTACTGGATGAATGGATTGATGGATGATGAGCAAATGGACAGGTGGATGAGTGGATGAACAGTGGATATGTGGATGGGTGGATGGATGACTGGATGGACAGATAGATAGATGGTGGACACATGGACACGTCAATGAATGGACAGATGGATGGGTGGATGGATAGATGCATGGACAGAGGGACAGGCAGTGGACAGATGGACAAGTGGATGAATGGATGGGTGGATGAACAATGGATAGGTGGATGGATGCATAGATGGAGGGGCGGGCGGGTGGATGATGGATGGATGGATGAACAATGGATGGGTAGATGGATGGATAGATGGAGGGGCGGGTGGGTGGATGAATGGATGGATGGATGAACAATGGATGGGAAGATGGATGCATAGATGGAGGGGCGGGTGGGTGGATGATGGATGGATGGATGATGGATGGGTGGATAGATGATGGACAGATGGATGAATAGTGGATGGGTGGATGGATGATGGATGGATGGATGATGGGCAGGTAGATGGATGGTGGACGAGTGGATGGATGGTGGGCAGGTGGGTGGATGATGGATGGATGGATGATGGGCGGGTGGATGGGTGATGGACAGGTGGATGGTGGATGAGTGGATGGATGGGCTGATGGGTGGATGATGGATGGATGGATGATGGACAGGTAGATAGATGGGTGATGGATGGATGGTGGATGGGTGGATGATAGGCGGGTGGATGGGTGATGGACAGGCGGATGGTGGACGAGTGGAGTGATGGTGGGCAGATGGGTGGATGATGGATGGATGGATGGATGGATGATGGACAGGTAGATGGATAAGTGGTGGATGGATGATGGATGGATGATGGGTGGATGGATGAGTGATTGACAGGTAGATGGATGGTGGATGAGTGGGTGGATGGTGGACAGGTGAGTGGATGGTGGGCAGGTGGGTGGACGGTGGATGGATGGATGGATGGACAGGTAGATGGATGAGTGGTAGATGGTGGATGGATGGATGGATGGATGATGGGCAGGTGGATGGGTGATGGACAGGTAGATGGATGGTGGATGAGCGGATGGATGGTGGACAGGTGAGTGGATGGTGAACAGGTGGGTGGATGGTGGACAGGTGGGTGGATGGGTAGATATGAGGGTGTGACAGAAATGTGGATGCAAAGCTGAGCTGAACCAAATAACGTGGCTCTTAGATGTCACGTGACAGGGTCAGAACTTTGGTAAGGGGTTGGCGGGATAAGTGTGGTGTTTCAGGAAGGCCGCTGCTCGGTGGTGTTGAGAGCTGTGGCTGGCAGGGCTGTACACCCAGGTCTAGCCGGAGGCTCTCACCCTTGGAGGCAGGAGATGAGCAGGTATGGGGCAGGCTGGGGGTTGGGGAATACCTCTGGGGCTGGGAGGGGTCCCTGGGAGAGACAGGATGTCCGTGGTGAGCCGGTCTGAGCTCAGCCTAGCTCCCACTGCCAGCCCCTAGGAGGAGGTTCTTGGGCTGATGCCAAGGTCTCAGGGCCTCCACATCTTGGGGCGCTGGCCTCTCACCCTGGCCCGGCTGGATTCCCCAGCAGCACCCAAGCGCCCTGTTGCCTGACAGCCATGAGGAGGCGCTCTTGCCTCAGCAAGCAGTGAGCTCCTGCCCTGTGCCAGCCTTTCAAGGGACCATCAGCTGCCTCCGAGCCTGAGTGTGTCCTGAGGCTGTCAGTTTCGTCAACATGGATGGATCCCCGCTTTCTAGTGACCCTCCTGGAAAGACCCGTGCCCCACCCGCCCATCCCACAGTGGGATCAGACACAGCAAGTGCACCAATGTTTCTGTCGCCAGTGACCTCATCCATATAATGGGACACACAGTTCCTGCCTCACTGAGTTGTTTAAGGCTTAAATGGGTCAGCCCCTGCAGGGACAAGCTCAGGCCTGGCCCTCAGTAGATGCTGTGGACATAGTGGCTGCGGGCATTGCAAAAGCCATCTTTGCCACAAGCTTCCGCTCTAGGACCTTCTGTTCCACCTGGTCAGGGACAGACAGCAGCTCCTGGGCTTGGGGACAACCCCAGTGTCAACTGAACCCAGATTTTTCAGCCCCAGCAGCCCTCGAGGCCTTGAACCAGGGACTTTCTTGTCTTCCAATGACAAGCTTTTCTTTGCGGCAGGCGGGGTGGGGTCCCCTTCTTTCTTCTACTCTTTATGTAGCAAAGGCATTCATGGACTTCTTGCGCTAAGTTGGAGTGCACAGCTGCCTCATGGTCCAGGACGCATGGTCCAGGGCTCGAAAAAATAAAAAGGCGGTTCTGCCCCAGGCTTCAAGTTTGGCCAGGCCACCTACCTGTCCTCCATCCATCCATCATCCATCCACCCATTCACTATTCATCTATCTGTCCATCATCTGTCCACCCATCTATCATCCATCCACCTGTCCATCATCCATCCATCCATCATCCACCCACCTGCCCCTCCATCTATCCATCCATCCACTGTTCATCCATCCATCCATCCATCCATCCATCCACTGCCTATCCATCTGTCCATTCAGTCCATCAACCCATCCAGTTTAAAGCTATGGGTGGGACTCTCAGCTCCACCTTTGCGGAGGAGGAAGCTGAGGCCAGGAACATGACATGGAGAGGCATTCCCTAGATTACCTTCACTCCCGCCCAGGTCCCAGCTCTTTCTTGGTCACCCGGCTGCATCTGGCCCCTTTGTCCACTTGATCTTGGCCACTGCCCATCCATGAAATGCAGGCTCCTTTCCCTAACCCAGACATCCGGGGCAAGGTGCTCTGTGCCTGCTGGAAGAGGATCCAGCTGGACAACCTCTGCCCACTTTCTGTCCGCTCAGCCTCAGTTTTCCCATCTATAAAATGGGTTGGTCATTCTCACCTGGCCTGCCTGGCTCTGGATCGTGCTTTTGTGCATGTGTTTCGTGGATTGTCCAGGAGACTCGGGCAGCTGCAGCCAGCCGTCACCTGGCCAAACTTGAAGCCTGGGACAGAACTGCCTTTTTATTTCTTCAAGCCCTGGACCATGTGTCTAATTGAGCTTCTGTTGTCCTCCCTCCCTCCAGCCCCCGAGAGATGGGGGAGAGTCTGATCCTGACCCCCCAGCTGCGGCGCCCTGCCCGAGACAGCCAACCCCCACCGCCCTGCCGCTCCCCAACCCCAGCCGGGAGCGCTGCAGCCGGAGCGGCCCTAATTGCAGTCACAGATGTGGCAGCCACCAGCCTCTCCCGCGCGATCTGCCGTGTGGCGTGTGCTTAATTAGTCCCTGATTACTCATTTGCCGGGTGCTGTGTGTATTCCATATCTAATAACTTTCCAATTACACCCGGTCGCCAGCGCACATTTAATAACCCTTTAGTTGTCTGCTTATCAGGGACTCTGCATTCGGCATCTCCAATCTCCCCCTGACCCGAAGCCTTATCATTCCCTTTATTGCAGTATTTGGAGCCTCTGCTTGCCATTATGGAGCTATTACAGGGAATTAAGGGGCGTAAAATACTGTTTTTGGCTTCTGACACACTAGCTTGCAGCACAGAACAAGAAATCCCATCAGGGCAGGTTGAGCAGAATGTCTTCGTAGGTGGGCTTTGGTGCGGGGCCACAGCGGGTCAGGACAGCGGGAGAAGAGGGCTCCCGTGGCAGGGCTGGCCTGTCCATGTTCCCTTCTCTCCCTCCCTGGCAGACGACAGCACTGGTGCTGCAACCTGAGTGTCCCCAGCAGGGGCAGGGGCCTCTGGCCAGCCCGGGAGGTGCTCCTGGGCTGGCTGTGCCCGCCGCCCTCCCTAGCCAATGCACACACCCTGCCAGCGCCCTGGGGAAGGGACTGTCTTTCCCCCTACACTTGGCTTCGTGCCTGTGCTTGATTTTTCCTCGGGGCGAAGAGGAGGCGACGCCGTGTTCTTTTGTGTTGTCAGGATGCTGGCGTCTCTTCCCCCTCCTGCGGTTGTGTTCCTTGTCTCATCTTCCCTGCTTTGCTCTTGAGATAAATCAGCCTCAGCCCATCAGCAAACCTCCCCTCTCTGCCATTCACCAGCAGCACAAACCTACTTGCCCCAGAGTGCGGCCTGGGTTGCTGTACGGCCGCTAGGCGTGGGGGTGCAGAACCAGGCTCTGCCAGTGTTTACTGAGCACCTACTGTGCCCTGGACACTGTGCGGGGACTAGGTACTTGACAGAGGACACATGCTGGCCTGCATTCTCGGCTCTCACTGTGACCAGCTGGGTGACGTTGGGCAGCTGACTTGACTTCTGAGCCTCTGAGAATTCAGGTGGGGTTGCTGGGATGATTAAATGGGCTGCCGATGGCAGGTGCTCAGCTGGCACCTGGCACATAGTAGGTACTCGGGACAAGTAAGGCAGGGGTTACTAGCCCACTTTCCGGAGACATCAGCTGAGAGCCAGAGCAGTTGTGGCTCGCTTGGTTTCTCCTAGTCACGCCAGCAGGTGAGTGGCAGCTTGGACTCAGGCCTACGTGTGTTTTACTCAAGATCAGCAGTGCCGGCTTCCTGGGGTGCACCTGGAGCTTGCTTGGAAGGAAGAGATGATTCAGGCTGGTCAGGAAAAGTGGGTGAGCCCTGTTCTCCTGACATTTAGCTGTTCAGAGCATCCTGCCCCTGTGACTTCAGGGACCCTAGACTGTCATGGGGCTCCAGGCCAGCAGCTAGGAGACAGCCCTGCCAGCTGGAGCCGAAACTGCCCAGCAGCCAGGGTGTGAGGGACACTGGACAGGCCCCGCCCCCACCATCTGCACCCAAGGCCAAGACGCCTTCCCCAGCACACACCCCTTCAAGCTTTGAGGGGCCATGAGGTCACCGTGATGCTTTGATTCTTGTTCCTGATGTTCCTGCTCTTAGTTCATGGGATCAGCTAGTTTGTTGAGAACCTGCTATGTTCCAAGTGCCTTAGCAGAAGAGTTCGTTGAATTTCCTCCGTCATTCCTCTTGGAGGTAGGCACTGTGTTGTCACTATCATTTTTTCTTCGAGACGGACTCTTGCTCTGTCACCCAGGCTGCAGTGCAGTGGTGCAATGATCTCAGCCCCCTGCAACCTCTGCCTCCTGGGTTCAAGTGATTCTCCTGCCTCAGCCTCCCGAGTAGCTGGGATTACAGGCGCCCACTACCGTGCCCGGCTAATTATTGCATTTTTAGTAGAGACAGGGTTTTGCCATGTTGGCCAGGCTGGTCTCGAACTTCTGGGCTTAAGTGATCTGCCTGCCTCGGCCTCCCAAGGTGCCACTCTCATTGTACTCAAAAGGAAACCAAGGCCTGGAGGGGTGAATCACTCTGCTAAGATCTCCCAGCTGGGAGAGTAGCCAAGACCTGGGGCACCAGCTGTGCCCTGCTACAGAGGAGGCCGGGAGATGGAATCTGGCTGGATGCCCAGGAGGGAGAGGGAACTGGCTGCATGAACAGCCAACCAGTTCCTGCCGAAGAGGCTCCTGGAGAAGGGAATTCTCTGTCCAGCAGCCCCTGGGCTGCTGTGGGTCCTCAAACTGGAATGTCCTTTATTGTTCAAAATACTGGGTTTACACACTACAACATGACAAACCTGAAAACATGGTGCTAACTTTAAAAAGAAGGCAGCACAAAAGGCCACATATTGGATTTGTATGAAATGTCCAGAAATGACATTTGTATGAAACGTCTAGAAGAGGCCAGTCCACGGAGACAGAGAGCAAATGAGTGATTGCAGGGCCTGGAAGGATGGGGTTGACGGGGGCTGCTCATAGGGATGGGGGTTTCTTTTGGGGGTGATGAAAATGTTCTGAAATGGATGGTGGTAATGGTTACACAGCTTGTACATACATTAAAGCCATCAAACGATACACTTTTAATGGGCGAATTGTATAGTATGTGAGTTGTATCTCAATAAAGCATTTTTTAAAATAGCCTTGGGCTGGGCGCAGTGGCTCATGCCTATAATCCCAGCACTTTGGGAGGCCGAGGCAGGCGGATCACCTGAAGTCAGGAGTTCGAGACCAGACTGGCCAACATGGTGAAAGCCCGTCTTTGCTAAAAATACAAAAATTAGCTGGGCCTGGTGGCGGCCACCTGTAGTCCCAGCTACTTGGGAGGCTGAGGCAGGAGAATTGCTTGAACCCGGGAGGCAAAGTTTGCAGTGAGCCGAGATCGCACCACTGCACTCCAGCCTGGGCAACAGAGCAAGACTCCATCTCAAAACAAAAACAAACAAAAAAAAAACCCAAATAGACTGGGGATCCCAGACCTAGGGATCTCATGGACTAATAAAATTAATAAAACTTGGCACTGACCACACGTGTGTGCATGCACATACACACATACAGTCTTCCTCTTTGGAGCAGGGATGTGGCGTCTGTCTTCCCCCACACCCTCCTCCCCTGAGTCTACCAGGAGTTGGCTTTCTCCAGAAAGCACTCCAGCTCCCTGGAGAAAGCATAACAATGCAGGATCTCATTAGGCTATTCAGCGGTGGGCTGTGAATCCCCATTTATTTGGAAGAACCCTATTAAATTTCCCCCTTTCATCCTTCCCCATTAACTAACTAAAGCTTTAAAGGTGGTGGCTGCGGTCCAGGGAAATTCAGGAAACAATGGCATTTTCCCAGCCTGGCCAGTCCTCCGAGGCCCAGTCTGCTTGAGCCCCTTGAACTGCTCTGAGATGCCATGTTCTCCAGGGCCCCCTGGGAGTGGGGGATGCTGACATCACAGGCCCAGGCACAATAGTACTTTAAATCCAGACCCACTGTGGGCTTGGAATTCCTGGCCCTGGTAGAGAAGACACAGCACATATGCAGGTTTCAGGGCCTGCTTTTTCAGGGACTGTCGTAAATGTGGCCTTAGAAGGATAAGGAAGGGGGGCCCTTTGCCTCTGTTTGATTACCTGGCTGAGAACTTTTGTCTCCACCTTCAAGATGGTGCTGAGCAGGAGATAATCCATAATCACAAAACCCTGTGTGCCCCACAGCCTTGCGTGTCCATTAATATTGACCAGGCTCCCCTGGGAGTCCAGGCCAGCTGCTGACAAAGAAAGGGGGTAAAATCCTTTCACTCCCAACAAGAGTCATGGTAGTGGGAAGAGCTAGGCCAGGGGAGGGACTGGCACCTGGTTCCCTCTGTTTCTGACACACACAGCTCAGCAGACAGTGGTGCCAGGGAACACTGATACCTAGGCCAGGCACTGTTCTAGAACTTTAAGGACTGTATCAGCTCTCTGTTGCTGTGTAACAAAGTATGACATGTTTAGCAGCTTACAGCCACACATGTTTATTATCACACAGTTCAACTGGGCCCTCTGCTCTGGGCCTCACTAGGCTGCAGATCAAGGTGTTGGCTAGGACGCAGTCTCAGATGGAGGCTCAACCGTGGAGGAACCCGCCTCCACACTCACTTGGTTTGTTGGCCAGGACGCAGTCTCACCTGGGGACTCGACCGGGGAAGAACCCACCTCCACACTCACTTGGGTTGTTGCCAGTCAGTATTCATTTGTCTGTAGGACTGAGGGCTGCTACGCACCTTCCTATACAAGTTCGTGTGCGGATGGCTGGATGTTTTCAGTTCTGTTGGCTATATGTCTAGGAGTGGAGTTGCTGGGTTGCAGGGTAACCCTATGTTAGACCGTTTGATGGACTGCCAGCTGTTTTGCGAAGCAACTGCATCATTTTACGTTCCCATCAAAAGCACAGGGTTTTCACATTTCGGGGATTAGTTGCTGACACTTCATCATCAGGAGAGTTCAACTTTAAAAAATGGATTCCCAAAGCCAGAAGCGATTGCATCCACCTGTAGTCCCAACTACCTGGGAAGCTGAGGCAGGAGGATCACTTGAGCCCAGGAATTCAAGGCCAGCCTCGGCAACAAGCAAGACCCTGTCTCTTAATAAAAACATGTTTAAAAAGAGGTTCCCAGATTCTTCTTGGAAAATCAGAAGATCTGTCAAGGTGGGGCTCAATTCCATCAAGGTGATACCTGCTGACCCTGGGAAGGGCTGTGGCTGTCTCCTTGCAGTCTCCTCCACTCAATGCCCTTGCAGAGTTTCCCCTCCTGGCCCCTGCGGGGATGTGTGTTCCAACCTCCTGTCCTAGACCACGAGCCCCTTGAGGAAGAGCAGGAGCCCGTCCAAGCTGCCTTTGCAGGAAGCCTGCTGCCTGGTCGGCTCCGTGTCTGTTGAACAATCTTGTGTGCGTTCCTGCCTCTGGCGCCTTGTGCAGGTGCCTCCCACACCTGGAATGCTGTCCCTCCTGTTCCCACTCCCTTTCAAATCCTACTCCTCTTGAAGGCCCACTTCACATTCCAGCTGCTCCAGGAAGCCCGTGCGGATTTCCTCAGACCTTGGGGACCCCTCCCCTTCTCAAACTCCTATAGTACTTGTCATCTGTGCTCCCATCTCCCCCGGTGGTATTCCCTCTTGCCATCTTCTGTTCTCTACTGAAAAGCTGTGTCCCCCAGTTGCTTTGTAAGCTGTCTGAAGTTACAGACAACTGCTTCAGGTCAAACCCGTATCCCTCCAGTTATTGTGTGAGCTCAGATCACTCAGTTCATCTCTTCCTGCCTCCATGCCTTGTTGGAAGGATTAACTATGCTAATCAGTACAAAGCCCTAGATCAGTGCCTGGCACATAGTAGGTGCTCAGTAAAAAGGGTTGTTTTCTCTTTTGTTCCAGTGCTGAGTTGAGTGGAGGGTGAGCCTCACCACAGCCGTGTTTGCTGCCTTCTTTCCTTATACTCACAGTCCCGCTTCCGGGAGCCATCTCCACCCCAGGAGGGGCCTCTCAGCTTCTCTCTCCAGCAGAACCCTGGCCCCCCAGCTCCAGGAGGGACCAGGAGGTGGACAGGGGTCGAGACTGGGGCATGGCACAGCCCTCCCCTGCACCCCTCCAGCCCATCCCCTGGGGGCTTGAATGCAGATGCGGCCCAGCATGACCGGGTGCTGCCCCATAAGCCGTCCCTCGCAGCAGGAGCCTCTGGGGCTGGCTGGAGCTGCCGTCTGTGCTGCATCATGGACACAGTAGCCCCAAGCCTTCCTCTCTCTAGCATCACCCTGCAGCATTTCCTGAGATGACTCAGGGCAAGGCTGCAGGAGTAGCTCAGTCCCCAGGGTGGGAACCACCTTGGTACAGGCCCCAGGGTACCTGCCGTCCTGATGGGCTTACCCTGGGCCCTGAGTGAGTGGATGAATGAATCAAGTGTGCTGGCCTGAGGTGCCGCCGCCTCCTGGCTCCAGCCTAAGCCGCCGGCATGCCTGTGGGATTTGTGGGGGCTGTGGTCTGGCCAGTGTCACCATATGGATCCCATAAATTAAAGCATTCCCGGAAACAAACGGTAAATTTATACGTCCCTTGCATGCAGAGCTGGTGGGGCCTGCGCTTGCCCGAGGAATTCTGAACCATCCATCTCACTTAGGCACTTGGGTTTTATAGCACTAATCCCTAAAAGAAAAAAAAAACAAAAAACCGGATCAACAGAAAGTTGCTTTTCCACAACCCTGCTGTCCCTGGAGCTCATCATTGGGAAGTGGAGGGTCACCAACCCCCACGACAGGGACCTGGTAGCACAGTTCGTTGTTCAAGCTGGGGCTTAGCTCACAACCTCACCAGACGGCAGGCCCTTAGCCTCCCACACCCAGGGCTCTGAAGCCTCTGGCCTGGGCTGACCTTGCCTGTGACCCTGGGCTCCTACCAACTCTTCCTGGAAAGGGGATGGGCCAACAACAGCAGCCCGTCACCAAGACAGAGAGCAGACGCCGACAGCCAGGGCTGAGGGCGGGGAGCAGGGAGCCTTTTAATGGGGACAGAGTTGCTGTGTGGGATGATGAGAAAGTTCTAGAAATGGATGGTGGTAATGGTAGCACAACACTGGGAATGTACTCAGTGCACACTTGGAAATGGTCAGAATGGTAAATTTTGTGTTCGGTATATTTTATGACAATTTTAAAGATTACAGAAAAGTGGCCAGGTGCAGGGGCTCACACCTATAATCCCAGCGCTTTGGGAGGCAGAAGCAGGCGGATCACTTGAGGTCAGGAGTTCGAAACCAGTCTGGCCAACATAGTGAAACCCCATCTCTACTAAAGAAACAAAAAACAAAATGAGCCGGGCATGGGGGCGGGCACCTGTAATCCCAGCTACTCGGGAGGCTGAGGCAGGGGAATCACTTGAACACAGGAGGTGGAGGTTACAGTGAGCTGAGATCACAACACTGCACTCCAGCCTGGGTGACAGAGTGAGACTCCATCTCAAAATAAAATAAAAAATAAAGATTACAAAAAAGTGAGGGCTGTGGGCATGGGATGACCCCCCTGCAGTGTGGACTGAGTTCATCCGTATAGTTATAACTGGTAGTTGGTCATTCCAAGTTCCATGTAGAGCTAGGGACAGGTAGGCCCTTAGTAACGGGCAGTTGGCGTCGTCACCATCAGCATCCCCATCATCGTCGTCGTCATGGTAGTTCTTGCTCGCCTCGGGACCAGTGAGCCCAGGTGCACGCAGGATGGAGAGGCACGTTTTGCAGTTCCTGCAAAAGTGCCCTGAGGCCCGGGGCTGCACCCTTGCAGTCCTGGCCCTCGCACGGGTCCGTTCCCTTGGCAGGGGGCAGCACCCGGGGAGGGACACGGCTGTCAGTGGTCAGTGGCCAGTGTTGCCAGGTCCCAGGAGGGTCCCACCAGTTCTGTGCTCCCTTTGACTCCCCTTGGTGCAGGGACCTAGAAGAAATATCTGTGTTAGTAAGCCACAGGTGAGACTCTGGCCAGCTTGTGGCGTAGAGCTGGTCACCACCAGGACGTGCACCAAACCAGGTGCCGCCCCACCTGTTCTCCTGCAATAAATGAAGACATCACAATCACAGCCTTCCTGTGTCCATTTTTTAAATTTGTTTATTTATTTTTGTAAAGATGGGGTCTCCCTATGTTGCCCAGGCTGGTCTGGAACTCTTAGGCTCAAGCCATCCTCCTGCCTCAGCCTCCCAAAGTGCTGGGATTACAGGCGGGAGCCACCGCGCCTGGCCTGTATCCATTTTGTCATGTTGTAATCAAGGCACTCCAGTTGCTCAGAGAGGTGAGGGGCCTGCCTGCTGCTCCCCGGCTGGTAATAACAGCTCAGGATCGCACCAGGTGCCCGGCGGCCCAGTCTGGAAGAGAGCATCCCCCGGGGGTACTCAGATGAGGGCCTTTCCCTGATTTGCAGGGTGCGGCTGAGATGGTTTGCCCAGCTCTCTGAGCCAAGTGCCAGGCCCCAGGGGATCTCTGGGCAAGCACCACAGAATAAACCTTGTCCCCACCACCGCCAGGGGACAGGACAAGGCTGGACCTTTGGGCTTAGCCTCAGGCTCCCTCTTAGATGCTTCTGGGCTCCGTGCAGTGCTGGCCAGCTGCCGCGAGGGCTCCAGAAGCTCCAGTTTTGGATGGCCAAGAAGATGGGGCTGTGTGGGTGGGACCCCAGCAGCAGGGGTCCAGCCTGGTGTTCCCTAGGCTGGGCTTGCTGGGCAAGGAAGACACTGGCACTGGCCTTACTGAGGACCTGCTCTGCTGTTGCCCTGAGCCAGCCAGTCTGAGTTCCTGATCACCAAGGCCAGGCCATCGTCGGGGAGGAATGGCACCTATGGCCAGAGAGTCCATTCATGCATCATCCCCTGCAGGCATGGCCCAGGCTCACTGTGTCCACCTCTTTTCCTTTCAGCCTGTTTGTGGATCTCTGGAAGCATCTGCAGCCAGCCACCCTCCCACCCGGGAGTCCGAGACCCGGCCACGCGCCCCCACGGAGACCCTGCCCAGAGGCCCCAGGATGGCCCAGGAGCTGAGGCCAGCACAGTGTCTGCAGAGCAGCCGGGAGGAGGACGGACCAGACCTTACTGGTGCAGGTAGACGCCAGCTCTTTTTGTATCTCTGGGTACTGGGCTGGGATGCGGTTGTCCCAGCAGGGATGGGGGCTCCCAGAGCCGAGTTCAGATACAGTTCCGCCTTGTGTCCTCGGCATCCTAGGGGAGAGACCGGGTGCTGGGTCTCCCTTACTGGAGTTTGGATTTTCTCTTCCATACTCCTTAGGGTTCCAAAACCGTAGTTTCATCAACATCCCTGGTTCTCGATACTCTCGCCTGCTGGGCTCCTGGGCTGCCTTTGTTTGTTTATTTACCTATACACTCTCTTGTCTTCATTCATTCATTAAAAAAAATGATGTTATGGATAGTCTTGAGCCCAGAGGGGGTCGTTTCTTGGTTTTCTCAGATGTCAACACACTGTGTCCCAGGTGCACGTGTGCGCTTCTCTTGGGCTGGGCCACGGGGAACCAGGCTGCTCTGTGCGGGGAGATGGCGCTGCCGTCCTCCCCCTCCCACTCCCGCCAGCCACAGGCGTGCTGTGGACCACACCCCCACTCCAAGGCATCCTCAGACACATCCTAAGGGCTTCTGCATGGTGCTTCCCTGAGGCCAGGCGAGGCTGTGCCCTCCTTGGTTAATCGCCGTGTGTGGACCCTTGAGGCTTTGGCTGCTGGGCCTTGGGGCCTGGGCCAGGTCAGATGCTTTGGCTGGGCTTGGACATGTGGTGACCCCCATGATGCGTTTTTATGGCCTCATCCTGAAGCCACCCCTTAGGCCATAGGTTCGTCAGCAAGACCCTCCAGAGGGCTGTGGTCAAGGCTCTGTCCTGCCCCCATCGCTGCCCCCACAGCACGGGAGACTTGAGACCCCCAGCCCAGCCCGCCCCTGGTGCCAACCACAGTGAGGGCAGTGGGTCCAAAGCACCCCATGTTATTGGGCTGAGCCGGGGAGGAGATGGACAGACAGGGGACTGCTGGGGGCCTGGGGACAGCTGGCCCATCCCCCAAGCCCTGGACTTTGATCTGGGACCTCCATCTGCAGGGCAACCCCAATACCGACCTCTTTCTCTTTGTGTGGTAGGCTCCGGGGAAGGGAAGGGGCTGGCCAGGGGCTTTAGGGACGCTGACCCCTCTGAAGGGCTTCCAGACACTGGCGGTTGAGGTCAGGGTGGTCAGGCCACAAAACAGGCCAGGCAGGGACTACTGTCCCCACCTTGTCTGAGGACCTGCTCTGCCGTTGCCTTGAGCCAGCTAATCAGAGCTCCTGATCACAAAAGCCAGGCCATTGTCGGGGAGGAATGGCTAAGAGCCTTGGACAAGTGAGTTTCCCTGCTCCGTGCCTCAGTTTCCTCATTTGGGAAATGGGAAGAAAGCTAATGGGAGTGCCTGGCTCACGGGGCAGATGTGGGGATTAACTCAGCCAGGACCCGAGCGTGTTTGTGACAGGCCTTGGCACCCTCAGTGTTCAGGGTGCAGGCTGGGGCCAGGGAGTTATGATTTGTTTGCGATTTCTCACGCTCAGCTCTGGGTGGCAGCTCAGGCTGGGTCCACACCCACCTGTCACTCAGGACATCCCCAGGGGAGGCTCAGGCAGAGGAGGACACCAGTGTTCCCCTGTGCCTAGGGCAGGCCGGGTGCCCCTGTTTGGCGATGCGTCCTCCTGGGCCTGGCGGCTCACGGGTCAGTGGAGGGCTCCGAGGAGGAGGCAGCTTGCCTGGTTCTCACCGTTTCTCTCCCACAGCTTTGGGCAGAGCCCTGCCCCAGGAAACCAGAGTCCTCCGGAGCAGAACAAGGCCCAGATGGACCCCTAGGCGGAGTTTGGCTGTGGTTTGGGGAGCAGGCCCACCCACTTCTTATCTGAGGGACCTTTGGCAAATGAATGAGTCATCCTGAGCCTCTGTCCTCACATCTGTAAGAGGGAGCCCTAATAGTAGGTGTTGGTAGAGGTTTCGTGGCAACCTCGTGAGCTGATGCTTGTAAGCTGCTTGAAGAGGGCTGGGCACCGAGGAAGAACCAAGTCTGCCTTTTTCCCACTCATGTTGGGACACATGTCCTCCTCCATCAGTGAAACAGTGTCCTGCAGGCCAGAGAGGCTGAGCAATCTGCCTCCACTCACACAGTAGTGAGCGAGGGGGATGGGGCACGAACCCCGACGTCTGGCTCCCGCGCCGAACTCACCCTCGGCACACCAGGCTGCTTCCCTGAGTGCTGGGAGGCCGAGGAGTTTGAGACCAGCCTGGGCAACCCCCAGGCGAAACTCTGTCTCTACAAAAAAATACAAAAATTAGCCGGGCATGGTGGCACGCACCTGTGGTCCCAGCTACTCAGGTGGCTGAGGTGGGAGGATCACTTGATTCCAGGAGGTTGAGGCTGCAGTGAGCCGTGATTGTACCACCACAGCCCAGCCTAGGCGACTGAGCAAGACTCTGTCTCAAAAAAATTTTTTTTAATTAAAAAAATGTTTTAAAACAATCAATTCAGGGGTTTTCAGAGTGACATTTCCAAAAGGAGCCCTTTTTGGAGACCTTTGGGGATGGGGCTGGTCACTCCTGAGTCCCTGGTCCCGGTGGCCACCAGGTCCCTGGAAAGAACCTTGTCTCATCAGCAGGTCCTTGCTGCAACTCACTGCGTACTAGCGGGGTACGTTGGGGGCGGGGGCCTGAGAGTCTGGGGGTGCCAAGAAGGGTGCAGAGGTTGTGGGGGACCCCCGTGAGTGTCCCTGCAACAACGGCTGACCTGGCAAGCCAGGAGCCCCTGCCCTGCGGCCGGGTGGGGGCAGGTGGGGCAGGGCCGGGGCACGAACCTGCGTCTGCCAGCTGCTCCCTGTCAGGCTGCAGCCAAGTCCGGGCAGCTCCTCAGCCAGAGACCCACCAGGAGCATGTCCCGCAGTCAGGCCCCGCCTGGGCAGCCACTGCTGCTCAGAAACGTGACAGTGACTAATGGTTTATTACACACCTGCCACCTCTCATCCGGCAGGCGGGCGGGCGCTGTCTCCCGGGCCCAGCTGTGCACTGCCAGCTGGGCGGCGGGGCGGGTGCAGGGGGAGGGGGCACGTCCAGACATGCAGACGCACGAGACAGACACAGACACAGTACATACACGCAAACACACAGACGAAAGCAGGCACTCGGAGACACAGCTCACAGACATGGCATAGGCACGGGTGCACGCGTAAGTCAGACACACACACACATACGCAGACACATGGGCAGACCCAGCACACACACAGATACACACACAGAAACCCGTGACACACACACACACACCTGCATAGATTTTTCCCAAGCACACGATATGCACGTGGATACACAGACTTACAAGCACAGGGCCACGTGCAGACAGACACAGACCCTGTCTGCACCACAAACATACCACACACAGCCACACACACAGAAGCCAAACATCCTCGCATAGGTGGATACAAGCACAGACTCACATACACATATGCGATACACATATGGATACATACACAGAGTACCCCCACAAACACACAGACACACACGGGCAGAGACAGACAGAGACAGGCACAGACCCCCCCCACACAAACACACAGACACACACAGGGGCAGAGACACACATAGACAGGCACAGACCCCCCACACACAAACACACAGACGCACACGGGGCAGAGACACACATAGACAGGCACAGACCCCCCACACACAAACATACAGACGCACACAAGGGCAGAGACACACAGAGACAGGCACAGACCCCCCCACACACAAACACACACACACACACACAGGGGCAGAGACACACAGAGACAGGCACAGACCCCCCCACACACAAACACACAGACACACACACACAGGACACACATTCCAAATGCCCATCCCCACCACAGCCCCGTCTCCCTCTTTCCAGGCCACGGCCTCAGGGGCACTGAGCCCTCTCAGCCCTCTCTGCCCTCTCTGTCTCTCTGGCCCCCTGCCATGGTGGCCCCACCCTGGCACTGGCTGGGGCAGGAGCCTTTACCAGCAGTGGGGGTGGCCAGGGCAGGTGGCGCGACTGTAACCGCCCAGGGCCGTCCGTTTCTGACCCCCACTTCCCTGGAAATGCCTCGTACGTGGGGACAGCAGCTTTTGCCAGGGAAAGGAAGCAGGTACAGGAGGAGCCTGTGCCGACCTGGGCCCTGGGCAGAGTCCCCCAGGGAAACACGTGGCCGTCAGCTGCCTTGGTCTCCCCCAGAGGCGGGGGTTGTGTGTGTTGTGGAAGGCGGTGATGAGTTTGGTAACACTGGGTTCCCTGCCGTCCCAGACTCCCGGGGCAGCCCACAGAGCTTATCAGACTTGCGTCACTACGGTCGGATAGGGCCACTGCCGTGTCCAGAGTGGGGCCACTCCCGGGCAAAGGCTCCTGGTGGCTGGCCAGGCTCTCACCATGTGGGCAGCTTTGGTTCCCAGGTGTTGCATTTGAAGTGGCCGTCTGGGAGGTGGCCACTTGCTGGCTGCCGGGAGTACAGCTCCAGGGCTGGGGACTCTGCCCTCCTGTGAAGGCCATGAGGAACCCTGGGGCTGGGATTCCTCTGGCAGGCAAGGCCCAAACGGACTGACCAGGCATCTTCAGCTGCCGGGAGAAGGGTGCAACCGAAACCTTGTGATGGATGTCCTTCCCTCGTGGGGCGGGTGAGCAGTTGAGCTCATCTCTTTCCAATACTCTTCGGCCTTTAGTCAAATGAAGACCCATTTCTCATGTGCCATCGCATGCAGTATAAAATCTATTGAGAGGACACTCCTAATTTATCACCAGTGGATGGGAACAGGCTTCCCTAGAACAATTATCTTTGTGTTGTCTGCAGCCACCTTGGGAGAGAAGCAGCACTGGTTGGTGATAGGAGGGAGGGGCTTGGACTCAGGTCCAAGTTTCCAAGTCCTAGCATTACTACTTCCCGGCCATGGAGCCTTCTCAAGGTTCAGGACCTTCCCTGGGCTCAGCTGCTCTGACTACTGAATAGGCATGGTAAAAATAAAATCCTTCTGGTAGCGTGGTGTCAGTGACATTGGATGAACATTGAGAAGGCACTGAGGGCTGCCATGCAAGGCTGTGCAGGTTGCACACTGCACAACTCCCGGAGGCACCATTCTTATTGTGGTCTCTGTGAATGTGCTTTCTGCATGGCCATTGGGGCTGCCGTGTGGCACATCAGTGGTGGCCCTGGAGTAGTGCCACGTGGGCCCTGGGTATCCTTCCTGAGCTGTGAAACCGTTTCTGAAGTGGTTATTGATATCTTTTTTTTTTTTTTTTTTTTTTGAGATGAGGTCTCACTCTGTCGCCCAAGCTGGAGTGCAGTGACATGATCTTGGCTCACTGCAAACTCTGCCTCCCAGGCTCAAGCAATTCTCCCACCTCAGCCTCCCGAGTAGCTGGGATTACAGGCGTACTCCACCATGCCCAGCTAATTTTTTTGTATTTTAATAGACATGGGGTTTCACCATGTTGCCCAGGGTGGTTTCAAACTCCTGAACTCAGGAAATCCACCTGCCTTGGCCTCCCAAAGTGTTGGGATTAGAGGCGTGAGCCACCGCACCCGCTGGATATCATTATTAATACAGATAGCAGATGCCACAGACCCTACCGCTGAGTTTGGGGTGGGGTTGCAGAAAACCAGGCCAAGATTGACTCTCTGCTTATGGCCATGTTCCAGGGGCTCCTCCCTTTCTCACCTGCCATACTGGGGTGTTGCCTTGCTTGACAGGGGTGCTGGGGCTGATTGCCCCTTTGGGGCAGTCTATGGGTTCCTTCTGCCCCAGTAGCTGTCTGCTTTGCCTCCACCCAGAGATCCCTTGTTCTCAGCAGTGCTTGCTCCAGGCTTTGGGGAACCACTGGGCCAGGCCTTACCTCCAACCCTGGCCGACCAGGACTGGACTTGCGTTCCCTATACATGGGTGTCAGAGCCTGTGGTGTCTCCACCTCCTCCTGGCTCTTCCCATGGGGTTTCTCTCTCTGTTCCCAGGGCAGGGCTGATCCCAGCATCCACACACAGCAGAGGAAGGAGGGAGCGAGGGTAATCAAGAGAATGAAAGCACTGAGCTGTTTTCCCACCAGAGGGTGCAGTTGCAAAAGCCTGATTTTCCCATGCTGTGCCTCAGTTTACCCGTGGGTACTGTCACCACCAGTTGCCCTCTGTTGGCCACCTGAGGAAAGGAAAGCCAGCCTCTCCCTGTGGTCTGGGACAGTGGGTGGGGCGGGGGAGAAGAGGAGGGGGCTGGCAGGGTGGGTGGGAGCTGCTGCAGAAGACACAGCATGCCCTCCGTCTCTACTCTGGGCTGATCCAGAAGGTCCCTTCCCTCTGCCTGCTCTTGTGACTTCTGCCTTGCCGATCACCATGGCAGGGGCTTACTTAAGAAGAGGTCTGTGTTTGTTTCCCATGGCTGCTGTGACAATACCACAAACTTCGTGGCTTAAAACAACACTCATTACTCTCACACGCACACATAGTTCTTACAGTGCTGGAGGTCAGAAGTCTGACGTTAGTCTCACTGTGCAAAAATCCCGATGTGGGCAGGGCCTGTTCCTTCTGGGGGCTCCAGGGGAGAATCTGTTTCTGTGCCTTCTGCAGCTTCCTTGGCTGGAGGCCGCCCGCATTCCTTGACTTGCGGCCCCTCCCTCCACCTTAAATCCAGCAACTCAGCGTCTCTCAGACCCTGCTTCCGGGTGGCACCTCCTTCTCTCTCCTCTTCTCCTGCCCCCCTCTCCTACTTAGAAGGCCCCTGTGACTGCACCAGGCCCACGTGGCTAATCCAGGCCCATCTCCCATCTCAAGGTCAGCTGGTTAGCAACCTTAATCCCCTTTTCCCAGGTAAGGTGGCACGTGCACAGGCTGCAGGGATTGGGATGTAGACATCTTTTGAGTCCGTGCTTAGCCTGCAGCCACAGTATTTATAAAGTCAGCTGCATTAGTCAGGGCAGGCACCCCCGGTGCCGTAACAGACAGTCCCAGGGTTCATGGTGGGTCTTCCTGATTGAGTGACTCAGGATCCCGGATTCTCTTCAAGCTGTGGTCTCTGCTTCCTTGGGACTTCCAGAGTGCCCTGATGTCCCATCACCAGCGGGCACGGGCAACAGACACAGGAACACCCCTGGATACTCTCCCGCTGTGGCCTTCCAGTGACCCATGCCGTTCCTGCCCACTTCCCGTTGGCCTGGACCAGCTCACACCCCACCCAGACGCACGGGGAGCAGGACAGCAGCCACTCCCCAGCAACTCTGTCCCCGGCAGAAGGGGCCGAGCCCTGCCATTCTGCTGGGCGGTTCGTCCATGGTCCCACAGTCCCTGAGACGGCACGGGTCAGAGGCTGTCTGTGCGCTGCCCAGGCACTTCCCACTTCTACATGCTCTCCCTGGGTCCTGTGTACTGTGGTTCTGAGGCAGCCCCTGGCTGTCTTCGAGGCTGTCTTTGGAGGCCTGTCCTCAGGCCCCTGCAGCTGCTCTGTAGGAAGGGCTGGGAGCTCTCATCTTTGGGGCAGCCCTTTGCAGCCAGTGACTGGCAGCTGTGGGGTGGGAAGCCCCTTACTTCTGGAGAGAGGAGCCACCCACCCTCCAGAGCTCCTCTGGGACAGGGCTGGGGTCGGGGCTGTGTCTGAAGTCACGCTTGCATCCTCACACCCGCCCCCAGTATCCCCGGGAGACCAGCCTTAGAGATCACGGCGTCCTGGTCTCCCTGTCTGCTTCTGAGAAACCTGCCTGAGACAGCACACGCCCAGGGCCATGGCCTCAGTCTGGTCTATGCAGACAGCACTTCAGACGCACCACTCCTTCACTCCTGCACTCCGCCTCCACCTTCACTCTTCTCTTTTCCCTGTGGACAAAGGGGCAGCTGGTTCACCTGGCTCCTCCCAGGTCAAGCTGGGAACACGAAAGAAGGAAGCCAGCAGAGGGCAAGTACAGACAGGTTCATTGCAGAGCGTAGCCTTGGGGTTCAGCCCCTCAACCTGAGGCTGAGGATCTCTTGGAGCTTGGGGAGCGTCCTTGGGGACCACATTCAGTAGATGGAACCACAGGGCCGTAAGGGTGCGTCCATGTGCATTGCCTGGAAGGTGAAGCTTGTAGAAAGCAAAGGTTTGTAGAAGGCGAAGGTTTGTAGAAGGCGAAGGTTTATAGAAGGTGAAGGTTTATAGTAGCCTACAGCGACTTCATTTCCACTCTCTCTCTTCTAGCCATGTGTTGAAATCAGTTATTCGTTGGGAATGACTAGGCTGTGGATGGCTTTCAGTGTGCATACCTGGACTCCCTCTCCCTGAGTTCCAAACCTGGCTCTGCTCCTTTGGAGCTTCTGCTATGTGGCAGATCGCCTCCCTGTGCCTCAGTTTCCCCATGTGTCAAACGGGGATGACGGGGTTTCAAGAATCAGAGTCCACATCAGATGCTTGCCTGGCACACGGGAATGTGTGAGCTGGGCCTGCCCTGGCAGCGACAGAGAGCTGGTGACCACCAGAAACCCTGGCCCTGGGACGGCTTTTGTCTCTTTTTTGTTGGGCAAATGGGCTCCCAGCCGGGCTTGGGCCTCCACCGCCGGGAAGGCGGGACTGCGCTCGGGTACTGGGCTCCGGCCTCCCGAAGTCCTTGGTAAGCCTTGCCTGTAGCGGCTCCGCTGCCGAGTGCTTTGACACCAGGCGCTCCCAGAGCTCTGCCCCCACTGCCAAGCGGCAGCTGCTCCGGAGGGCACGGGGGGCTGGATTTGGCTGTGGCTTCTCCAGCTCTGCACAAGAGCCCCCCTTCCCTGGCCCTGCTGCAGCATGACTGCCTCCTGGCTCGTGTCACCCACTCTGTCTCTGTCTCTCTTCATACGTTTCCAGCTGAGCTGGGATCCATAGTCTGTTTCCCTCTCCACGACCAATCTATTTATCTTCTCTGGAACTTCTTGTAATGCCGGGAGTGCAGAGCTTACAAGTTGGGGCAGGAAGCTTTAGAAGCCCAGGCAGCCCTGAGAGGCTCTTTCCTTGTAAGTGGGTCTCTCCCCAGGAGCCTCTTGGAATATTTAGCAGGGACTTTTACCCATGCTGGGTCTAGAGACCCTCCCGCCCCTCTGTTTCCTGCCCTCCTACTTAGACTGGGATCTGGTTTCCCTCAGCTGGTTCCCTTGCTAGCGTGTGACTCTGTGTGTCTGTCTGTGACTGGTTTAGATTTGTATGAAATAAAAAAGAAAAGAGAATTTAACTTGGGCAATTGAAAAAACAATACACCAAGCATTGAATAAAAGCAGATCTTTATAACTGGCAAAATTGCTGTTAAGAGGGTCTGTTTACCCTAAACTGGAATTTCTTTCCCAATAAGTTGGTGATAAAGATTTTAGATGGAAAAGACGAGATTGGCTGAGTAGCAGGAGTGGCTGTTCTGGAGCTTAGGGTGGGGTGTCCCCGGGGCAGGGCCAGGGACCCCAGGGACAGAGCCGTGTCACCAGGCACAGACCGTCTCTGCAGGGGCCACTGTGCCTTGGCCCGCCTGGCCACCACCCTGCCGTGGCCTCTGCTCACCCACTGTTCTTCATTCCCCTGACCGGTCCAAGCTGATAAACTGTCACCAGGGACCTCGGCTGGTCCGTTTGGCACCACTGTGGGTTTACGCGGTTTGAAGAGTGCCACCCTTGCCCTCACCCATGACCTTCTAAGTGGGAGCAGACACCACGGGAGAGCTGGGGATCTCTCCTGGCTGGCAACTTCACCACGGCTCCGATCTGACCGAGCTCTGATTGTCTGCCGGCACGTCTGTCTCTGCCGCTACAATGCCGTATGTGTGCCTTTGTTCACAAGTGTTGATTGAACACCACCTGTGTGCTAAAGACCATGCTGGGCATGGGGGGCATAGCAGGGCACACACCAGACACAACCCCTGCCCCGAGAGCAGATATTCAAGAGGAAGGCAGATAACTCCCGAATGAGCAGGTAAAGGAGTGATGCCGGGTGGTGAGAGGGCCACGAAGAAACAGGCAGGGGACAGAGAGACCTGAGGGCGTGGCTTTAGACGGGTGGTCGCAGAGGCCTAAGGAGGTGGCATTTGGCAGAGAGTTCCAGACCAAGCGAAGAGCATATGCAAGGGCCCCGGGGCAGCCAGTGCCTGGCATGCTTACCCTCACCATGAAGGCGGGGACCGTGGCTCCCTGTCCTCGTGATCTCTCCAGTGCGTGGCACAGTGCACATAATAGGTGCTCAGTAAACTTTTGTTGAGTGAATGTGAGCTTTTTAGTCAGCTGTTGCTGGGAGACATGACCAGGGGAGGGCAAATGTAAAGAGGAAATAAGATTCTTTTTTTTTTTTTTTTTTTTCCGAGATGGAGTTTCACTCTTGTTGCCCAGGCTAGAGTGCAATGGCATGATCTCGGCTCACTGCAACCTCTGCCTCCTGGGTTCAAGTGATTCTCCTGCCTCAGCCTCCCAAGTAGCTGGGATTACAGGCATGTGCCACCAAGCCCGGCTAATTGTGTTTTGTATTTTTAGTAGAGACGGGGTTACTCCATGTTGGTCGGGCTGGTCTCGAACTCTCGACCTCAGGTGATCCACCCGCCTCAGCCTCCCAAAGTGCTGGGATTACAGGCGTGAGCCACCGGAAATAAGATTCTTACAAGCACGGAGGGTGCGCGTCTTCCCGAGTTTCCTGGGTCAAGAGCTGATGTTCCAAGCAGGTTCTTACTGCATTCCAGAAGCTTCATTCTCTCTCCAGGACCCAGGGTGGAGTCAACCATCTGGCCTCTCTGGGCAGAACTCTTTGTGCTGGGAGAGTTCTGAAGGTCACTGGAGCATCGGAGGAGAGCCTTGGCTCTCCTGCCGCCTGTTTCACAACTGATTAGATCAGCCCTAAATGCCTTCTCTAAAAGATACAATTCTGACCAGGCACGGTGGCTCCTGCCTGTAATCCCAGCTCTTTGGGAGGCTGAGGCAGGAGGATCGCTTGAGCCCAGGAGTTGTAGATCAACCTGGGCAAGATAATGAGACCACATCTCTACAAAAAATTTTAAAATTAGCTGGGCGTGGTGGTGCACACCTGTAGTCCCAGCTACTCAGGAGGCTGAGGCTGGAGGATCGCTTGAGCCCAGGAGTTCGAGGCTGCAGTGAGCCATGCTTGCATCACTGTACTCCAGCCTGAGTGACAGAGTGAGACCCTGTCACTAAAAAACTAAACTAAACTAAAATTCCATTTGAAATGATGATGAAGTTTAAAATAAAATTCCAGCAACTGTAGACCACCCTGTTTTCTCTAGGGGGCTTCCCAGACTGATTAGATTGGGGTCAAGGGCACTTCAAGGTCACCCGAGAGTGATGGGTCCCCCTCCCTAGGGCATGGACGGCTCTGGGAGGGCTGCGGGCTCCCTGAGTTGAGCACATGGAGGGGGTCCTGCCCAAGCAGCTGCTGTGAGTCGGGTGCTGTGTCTGGAAACAGCACTCTTCCTAGTCATATTATTTCTGTGTTGCTGTAAGAAGTCACCGTGGACTTGGTGGCTTAAACCAAAAGCTTGTTCCCTTACAGTTCTGGAGGTCAGAGCCCTGACTCGGATCTCACGAGGCTAAATTCGAGGTGTGGGCAGGACTGGCTCCTCCTGGAGGCCCTAGGGGAGAAACTGTTCCCTCATCTTTTCCCACTTCTAGGGGCCGTTTCATCTCCTACATCATTCTGACCTCTTGCTGCTGCCTTTTTTTTGAGACAGGATCTCACTCTGTGGCCCAGGCTGGAGTGCAGTGGCGTGATCACGGCTCACTGCAACCTTGACCTCCCTGGGCTCAAGGGATCCTCCCACTTTAGCCTCCCAAGTAGCTGGGATTACAGACATGCGACACCATTCCTGCTTAATGTTTGTATTTTTGTAGAGATGGGGTCTCACTCTGTTGTGCAGGCTGGTCTCAAAATCCAGGCTTCAAGCAGTCCTCCCTCCCAAAGCAGTCCTCAAGCTTCCCAAAGTGCTGGGATTACAGGCATGAGCCCCCACTTGCTCCTGTTCTCACATCTCCCACCACCCACTCCTGCCTCCCTTGCAAGGACCCTGTGACCCCATTAGATGCCCCTCGCCACCCTGGACAGTCCAGGATACTCTCCCCATCTCAAGATTCCAACTCATGTCTGCAAAGTCCCTTCTGCCATAGAAGGTGACATTTTCATAGACTCCGGGGATTAGATGTGGACGTCTTTTGGGGCTGTTATGCAGCCTAACACACTCTCCCTGGCTGGGCTGAGCTGGCTGAGCCTGAGGGGCGTGGTGTCCATGCTCACAATTAGTCATTTATTGAGCGCCGACTGTGTGCCAGGCACTGTTGTAGGTGCTTTGCTGGGACTGGTCCCTCAGCCTCACGGTCATTCTGCAGGGGCAAACTGGGCCCCACTGCCTGGCTCAACCCCAAGGGTGCATTCTGCGTCACCCCGGGTCAGTCCCCTCCTTGGGAACACGGGGCTGATGACGGAGCCCCCTTGAGAGGGTGGCCTCAGTTAGTAACTCCCGAGTTTAGAGCTGGGAGGGCAGCCCTCTAGGTGGTCCCTGCGCCACCCTTGCGGGGCAGGGGCTGGATACTGGCCGGACCCAGGAGGTTCTGGGTGCAGTTTAGCGTTTTCCCAGGAGGTGGCGCAGTGAAGCCCTGGATGCACAGCCAAAGCCAAGCCCTGGGGCTGCCCCCACCCTGTCCCTGGGCACTGGGAATGGCACTCACCCTAGAGACCCAGCCAGGCTCTGCCCCTCCCCTAGCCTCTGAGCAACGCACCCCAGGAGATGGCCAACTGACCCCACCTTCCAGTGCACTGGGCGTCCCTCTGCCTCTGCCTGCCCCTCAAGCAGCTAAGCCATGGTCCTCACCTCTGGTCACTGCTCAACCCGTCTATCCCCAAATACACTAAGATGGGCTCTCACAAGACGCAGAGAACACAGCACGGTGCAACCCAGGAGGGCTCCAGGGAGGAGGCGCACTACTTGAACTGGGCACCCAGACCCTAGGAGGGCAAAGGAGGCCCCTCAGGGGAAAAGAACCTGAAAGTGGATACAGCAATGATGGTGGGCTTCCTCCTTTCCCCTCCCTCTTCTCTTCCCTCCCTCCTTCTCTCCCTCCCTCCTTCTCTCCCTCCCTCCTTCTCTCCCTCCCTCCCATGGGGACGGCTGCTTCTGCCTGGAGCGAGTTCTAGGCCCCAACCCAGGGCTGGACACTGCAGAAGGCCTGGAGTGAGAACCCAGTGTGTGCTGCTGGATGACTCTGCGAGCCCATGGGTGTGACCTGGGCGGGATATCACTCTGTGTGACCACCTTTGGGAACTGGGTTTTCTCTGCTGCCCACGGAGTTGACAGGGAAGGCAGGAAGTGGCTGCCGCAGCTCCCAGCTCCCACTACCCTCCGAGCCAGCCTGGCTCCTGTGTACAGCTTGCAGCAGCCTGTGCCAGGGTGGGGCGGAGGCTGGGAGGGCAGGAGGAGGGCCTGCGCCCGGCGGTGGCTGGCTGTGGCCTGCTCCACACCCTCGCGCTCTCTTCTGGGGAGTTTGCGCCCCACACTGAGTTGTGGGCCTGGGCCTGGAGGGAGCCGGAGGCGTCCTCTTCTCCTCCCACCCTCGCTGCTCCGCCCCCCTCGTTCCTTCCCCAGGCCAAGGGGAGCTGACTGATGACCGAGGCCACCGCTGCTCCTCGGGCTACCAGGCCAGGGCAGGGGGGCCAGGGGCTGGGCCAGGCAGTGCTCATGGACCAGAAGAGCCCCAAGTGGAAAGTGCTCCTGCCGGGTGAGTCCCCGGGGATGGCCCCACGCAGCGCCATGGAGGAGCCAGGGAGTGGGTCTTGGGACAGTGCCCAGACTTCCAGGACAGAAGACGGAGATAGCAAGGAGGGACAGAGGGCCGAGCTGTGACTCGGTGAGGGTGTGCGTCCTGGCTGCAGGGGCTGTATGGGTGCAGATGTGGAGCATGAGTGCTGGCCCAGGGGACGGTGACCTCAGGGACAGGCATAATGGTCCTAGTCTGAGCCCCAGTGCCCAGGCGCAGGCGTTAGGATTCTAAGGGGGCGTGGCAGGGCCTTGGGGCCACAGCTGACAGCCTTCTGGGCACTCCCTGGGCACATCCCAGCTGCCTCTGCTGCTGGCACCCCTATTGTACTGTGCATGGACCCTTACGGGACACAGGCTGGCACAGAGCCTGGCACCAGACACCTGAGGGTGAGCTCAGGGTGCCTCCCATCCTCCCAGCTCACTGGGCCCCTGGGTACTAGGTGGCCCTCTGAGGTCACTGAATCCCACCCTCCTTTCCCGTGGAGGGGGAAACTGAGGCTGCTCAGTAGTCCCGGATGGTGCCAAGCCTAGAACCTGAATGACCCTCTCCCAAGCTTCCTACTGCTTCTGGAAGTGGGAGGAAAAGGGCAGGAGGGGCTGGGAGAGGAGCCAGGCAGCCCTGGCTGAAGGAACGGGCAGAGAGGGAGAGGAAGCGTGCAGAGGGGCTCCGCCTCTGCAGAGCTTCCAGGAGGGCACAGGTGTGTGTGGCACAGGTGACACCAAAGCCCTGGTGCTCCTAGTTCCCTTACCAGGTGGGGTGTAAGCGGCTTCTCACCCTCCCCTTCCTCCATCATGGCTGGTTTCACAGCTAGCGCGGGACTGTGGCCCGGACCCTCCACTCCCTGGCTTGGGCTGTGGAAGATGGATTTGATTTCATTAAGAAGGAACCCCTGGCGGGCGCGGTGGCTTGTGCTTGTGAGATCAAGGTGGGCAGATCACTTGAGCCCAGGAGTTTCAGAACAGCCTGGGCAACATGGCAAAACCCCATCTCTAAAAAACAACACAAACAATAAGCAGAGTATGGTGGCTCATGCCTGTGGTCCCAGCTACCCTGGAGGCTGAGGTGGGAGGCTCACCTTAGCCTGGGAGGTTGAGGCTTCAGTGAGCCGAGATCATGCACACTGCACTCCAACCTGGGTGACAGTGAAACTCTGGACTCTGTCTCACAAAAAAAAAAAAAAAAAAAAAAAGAACACACTACCCTATGGCAAGCACACATTAGCAAGTAGTGCGCACCTCGTGCCCTTCTGCACGTGGGCTGGCTGCGAGGTAGTGAGCTCCCCATCCCTGACCATATTCAAACAGGATTCGTGCAACCCGTCAAGGAGTCTGTGGAGGTCAGAAGAGACCATATTCCTTCTGGGTCTTAGATTCCAGATCCCAGTTCCTCCATGCACCTCATCTGTACTGTAATGAGGATCCTAGCCGCCAGGATTTAGTGAGCACTTACTGTATACCAAGGTTCTTCACCACCCTCGGTGGGCACCAGTTCACCAAATCCTCACCACACCCTGGGAGGTGGGCAGGCTCCTCCCCCTTGTTGCAGATGAGAAGGCTAAGGAGGAGGGGAAAAGTGACTTGCTGACGGTCGTCCCGCCAGTCAGCTGAGTCACAGAGCTGGGTTGCAAAGCCAGGCCATGTGGCACAGAGCTTTCATCCTGACCTCAGTTACAGGAAGTCCACCGGTTAGGAAAGTGTTCTCTAAACTGTGAGACATGCAGAAGTTCTCCAGAATCACCTGCACGGCTTTGACTGTGAGGGCAGTGGGCTGTGGCCTTCTAGGCCCAGGTCCTCTGCCAGGACAGGCAGGTGTCAGCAACAGCAGCAGCCAATGTGGCCATGGGATGCCGGCTCCTTGTCCACCAGGGTGGGTGCCAGGCGCCTGGTAGCAGGCCCAGCTGCCTCGAGGTGCTCCCAGGGATGGATCGCTCCATGCTGGGATCCCCCACTCTCACGCGCTCTCCCTCCACCCCTTTGTCTCAAACAGCCAGGCTGTTGGGGTGCCTTCTCTGATGTCTTCTATCATGGGCTGTTTGTTTGGGTGTCTCTGGTGTCTTCTCTTGTCAAACAGACAAAAAATGGAAAGAAAGCAAGGGAGGGAAGAGCAGAGGAGGGGAGGGGACGAGAACCTCTCCCCCTCCGCTGCTTTCCAGCTCAGCCTGTCTCCCCATTTGTGAAGTAGGGATGCTGTGGCAGCTGCCTCCCGGGGCCCCTGGGAGAATGGGCTGGGGCACTGTGTATAGCAGGGATTCAGTGACCGCATCGCTACTATGTGTCCTCCCAGCCTGGAGTGAGTGTCTGGGAGGGCCACAGGTATGCTGGCCACGGCCTGGAAGAGTCCGCTCAGAGCAGGTGCTCCAGGGAGATTCTGGAGTGAACAGGTGTGTGGCGGGTGGGTGGAGGGACGAAAGGGCGAATGAATGAGCGCTGGCCGCCTTCTCCCGGCAGGCCTGGGGACCCTGGATCCCCGAGGCAGCCCAGGGCAGGGTGATTGTGCTCCTGCCCCACGGTGCCCCACGGTTACCACCGCCACGGCAGGGCCAGTCTCTTTGTCTCTTTCATGAGCGGCAGCCTCCAGGCACCCGCCCGGCCTCCCTCCCCGCTCCCCGCAGGCCCTGTCAGGTCAGCGGCGCCTTATCCATCGCCCCACGGTGGCTGCATGTGCGTATGTGTGTGGGTGTCCACATGTGTCAGGTTCACATGAATCTGTGTACCTGTGTCTGTGTGCACATGTGGTTCTCAGTGTGTATGTGTGTGGTGCTGTATGTGTTGGTGTGTGCACGCGTGGCCCTCAGTGTGTAGTGTGTGTCAGTGTGCATGTGCGTGGTTGCATGTGGCCCTCGGTGTGCAGTGTGTGTCAGTGTGCCTCTGTGTGTTCACGCGTGGCCCTCGGTGTGCAGTGTGTGTCATTGTGCCTGTGCATGGTCGTGCGTGGTCCTCGGTGTGCAGTGTGTGTCAGTGTGTATGTGCGTGGTTGTGTGTGGCCCTCGGTGTGCAGTGTGTGTCAGTGTGCCTCTGTGTGGTCGCGCGTGGCCCTCGGTGTGCAGTGTGTGTCATTGTGTATGTGTGTGGTTGTGTGTGGCCCTCCGTGTGCAGTGTGTGTCAGTGTGCATGTCTGTGTCTGTGTCCATGTGCATTTTTGTGTGCACATGTATGATTGTGTGTGGGTGTGTGGCTCTCAGTGTATAATGTGTGTCAGTGTGTGCGTGTGTGTGTGTGTGTGTGCGCGCGCGCGTGCACAGGTAGCTCCTAGCGTGTTGTGTGGTGTGATGTACAGGTCTCAGGGTGTGTGGCTGCCATGGCCAGGCTGAGGGCAGTAGCGTGGAGGCAATAGCTTTGGCAGCCAGCCAGGCCCATGACCCTGGAGGGGGTAGGGGGTGGATGGGCCCAGTGGATGCGTTCGAGCTGCTGGTTTGGTGAGGGCTGTGGAGGAGGGAGGCGCCCACGCAGTTTCGGGACCCTCGCCAACCTCCTCTTGGGCTGCCTTCTGCCTCACTGAGGACGGACAGCCCCCATCCTCTGTGGGGTGAAGACAAATGAGGGACGAAGACAGTCCTTCCTCTCGTCACTCCTCCTGGTGATGGTGACATTGTGCCTTCCCTTTGGGGCCGAGGCCATCCCAATTGGGCACCCCTTTGCCCCCGAGTGTCATGGTAGAAAACAGGGCTGCGGCCCCAGCGTTCTGGGTTTTGATCCTGGCGCAGCCACTCGCTGCTGTGTGACCTGGATGAGCCACCTAATCTCTCTGCACTGCTGCCGGCCATCAAGGGGAGTCAGCAGCCCCTCACGGGCTGGGACTGTAGGATAGAGTGAGTTGGGGTGCGAGGCCCTCAGGACACCCAGCTCAGGCTGTGCGAGCTGCCGGCACCCTGCCTGTCACTGCCACTCTTGTCATTACTAATCCCCTTGCCTGGGAGCTTCTGGATCCCAGTGTCACCTCCCAGGCCCCAGGTGCCTTTTCGGGCCACCCAGAGCCCATGCCTTGGCCCTGCCAAGTCACCTCACCTCCCCCAGGTGAGGGGCAATGCAGGAGTCTCAGATGAGCAGGACCGCAGCCATGAGGGAGGTTCCCGCCTCATCTTCACCAGGCCCAGGGCGCCCATTAAGGTGGGACCCAGTCCAGCCCCCATATCTGGGAAGCAGCGGGTGTCACAAAGAGCCACAGCTGGGCAGCACCAGTGCTGGTGGGGTGCAGGGCAGCCGGATGCCAAGACCCTGAGACCCCCAAGCCTGCCTGGGGCCATGCAGGGCTTAAGCGGTGGGTTTGCTGGTGTTCAAGCAGGTATAGGGGAAGCTGGGGTGGAGACTGGAGTTTGGACACCTCTGACTCTGTCTTCCCTCGCCGGGCACCTCCCAGGCAGCACCCAGAGCGCCATGAGCCCAGGCTGGGCCAGCACAGGCGAGGGAACCACACAGGCCTGCCTGTCTCTCCCGGGGGCAGCTCCGTAGCCACACTGCCCGCCTCCAGTACCCTGGCCCCTGTGACTCTCTCCCCTTCACCAAGTGAGATACTGGAAGGGAAAGAACATGTATTAAGTGCCTACTGCATGCCAGCTCTCGTGCGCATGTCAACTCCACCATCAGCCCCATTTTATAGGTGAAGAAACAGGCTCAGAGACGTGTGAGGTTTGCCCCAGGTGTGCCGGGGGCCTGGCTGCAGCCCAGCAGTTCTGAAGCTGGAATTCCCACAGGGAACCAGACCCCACACTCCAACTTGGCCTCCCTTCTGCTATGTGGATTTCTCCTTGGGCCTGAGCAACTGCCCCCAACCCTCACGGTCCTCACCCCCGCCAAAGAAGGTACAGACTCCAGGCTTCTCTCTTTTCATCCCCAGCCCAAACAAGCTCTGCACCCGCTGTTCTGCCTCCCCTGGCAAGCAGAACATGGTGAGATGGCCGCAGAGAGGCCCAGGAACCAGACCCCACAGGCACATCTGAGCCTGAGTTTCTCTCTCCGGGAAATGGGGATGATCGAGGAGCTCGACCTCGGTTAGTCCTGGGGAGGTGCCTGGGTGCCTGGCACAGTGCCCCTGCCCGTTAGGATTACTGCAACTGTTGGAACCCTGCCCTTCTGCTCCCGGCCCATTAGGGCTGGGCTGGGGTGAGTTCGGTGGCTGCGCGGGCTGGTCTGGCCACCTCCTGGCTCCTTGATGGCAGATTTGGGCACAGAAAGAGCCTGTGGCCGGGTGGTGTGGGCAGAGTGGGCTGGGGGCTCTGCCCTCCCTGCCTGCCTGCCGGGCGTGTGGTCCTGGCTGGAGACACAGGAACACAGCCCTGGCTCTGTTCTCGAAGTCGTGGGAGGCGGGCTGTCACCACAGTGGCTGGGAGCTGGAGGCCAGCCCAGAGGGAGAGAGGACGCCATGTCTGTGCCCTCACCCTTCAGCACAGGCCCTGCCAAGCCACAGGTGCCTCTGCTGCACAGGGAGTGAGAGGGGGCTTTGCTGGGCAGAGAGCAGGGGGCTGGGGCTGGGAGATGGAGGTGGGGGCTGTGAAGGGGAGGACAGGACAGCAAGGATTGCTGGGAAAAGAGGCTGTGTCCGTGGTGCCATAGGCCTCTCTGCACACCCCTCCGCACACCGCACACCGCACACCCGGCCCCGCGTTACCCGACGGCCCCTCCTGTTGTGCAGGTTGCACGCTGTGCAGTCGCGGGTGGCCGTTTGGCCAGAGTTGCCCAGTGTGAGTGACCCAGGCCTGCCTCCCACCTTCACCGACCACGTGTTGATTTTTGGTTCTGGAATTCTGATCACCTTATTTTTTATTGTAAGCCTGGAATGTTGACAAGGTTGCCGTGTGTGCACAGTTGTGGATGACGGGGTACCCCTGGTAGGCCGCACGTGGTCTGAGGATTTGGGGGCTGCAGGAAGCCGTTTCTGTCCTCAGGGGACAGAAGAACATCTCTCTGTGCTTCTCTCTGGGTGTGTCACGCATCCCACTCTCCACAGGCATCTGTGCGGTGTCTGAATTGCAGGGTGCCATGCTGCACAGCCCCCAGTGGTTCGGGTCTGGCCTGTTCTCCCCCTTGGCTCCTGGCCCCCCTTGCCAAGAAATAAAATTCTTAACTCAAGGACTCTGGTTTGGGCTGCTGGCTCCCTCAGATCCCTGGGGAAAGAGATGCCAATGGAAACCTCTCCTGGCTGTGTGACCTTGGGCAAGTTACCTACCCTCTCTGTGCCTTAGCTGTCTATCTGAATGAAGGAAGGACTGATAGAATATGTGGTAGGGCTGGAGGCAGTTAAATGAGATGATGATGAGGGCACTGTGAGAAGGAACAGTAAGCAAGCGTAAGCAGCAGTTCTCACCCCACATGCCCTGGGCAGAAGCCACTGCTTCCTGCTTTCCTGTGACACCTGGAGGTCCTGCAGGCAGGGGGCCGGGGCTCCCCTCTGTTGTTCCCGGGAGTGGCCGGCACCAGGCCTAGCCCAGGGTGAGCCCCAGATTTGTAAACATGGGCAGGGTTGCAGGAGGAGGCTCCCTGCGGGTGGCCTTCCAAATGGCCCGGCATCCACATGTGCAGGAGCTGGGGGGAGGGCATGGGCCCCCAATCCTCGTCCACACCAGCATCCACCTCCTGGTACAGGGGAAACCGCAGGGCCTGGCCGCTCCTTGGGCAGCCTCTCAGCCTTATCTTGGCCTTCTGCAGACAGCCCTGTCTCCAGGAAGGGCTCTATCGGCTCCGTCATCTGCACCCCGGGCTTGGGAACACATGTGGTCAAGTGGATTTTTCTGGGAATGGCAGCCACGTCTCTTGGAGACAGACCCCCACCCCCATCCCCCGCCACCACCCGGTGCCAGGGCTCGGGGCAGGGCCCTGGGCCAGTGGGGGCCAGCTTGGGGCAGGGCTGAGGAGGGCAGTGGGGGTAGGGCTCCCTCCTCCGTGGCAGGCTCTAGAAAGGCCAAGCTTCTAGACTCCCCTCTGGGACTCTGTGATGTTCAGGTTCCGCCAGCCCCTCCCTCAGCTGGGTCGGTGTCCTCCATGCTGCTGCCTGCCCATCCACTCCAGGCCAGGCGGCTTGGGGCAGCCTCCTGGGGGCAGTCTCCTCTCTGTGCCAGGAGGCAGTCAGGGGTCCCAGCCTGCGCCTGGCAGTGTGGGCATGTGTGGGAGGGTGGAGGCAGGAAGCCTTTCACTTAGGAGCTGTGAGCCACGGGAAGTCTGCTCAGCCTCCCTGACTTCCCCCAGGGCCAGAGAGACCCCAGGCTCTCCCTCTCTATAATCAGCACCATGACAGCGTACACATGCAGCGCTCACCAGACAGGGCAGCCCTGCTTGGCGCCCTTCGTGCTGATTGATTTTTTGAATCCTCCCATGGCTCTCATGAGGCAGGCACAGTTGCTGACCCATCTTAGAGACCAGGAGACCGAGGCCCAGGCGAACCTTTGCCCCCTGCAGCCCTGTGCCTGCCCTGAGTCTCTGGGCAGTGCCAGGAAGGCAACTTGGGGATGGAAAGCACCTGCCAGTCCCCTCCCCACCTTCGTCCCTGTCCTTGTGGCTACCCCCGTGCTGCTCTGCAGTCTCCTCCCGGCTCTGCTGTTGCTCCCTCTCCTCCACTTGAGAACTTCCCTGAACCAGTACTGAGGGTGGCCAAATTGGATGCTCCCCAACTCCTGCAAATGCCAGAGGACTTGAGAATTAAAATATCCAGGTTCAAGTTCAGATCCTGGCTCTGGGTCTCACTGGCCAGACAGCCTTGGGCAAGCCACCTATCGCCTGCACCATGCACAGAGCCACACACCTCTCCCACAGAGCCGCTATGACTCTCCCCAGAGAGCTGCCATCTCCCTGCACTCTCCCCAGAGAGCTGCTATCTCCCTGGACTTCCGGGGCCCGGCCTACCTCTTCCTCGATGGCTGCCCCTCCCTGGGCCTCAGCACCCTCCTCGCTGGGCCTCCTCCGCATGCAGTGCCATCTGGCAGAGGGAGTGTGTTGCACCAATCAACTCCAATCCTGGTCTGGTGTCCACACTAGCTGAGCAGCTTCCAGAAAGGCAGAGTTTCCATCCGTTTTGCTCCTCTCCATCACCCCCAGTGCCTAGAATGGTGCCTGGCCCCGTGAGGTGGCCCTCGGAAAAACCTTGTCAGATGTAGAAGGGAGAACACAGAGTGGTCTTCCCCTCCTCTTCTCCCACAGACCCCTCCCTGCTCCTGAGAAGATTCCAGGAGGTCTCCCTGGAACATAGTAGGTGCTTCCATGTATTGGTTCCTTCCTCACCCCGTGGTGAGCACAGCTCAGGTCTCCTGGGACCCCTGGGTTCTCATGGACCATCCAAGGTCTTACTTAGAAGCAGCAGCCCAGCTCCTGGGGTACGTTTTCCTGTGGCCCCTCCCTCCATTGCAGGTCAGACAGCTGGGCCTGGACCCTGCTCCCTGCCAGGCCACTGAAGGGGCGCCAGGAGTCCCGGAGTCCCCTCAGCCTGGCTGTGCACTTCCTTTGCTACTGGATCCTGGGCCCTGCCAGAGCCCAGCAGCCATGGCCTAGGGGTTGAGGGAAGCAGATCGCTGTGCTCCTCCCCCAGCTCCTGCTCCCTGGCCTAAGGTCACCAAAGAGAAGACCTTTGCTGGTTCTAAGACGTAGCCATTAGCTGGCCCCTTGGCCTGCCTGTCCATGCCAGGCTGCCCCAGACAACATCTACCAAGACCCTACCCCTGCCCTGCCAAGCATGGTGGGCAAAGGGGCTTTAATTTCCAAATCCAAGGACAGAACAGCAGGTGTTTGGCCTTGGGAAGCCCAAGCATTGCCATTTCTAGAACATTCTGATGGGCTAAAAGGGTCATAACTCTCTAATTTGAACTTGGACATTCACCATAGCTGTGAACAGCTGTGATCCTTTGTACTCAGGGATCATCAAGTCCAGCTGGGCGGGCAGGGCTCTTATACCCCAAGGATTAGGGCATGTGGCTGAGGCAGTCTGGGAGGGCTCCCTAGAGGAGGAGAGGTGGAGGCTGTGACTTGAAAGATTCCAGGACGCAAAGGAGAGTAGTTAAGGTCTTCTTGGAGGCAGAGGGAGACAAGTCCAAGAGGGGAGGAGGTGGCACTCCAGGGCCTCATCTAAATTGTGGCAGTGCTAAAACCACCCTCTAAATCCTCCCTGAGCCCTTGGCCAACCCCACTGTTCAGCAGGTGATGAATCTGTAGCGTAGGGAACCATTTGGTGAAACAGGATAGAAGCAGGGTGAGGCAAGGTGGGAGGACACCCCCCCTCCACCCGCCACCCTGGTACCCCCAGCTCCCAACACTGCCCGCCGGGGGAGGCCTCTCATCCCTCATGGTCGAGGTTTAGTGTGGCATCTCAGACGTTTGATCTGTGCTCTGCATTAGACGGTAGCTATTTGAAATCTTGACATCAACAAGGTTAACAAATTGGCTCCATTTGGCGTGGCCCCGGACCTAATTAGATCTAATTAATACTCACTGGGGGTCCTGCATCAAGCCGCAATCCATCATCCAGCCTCGCAAACAGCCCTCCGCTGCTCCTCCAGCTGAAGGGAGTGTCGCCCTGCCAAGCTGGGAGACCGTCCTTCTCCCTGGTCTTTGCATTTTCTTTGGGGAGCTGTGAATTTCCAGTGGGCATGGGAACGCGGTGAGCCCTGGTAAAGTCTTTGCAATGCGTGTTACTTTAATTTTTTAAAGTTGAGGTAAAATTCACCTAACACAAAATTAACTGGAAGCAAACAATTCAGTGGCATTTAGGACCTTCACAGTGCTGTGCAAACACCACCTCCGTCCAGTGCAAAAACATTTCGTCACCCCAAAAGGAAATCCCAGACGCATTAGCTCTGCCGTTCCTCACTCCCCCACCTTCCTTTCCAGTCCCTGGCAACCATCGATCTACTTTCTGTTTTTATGAATCTTCCTATTCTGGACGTTTCACAGAAATGGAATCGTACCGTTTGTAGCCTTTTGTGTCTGGCTTCTTTCACTCAGCGTGGTGTCTTCCAGGTTCATCCACGTTGCGGCCCGAATCCGAACTTCATCCCTTTTTATGGCCGAATAATATTTCATTGTGTGGATAGACCCCATGTTATGTATTTGTCCTTCTGTTGGTGACACTTGGGCTGTCCCCAGGTTTGGGCTATGGTGAAGAATGCTGCTGGGAACATGAGTGTGCAAATTGGTCCTTGAACACCTGTTTTCCCTTCTTCTGGGTATAGATCTCCACAGAGGGGATCTGATAGGCCACGGTATCCTTTTCATTTTGTTTAACAAGCACATACGTAGCTCTTGTTGGGTGCCAATTTAATATTCATAACCTCACTAAGAGGGAGGTACTGTTACCTCCGTTTTACAGATGAGCAAACTGAGGCTATGTGGGTTTAACAGGCAGGATTTGAACCAGGCAGCCAGATGCTGCTGGCTTTCACTAGTCAGTGTAGTAATTTGGCATCAAGGCCACCAGGTCTGAGCGGCCCTTGGGAACTGCTTCTCAGGGTTGCAGGCCCAGGAGGCCTCCCTTGTGCAAATCACTCCTCAGGATGCTGTTGGGTGACCCTGAGGCCGGTGCATCTGTTCACAGAAATGTCACTGCAAAGCAAGCTAGAGGGGCAGCCTCTCCCTGTCAGGGTCCCCTGCCTGACACCCGCCTGGGGGCATCTCACCGGGCTGGGGCCAGGCTTCCAGGCCTGCTCACAGAGTGCCTGAGGAAGTCTGGTCCCAGGCCCAGGAATAAATAACAGGCGTGCAGGCTGTCAGCCAAGCTGGCTCTCAGGTCTCCTGGAGCTCCACAGAGCCCCGGCTTTCTGTTGATCTGATCTCCTGTGGTCTCTTGGCTCCTCCGCTGTGATCAATCTTGCGGCCCTGGGCTGGCCGGGCAGTCACCCCCACGCAATGTGGTTATCTCCTGGCCACACATCGCTGCTGGGGCCCGGGGCTCGCTCAGGCGGCCCTCGATGGCTCATCTCCCCTGCCTGATCTCCCGTCCTGGTCATTCTCCAGCCCGCCCTTATCTCAGTGTCTGGGCTCTTCCTTTACTTGCAAACCGTGACTGTGGTGGGGGCAGGGACGGCCGCCTTGTAGTCACCAGACCCTCTGAGACAGGATTTGCTTCCCACACAAGGCTAATCAGGTCCATAGGCCCTGGACGAGGGCTCCTCTGTTTCAGAGGCCACATGGTGACCCGCTGCCCCTGCAATGTGCAGAATTGGGTAAAATCGCTCCCAGTCACACAGCTGGGAGGGACCCTGGGAAGATGCACGTGGTCTGCCCCTCACTTTCCCGATGAGACAGCAGAGCCCTTGAAAGCAGGGGGTACCTGCCTGTGCCCGGGCTCGGAGCCCACACCCGGAGATGCTGGGTAAGATGGGAGGGACAGAATGGGGAGCAGGGAAGCAGATCCAGAGCCAAAGCACTGCCAAATAACAGCAGAAGCCCCAGGCCATCAAGAGCATGGCACCTCACACATGCACACACACACACAGCCATGTGCACACTCAAGCATGTGCACACACATGTATGCACACCCATGCATGCACACACACAACACATGCACACACACTCATACACACATGCACAAACACACTCATGCACACACATGCATACATGTGCACACACAGCACACATGCACACACACCGTGCACACACACGCATACACTTGTGCACACATACATGCACACACGCGCACACAACACGTACACATGCACACACGTGCACACACATGCACGCTCACACGCACACATGTGCACATACAACACATGCACACACGGTTGCACCCACACATGCACACACACACCGTGTACATGCATGTGCGCACACACACACATGTAATCACAGCCTTAGTGCACAAGCATGCCTGTGCACCCACACACAGCTCTTGACACAAACACCATAACACACCCATATATACAGTAGACACCTGGGTACACAGTGCACATTTGCACACACACATCCACACACAGCCCTCTGTACATAAACACACACATTCACATGCACACACAGCCTGTCACACACTTGAGCATACACACAGTTCCCAGCACACATGCATGTGCACAAACATGTACATACACAGTCCTCAGCACACACACACCGTGACATACACCTGCACCCAATAGACAGCTGCATACACACAGCACACATACACTCACACACATGCACACACACGCACACACAGCCTCTGTACATAGATACGCACGCATTCACATGTACACACAGTCTGTCACACATTTGAACATACACGCAGAGCTCCCAGCACACACACACACACACACGCACACCTGCGTCTCTCTCTCTCTCTCTCTCTCTCTCTCTCTCTCTCTCTCTCTCTCTGACACTCATACTCCTCCTCCTCCTCCAGACCAGCCTGGGTGACCATGAGTTTCCTCAGAAGCCGACCACATGGACTCTTCCTGCCTCCCTCTCATTGCCTCATGGGTGTCTGTCCACTTGGGGAGGGGAGCAGAGGCCAAGAGGAGAGAGTGGCTGGCTCGTGAGGGTGGCTGACCCTGGCAGGGTTAAGAGGGGTCTACCGTTAAAGGGTCCCCATGAAGGCAGGAAGTCATCCAGCCGAGAATGGGAGGACCACACAGACCTCTTTCCTACAGAGCTTGGGGTCAGAGTGGACCACTGGTCTCTGGGCCAGTGGCATGGGGTCCACAGGATTGTGTCCTTGGCCCAGGAGCTGCTGTCCTCAATCCTTGGCCATCCTCACAGGGGCTTGGCCGCCACCCCTGACTGCTTCAAAGCCTCTTGGGCTTTCCCTCCAGAATCCAGTTCAGGCCAGTGATCACATCCACATGGGCAGAGCCTCCTTTTTCCAGGCTGCTCCAGAGAGCACGTCTCCCTCGACCCTCCGGCCTTGCTATGCACAATCAATGCCACTCCCCTTACAGGGGGGCACAGACTCAAAGGAGGGGAGGGAGGTGCTATTGTGAACACGGACAGGTGACTGCCCAGCCCAGGCTTCCTGATGGGGGCCCCGAGACCCTCTCCGAGAGGAGCAAGAAACACACGTGCCTTGCTCTGTGTGGGTGCGGCCGGGTGGCGAGCGGCCCATCCTGGGAGGGCTGGAGAACCTCCCCCTTGCCCATAGCGTGGCAGATGGGCCAAGGGCTCCACTTCCTCCCACCTCTGCTGTTTACTGGCTGTGTGACCTCAGACCATTCTCTCAACCTCTCTGAGCTTTTATTTCCACATCTATACATGGGACCAAGGATAGCCCCAATCCCAGACCTTGCCAGATGTGTCAGAGGGTCCTGCAGTGTGTGCAGCACCAGGCCTGTACACATGGTGCCGACTGGCATCATGAGGGAGGTTTCCTTTACTGTTCCTTGCCCCTGGGCCTCACTTTCCCTTCTCCTGCAAGCTGGGACCTGTGCAGGCGGTGGCTCAGCCTACAGAAGGGCTGGGAACTCACGGCCAGGCGTGTGGGTGGATTGTTCTGGATGCCTCAGAGCCCTGTTCTTCAGGGACCTTGATGAGCTCCAGCTAATGAAGCCCAGGCTCTCCTGAGGGGACAAGATGTTGATGGAGGCGTGGAGGACTGGAAACAGGTCCTCCAGCGCCAGGATCCAGGAGGGAACACACAGGAGGGGACAGAGCAGGCCTGTCCGAGTCTTGCTGGGCTTTTCTGCACCCTGGGGGCCCTCAGGCAAGCAGCCAAGCAGGTAGGAGATCCGGCCTTGCATCCGGCCTGCCGCAGACCCAGCAGGTTAGCGTGCTGTGCACACCTGCCCCGCCCGCCCTGGCCTCGGATTGGCTCGGCCAGATGCTTTCAGAAACACTTCCCATCATAAAAGTCTCACTGGCTCCGCCACCTGCCCCGGGCCCTGTTGCTCCGCCAGTCAGGAGACAAGTCTGTTCTCGCCAAGGAAGCCCTTTGTGCCACCCTGGGCCGAGCCACATGGGGCTTGGGATGGGTGCCTGGGGCAGGGCACCCGCAGCAGGTGTTTTGGGGTGGGTGCCTCCAGCCTGTGGCTGCTTGTCCGGGGCAGGAGGCTGGGAGGAGAAGGGGAGTCACATCAGCTGTGCGTCTCTGGCCCAGGTGCAGGCAGGGCTCCTCTCAACTGCCCCTTGCCCCTGACGCCATCTGTGTGTGAGGCCAGGGCTCCCAGAAGAGTGTGGTATGGCCCCCACTATTGGAGTCACCATGCAGAGGGGGCCAGACGCCTGGACAGAGACTCAAAGCCACACAGAGACCGGGCTGGGTGGGACATACTTGCCTCCCACCACTACCCGTGGCAGACAGCTCCTTCTCGGGGGCCCTGGGGAGCAGGGCAGGAAGCCAAGCGGAGTTTGTGGCTGAGGTGGAACCCTGGTGGAGGAGGGGTGTCCGCAGCCTCTGCACCCAGCAAGTCCCGTGGCACCCCCAGGGCCAGCCTGGCTGCTGACAGATGGTCATGAGACCCGGGGAGTCTGATGAAGTTCATTTTTCACCTGCACGTGTTTTCGCCTCCCCGCTCTCGCGAGGCAGCCGGCCATCCATCCTGGAGCCCTTCCGAGGCCTCGGCGGTAATGGGGTCATAGATCACTCCCTGGTGGAGACAGAGCTGGACAGGGGGAGGGGAGCCATTAAGAATGACCGCGGGTGACCCCCGGGCCAGGACGGCTCCAGCTCCAGCTCCAGCTTGAGACGGGGCGTGCACAGCCCTGAACCTGGGTGTGGGCTAGATAGGGGTATGGGGTGCTTTCAGGCCTGGCTCAAGCCCCATTGGGGAGGGGTGGGCAGGGAGCGAACCCCCATTCCCCGAGGGTACACCCAGGGAGGGCATCACTCTGCGGGGCTGTCTGGGCCTCCCGTGGCCATGGGATAGCGGCGCTTCTGGTCAAGGCCTCTCTGTGACAGGTCAGGGTTGAGGGGTCACTGGCTCAGAGACTACCACCCCCTCCCACCCTGTTTAAATATGGTGGTTCAGGTGGAACCCTCCCACGCCCTGCCCCCTGTTTGGGCTCAGCATTGTGGCCAGCAGAGCTGAACAAGGCCCTGACGCCGTGGCAGGTGCCTGGCCCAATGCATCCTGCCTGCGTGCCTGACACCAGGATGGACGGCTGACTCTAGGTGGGGAGTTGGATGCTGCCTGGGTCAAACCTGGTCATGCCATCTTACTGTGCAAATGAGTAAGTCTCTTGCCCCATCTTACCTCAGTTTCCCCCATAGGCAAAATGACAATAATAAAGATATGACGTAACGCACGGGGGTTTGAGATGATAGGGTGAGCTGTCGCCATGACGGGCTATGTCTGGCAGCTTGGGCACCTACTGCCTCAGAAGCGGTGTCTGTGGTTATTGTCATCCTTCTCATCATCACTGTCATAGTGGTGGCTCAGAGCATGGCTTCTGGTCCCAGCTGTGTCGGCTGTGTGGCCTGGAGGAGATGCTAAACCCTCTCTGGGCCTCCCTCAGTTTTGTGACCCGAGTGTTCAGCACGATTGTGCGTGAAACGCCTTGGAAGGAGGCTGGCCTGAGTCAGTGGTCAGGAAAGTCGACCTCACTTAGTGGGTGCTGGAAACAGCTCCCCCGCCATGCTGCCCTCCTGGGACACCCCTTCCAGAGGCTTCTCCTGGAGTTCTTGTTACCAGATTTTACCCTATGGGTGCTGGAGGGGAGGGAAGGGGCCAGGGTGCCATTCCTGGGGTGCCTCTTGGGGTGGCCCTGGCTGCTGGCTTTGGCTGGGTGGACTTTGGAAGGGACAACTGGACAGCTCCCACTGAAGGTTCTGGGGCTCCCTGGGGCCACGCAGCATCACACAGGGTCTTCTAGCACCAGCTCCCTGAGTTCTTGACAATTTGAACGTGAGGTTCTCAGAAACCACTTGAAAGACAGAAAGGAGTGATAGTGGGGTGCCCCTGCCACTGCCCGACCACCGTGGTTTCTAGATGGCCCTTCCAGCCCAGATGCCACAGGTACTGGAGTCCAGCACAGGGTGCTGTGCACAACGGACACCGGGCCTAAGGAGGGTGGTGGGAGCCCCCTGCACCCATGGTCCAGCCCCAGGCCTCTCCTGAGTCTCACGCCCAGTGACTCCCCAGAACCCCCCACTTTCCCGACGCCTTGCCATTTGCCACAGGCTGTGGAACGCTGGGAGTGCTGCGAGGTCTGGCCTCAGCCTCCCTCCTAGCCCCCCTCCTCAACCCCCCACGCATGCTGAAGCCGTTGTGGCTCCTGCTCTGTGGTCCTGCCCCAGGGCCTTTGCATCTGCTGTCCCTTCAGCCTGCGATGCTCTTTCCACAGAACTTTGCGGGACTGGCTTCTTCCCAGCCTTCAGGCCTCACTCAAATGTCACCTCATTGGTGAGGCCCTCCAGGATCACCTGACCTGGTGGCCCCTCTCCTCCAGGACATCACCTGCTTTCATGTTACCTTGGGTTGCTTTCTTCCTCTTGCTTATCACCAACTATCCAAAACTGTCTTGTTCATTGATTTTCTTCTTTTAAACATCTCTCTCCCTTGGTTAGAACATAAGCTTTGTGAGAACTCATTCATCTGTGTAGTTCACTATGTCACCAGAACACATTAGTGATAGTGCTTTGGTACAAAGTAGGTGATCAGTAAGTACTTATTGGTTAGACAAATGGGTGAATGAAAATGGATGGGTGTATGTTTGCATGGACGGATGATTGGATGATTGGTTGGATGGGTGGGTGGATGGATGGATTTGTGAGTGGATAGGTGGGTGAGTGGATGGATGGATGGATGGATGGATGGATAAAGGGATGGATGGGTAGGTAGATGGGTGAGTGGATGGGTGGGTGGATGGATGGATGGATGGATGGATGGATGGATGGATGGATGAACAGATGGATGGGTGGGTAGATGGGTGAGTGGATGGGTGGGTGGATGGATGGATGGATGGATTGGTGAGTGGATGGGTAAGTGGACGGATGGATGGATGGATGTATGGATTGGTGAATGAATGGGTGAGTGGGTGGATGGGTGGGTGGATGGATGGATGGATGGATGGAGGGATGGATGGTTGGATACATACATGGGTGGATGGATGGATGGATGAATGGATGTATGGCTGGATGGATGGGTGAGTGGATGGGTGGGTGGATGGATGGATGGATGGATGGATGGATGGATGGATGAATGGATGTATGGCTGGATGGATGGGTGAGTGGATGGGCGGGTGGGTGGATGGATGGATGGATGGATGGATGGATGGATGGATACACAGGTGGGTGGATGGATGGATGAACAGATGGATGAGTGGGTAGATGGGTGAGTGGATGGGTGGGTGGGTGGGTGGGTGGATGGATGGATGGATGGATGGATACATAGGTGGATTGATGGATGGGTGGATGAACAGATGGATGAGTGGGTAGATGGGTGAGTGGATGGGTGGGTGGATGGATGGATGGTTGGATGGATGGATGGATGGATGGATACATAGGTGTGTGGGTGGATGGATGGATGGATGGATGGATGGATGGATGGGTAGATGGGTGAGTAGATGGATGGATGGGTGGATGAGTGGATAGATGGGTGGATGGAAGGAAGGAAGGAAAGATGGAAAAAGGGCAGGCAACATCTGGGTTTCTTTCCTTCCCTTGACTCAGTTCTGACTACTGGTGAAGAAGTGGGGCAGCTGGTGGCTCTGCACTGGGGGTTGGATTGAGCCAGGACAAGTGACTGGGTGATGAGGTTGTGGTTAGATGGGGAATCCCCAGGGAAAATCATAGGTGTCCTGAATCCTACAAGGTAAAGAAGTGTTCTTTGGGAATAGATCATGAAGGAAAAAAAAGAGAGAGAAATGTTCCACGATGTTGAGGGTAATCTCTGAACCATGGAATGGCCCTCATTGACTGGGAAAAGGAGCTCAGGCTCTGAGGCCCCCCAGCCAGGTCCTGGGGAGAGGAGGGACTGGCCAGCAATGGGGGCCAGGCAGCATCTGAGGCATTCTGATAGAGCAGAACCTCATTAAGAAGCTGCTAGGGGCCGGGGCAGTGGCTCATGCCTGTTATCCCAGCACTTTGGGAGGCCAAGGCGGGTGGATCACTTGAGGTCAGGAGATCGAGACCATCCTGGCCAACATGGTGAAACCCCGTCTCTACTAAAAATACAAAAATTAGCTGGGTGTGGTGGCAGGCACCTGTAATCCCAGCCACTCGGGAGGCTGAAGCAGGAGAATCACTTGAACCCGGGCGGGGGAGGTTGCGGTGAGCCGAGATTGCACCACTGCACTCCAGCCTGGGTGACAGAGCGAGACTCTGTCTCCAAAAAAAAAAAAAAAAAAAAAGTGGCTGCTAGGGTCATACCAGGGGCTGAGGGTGGGGGTCACATTATTTTCATCTGGTTTGCATGCAGGTGGTGCAAACCAGGATGTGCAAAGCATCTTCCCGTGGCCATGTCTCTGCTTCTGTCCTCCATCCCTCCCACCATTTGTCACTGTCCTAGAAAGCCTCAAGCAGAGAGAACCTCCTGCTCTCACGGCTGAGCCCCCAAGGTCTTCTCTTCCATATACAGAAGAATAATCCTAACAAATCACTGAAGCCCTTCCTGCTTGGAGCCCTTTACCTGAACTAACCCATTGAATCCCCACGAGCCTGCAAGGCAGGTGCTAGTATTGCCCCCATTTAATAGATAAGCAAACTGAGGCCCAGAGAGGGGCGTCACTTGCAAACAGCTGCATGGCAGGTGGGCCCACGCTTAGCGGATCTGGGCAATGAGGCCTTACACAGACCCCGTGGAGTCAGGCTCTTCGTCTCGTTTTACCCCAGGGGAAAGTGAGGCATGACTGAAGCTTGAGAAGGGACAGAGAAAGCGAAGAAAGCACAAGCAGCTGACCTCGGGGCCTAGGCTGGGATTCAGCTGCAGATCAGGCCTAGAAAGTACAGATTATTTCTTTATCTATTTATAAAATTATTTATTTGTAGTTATGATGGATACATAATAGTTGTACAAAGGGAACTGTGTATTCTTACACATACTTCTGTGTCCCTGAAATCTGGGACAGTCGCTGGCACACAGTAGGTGCTCCAAAATACTCACGGCCTGTAGCTTTGTGCGGTCACAGGCACGGTTCTGCTGGCGTTGGGGTGGGGGTCATCACTCAAGTGACCAAGGGGAGGTGTCCAGCAACAGACGGGGACGGGGCCTCCTTTGCTTTCTGGCAACAAGATCAGGGTCAGATTCCTGCTAAGTGGGGGGCACCCGTGCCCCCCAGGGCTGTGCCTGGCCGGGGCAGCTAGTCCCCTTTGAGCCCTAATTCTAAGAGCTAGCTTCGTGTCCCTCCATATAACAATATGATGGGTTAGGGTCAAGCTGTGGTCCTATAACTTGTTGGAAGACATTTCAGAACAATAAAGGTGTCGGGCTTTATGTCTGCTCATATTTCATCCTGGCTCTGGCCTCTCCTGCTCACTCACCTTGGATTTACTGTGCGGATATTTTAAATGGGGTGAGCTTGGACGCTAGTGTTCCCGTACCCCCGCCTTGTCCCCCCCACCGCCTTGTTCTGCCCCCCCCACCCCTCCCCGCCACCGCCCAGCTCTGGGAGCCTGGCCCCAGCCCGAACCCCGTGCTGGCCTTGCCTGCTGAAATATTTACCTCCCGGCTCCTCTGACAGGCAGAGCTGTCTCCTTAAGCAAAGGTTATTGGACTGCGAATGTTATGACATTACATTTTTGTGTCTGCACTTTGGAGATGCGTCATGCTGGCAGAATGACAAGCTCTGGGCAGGGCTGAGCAGAGGGGCCGGGCAACGCGGGGAACTGATAGCGGTCCACTTTATTGCAGTGCCTTCACGGCTCCGCCGCTGCGCCCTGGGAGTTGACAGGACAAGGCGCCAGCCTCCTTGGCTGGGGCTGCTTAGCTGGTTTGATGCTGTCAGCTCCCAGGCACCGCCCCCCCACCGCCCCAGCTGGCAGCCCCAGCACCTCCAAGAGAGGGCTAGGATGGAGCAACAGGATGGAGCAAGGCAGACCCACAGCAGCAATGAGAATGGTCCCAGCAGCCCACGTGGCACAGAGCTGTGACATTCCAGGTAGTGTGCAAACACATTCGGGCATTAATGCATGTCCCACGCACCCACCCGAAGAAGCAGGCATTTTTATCCCTTTTGTCAATTGAGTAAACTGAGGCACAGAGTGGTAGTGACTTGTGATATCTGTCCCCTGCGGCTGCCGTAACAAAGTACCACAAACTGGGGAGCTGAAAGATTTCTTCTCCCACAGTTCTGGAGGCCAGAAGTCCAAAATCAAGGGGTTGGCAGGGCCACACTCTGCCTGGCAGGTCCAGCCGGCGATGCTTCCTGCCTCTTCCAGTCTCTGGTGACTTCAGCATTCCTTGGCTTGCGGCAGCATCACTCCAGTGTCTGCGGTCATCACGTGGCCGCCTTTCCTCTGTGTCTATGTCCCAATTCCCCTCTTTTTATAAGGACGCAGGTCGTAATTTAATATGCCCACATTTTAACTTGATGACATCTGCAAAGACCCTGTTTCCAAGCAAGACCTCATTTACAGGTTCCGGGTGGACATGAATTGGGGGTGGGGACATTATTCAAGCTGACATGTGTGCCCAAGGTCACTGGAGTAGATGCTTGTGGGGCCTCACTGGCATGTCCCCCACCAATCTCCGAGCTCACCTGCAGATGGCTCTATAGAACCCTGTGGCTTCTGGACTTGCTATGCTGGAACGTGTTCCCGGGCTGCCCTGACTCATGCAGGCTGCAACTTACATGCTAGGAGGTGGGTGTCCCCAGGAGTCACTCCAGCCCAAGAAGGAAAGGTGTTGGTGGATACCTCCCCATCGTCCTTGTCCTTCCTGGGAACTCCTCTCCTAGGGGCCCCAGCTGGCCTGTTCAACGTGGCCCCTGTAGGTTTCCTTCCCAGCCTCACCCCCCACTCCCTCCCTTCCCGTGATTCCCTCCCAGATCATCTCCCTGCCCTTGATCCTTGTCCTGGGATCCGCCTCTTGAGGAACCCAAATGAAGGCAATATAAATAATGATAACAGAACAGCTGGCACACACAGCATTGATTCTGCACAGGCGGCCGACTCCTTCAGGACTACAGCAGGCCTGGCAGAGAGCGTCACCAGATCCAGAAAGAAAAACACAGGACACCCAGTGAAACTTAAATTTCAGATAAACAACAAATACCTTTTAGTATAAGTATGTCTCATGCAATATTTGGGCTATACTTATGCTCTTAAAACATCCATTGCTTCGGGCTGGGGAGGGGATGGAGAGTGATTGCTAATGGTTATGGGGTTTCTCCCTGGAGTGGTGAACATATTCTGAAATTGACTGTGGTGAGTAGCTGCCCACTTTTGTGAGTATTCTAAAGCCCATCAAACTGTGTGCTTTAAATGGGATCATATGGGATGCAGGTTATGTATAATAAAGCTGTTATATTGAAAAAGTATTTGTTGTTTATCTGAAATTTAAGTTTCACTGGGAGTCCTATATTTTATCAGGCAATCCTATTTGGGGGTAGGTTCTCCCACTATCTCTGTATCACAGATGAGGAAACTGAGAGCCAGCCGCATATCACAGCCAGGACTTGTGGAAGGGACTGGAACCCAGAAGTCCAGCCTCCTTGACCCTTAGGGAGCGTTGCCTCAGTGAAGATGGAGCCTGAGGCTGGAGAGGCGGCTGGGGCCAGGTTGGCTGACCCCGAATGTGCGGGGATGCCCTCCGAGGTCTCTCCATCCACCCAGAGGCAGAGTGCATGCCTCTGAGCAAGGGGTCCCAATGTGGCTGAGGTTCCTCTCATCCTCTCCCTGCCTCTTTGGGCTCGGCCTCCTCCCTCACATAAGGACCGCAGGCTGGTCAGAGGGAGGAGGATCAGATAGAGGCCCTGTCAAGGCTGCTGGTGCAGGGCCTGCAGTCGTTGCTTCTCACAGGCAGCTGCCTCTTGGAGGTCGGAAGAGAAACTGCGCTGGGCACGGTGGTGCGCACTTGTAATCCCAGCACTTTGGGAGGCTGAAGTGGGAAGATCACTTGAGGCCAGCAGGTCAAGACTGCAATGAACTGTGATTACGCCACTTCACTCCAGCCTGGGCAACATAGCAAGACCCTGTCTCAAGAAAAGGGAGGCGGGGGCACAAAATATATGAACTTGAGGCTGTCTGAGGCCTCTGGCAAGACAGGAGCGGCAGGGAGGCCAGGGGCCACACCCTCTCAGGGCTCCCAGCCCAAATGACCTGGTGTCTGTGATTGATGCACCATCCCCTTGAATCCTGATGGGAGAAATGTCTGATGTCGTTACAGCTCCGTCTCACACAGTACCCAGCACACAGTAGGTGCCTAATAAATGCCTCTCATATTGACACCATCCCTGGAGCTGAAGGGGTGTGGAAGCAGCTGGGAGGGTGTTTTGCTAACTTCATTTTGCAGAGACTACTACTGAGTCCCAAAGAGCCACCTATCCCTGACTGAGACAGGTCTGCAACCTTCTGGAACAGTCTTCAGGCTCCTGTGTGATTTACAGGACCCCAAGGCAGGGGACCTGCACCCAGGAGGCAGCAGGCGGTTCAGGGTTCTGATCTTCTTAGGGGCCCAGTCCAGAATGAGGTGCCCTGCCCAGACCCCCTCTATCTATTCCCCCACTGCCCCCCAGCCTGGTGGCTGGGCTGGGCTGAGGGGCTTGAGGTTCCCCACCACGGGCAGGTGGGCCTTCTCACCGCCAGGGGGCAGCAGGGGGTTGGCCGCCAGCTTGCGCCCGGCAGTCCTGATGCAGGCCCACTGGGGCGGGGCTGGGCTGGGGAACTCCAGGCACCCTGGGGCCACGGTGGAGCGCGCCCCTCTTCTCGGGGGCCCACAGGACACTTCCAATCTGCCTGGGGACCTCTGGCCACTTGTCACCAGGCGTCGATACCGTTCGGGCTCACTGCTGGCTCCGGGTTGTTGACCCCCTGGGAGAATGAACATTCGGGCTGTCGGGGACCGGGGAAGGCTCAGCCGTGACTGCTGACGAAAAACACAAACATCTGTGAGGGGAGAGGCGGGGCTGGAGGGTGGGAGGCAGCCGGGGGCCGGGGAGCGAGGTCAAGGCCCGAGAAATTAAATGTTCATAAATGTAGGCCTGGCACTCACAAAGTAGGGCAGAGCCATTAGCGCTCATTAAAGTTTAATACCTGTCGGTGCTGGTGCGGCCCCGCTGGACGCTGCTCTAATTTGATGGGTGTAGAGGGAGAGTTCTCAAATAATCGGGGAGGTCGGGGGCTTGCTTCTGTGATGTTCACAGGAAGAGGACGGTTGGGCTTTGAGGGTCCCTTTAAAGCGAATGATTTGGGTGGTTCCTCGGATGAGCGGCTTGAGGGGGCTCTGCTTTATGTACCCTCCCCTGTGCCCATTTGTGGGGTCACTGGTTTAGTCCTGGATGGGCGGCAGCCCCCGCGCACACACACACGCACTCCTGTCTGCAGGATCACCTTGAGATTGCAGGCCCTGCCAGGAGCCAGGTGTGTGGGCGTCTCCCCCTGAAAGCCCTGGGGATTCATATTAGCTCATTTGTCTTAGTTGGAGCAGAAGCCCCGTCCGTCTCCCCCGAGAACATCTCTTTTTCTACAGCAGAGCAAACCTTTCCTCTCCTGTTCGTGCCACTTCCAAAAATCCAGGCTTCCTCGGGCATCCCCCTCCATGCCAGCCCTGGCTCCTTGGGCACACGGTTTCTGGGCTCAAACATTGGCCCAGACCAAGGGTAGATGAATGGTCTGGAGGAGGCACTCTGGAAGCTCAATGGGGCAGGCTAGAGGCATCCAGGGAAGGCCCCCTGGAGGAAGTGGCAATTGAGTCGGGCCTTGATGGACAAAGACATATAGGAATTAGGCCTGTAGAGGGAAGCACCTGGGCATTCTCGACGCGGGGAATGGGGCGGGCAGAGACTGGGGCACCTAAGCATAGGGAGGTTGTAGGCTGCAGCCACACAAAGCTGAGGATGAGGAGGAAGGATGGTCTGGGGCAAGCTGGGGTAGGCCTTGCATGCCAGGCTATTGGCTTCTCGAACGTTACCCTGAATCCCTGGGAATGGAATGGAACCGAATGAACAGGTAAAATCTATACGAGGCCCAGAAAAATCCAAGCCCCGAGCTGCTGAGGTGTCAGGGCAGTGGCGCCTGCTGAGCGTGTTAGAAAGGAGGGAGAAGCAGCAGCTAAGATGATCGCGCCCTGCTGTGTGCCAGGCTCCTCATGTGAGAAGGACCATAGGAATCTCCCGTTTCACAGGTGGGCACACCAAGGCCCGACAATGGGTCCAGGCTGCCAAGGGTGGAGCCGAGATGCAAAGGGGCACCTCAGAGCCTGCATGTCTGGCCAGGCTGGACACAGGCTGGCATGTTCGCTGCCTGGAAACACCCTCCCAGCAGCCAGCACCCAGCTCTGAAGCTCTGGCTTTGGCTGGGCACCATGCCAGCCCTCGCCACAGCGGCTCCAGACCTCCCTTTCTCTCCAGGCCTCCCGAGAAAGCCCTTTGCATCTTTTGACTCACCCTGAACAAATGCTCCCTCCCTCTGTCACGTCCGCCCTCCCCTGCCCACGCTCTCTAGGGGCCTGCCCAGAACAGCTCCTAAATCATCCCGCCTGCCTCCTCCCGCCGGCTTCCTCCTGGGCGCCCGCCCACCCTCCCCAGGCTCTGCCCTGTTCCCAGGATGGCCTGGAGCAGAGCCAGCCCAGAGATGGGGAGAGAAGAAAACCAGCCAGCGCCCCGCAGAAGGGCTGCGTGAGGAGTCCCGGCGGCCTGAGTCCCCCCAGCCTGCAGAGCCCACAGCCCTGTCCCCCGGCTGGTATGTCCTCTGAGTTTCAAGATGCTCTGGGGATTTTTCTGCTTTTTACCCCTGAGCTTGCTGCTTCTAGAACCTTCTCTTGGATATGAACAAGGCTGATGAAAGCTTCAGCCCCAAGTGGCCTGTTTCCAGCCTCAGTCTGTCCACTTCATTTGGAAAACTCACTGGGACCCCATGAGCAGGAGGCAGGACATCAGCAGGCCCGTCCTTCCTTGCCCCTGCCCGTCTCCTCCCCAGTTCCCCAAGTCCATGGAGGCAGGAGGATAACACGCTGTCCTGCTCACTCAGCCTCTCCCTGCTGCCCAGGCACTGGGGCGGGGGGAGTTGGGAGTGGGTGGCCGTGTTGTTTGGAGAGACAGGAAATATTAGGCCGTGGCCCAGCGCAGACAGGCCCTGTCTTGAACTCCAGCACAGAGTGGATGTGCTGCAATTGTAATGCAAAAACACCTCTGATTAGTTGTTTCCACACCCCTTCCACCTCCCCAGCACCCAAGTCTAGTTCCATGCTGGGTGGAGGAGCCGCTGTCCCGGATGCTCTCCGCTCCTCTGCCTGCCAACACCTTCCACTGCCTGGCCACTGCCAGAGGCAGCTGCCCACCACCTGGAGCCATGGAGGAGAGCAGTTGGCTGAACGGGCAGCTTCCTCCTCCCTCCGATTGGGAGCAGGATTTCTGCTCAGTTCAGGACGTTCAGGCCATTCTCAGGACCCCACAACGGGGCAGGATGGATGTCCGGACGCTACACAAGTGGGAGGCCACAGGCCCCCGTGGGGACTTGACCCAGGAGTGGGTGAGGGTGGCGGCAGGGGAGGCTGTCTGGGAAGCGCAGGTCAGGGCCATGGGCTGGGCGGTTGCCTGTTTCCTGTCTGTGTGTGAGATGGGGGTGCCCTCTCCAGGGAGCCCGTGAAGGTCAGAGAGAGACAGAGAGCAACAAAGAGACAGCGTGAGATGGTCATGGAGAGAGACAGAGGAAGACACCCAGGCAGAGAACAGAGTGACAGGTCCAGAGAGAGAGAGCAAACGTGAAAAGCAGAGCAAGGACCAAGAGACGGGGGCTCCCCTCCAGCTGGGTGGGTGGGAAGAGGGTGCAGAGAGGCATGGGCAGATGGAAAAGGAGACAGGCCAATGTCCCAGGGAGCCCCCTTGCCCCTGTCCCCCATCTCCTCTGTGAAGTCCTGGGGGGAGACTTGATTTCCCACACACTGGGGCAGGGGCTCAGATGCCTCCTCTCAGCCCCCTGGCAAAGCAGACACTTTTCTCCCCTTTTGCATTGGGGGAAGCAGATAGCAGCTCAGAGAGGTAGACTGGAGGGCCCAGGGCCACACAGCAGGGCACTCAGGCTGCGACCCCCGCTCCCACCCTTGGCACTCAAGTGACACTCAGTGTCTACTCGCTGATGCAGGTGCTGAGCCGTCTCCTGCGGGCGGTGTGTCCCCAAGGCAAGGCAGAGTGCATGGCACGTGTATCTCCTCGCATGGACCCTGCCTGGAACATGTGGTCTCTGCTGGCCCAGGCTTGTCACGGTACTAAATCTGGAGACTGAGCCCTCTGCCTCTGTCTGCCCCCCGCCGCTGCCTCCAGCTTCTGGAGCTGTCATGTTGAGTTCACGAGGTTCCAAAGTCACCTTCCATGCAGGGAGCCTTCGGGTTCTGACTCAGCCTGGGGCCTCCCCGGAGCACCAGGGTGCGGGAGGCACCACCTGCCATCTGGCCCCCTCTGGAGGACGCGCGTCAGCCTCACACCTGCATCGCCTTTGCCCCGCTTCCCTGGGGACTGGTGGCCCTGGGCTGTGGGACTGCAATGTGGAGGAAGGCGCACATCCCCTGCTGCCCTCCTGAAGGTCTGATTTAAATTCAGGAGCTTCCCCTGGGATCCTCCTCCTCCAGCCCGCATAGAAGGAGGTGTGAGGCTTCTGGAAGCAAATGAGCCCCGCAGACCAGGGGCTGCCCCTTAGAGTCACAAAATCCTGGGGCCTGGGCTCCACCCTACAGACCAGTTAGTTCCGAATCGTGGGGGTGGGGTTGGGGGTGGGGGCTGCAGACCTTGGTGTATTCTCAGAGCTTCCAGGTGATTCTGTGCAGGAGAGGACCCTAGGGAAGACGCACCTTGGTATTCTGGGGTATCTTGGAGCTAGGTCTCCAAGGTTCGGACCCCGATGAGTGATGTTGTCTCTCAGTACCTCAGTTTCCTCATCTGCAAAATGGGCGTGATGGGATCACAGGTTCCCAGGATGGTTGTGAGCACTGGGTGAGATGAAGTGAGCAGGTGAAGAATTCAGGCGTCTTTGGGGAAGTGGAGAAGGAATGTTAACATGTCGTGATTTGCAGTGGCAAAACCTGGGACACTGAGGCCTGAGGGGTCGCAGAGCTCCCAGGGGTTAGAGCAGGCAAGAGCCCAGTCCCTCCTGAGCAGGAGGTGGAGGGGAAGTGTGCCAGCTCCCAGTCAGCAGGTCTGGGTCCAGTACCGCCTGTCTGCTTGATGTCTGTGGGTAAGTAGCTGTGCCCTGCTGCTATCTGTAGACTGGGGATACCCCTGCAACCCCCTGAGGCTGTGGTGAGGATAGATGGAGGTAAAGCGTGGGAGAACTGCCTAGGACATGGCCACACATGGCCAAATAATGATGATGTTCCCGCATAATCCGACAAACCGCTGCATGACTCTGGACCTCAGTTTCCCCAGCTATAAAGTGGGATAGGTTAGGATCGAGGGGCTCATTTCAGATGCTACAACTTTAGTGTCAGAGCCAGGAGAGAGAATGTAACTTTACAGCCCAGCTCTGGGTTCCTGGGCTGGAAGAAAATGTCACTTTCTGTTCACGTGGTCCTTACATGGTCCCGCACAGAGAATGTGTGTGGGTGCATGTGTACACGTGCACATGTGTAGACATGTATAATGCATGTCGAGTGCGCACCGACATGTGTGGTATGTTTGTGTAGACATGTATAATGCATGTCGAGTGTGTATCCACATGCGTTGTATGTTTGTGTGTGCCTCTGGGTGTGTGTGTAGCATGTGCATATGTGTGTACATTGTGTAAGTACTTGTGTGTGGTTGGCAGACATTGGCAGACACATATGCATGTGCAGTGTGTTATATATTACATGCACATGTGTATGTGTATGTGGTGTGTACATGTGTGTGTGAGGATGCATAGGATTGCACATACACGTGGCTTGTGTGTGTCTGTATTGTGTGCATATGACCGTATAGATGTGCACGTGTGATGTGTGTGGTGCTGTGGGGAGCCCTCCAGGGTTTCATCACTGTCAGCTCCTGACCCTGCACCCATGGTAGGCTGCCTCGTCTGCTGGGCCCCCCCAGCACAGAGTCCTCTCAGGCCGCCCCGAGTGGGGCCCTCTGCACGTGGAAAGGTGGGCTTCCGGGGGGGTTCAGTCCACGGGGGCTCCACGGCCTTCAGAGTGTCTAATTGTGAAATATTTAATGCATTCCAAAAAGTAGAAAGAATAATACAGCCAGCACCCACATGCCCCACCAGCTTCAGGAAGAGAACGTTGCTGATGCGGTTGTACCTTGTCCCTAGTTTCACAGCCCCCATCCTTGCGGGCTTTCAGAAGCCCCTGCAGGCCCCTGGGTAAACCGACCAGTTTCCTAAGCTGCCTGCCTGCTTTCTTTGCCTGTAAAGTGGGGATATAGCAGTACCAAGCTTCGTGTCCTCAGCACATGTTTATTGAGCACCTACTGTGTGCCAATCACTGCCGTAGGCGTGGGGGATGCCGCAGACAGTGAAACGGGCAAGGATACCTACACTTGGCGGGGTGCACATTCTGCTGAGTTCGGGGGAAGAATGGATTAGGAATCTGTGCTTCGCTCCTAGAAGAGCCCCTGGCAGGTGGTGAGTGTTCCGTGAGTGCGGGCTGCGGTTATCATGATTAATATTACCATTAATATTGCTGAGAAGTCAAGACTGGCCAGGGCAGACCCTGGGCCCCAGGCCACTGCACACCCAGCTACAGGGGGCTGTGCCCTGGAGCTGCGCCCCATGGAGTGTGACCTGCCAAGTCACACTGGGCGCACAGCAGCCCCTGAGCAGGCCCAGCGCAAACACAGGGGCCTCCTGCAGGGACCTTGTGTCACGGCCACACGGAGCTACTGACTGCTGACACCTGCGTCTTCGCCGCCACACCGGCCCTGCAAATCATTAATGCTTATTCTTTCAAAGGCAAAAAAACGGAGAATGATCCGCCAGACGCCCCACAGGCCCTCCCCTCCCTGCTGAGGTTTTGGGATCATCAAAGAGATGGGAAAACAGGAAGTGTAGGGTTGTGTGTGTGTGTGTGTGTGTGTGTGTGTGTGTAATTGTGTGTGTGTGTTTCTGTGTATGATTTTGTGTGTGTGATTATATGTCTGTGTGTGTCGTGTTTCTGTGTACTGTGTGTGCTTTCGTGTATGTCTGTATGTGTATCTCTGTGGCCGTGTGTGTTGCATGTATGTCTTTGTGTGTGTCTCTGCATGTGGTTGTATGTCCGTGTGTTGTATGTCTCTGTGTGTAGTTTTGTGTTGTGTGGGTGTGTTGTGTGTGTCTGTGTGGTTGTGAGCCTGTGTGTTTTGTATGTCTGTGTGTGTGTTGCGTGTGGTTGTGTACCTGTGTGATGCATGCGTCTGTGTATGAGTGTATGTCTATGTGTTGCATGTCTCTGTGTGTCTGTGTGTTGTGTGTGTCTCTGTGTCTGTGTATGTTGCGTGTGTCTCTGTGTGTTTTTGTGTGTTTGTATGTGTTGTATGTGTCTGTGTCTCTGTGTGGTGTGTCTCTGTATGTGGTTGTGCACGTGTGTCTCTGTGATGTGTGTGTCTCTGTGTGTGTGGTGTGTGTCTCTGTATGATTTTGTGTCTGTGATTATGTGTTTGCGTGTGGTGTGTGTGTCTCTGGGTCTGTGTATGTTGTGTGTGTCTCTGTGTGTGATTGTGGGTCTGTGTGTCTGTGTGTGTGCGGAAGGGGTCATAATGGAGACCTAGCTTTGACCTTGCGCATCTGTGTGTGTGAGAGGAGGCAGCCGGCAAGGTTGGTTTGAGCATCTACATCAGTGCGGGTGCAGATCCAGAGACCCCACCCACGAAGACCTCCGCGTGGAGGCCAAACCACGAAAGCCCAAATCAGCGGATATGGTGCTGGGGTCCGCAGCTTGGGCTTTCTGAGGCCCAGCTGGGTGGGTGCGGTGCGGGGAGGGGCAATGGGGGCCCCCGCCCGGCAGGAGAGGGAGTGAGGCCAACGTCATGCGTTATTCAGCGGCTCCTGATTTCACATTATTCTCCCTGATACGTTTACAACCTGTCAGTAAATAAAAAGATTCTACATTATTTATAGAAATGGAGCAGAATTGGCCAGGAAGATTTAGTACTGCTATTATCAGGGAGTACCCGGGCCATCAGAGTGGGTGGGGTGGGTGGGGCACCAGGGGTGGGGGCAGAAAGAGAAAGATGCTGCTGCCCCAGCGGGACCGGAGCTCGGGGGCTCTGGATGGGCCTGCTGACCCCAAGAGGGGACACAGTTGCTTCCCTTGGGGCACCTCCCGCAAAGTCAGGCACCAGGGGCCAGGAGAATGAGCCGGCCCAGAGGGCTTGGGAGGGCAGGGTGGAGGCAGGGGACTTCTACCTGTGGGGCGGCCCATCCAGGTGAGGGCCAACACTCTGCCGAGGCCAGGGTGGGGTCCCCAGGCTGGGACAAGTGGCTGAGGCCCAAATGAGCCATATATAAGAGCTTCTAACTGCTGCTGAGTGTTTATTGAGCACCTGCTGTGTACACGCAGCACTGCACGCCGGTTACTGGGGTTGATACCCGTCCATGCTGCTACTGTGGGGGAGGGCCGAGAGCAGTGTTTCTCAATCTGGGTTCCACCATTCCTGACGGGAATGTCTAAACATGTGCTTTCCGTGTTCCCAGCCATCTAACTGTGCCTGGCGTGAGCCTGTGCTGGTTACTGGGCAGCCCCGCTGTGAGTGGGCACTTCTGGGGGATCCAGGTATGAGTCTGCAGGTGCAGCTCAGTGTCTGGAGCTCGCCCTGAGGGACAGCAGCTGCGCTCCATGCCAGGTTTTCAGAACTGGAGCCCGGAGACGTTGGAGGCCCAACCATTTCCTCACAAGTCGTTCTGTTCCCAAGTTTGAGAACCACTGGCCCAGAGAGGGTAGCATCCTGTGCCGTTTGTCCCGGAACGCAGCTTACGGCACACTCTGGGTGCCCTGCGATGTCTGGGCTGTGTCCATAGGAACCTTGCGGCCTGGCGGGAGGTGAGATAAGCTGGTGGGTACTGAAGCCAGAGCGGCCTGTCCACCGGGCCACCGTGTTTTCCATCCTGAACCCAAGACGCTGAGAAGCTCGGGGGAGAGGAGTCGCCAGTGGGATGTCTGGTTGGAGAAGCTGCCAGGAAGGGGGACTCGAGAGAGCCTGGGAGGAGGAGGTTTGCAGAAGGGAGCGCACAGCCTCAAGAACGGGGCTGAGCGAATAGGGAAGGTCATGGTGGTTTCTCTGAGGGCCGGGGCCATGCTGAGTCCCAAAGCTGAGGCTGGAGATGGGAGAGTGGACCCAGAGAGAGTGGCCTGCAAGCCATGTGGAGCCGGGGCTGGGACATCACAGGGCGGCACTTTGAAGAGAGCTTGTCGGGAGCGCGGCGCTGGGCCTGCCAGTTACCTCTGGCTGCCTAACAGATTGCCCCAAGGCCAGGCATGGTGGCTCACACCTGTAATCCTAGCATTTCAGGAGGCTGAGGCGGGAGGTTCACTTGAGCCCAGGAGTTCAAGACCAGCCTGGACAACATAGTGAAACCCTGTCTCTACAAAAAATACAAAAGTTATCCGGGTGTGGCTCCTGTAGTCCCAGTTACTTGGGAGGCTGGGGCGGGAGGATCACCTGAGCCAGGGGAGATGGGGCCTGCAGTGAGCTTTGATTGTGCCACTGCATGTCAGCCTAGGTGACAGTGAAAGACCCTGACTCAAAAAAAAAAAAAATTGCCCCAAAACTTCGTGGCTCCAGACGCCATTTATTATCCCACAGCATGTGCGGGTCAGGGATCCGGATCCAGCTTAGCCGGGCCTCCTGGGTATCAGCCTTCCCCAGCTGAAGGCTTGGCTGGGGAAGGATCTACTCCCAAGCCCTCTCCCATGGTTGCTGGGGGGGGACTCAGTTCCTCTGGGCCGTGGGATAGAGGCCTCAGTTCCTTGCCGGATGCTGGCTGGAAGCCACGCTGAGCTCACCACAGGGATCCTGTGCTATCAGGCAAGCCAGGGTGCGGGGGAGGGTAAGAGAGGGCACACGCAATGGCAACCACAGTCTGTAACCGACACCGGAAGCGAGCCCCCTCACCTGTGCCATGTTCCATTCATTAGGGGCAAGTCACCAGGTCCAGCCCACACTTAAAGGGCGGGGGCCACCCAGGGGCATGACCACCAGGAGGCGTGGTCATTGGGGGCTCGTCAAAGCTGCCCCCAACACTGAGTGTTCGGAGAATGAGGGTCTCTTGGTTGGTTAAGTTTGTTAATGAATGTGCCTTGTGACTCTTCAAGGGAGGGATAAAATTGACATTGTAGGCCGGGCACAGTGGCTCACACCTGAAATCCCAGCACTTTGGGAGGCTGAGGTGGGAGGATCACTTGAGCCCAGGAGTTTGACACCAGCCTGGGCAACATAGTGAAACCCTGTCTCTACAAAAATAAAAAAACAAAATAACAAAATTAGCCGGGTATGGTAGCACATGCCTGTGGTCCCAGCTATGTGGGAGGCTGAGACGGGAGGATCGCTTGAGCCCAGGAGGTTGAGGCTGCAGTGAGCTGTGATCCTGCCACTGCACTCCAGTCCTGGTGACAGAGTGAGACCCTGTCTCAAAACAACAACAACAAAAACCCAGAAATGTATTCTGCCACAGTCTGGAGGCCAGAACTCCAGCATCAAGGTGTGGGCAGGGCTGCACCCCCTTCAGAGGCTGCTGGGAGGCCCCTTACTGCCTCTCCCAGCCTCTGGGGACTCTGGCTTCCAGGGCTTGTGGCCGCTCACTGCAGCCTTCAGGGCAGGCATCTTCACCTCCCTCTCTGTGCCGTCCTTACGGGGCCTTTCCTCTGTGTGCGTCAGAACTCCCTCTGCCCACCTCTCAGAAACCAGCTTGTGATTGGACACAGGGCCCCCCCGGATAATCCTCACTGTTACACTCAGGGCCCCCCTGGATAATCCACACCGTTACACTCAGGGCCCCCCGGATAATCCTCACCGTTACACTCAGGGCCCCCCTGGATAATCCTCACCGTTACACTCAGGGCCCCCCCGGATAATTCTCACTGTTACACTCAGGGCTCCCCCAGATAATTCTCACTGTTACACTCAGGCCCCCCGGATAATCCTCACTCTTACACTCAGGGCCCCCCGGATAATCCTCACCGTTACACTCAGGGCCCCCCTGGATAATCCTCACTGTTACACTCAGGCCCCCTGGATAATCCTCACTGGTACACTCAGGCCCCCCGGATAATCCTCACTGTTACACTCAGGCCCCCCGGATAATCCTCACCGTTACACTCAGGGCCCCCCCGGATAATCCTCACTGTTACTCTCAGGCCCCCCTGGATAATCCTCACTGTTACTCTCAGGGCCCCCCTGGATAATCCTCACTGTTACACTCAGGCCCCCCGGATAATCCTCACCGTTACACTCAGGGCCCCCCTGGATAATCCTCGCTGTTACTCTCAGGGCCCCCTGGATAATCCTCACTGTTACACTCAGGCCCCCCGGATAATCCTCACTGTTACACTCAGGCCCCCCGGATAATCCTCACCGTTACACTCAGGGCCCCCCCGGATAATCCTCACCGTTACACTCAGGGCCCCCCTGGATAATCCTCACTGTTACTCTCAGGCCCCCCTGGATAATCCTCACTGTTACTCTCAGGCCCCCCTGGATAATCCTCACTGTTGCACTCAGGGCCCCCCGGATAATCCTCACTGTTACTCTCAGGCCCCCCTGGATAATCCTCACTGTTACTCTCAGGCCCCCCGGATAATCCTCACTGTTACACTCAGGGCCCCCCTGGATAATCCTCACTGTTACACTCAGGCCCCCCGGATAATCCTCACTATTACACTCAGGCCCCCCGGATAATCCTCACCGTTACACTCAGGGCCCCCCCGGATAATCCTCACTGTTACTCTCAGGCCCCCCGGATAATCCTCACTGTTGCACTCAGGGTCCCTCTGATAATCCTCACTGTTACACTCAGGGCCCCCTGGATAATCCTCACTGTTACTCTCAGGCCCCCCTGGATAATCCTCACTGTTACTCTCAGGCCCCCCTGGATAATCCTCACTGTTACTCTCAGGCCCCCCGGATAATCCTCACTGTTACACTCAGGGCCCCCCTGGATAATCCTCACTGTTACACTCAGGGCCCCCGGATAATCCTCACTGTTACTCTCAGGCCCCCCTGGATAATCCTCACTGTTGCACTCAGGGTCCCTCTGATAATCCTCACTGTTACACTCAGGGCCCCCTGGATAATCCTCACTGTTACACTCAGGGCCCCCCTGGATAATCCTCACTGTTACTCTCAGGCCCCCCGGATAATCCTCACTGTTGCACTCAGGGTCCCTCTGATAATCCTCACTGTTACACTCAGGGCCCCCTGGATAATCCTCACTGTTACACTCAGGGCCCCCCTGGATAATCCTCACTGTTACTCTCAGGCCCCCCTGGATAATCCTCACTGTTGCACTCAGGGTCCCTCTGATAATCCTCACTGTTACACTCAGGGCCCCCTGGATAATCCTCACTGTTACACTCAGGGCCCCCCTGGATAATCCTCACTGTTACTCTCAGGCCCCCCGGATAATCCTCACCGTTACACTCAGGGCCCCCTGGATAATCCTCACTGTTACTCTCAGGCCCCCCGGATAATCCTCACCGTTACACTCAGGGCCCCCCTGGATAATCCTCACTGTTACTCTCAGGCCCCCCTGGATAATCCTCACTGTTACTCTCAGGCCCCCCGGATAATCCTCACCGTTACACTCAGGGCCCCCTGGATAATCCTCACTGTTACTCTCAGGCCCCCCGGATAATCCTCACCGTTACACTCAGGGCCCCCCTGGATAATCCTCACTGTTACACTCAGGCCCCCCTGGATAATCCTCACTGTTGCACTCAGGGCCCCCTGGATAATCCTCGCTGTTACACTCAGGGCCCCCCTGGATAATCCTCACTGTTACACTCAGGGCACCTGGATAATCCTCACTGTTACTCTCAGGCCCCCCTGGATAATCCTCACTGTTACTCTCAGGCCCCCCTGGATAATCCTCACTGTTACTCTCAGGCCCCCCTGGATAATCCTCGCTGTTACACTCAGGGCCCCCTGGATAATCCTCACTGTTACACTCAGGGCCCCCCTGGATAATCCTCACTGTTACTCTCAGGCCCCCCTGGATAATCCTCACTGTTGCACTCAGGGTCCCTCTGATAATCCTCACTGTTACACTCAGGGCCCCCTGGATAATCCTCACTGTTACACTCAGGGCCCCCCTGGATAATCCTCACTGTTACTCTCAGGCCCCCCGGATAATCCTCACTGTTGCACTCAGGGTCCCTCTGATAATCCTCACTGTTACACTCAGGGCCCCCTGGATAATCCTCACTGTTACACTCAGGGCCCCCCTGGATAATCCTCACTGTTACTCTCAGGCCCCCCGGATAATCCTCACCGTTACACTCAGGGCCCCCTGGATAATCCTCACTGTTACTCTCAGGCCCCCCGGATAATCCTCACCGTTACACTCAGGGCCCCCCTGGATAATCCTCACTGTTACTCTCAGGCCCCCCTGGATAATCCTCACTGTTACTCTCAGGCCCCCCGGATAATCCTCACTCTTACACTCAGGGCCCCCCTGGATAATCCTCACTGTTACACTCAGGCCCCCCCGGATAATCCTCACTGTTACACTCAGGGCCCCCCGGATAATCCTCACTGTTACACTCAGAGCCCCCCTGGATAATCCTCACTGTTACTCTCAGGCCCCCCGGATAATCCTCACTGTTGCACTCAGGGTCCCCCGGATAATCCTCACTGTTACACTCAGGGCCCCCCGGATAATCCTCACTGTTACACTCAGGGCCCCCCCGGATAATCCTCACTGTTACACTCAGGGCCCCCCTGGATAATCCTCACTGTTACTCTCAGGCCCCCCTGGATAATCCTCACTGTTACTCTCAGGCCCCCCTGGATAATCCTCACTGTTACTCTCAGGCCCCCCTGGATAATCCTCACTGTTGCACTCAGGGCCCCCCGGATAATCCTCGCTGTTACTCTCAGGGCCCCCCTGGATAATCCTCACTGTTACACTCAGGCCCCCCGGATAATCCTCACTGTTACTCTCAGGCCCCCCGGATAATCCTCACCGTTACACTCAGGGCCCCCCCGGATAATCCTCACTGTTACACTCAGGGCCCCCCTGGATAATCCTCACTGTTACTCTCAGGCCCCCCTGGATAATCCTCACTGTTACTCTCAGGCCCCCCTGGATAATCCTCACTGTTGCACTCAGGGCCCCCTGGATAATCCTCACTGTTACACTCAGGGCCCCCCCGGATAATCCTCACGTGTTACTCTCAGGCCCCCCTGGATAATCCTCACTGTTACTCTCAGGCCCCCCTGGATAATCCTCACTGTTACTCTCAGGCCCCCCTGAATAATCCTCACCGTTGCACTCAGGGCCCCCTGAATAATCCTCACCGTTACACTCAGGGCCCCCCGGATAATCCTCACCGTTACACTCAGGGCCCCCCGGATAATCCTCATTGTTACACTCAGGGCCCCCCTGCATAATCCTCACTGTTACACTCAGGGCCCCCCGGATAATCCTCATTGTTACACTCAGGACCCCCCTGGACAATCCTCACCGTTACACTCAGGCCCCCCGGATAATCCTCACCGTTACACTCAGGGCCCCCCTGGATAATCCTCACCGTTACTCTCAGGCCCCCCTGGATAATCCTCACCGTTACACTCAGGGTCCCTCTGATAATCCTCACTGTTACACTCAGGGCCCCCTGGATAATCCTCACTGTTACACTCAGGGCCCCCCTGGATAATCCTGTTACTCTCAGGGCACCTGGATAATCCTCACTGTTACACTCAGGGCCCCCCTGGATAATCCTCACTGTTACTCTCAGGCCCCCTGGATAATCCTCACTGTTACACTCAGGGCCCCCCGGATAATCCTCACTGTTACACTCAGGCCCCCCTGGATAATACTCACTGTTACTCTCAGGCCCCCCTGGATAATCCTCACTGTTACACTCAGGCCCCCCGGATAATCCTTACTGTTACACTCAGGGCCCCCCGGATAATCCTCACTGTTACACTCAGGGCCCCCCGGATAATCCTCACTGTTACTCTCAGGCCCCCCGGATAATCCTCACTGTTGCACTCAGGGTCCCTCTGATAATCCTCACTGTTACACTCAGGGCCCCCTGGATAATCCTCACTGTTACACTCAGGGACCCCTGGATAATCCTCACTGTTACTCTCAGGGCACCTGGATAATCCTCACTGTTACACTCAGGCCCCCTGGATAATCCTCACTGTTACACTCAGGGCCCCCCGGATAATCCTCACTGTTACACTCAGGCCCCCCTGGAAAATCCTCACTGTTACTCTCAGGCCCCCCTGGATAATCCTCACTGTTGAACTTAGGGCCCCCCGGATAATCCTCACTGTTACACTCAGGGCCCCCCGGATAATCCTCACTGTTACACTCAGGGCACCTGGATAATCCTCACTGTCACTCTCAGGCCCCCCTGGATAATCCTCACTGTTGCACTCAGGGTCCCTCTGATAATCCTCACCGTTGCACTCAGGGCCCCCCGGATAATCCTCACTGTTACACTCAGGCCCCCCTGGATAATCCTCACTGTTACACTCAGGCCCCCTGGATAATCCTCACTGTTACACTCAGGCCCCCCTGGATAATCCTCACTGTTACACTCAGGCCCCCTGGATAATCCTCACTGTTACACTCAGGGCCCCCTGGATAATCCTCACTGTTACACTCAGGCCCCCCGGATAATCCTCACCGTTACACTCAGGGCCCACCTGGATAATCCTCACCGTTACACTCAGGGCCCCCCGGATAATCCTCACTGTTACACTCAGGGGCCCCCTGGATAATCCTCACCGTTACACTCAGGGCCCCCCTGGATAATCCTCACCGTTACTCTCAGGCGCCCCGGATAATCCTCACCGTTACACTCAGGGCCCCCCGGATAATCCTCACTGTTACTCTCAGGCCCCCCGGATAATCCTCACTGTTGCACTCAGGGTCCCTCTGATAATCCTCACTGTTACACTCAGGGCCCCCCGGATAATCCTCACTGTTACACTCAGGGCCCCCCTGGATAATCCTCACTGTTACACTCAGGCCCCCTGGATAATCCTCACTGTTACACTCAGGGCCCCCCTGGATAATCCTCACTGTTACACTCAGGGCCCCCCCGGATAATCCTCACTGTTACTCTCAGGCCCCCCTGGATAATCCTCACTGTTGCACTCAGGGCCCCCCGGATAATCCTCACTGTTACACTCAGGGCACCTGGATAATCCTCACTGTTACCCTCAGGCCCCCCTGGATAATCCTCACTGTTGCACTCAGGGCCCCCCTGGATAATCCTCACCGTTACACTCAGGGCCCCCCTGGATAATCCTCACCGTTACACTCAGGGCCCCCCGGATAATCCTCACCGTTACACTCAGGGCCCCCTGGATAATCCTCACTGTTACTCTCAGGCCCCCCGGATAATCCTCACTGTTGCACTCAGGGTCCCTCTGATAATCCTCACCGTTACACTCAGGGCCCCCCTGGATAATCCTCACCGTTACACTCAGGGCCCCCCGGATAATCCTCACTGTTACACTCAGGGCCCCCTGGATAATCCTCACTGTTACTCTCAGGCCCCCCCGGATAATCCTCACTGTTACACTCAGGCCCCCCGGATAATCCTCACTTTTACACTCAGGGCCCCCGGATAATCCTCACTGTTACACTCAGGCCCCCCGGATAATCCTCACTGTTACACTCAGGGCCCCCCCCGGATAATCCTCACTGTTACACTCAGGGCCCCCCGGATAATCCTCACTGTTACTCTCAGGCCCCCCGGATAATCCTCACTGTTGCACTCAGGGTCCCTCTGATAATCCTCGCTGTTACACTCAGGGCCCCCCTGGATAATCCTCACTGTTACACTCAGGCCCCCGGATAATCCTCACTGTTACACTCAGGGCCCCCTGGATAATCCTCACTGTTACTCTCAGGCCCCCCGGATAATCCTCACCGTTGCACTCAGGGCCCCCTGGATAATCCTCACTGTTACACTCAGGCCCCCCTGGATAATCCTCACTGTTACACTCAGGGCCCCCCGGATAATCCTCACTTTTACACTCAGGCCCCCCTGGATAATCCTCACTGTTACACTCAGGGCCCCCTGGATAATCCTCACTGTTACACTCAGGGCCCCCCTGGATAATGCTCACTGTTACACTCAGGGCCCCCCGGATAATCCTCACTGTTACTCTTAGGCCCCCCGGATAATCCTCACTGTTGCACTCAGGGTCCCTCTGATAATCCTCGCTGTTACACTCAGGCCCCCCGGATAATCCTTACTGTTACACTCAGGCCCCCGGATAATCCTCACTGTTACACTCAGGGCCCCCCGGATAATCCTCACTGTTACTCTCAGACCCCCCGGATAATCCTCACTGTTGCACTCAGGGTCCCTCTGATAATCCTCGCTGTTACACTCAGGCCCCCCGGATAATCCTTACTGTTACACTCAGGCCCCCGGATAATCCTCACTGTTACACTCAGGGCCCCCCGGATAATCCTCACTGTTACTCTCAGGCCCCCCGGATAATCCTCACTGTTGCACTCAGGGTCCCTCTGATAATCCTCGCTGTTACACTCAGGGCCCCCCTGGATAATCCTCACTGTTACACTCAGGCCCCCGGATAATCCTCACTGTTACACTCAGGGCCCCCCGGATAATCCTCACTGTTACACTCAGAGCCCCCCTGGATAATCCTCACTGTTACTCTCAGGCCACCCGGATAATCCTCACCGTTGCACTCAGGGTCCCCCGGATAATCCTCACTGTTACACTCAGGCCCCCCGGATAATCCTCACCGTTACACTCAGGGCCCCCCTGGATAATCCTCACTGTTACACTCAGGCCCCCCGGATAATCCTCACTGTTACACTCAGGGCCCCCGGATAATCCTCACTGTTACACTCAGGCACACCGGATAATCCTCACTGTTACACTCAGGGCCCCCCTGGATAATCCTCACTGTTACACTCAGGCCCCCCGGATAATCCTCACCGTTACACTCAGGGCCCCCCTGGATAATCCTCACTGTTACACTCAGGCCTCCCGGATAATCCTCACCGTTACACTCAGGGCCCCCCGGATAATCCTCACCGTTACACTCAGGTCCCCCCTGGATAATCCTCACCGTTACACTCAGGGCCCCCCTGGATAATCCTCACCGTTACACTCAGGCCCCCCGGATAATCCTCACCGTTACACTCAGGGCCCCCCTGGATAATCCTCACTGTTACACTCAGGGCCCCCCCGGATAATTCTCACTGTTACACTCAGGGCCCCCCCGGATAATTCTCACTGTTACACTCAGGCCCCCCGGATAATCCTCACTCTTACACTCAGGGCCCCCCGGATAATCCTCACTGTTACACTCAGGGCCCCCCGGATAATCCTCACTGTTACACTCAGGGCCCCCCGGATAATCCTCACCGTTACACTCAGGGCCCCCCTGGATAATCCTCACTGTTACACTCAGGCCTCCCGGATAATCCTCACCGTTACACTCAGGGCCCCCTGGATAATCCTCACCGTTACACTCAGGCCCCCCGGATAATCCTCACTGTTACACTCAGGCCCCCCCTGGATAATCCTCACCGTTACACTCAGGGCCCCCCTGGATAATCCTCACTGTTACACTCAGGCCCCCCGGATAATCCTCACCGTTACACTCAGGGCCCCCCTGGATAATCCTCACTGTTACACTCAGGCCCCCCGGATAATCCTCACCGTTACACTCAGGGCCCCCCTGAATAATCCTCACTGTTACACTCAGGCCCCCCGGATAATCCTCACCGTTACACTCAGGGCCCCCCTGGATAATCCTCACTGTTACACTCAGGCCCCCCGGATAATCCTCACTGTTACACTCAGGGCCCCCCTGGATAATCCTCACTGTTACACTCAGGCCCCCCGGATAATCCTCACCGTTACACTCAGGGCCCCCCTGAATAATCCTCACTGTTACACTCAGGCCCCCCGGATAATCCTCACCGTTACACTCAGGGCCCCCCTGGATAATCCTCACTGTTACACTCAGGCCCCCCGGATAATCCTCACTGTTACACTCAGGGCCCCCCTGGATAATCCTCACTGTTACACTCAGGCCCCCCGGATAATCCTCACCGTTACACTCAGGGCCCCCCTGGATAATCCTCACCGTTACACTCAGGGCCCCCCTGGATAATCCTCACTGTTACACTCAGGCCCCCCGGATAATCCTCACCGTTACACTCAGGGCCCCCCTGGATAATCCTCACCGTTACACTCAGGGCACCTGGATAATCCTCACTGTTACACTCAGGCCCCCCGGATAATCCTCACCGTTACACTCAGGGCCCCCCTGGATAATCCTCACCGTTACACTCAGGGCACCTGGATAATCCTCACTGTTACTCTCAGGCCCCCCGGATAATCCTCACCGTTGCACTCAGGGTCCCTCTGATAATCCTCGCTGACCTCTCCAGTGCAACTGTTGATTTAATCACACCTGCAAACACCCTTACCTTTTTGCCATATAAAGCCGCATTCACAGGTTCCAGGGATGAGGACAGGGACATCTTTTCAGGGGGCCGTGATCCAGCCCACCCCAGCCCCTGTGTGACTGTATTGACCATGTGTCCGTGAAGCCATCGGCCCGGGTGCCTGTTCGGGTGCAGGTTATAATGCTGAGCCTTTATCGCACACTTAGGAGGGCCTGGCTTCTGGAAGGTTCCGTGCTGCTGCTGGAGGGGCCGCCCCACGGAGCCCCTGCTGCTCTGCTTGTCTCTTGGCTGTTTCCAGGCCGAGCGCCCTTTTCCATTTTGAAGCCTGTGTGTTTCCGCACACCCTGCAACAAGCACGTGGAAGTGCCGCTCCCATCCGGGCAGCGGCCGCTGTGAGTGAGGTTGAGGCAGCGGGGCTGAGGGACCCCCATCTCCCACGAGAGTGTGGGACACGGGGAACGAGGTGGGTTGAGGGTTGGGAAGCCAAGAGCTGAGTAGCTTTGGCGCTTTACCTAGGAGGAAGGCAGGGCCATGGAGGGAGGGTCCAGGAGGGAGGAGCTGCCTGAAGTTGGGGAGATTGATGTCACCATCTTCCCCAGCTGTGACCCCCAAGCATGGCGGCCTGCTCTCCCGGGTGACCGTGGAGCACCATCTTCCATCACTAATGTCACTTACACCTTCAGGCGGCAAGGGCTGAGGGTGGGCTGAGGGTCCCGGTGGTCTCCAGACTTCCTTCAACCCATGTCAGTAAAGTCACGTTAAGCACACGCTTCGCAAATGGACATAGTTACTTAGGTATCAATTACATACATGTACCACTGGCCTAGCAGACTGTACCTTATAAAACTGACCCCCAAACAGCAATTCAAAAAGGGGGTGAGGAATTTAACATAGAGAATCCTAATGGTTACTCCCAGAACCTCCAGGGCAAGGAGGGTGATATGGTTAGACTTTGTGTCCCCACCCAAATCTTGCCTTGAATTGTAATCCCCAGCTGTTGAGAGAGACACCTGGTGGGAGGTGACTAGATCATGGGGGTGGTTTTCCTTGTACTGTTCTCGTGATAGTGAGTGAGTTCTCGTGAGATCTGATGGTTTTATAACAGGCCCTTCCCCCTTTGCTCAGCACTTCTCCTTCCTGCTGTCTTGTGAAGAGGGCACCTTGCTTCTCTCTCACCTTCCGCCATGATTGTAAGTTCCTGAGGCCTCCCCAGCCATGCAGAACTGTGAATCCATTAAACCCCTTTCCTTTATAAATAACCCAGTCTCAGGCAGTTCTTTATAGCAGTGTGAGAACGGACTAACACAGAGGGTGTGCACAGCTGGCACTCCCCCATGGGCCCACGCTCCCCTTCCATGCCACAGGTCTATGGGATGAGGAGTCAAGCTAGACACAGAGCAGGGAGGGGGCATTTAGGGGACTTACTCGGAAACATCAGATACTTTCACGTGCTGAGAAAGCTGGTATTTCGGGAACTGCATTGGTTGCTAAATCACTGCCATGGTCAGGTGTTTCTCCAACATCTATGTCAACAACCCACAATATGGATTTCACATTTTATATCATGACGCAGGCCATGTACACATCTTCCCTGAAACAGCGCACACCCTTTCTCCACACCCACATCTCTCGCATTTTCTATTCTGTTTTGTGCCATGGAAAAAGACTACTGCCCTGACCCACAGAATGACATCGCCATGCCTTCGTGGGTCCCAACACCCACGCTCAGAAACACAGGTGTCAGGGCTTGTGCCCTGGGGCTTTGGAGAAGGGAGACAGCATCATAATTTTGATATGCATAGACATTAGTATGACTTTATTCTAGTTATTTATTTATTTCTTGAGATGGAGTCTTGCTCTGTCACCCAGGCTGCAGTGCAATGTTGCGATCTTGGCTCACTGAAACCTCTGCCTCCTGGGTTCAAGCAATTCTCCTGCCTCAGCCTCCTGAATAACTGGGATTACAGGCACCTGCCACCATGCCTGACTAATTTTTTGTATTTTTAGTAGAGACGGGGTTTCACCATGTTGGCAAGGCTGGTCTTGAACTCCTGACCTCAGGCGATCCACCTGCCTCGGCCTCCCAAAGTGCTGGGATCACAGGCATGAGCCACCGTGCCCAGCCTGATTTTATTTTTATTTATTTACTTTTGATACAGGGTCTCACTCTGTTGCCTAGGCTAGAGTGCAGTGGTCCAATCATAGCTCACAGCAGCCTCTACCTCCTGGGGTCAAGCTATCCTCTTGCCTCAGCCTCCTGACTAGCTGGGACCTTGGGTGTGCACCACCATGCTAATTTTTGTATTTTCTGTAGAGACAGGGTCTCCCTATGTTGCCCAGACTGGTCTTGAACCCCCGTACTCAAACGATTCTCCCACCTTGGCCTCTCAGAGTACTTGGATTACAGGTGTGAGCCACTGTGTCTGGCCAGGACTTAATTTTATATTTGTGTACCTTGTTTTCTCATCTTTTGGGTCCCCCTGGGGAGGGAGTGTGTCCTCTTCATGTCTACAGAGGACCTACAGCAGACGAAGTGCTAAATAGGACATGATGATGAATGAATGAATGAACAAATGAATGACTATATAATGACTGTTACTGGTGGCTTCCAGGTGCTGAGGGCGTCCTGGGGTTTGCTACGGCAAACTTGCCATCCTAGAGATGCAGAGCTGGCAAACCGGGTCCTCACCCTGAGATCCCTGGCTCTGCTCCCCGAAGGCAAGGCAGATGGCCGCCTTCTCAGCCCCCGTCCCCTACCAGCCAGGGCCCCGAGCAAACCCTTCTACAGCAGCTGGCCTCTGCTGACCCCGTGATCGGGATCTGCTCTGTTTGGAAGAAGATTCATTCCCTGTACAGTTGACGGCCCCACAGCAGAGCTGCGAGGGTGGGAGGCGCAGCCCGGGTCGGCCTCCAGAAACTTACGGCTTGTTCCCCCTGTCCTGGAGGTGCTGGCTGCCAAGCTGGCAGTGACAGTTTTATTGGCAGGCAGGCCCGCTAGAAGGATTGTAGGCTATTTACAGTGTTGAGGCCATGGCTTTGCAAGGAGACAGTTAACATAAATTCACATGATGGATCCGTTATCACTTCATTGAACTTGTGGCGGACCCATCGAAGGCCGAGCAATAACACACTGTTTCCTGGGTTTGCACAGCCCAGGGATACATTAAATACACTTTATTTATGGCTCACCATCGCGGCACTGTGGGCAGGAGAATGCAGCTTTTGCAACTATCGTCTAATTTTATGATGAGCATTAAAGCCGGGCCTATAATTTGCACCTTTTTATTCATTAGACAGTGGTGCAGCCATAAGTCAAACAGGCCCAGGGATTTAGATGCCGATCCAGAAGATAAACTATTGACAAGCCAGATGTATTTTTACATTAGAGCGCCTTTACAATAGTTTATGTTGAGAGTGGAATATAAATTGCATTATTAAATATGAACCGCTCTTGGAACCCGGCTCGCCAGCCTGCTGGAGGAGGGAGGGGCCCGGGGCCGGGAGCTGGGAGGGCCGCCTAATTTCTCAAGGTTGAATGTATAATTCTGCTCTGTGGGGTTTCTCCGTTCAGAGCCCCCAAGTGGGAGCAAGTGGTGAGATGGGGTGGGGCCATGGGTTCAGAGCGGCTCCTCCCGAGCAGGTGGGAGTCCACCGGGCGGTGCTTTCTGCCCAGCTCCTTCCCGGAAGGAGGTGCAGCCCCTGCCACGTGGGATGCGGTGTGCCCACTTGCCCTCTAGGGGGAGCCCGGGTTGAGGGTGGCAACCTGTGGGGCCTGCCAGACTTTCAGGGGCCCATCACATCCTGTACATTTCAGCAGCCCTGCAGGTTTCCTTGCTAAGAGTTGCTAAGCAGGTTTCCTTGCTAAGATTCTTCATGGGAACCCAAGAGTCCCTGGCAAAATCCACTTTCGTGGAATTACAGGTTCCCTGGGTCACGGCTGACTTGAAGGCCCAAGAACTTGCATGGATCCCGGGGCTTCTCAACCTTAGCCCTGTGGAGTTTTTTGTTGGTGGTGGTTTTTCTTGTTTTGTTTTTTGTTTGTTTGTTTGTTTTTTTGTTTTTTGAGGCAGAGTCTCACTCTGTCCCCCAGGCCGGGGTGCAGTGGCACGATCATGGTCGCTGCAGCCTCAACCTCCCAGGCTCAAGTCATCCTCCCATCTCAGCCTCCTGGGTGGCTGGGAGTACAGGCACAAGCCACCATGCCCGGCTAATTTTTTTGTATTTTTTTGTAGAGCAGGTCTCACCATGTTGCCCAGGCTGGTCTCAAACTTATGGGCTCAATCGGTCCCCCGGCCTTGGCCTCCCAAAATTACAAATTATAGTTCAAATTACAGGTGTGAGCCACCATGCCCAGCAGCCCTGTGGATATTTGGGTGAGATAATTTTGGGTGGTGGGGGCCATCCTGTGCACTGTTGGGTGTTTGCCACATTCCCAGCCTCAACCCCACTAGATGCCAGTAGCACTCACTCCCCGAGTTGTGACAACCAAAACATCTTTTGATATTGCCAGATGTCCCCCTGGGGGCAACATCACCCCCGGCTGACCACCTGCACAGCCTGTCAGGCCGCTAGTCTGCTGGAAGACCCGAGCTGGAAGAAGATCCTTGGCCTCTGTGTTCTCCCTGCAGCCTGGAGAGGGTCAGAGCACACGGTTTCGGACTCCCTCTGGCTCTAAGTGCCTGTGGTTTTAGAAGGGCCGCCCAGGTGTGTGTGCAGCATAGCGGTAGGAAGCTCACCTCTACCACTGCCTCCAGAGTGTCTGCATCAGCGGGTTAGGTGGCTCTGTTGCCCCATGGGTGGCCCAGGCCGCTTTGGCTGCCAGATGTCCCTGGGTATGGAAGGCTGGGGCCCAAGGCCAGTGGGAGAGGAGGGGGCGCTGGGCCCAGGCTATTCCCAAGGCTAGAGCAGAGGATCTCAGTGTCCCAGGGCATCAGCATCCGTCGCAGGACGTGTTACAGTCCTGAATGCTGGGCTGCACCCACAGCATTTCTGATTCCATGGGTCTGAGGCAGGGCTGAAGGCTGCATTTCTTTTTTCTTTTTCTTTTGAGATGGAGTCTCACTCTGTCGGCCGGGCTGGAGGGCAGGGGCTCGATCTCGGCTCACTGCAACCTCCGCCTCCCGAGTTCAAGCGATTCTCTGCCTCAGCCTTCCGAGTAGCTGGGATTACAGGGGTCTGCCACCATGCCCAGCTAATTTTTGTATTTTTAGTAGAGATGGGGTTTCACCATCTTGACCAGGCTGGTCTTGAACTCCTGACCTCGTGATCCACCCGCCTCAGCCTCCCAAAGTACTGGGATTACAGGCGTGAGCCACCGCGCCTGGCTGGAGGCTGCATTTCTAACAATGCCGCCATTGGCCCAAGGGCCACATTGCGAGTCACCATGCCAGACGGAGGCAGGTTGGGGAAATGTGCTCCGGGAAGCGTGCTGAGCAGTCTTTTTAGCTGCCATGAAGCCAGTAACATGCAAAGTCACAGAGGTGGGGCTGAAAGGTCCAACCTCCAAGGCATGGGACCCCAGGGTCGCCCCAGGCACGGCTCCCTCAGAAGCAGAGGATGATGCAGCCCACTCGCTGCCTTTCCTGGCACACTGCTTGTCTCGTCTACTGCTCTTTGGCCATCTCCTGTGTTTCTCCTGGCTGCCCATCCAGATCAGCCCTTAGCACAAGCCCCGCCTCCTCCAGGAAGCCCTCTCTGACTGCTGTAGCCCAGCCTGCTCAGGAACAGGCACACACAGGCCAGCAGCCTTCCTGCCCCTCCCAGGAGCCAGACCCAGCCTCTCAGCATAGAGAAGCCACTGCTGTCTGTGGGACGTTGGGGACAGGCACCATCAAGAGGACACAGTCTAGTGCCAAAAGGAGAGAGAGTCCTTCCAAGGTACTGATGCAGGATCCCCCTGGCCACTATATGAGGAATAGAAAAAGGGGGACAAGCCGGCAAGCAGGGAGCCACCAGAAGACTGCTGCAGGGATCCAGGCAGGACCAGGGTGGCAGCTTTGTAGGGAGGGATTGGATTTGGGAAACGTTTTGAGCATAGAGCTGTCAGGATTTGCTGGCGGAGCAGAGGTGGGATAGGAGAGAGAGAGAACCTTAGAACATCTCCAAGTCTGTTGACTTGAGCGGCTGGAAGGTTAGTGTTGCCAGGAGGAGCAGGTTTGGGGGTGGGAGAGGCGCTGGAGCTCCGTCCTGGCCATGTGAGAGCTGCCGTGAGACACTGTGCGGAGATCCAACTGGCAGTTGGATATTTGAGTCTGGAGCTATGAATGTGGGCGTCCCAGCGCACAGATGGCGTGTAAAGCTGGGAGACTGGGGAGACACCTTGGGAGTGAGTGACGTGATGGGAGCCCAGGCACCGAGCCTGGGGATTCTGACAGTCAGAGGCTGCCTTAGTCTCTGCAGGGACAGCAGTGAGGGTGCCCGGGCCCTGCCCTTACAAAAGGTTCACCTCATAGAGGGCGCTAGAGGCCACCTCAGGAGGCAACATTTAGAGTCGGGGTCAGGGTTTGAGAATATACCAGATGGCCGGGCGTGGTGGCTCGTGCCTATAATCCCAGCACTTTGGGAGGCTGAGATGGGAGGACTGCTTGAGCCCAGGAGTTTGAGACCAGCCTGAGCAACATAGTGAGACCCTGTCTACGAACAAAAGTTAGCCAGGCGTGGTGGTGCACATCTGTGGTCCTAGCTACTCGGGAGGCTGAGGTGGGAGGATCGCCTGACCCTGGGAAATCGAGGCTGCAGTGAGCCATGACTGCATCACTGTACTCCAGCCTGGGCAATAGAGCAAGGCTGTGTCTCAAAAAAAAAAAACAAAAAACAAAAAACAAAAAATAACATTATGCCAGAACATGCCAGCCTTTCTCATGCCTCGGGTGCAGTCGTGTGCAACGGTGAATGCACGTTGGAATCAGCTGGGGATCTCTAAAAACCCCTCTGATGCCTGCCTCCCCCGCCCCGCCCCCACCCCTCCAAGACTCTGATGGAAATGGTCCGAGTAGGGCTTCTGCAGGGCCAGCCAGGAACTCCACAGGTGAAGTGGAGTGGGCAGCCAGGGCTGACCACCACTGCTCTGGGAGGGTCAGAGTCGGGGGGACTGGGCTGGAACAGAACTGAGGGACAGCAGGGGCAAAGTCTGAGCTAGGAAGGCCCCTCTGAGGCCCAGCTGGCAGTTATCATGGGTCTGTGAATGCTGAGCTTGACATCGGGGCCAGGGATGCTGAACAGAACAAGTCCCTGCCCTAAAGTGTCTAGAGGGGTCTGACGGGTGCCCTGGCAGACACTGAGCAGTGTGCTCAGGCCAGACGGGTGGTGGCTCATGCCTATAATCCCAGTGCTTTGGGAGGCTGAAGTAGGAGGACTGCTTGAAGCCAGGAGTTCGAAACCAGCCTGGGCAACACAGCGAGACCCCATTTCTTTTTGTGTGCTTTTTGTTTTTTGAGACAGGGTTTTGCCCTGTCGCCCAGGTTGTCGCCCTAGTACCTCTGGAGGGAGTGTGGCCCTGCGGACACCTTGATTTCCAACTTTGGGTGTCCAGGATCGTGAGGGAACGTACTTCTGTTGATCTAAGCCACGCAGTTTGTAGCTCTGGCAGCCCTGGAAAGCTAACACAGGATCAGGCAGGATTTGCTTCTGTCTTGTCCTCCCTCCCCATCGCCATGTCTCCTCGGAGGAAGTCCCCGCTGCGGAGGACCCTGGGGCTTCCAGGGCCAAGGGGGGTGGCACCATTGCTCTCTGGTCACTCAGGGCCCATGTGCCTCCTTTGTGTCACCACCATGCGTCCTCCAGTGACGCGACTCACAAACACTGGAGGGCCTGCAGCAGATGAGGCCAGCCCACTCGGCCCACCGGGCATGCTGGTGCTCAGATTCCACTATGACCACACCTGTGATCCGTCAGCACTCTCAGGGGTGGCTAGCCAGCAGCTGCCTTCCCTTGGGGAGCCAAGGGCAGGTGGCTTCCTCTCGCCCTGGGTGGAGTGTAAGGGCCTCCCACCAGGACCTCTAGAGAGGCTGCAGGGCACCCGGCCGCAGCCTGGAGCTGCAGTGCCGCGGGCCTCCACACGGGGGCGCCCCTACCGGCTGCGGCGGCGATGGCGGCTTCACCCGCGGTGTGAGACCGCGCTGTCCTGCAGGGGGCGCGCTGCAGTCGGGCTGCAGCGTCTGCGCCGCCACCGCCTGTGCCACGTGACGCTCTAGGCCTCAGTGGCCCCCTCTGTAAAATGGGAATCATAACAGAGCCTACTGTTATTACCCGGGGGCGTTGGGAGGATTAAATGAATTGATATGTTTGGTGTTGAGCACAGAGCCCGGCACGCAGTGGGCGCTGTGAAAGTGTGTGTTAAACCAAGAGAAACAGGAAGGGCAGGGCTGGGCAGTTCGGAGTGCAAGCAGGCACCCTCCTGTCTCCTGGACGGGGACCCCCGCCAGCGATTTGGGCCCAAGACTGGGGTCCCTGGGGGGGTCTCTCGGGCCCTGGCCCCAGATTGCAGGGGGATGGGAGCCTAGGGCATCCTGCGGGGGTCCTGCTTTCCACAGGGTCACCCCAATTTCCACACCCTCTGGACACTCAGCACCGGGAGATGCACCCCAGAAAAGAGCACAGCAAGCAGGGGCTCCACCGCCTCATTCAACCAGGAGAAAGCTGGGGCACAGAGAGGGGCAGGGCCTGGCCCCAGGATGCTCAGCCCAAGCTGGGTCTCAAACAGCAGCCCCAACTCCTTCATGACTTGTTAATTCAACAAACAGCTGCACAGCGATTTTCTGACCAGGCGGGGAGGAGAAGGCAGGTTTTCGGGGCTGCTGGCAGCTGCTCATTTGCAGGCCCGAGCTTGTGAACGGTTTCCACCTGGGGGCGTCGGGGGTGCTTCCAGGTACCATTTGTTCCTGCCTGGAGGGAGCCCCTTCCCTCGGGGAACCAAGGGCTGGTGGCTTCCGGTCGTCCTGGGTGGAGGCTTAGGGCCTCCCACCAGGAACCCCAGAGAGGTAGATGGGGAGAGGGTAGCTGTGTTTCCATGCTTGTATTTTTGGGGGGAATGGCTTCCGGGGTGAGGGGCCGACTTCAGGGCCTTTTTCCTAAAAGAAGCTTCAAGGCCGGCCTCCTCTGGCAGGCCCATGCTGAGGGCTTTCGAAGGGATCCCGTTCAGCCCCACAGCACCCCCCTTGAGGTAGGTGTGATCATTGTCTTTCCGGGGGCCCCTCTCCCATGTAGGCTCATAGTGGGCAGAACTCCCGCCCCACGGCCCATGTACAGGAACAGCCCAGCATGGAAAAGCTGCACCTCTGACCCAGGCAGGCCATCATCGAACCCCCATGTCCCCAGGGTGTGCCCGGGTCATCCTCGCACCCCACCTCGGCCCCCTCCTCCCCTGGTCCCTGGCTGGGCTGCAGCCACAGCTTCTTCTAATGGGTTAAGTGACTTTGCATCAGACACAATCCCGTTGACATTATCGGCATGAATAAAAGATGAGATCTGCTAGGGGTGGCTGTCAGGATCCTCCCCGCACAGGCGAGGCTCCCGGCAAGACTGACAGTAAGAGGCTCTGCGGGAAGGAGCTGGGCGGGGCGGGGGGGGGTGCCCCTGTGGAGCCACTAAATGAGGGATGTCGGTTCCTCCCCCGGAGGCCTGGTGGATGGGAGAAGCCTGGGGCCCACGCGGGAGGCAGTGTGGGGTGGGGCTGAGCAAGGAAGGGAGGAGGAGGAGGAGCAGCGTGCGGGAGTCCCCTTGTACACACGTTCACGGAGCAGCCACTGTGGGCCTTGCCCTGTTCTGGCCAAAAGAAAAAAAAAAAAAAGCAGACAGTAGGAGAGAGAAAGGGGCAGGAGAGAGGGGGCGTTCTGGCCGCAAGAAGCGGCATTCTGACCTGAAGGAGGCGAGAGGAGAGAGATCCAGGCAGAGGCCCTGCAGGTGCAGAAGCCGCTTGGGGACTTGGGAGGCCGGAGCCAGGGAGTGAGGAGAGAGGGGTTTGGGGGCGCTGCTGCCCTGGGTTTGGACTCAGCAGACTCTGGAAAGCAGGCATTGGAGGAAGGGCGGCTGAACCCTCTGGCTGCTCATTAACCAGGCCTGACGCTCGGGGCTCCAGGGGTGGGGCCGCACCCCGCTTGCTCACCTGCCTGGCTGCTTTATCTTGACAACAGATTGCACAAACCCCAGAGCTAATATTGAACTTGCCTGGCTTTTAAATAGCACCTGTAAACACCACTACTCCCAGCCCCTGGTCCACACATCCCTGCCCAAGGAGGCATTGAGGTGAGGCTGGCCCCAGGCACTGCCTCGCAAGCACTGAAGTGGAGCAGAGTCAGCTCCCCAGGAACCAGATCCTCATCATTTGCCCCACCCCTGATGAGCGAAACCTTCTCTGCTCACCTTTTGTGCTGGAAATGGTCAGGGGAACCCTTCTCTGCAGGGAAGGGGCAAACGCCCAGCCAAGCTGGAGAGCCATTTCCAGACCTGCATGGACGTCCTCCCTGAGTGGCAAGGCCAGGCCCTGGGTCAGGCTCCAGCCGGAGATGTCCAATGGCCTCACCCATCGCTGCCTCGGGGGCTCCACCCAGCTGCTGCTCTGCCGTGGCCTCATTCTGCTGCACCTGAGATCCCTGGAGGGCTTCGGAAGTCACCCCCAGCCAGAGTCCCAGCTGCTGTTCCCATCCAGCTGGTCTGGGGTGGCAGGGTTTGGCTTGCTTAAAGCTGGCGATTCCAGTGTGCAGCCAGGGCCTCAACACAGGCTGGGGGGCCGCTGAGCCCCTGGAGAGCCACCATGCACTAACATGGGAACCCCAACGAGAGAGGAGTTAGGGGGCTGTAGAAAAGAGAATGCGCAGTGGGGTAGGGGTGGGACCTGGGTGGGTGGGGTGTGGCCTGGTGTCCAGAGTGGGAGTCTTACTCCACCAAGCAGACCAAACCGTGGCAAGCGTGTATCCCTCTCTCTGTCGCCGCATCCATCCACCTGTCCATCCATCCACTCTCCCACCCACCGCTGCACTTGCTCTCCCTTCTCCTGGAATGCTCTCCCCACGGTCCTGGCCTCTGCCGCTCACAGGCAGGGCCCCTGCAGCCCCAGCCTCGTGGGACATCTTCGGGGAAGACCCCCTGAGGCCCCATCCAGGATGTCAGCCCCAGTACCTGCACCCCACCTGAAGGAGTGACGTGAGGCCACTTCCTGGAGGCTGGCACTGCCTGCTCTCCTCGAGTCCCTCCTCAGCCCTCACCTGCATCCACCAGGGAGGCCAGAGCCTCCTCCATCCATGCCCCACAGCCCAGACCTCAGGATGCTCTTTGGAGCAAGTGTGTTCAGAAGAAGAGTGTTCTGGGGTCTCTTGAAGGAACCAGAAAGAAAGCTCTTGTCCTCCTAATAATGACAACCCGCTTTAATGCATTTGTTCGTTCATTGGGGGACTTACTGAGCACTGTGTTCACAGGACTGGGATGGAACAGGGCACAAAGCCCCCGCCCCTCCGGTGCCAGCGTACAGACATCTTACCCAGAAGTCGAGGCTTGAGGTTCTTGGCGACGGCAGGGTCGCCGCTTAAAACATTTCACCTGTTCGGCCCGGGGCTCATGGGGAGGCTGGGGGCTTCCTGGTGAGAGGCCAGACCTTCTGGAAGCAGCTTGCTGGGGCCACAGGATGCAATGGCAGGGTGTCAGTTAACCAGCCTGGCTGGACACGTGGGGACAAGCCACATGGGAACCCGCCAGCCATGCCTCTAGCCCTGCCTGGCCCTGGGCATGTGCAAGGCTGCCCCTGAGCTGGCCTGGCCGCCTGCAGCCTCCGCCCTCTTCCTTCTCTCCCAGCCCGCCAGGATCTTGCTCACATACTTTAAAACAATCTAAAAGTAATTATTACAAACAGGCTGCTTGGGAACACCTGCTCCCGCCGTCCCTCGGAATCGCTAATGTTCCTGCGCCCAGCACTGACAGGCGCGAGGGCTCCTCACGCCCCGAGTCGCCAGATGCTCTGCGCCATGGCACCCCCCTCACCACCCCCTCTGCGTGGCATGGCGAGGGCCGCTGGAGCCTGTGTTTCCAGCGCTGCCCGCGCAGCTGTCACTTACAGCGATCAGTGGAAAAATCATCACCCCACGAAGTCATACATATGGAACATCATATTTGCAGAATATTTATTTTAACATGTGTCAGGGCCTCTTCGGGTTGCAGGCAGAGCTCTGCCTCCCATGCCAGGCAGCTGGAGCAGGGCAGGCAGAGGGCCAGGGTGGAGAGCAAGCTCCGAGCAGGCTGGGCTGGACTGGACTGGGCTGGGGGCCCCGGGCCACTCACCCAGGACTCCGGTCGGCCCTCCCTGGGCGCCCTGGGGCGGGGGGTTGTCCCAGCAGCCACTTGCATCCCTGGCTGTCCCTGCATTGTCCCAGCTGCCTGTTCTGTACCATCTCAGTTAGGGGCCAGCCACGATAGAAGCTGCTTGAGGCATTTCAACAGAGAGGATTTGACTCTTGGCACTGCTGAGCAGGTGCTGGAGGACCCAGAAGGCAGGAGGGGATGCACGGGTGATGTGAGGTGGTGACAGCAGGAAGCAGCCCCACCCCCAGGGCCAAGGGAAAGGGTGGAGTTGCTGGACCCAGAGGCTTGGTGGAGGATGGATCTGGGACTGACCTTGGAGGCAGGTGTGCTGCCGGGCTGGAGCTGCGAGTGTCAGGGGAAGGGAAGTCGCCCGTGATGCTCATGAGACAAAACCCATCTTGTGGTGGCAAAAAGGGGCTGGTCTCCTCCTAGCGGGATTTGGAGCGGAGCCACACCGATGCACGCTTTGGCGGAGACTGAGCCGCAGGGAAGAGGCGCAGTAAAGGATGTTGTCACCCAAACATGGCCACCCCACCCACCCTCCAAGGCAAGCCTGCCCTGCCCACCCAGAAAGTCATGCAGCCCCGCTTACCCATCGCACTGAGCAGTCTTATCTCCTGACCACTTACCACTAGGAAGAAGCAATTTTGTTCCCATTTTACAGGAGACTGAGGCTGAGAGACGAAGTAACTTTTACTTTGGTTAAAAATCCATGGCAAGTAAAAGGCAAGGAAGAATCTGAACATCCTAGACTGAGACCTCACAATATCATCCCTTTCTTTTAGATGGGGAAACTAAGGCATGGAGCGGTGGAGTTTCCTGCCCACAGTTGTTCAGCTTGTCAGTGGCGAGGCCGGGATTCAAACTTTAGACAGTCATGCTCTGGAATCCACACTTTTAACCACCACTCTCTAAGAATGAATGGAAAATGGATGGATGGATGGATGGATGGATGGATGGATGGATGGATGGATGGGTAGATGGATGGGTGAATGAGAGGGAGGGAGGAAGGAAGGAAGGAAGGAAGGGTAGATGTATGTATGGATGGATGAATGGATGGGTGGGTGGGGTGGATGGATGTATAGTGGATAGATGGATGGCTGGATGGATGGATGGATGGATGGTAGATGGTGGGTGAATGAATGTGGATGGATGGATGAGTGAATGGATGAATGGATGGATAGATGGGTGGGTGAATGGGAGGAAGGAAGGAAGGGTGGGTGGGTAGATGTATATATGGATGGATGGAAGAAGGGTGGGTGGGCTGGTGGATGAATGGATGATAGATGGTGGGTGAATGAATGTGGATGGATGGATGAGTGAATGGATGAATGGGTGGGTGGAAGGAAGGAAGGAAGGGAGAAAGGGAGGGAGGGAGGGAGGGTAGATGTGTATATGGATGGATGGATGGAAGAGTGGGTGGAAGGGTGGGTGGATGGATGGATGATTGAATGGTGGATGGATGGGGGGTGAATGAATGTGGATGGGTGAATGAATGGATGGATGGATAAATGGAAGAAGGACAGATGTAGGTAGATGGGTAGGTGGGTGGATGGGTGAATGGAAGGAAGGAAAGAAGAAGGGAGGATGGGTAGATGGGTGGGTGGATGGATGGATGGATGGATGGATGGTAGATGGAAGGATGGATGGATGAATGAACCACAGAAAAATATCCTCTTAAGCTATGTTATTTCCAGTCACTGGGAGTGTGCTAAATTAACCCTGGCTTCAGCCCACTTCTGGTGGCTCATGCATCCTCATCTTTTATTTTGTAGGGAGAAGTGCTTGAAAAATGTCTGGTGAGGGTAGAACAGAACATGGACTGTGGTGTGTCCCATAGACCTTGGTTTGAATCCTGACTGTGCCCCTTACTGTTGAGTGACCTGGGGGCCTCAGTTTGCCTGCCTAGGAAATGGAGCTATGAGGCTGTCCCCGCTTCTGTCCCCACCTATGAGCCCAGACCTCACATTGGGAACAGGCTCAGTATGTGGTGGCTATGCAGTGTCAACCCCAGCACCAGCACTGTGAGTCCTGGGGTCCTGGGAGTGGGACAGCAGCTGCCCGCAGGTTCAGGCAAATTCAGCCCTTGGAGAAGTATCTCCCAGACCCTCCAGGGTGCCTGAGTTCAAAGCAAAGCAACACTGTCTACGGATTATACAACTCAGGCACAAATGTGAGCCACGTGCTGGCTTAGGTTTTATTTCCAGTAGTCACCTTTAAAAAAGAAGAAAGAGTGAAATTGATTTTAACAATATGTTTTAGGCCGGGCGCAGGGGCTCAGGCCTATAATCCCAGCACTTTGGGAGGCTGAGGTGGGTGGAGCACCTGAGACCAGGAGTTTGAAACTAGCCTAGGCAACATGGTGAAACCCCGTCTCTAGTAAAAATACAAAAATCAGCCGGGCATGGTGGCAGGCACCTGTAATCCCAGCTACTCGGGAGCCTGAGGCAGGAGAATCGCTTGAACTCGGGAGGTGGAGGTTGCAGTGAACCAAGATCGCGCCACTGCACTCCAGTCTGGGCGACAGAGCAGCACTCCATCTCAAAAAAATGGTGAAACCCCATCTCTACTAAAAATACAAAAATTAGCTGGGCGTGGTGGCATGCGCCTGTAGTCCCAGCTACTCAGGAAGCTGAGGCAGGGGAATCGCTTGAACCCAGGAGGTGGAGGTTGCAGTGAGCCCAGATCGCGCCACTGCACTCCAGCCTGGGCGACAGAGCAAGACTCCGTCTCAAAAATAAATAAATAAATAATATGTTTTAACAAACCCCATATATCCTGTTACTATTTCAGCACATGGACAATATTAAAAAATATCAGTGAGATATTCCATATCCTTATTTTTGTCCTAAATCTTCAAAAGCCAGTGTGAATTTGAACCTAGAGCACATTACAGTTGGACCCAGCCACATTTCAAGTGCTCCATGGCCATGCGTGGCCCGTGGCTGCTGTATTGGACAGGACCTGCTGCATTGGACAGGACCCAGATAGACCCCTTGTTCAAGGGGCTTCGGTGCTGGGAACTGGTGCATCTCGCCCACCCTTGTCTCTTTGAGCCTCTCCAGATCCCAGGCAGGAGGGAGAGCAGGGGCTGGCCCCTCATTAGCAGGGCAGGCTGAGGGCCCGAGACAAGGTCCAGCCCCGGCCCTGGGCTCCTGACCTGGGCTTCCTGCACCACCCAGGATTCCCTCGTGCCTTGGTGAGAGCTGTGAGGGGCAACGATGGGCAGAGGCAGGTAGGTGTCAGGCATGGCATGGCTCTAACTTCGGAGCCGACCGTCTGGCTTCAGAGCTCAGCTCTGCCACCTGCTGGCCCTGTAACGCTGTGTAAGTGATTGAACCTTACCAAGCCTCAGCTTGCTTAGCTGTAAAATGGGGCGATAATCGCCCCTGCCTCACGGGGTGCTGAGGCAGTGACGTAGCGCTTGGAACCAGCACTGCTAGCAGTTTATTCCCCTGCCTCACTAAGACAAGGTGTTTTGGGTCCCTGTGGGGTTTCTGGAGTGGGCAGGTGAGTGAGGCTGCAGGCCAGCCCCTGAGGGCGGTCCTCTGATGGGGACACCTGGCTGAAAGGTAAGCCCTCCCCTGAACTGGACTGTCCACAGCCCCAGAAGATGAATTTCACTGTTGGCTCCTGTTTGAATTCACCTCCCACCCCCCATTCTAGTTACCAGGGGTCCAGTGGGTGGGAGCGGGCTGGGGGATCCTTGGCAGTTAGGGGAAAATCGATTCTGCTTCCAGTAGACAAACGCCTGGGGGGTCCCTGGTGTTGACAGCAGACCAGTAAACTGTCTTTGTCACTGGCCGGTGAGCTGTGGCCACCGTCCTGGGCAGCTGGAGTGAGCAGTAACATTTGTAAGGTACTCCTTCTGCCCAGCCACCTTGGAGAATCTCAGCTTCATAACACAGCAGCGTGCACAACGCACACATACAACACGTGCACATACATGGGGCGCCTACAGCTCCGAAGCCTCCGCACGCTGCATCACTCACGGTAAACAGCCGCAGGAGCAGCAGGTGCCTGCTCATCACAAGCACATGCAACATACATGCAGAGGTGCAGGTGGGGAGACAGCCCAGGGCATGCACGCCTTCTCAGGACACACAGCCCCCGCCCAGGACCTGTGTCCGGAGCACCCCCCAGGATGCCCGGCAATGCCAGGTGCCACGGTCACATTCTGTGTGGCATGCATCACTGGCATGTTCTGCCACGGGCATGTGCATGGAGGAGCTCCCCGCAGGGTCTTCTGTCTGGGGGCAGAGCTTCTCCATGCAGGAGTTGCGCTGCTGCCCCGAAACATCCTCCCTGGAAGCCGAGTGCAGAGGAACCAAGGACGGGGGCTCTGGTGGCAGAGGCAGGCACAGCTGTGACAAGTGCGAATCTGCTAGTGAGGCGTCATCATGTCCCTCCTTGCCCAGAACCTTCCTGTGGCTCCCATGTCCCTGGGGACAAAAGCCAGAGTCCTTAGCCTGGCCTCAAAGCCTGGTGTGATCTGTTCCATGGCCCCCAGCATCTCCTGTCCTCACCTCCTCCCAAGATCTCCCTTGCTGGCTCTGCTCCAGCCCCACAGGCCTCCTCCCCTGTCCTCAGACCTGCCCCAGGGCCTTTGCCCCCACTGTTCCCTCTGCCTGGAACGCTGCTCCCACCTGCACAGCCCTGCATGTGGCTCTGAGCCCCCTTGCTTCCCGCACAGCCTCCACATGGCCTCCTTCCATTCCTCGATTTTCCATTTTTCTCCAGAGCTCTGGGTCACAGCGAGCTTACTCATGGATGTGTGTGTGTGGTTATTCTCTGTCTCCTTGCTGAGCTGTCAGCTCCACCAGTGACCTGTTCTCCTCCGTGCAGTTCCCAGGACTGTGAACAGAGCCTGGCATTCTGCGGGGGCTCGGTAAAAACGTGCAGTAAGCACAGGTCAGGGAATTTCATTCATTCTCCTGTCTCTTCACCTCCTAGTCCTCGGGGAATCCATCGGGGGTTCAGTCGGAGCCCAGTGATGTGTGAGCAGGGTCCCTGCAATATCTAGCACTTTTTGAGCACTTACAACATCCCAGGGGCGAGGCTAGGAACGTTGCCCGTGAGCACATTTAATCCTCACAACCTCATGGGTCATGAAGCCCATTTGACAGAAGAGGAAACAGATAGAATGCAGTGAAGGATGAGGCCAGCCCCAGAAGCAGTTTGGAGCAAAGAAACACACAGAAGGAAGAACCGAGATCAGCCATGATAATGGCCGGACACCCAGACAGCCTCCCGTGCAGTCCTCATTCCCAGTCACAGATGGGGGAAGAACCACAGAGAGGTTCAGCAACTTGCCTAAGGTCACCCAGCCCGGTAGGGCCAGAGCCAACTCCAAGAGGGACACAGGTGGGAACTGTGCTGGGAGGGTGGCCAAGGGAGCCCGGCCTGGGAATGACCTTGGAAAACTTGCCCTGCACCTCGAAGGCCAGGCCAGGGGGCGGAGGGGTGAGCATGGAGCCACACAGCGGCGTTCAGCCCTCTCCACACGGCAGTCACTTGGGAGCTGCATGGAACGGGGACGCCTGGTGCCACCCCCAGAGGCTCTGGCTTGATAGTCCCCAGGTACGGGCTGGGCACAGGGCGGCGGCAGTCTAGGGCATTCGTCTGAAGGGCACCGCTGGGGAAATCCTGACGTAGGCACACACGTGCATGACCTGCCCGCCTCCATCAGGGCCTGGAGCGGAGGTCCCCCCACTTAGCGGGCAGCAGAATCCCCTGAAGGCAAATGCAGGTTGCCGGGCCCTGCCCCGGGGTCTCAGACACTGCAGGTCAGCGTGAGGCCTGGGAGCCTGCGTTCCCACCCAGCTCCCAGGAGAGGCTGCCGCTGCTTAAGACTCTGCACTTTGAGAGCCGCTGATACAGAACATTTCCAGCCCCGCCGCAAGGCCCTGGGCTGAGGGTTTTTTAAAGCTCCCCAAGTGATTTTTGAGTGCAGCTCAGGTTGAAAGCCACTGCCTCGGGGGGCGGATTTCTCACATCCTGGATTCAAGCCCTCCTGAGCTTGGCTCAGAATTGCACCAAGCTCCAGGGGTGTTAATCTGCAAAACCTCTCAGTCTAGCCTGATAGGGCGGCAGGCAACGTGAGGGGCGCGCAGGAGCCAGAGACCCAAGGAGGGAAGCCCCTGGGGTGAATGTGGAGGAGCTGCTGGCAGAAGCCAGCCTCCAGGCCCTGTCCATACGGGAGCTCGCTCAGGCCCAGCCCGCGGTGCCGCATGATGGCGTATGGCAAAATCTTTGTGTTTTCAAAGAGAAGCCAGAAGTCCAGATTTTTCTGTCAAATCTGATTTTTAAATGTTGGCAACTAATGCGAAAATACAATTCTTACGTTACCGCGGGGCGAAAAACACACAACGCCCCTACCGTGTTTGCAGGCCACACTTGCAGAGCGCGTCTCTGATCCAACGCCTGCTGTCCCCAGATCTGATCCTTTGAGCATCAGGGCTGGAAAGTCGCCTCCGGGGTGGTGGCCGTGGCAGCCTCAGAGGTTTCTGCCCGTGCTCCCCGAGACACTTGGCCATGGCACCTGCCTCCCGCCATTGGCCTTCCGTCCTCCTTCGGAGCGAAGCTCCACCCAGCCCACCTGGACAGGAGCTGGCCTGTCTGGCACTCTGAGCACCCAGGGCCCAGAGGGTATCTGGGCCGCCTTGCCTCCCTGGCCCCCCAGCCACCCACGCACCCTCTCCTGACAGCTTTATCAAGCCTCCAGCCTTCCCAATCCCATTGTTCCTGACATCTGTTTCAGTAAGTGATTAATTGCAATTAGCTAGCGGTTTGAAAGCCCTGGAAGAATACTCAGCAGAAAACTCATCAAGATTAATGAGTGGCGGGGCTGTGGGAGGGGCATCCCAGGCACAGCACGGCATGGGCGCCTGGTGGAATCCTCGCCGCCTGGGCGAGTGCTGGGACGCACACCGGAGGTGACCGTCTAGCTGCACGCCCCCGAACTCACCCCTCACCCCTCTTCCCCCATAAACGACCACTGGCTGACTTCTCATCAAAATGCATGAATTACCCGCTAATAGGCTATTAATAAAGCCCTTAGAGTGTCATAAGGTTAGGTTCTATGCATGCAGAATGGATTGCCGTGCTTCCAGAACATTCTGCCATTGGCCAAGACGGGCACGCCCAGATGGAGGAGGGAGAGGGTCTGTACACAGCCATCCCTTCCAAGTAATTTTAGGGAACTGAGGATGCACTTGAAATCAACAGTCAAGTCCGTATTGAAGTGAAACCTCCTCCCCAGAGGTGGGAATTCTCAGTAGCGTTCACTTCACAGGCAACGAGAGACTGGGTGGGAAGAGGGAGAGAATGAGCTTGAAGCTCTGACCCAGCCCACTGTCTCCCAGGTGCCGAGCAGCTGAGCTGCACATCCCAGAACACACAACTGCACAGGGTTCTTTCCACGCTTTGCTTGCGTGTTCTCTTCAGGGCCCTGCCTGCAAGCACATATGTTGCACGTCGTGGCAGGTGTCATTTGTGGGGCATATTTTATGCCACCTTTGTGTGTTTCCACGGTTCTCAGCATCTCTCCTCTTCCCCCATTTCTAATGAAAAAACAGGCATTCTTGAGGGACCACTGTGTATCAGGTGTTTTCCAGGTATTCTCTGCAATGCTTCCAACAGTCCTGAAATGCCCCCAGTTGACAGATAGGAAAAGCAAGGCTGGGATGCTTCAGCAGCAGGCCCCAGGTGCACAGGTGAGGATGGAGCTGGGATTTGAACCTCGGTCTGTCTGGTTGGGGATTTTTGCCTACCCCGGCACTCTCTGCAGCTCTATACGGGTCATCCTGTGGCTCCAGGACTTACTGGGGTGGCAGATAGGGACTGATCTGGCATCCAGAGGCCTAGAGCGGTCACACTGTGGATGGAAGAGCCCCGTTTTTATCTTGTGCTTTTTCAGATCTGCTTGGGGGATCAGGTGATGATAAGTCCCCCCCAGAGACTTCCCTGGGGCAACTTGGAATGGGGCTCAGGGGTTCAGGGAGGCTCAGCACCAGCCCCAGGCAGGTGCTCTCTTGTTCAACAGAGGGCCTCGAGCTGTGGGCGAGTGATGCAACCAGCCTTGGGTTCAACACTGGCCCCAGACATTCTCTTGCTTGGTTTACATTGTCATTTTCATTTAATCTTCATAAGAACCCCAAAGAAACATCTCTTATGCCCATTTTACAGGCAAAGGAACTGAGGCACAGAGAGGTTAAGTCACCTGGGTCCAGTTACCAGATTATAAAAGTAGAGTTGTGATTTGACTTCAATCCTTTACTTTCCCACAAATTACTTTCCCTGCCCTCGGCCAGCCTTAGAGAGAGAAGCAGGAGTGCACACCACTGGCCGTGATCCCTGGCCACCCCCAGGGACCTCTGCTGCCCACTCACTGTAGCGTCCTGACAACTCTGGGCCCTGCTGTTTGGCATTGGTGTCTGTATCTCTGACCAGATGAAGGCTGTGTAGATGGATGGATGAAGAGAAGGATCCTGGATGGATGGATGGATGGATGGATGGATGGATGGATGGATGGAGAGATGATTGGGTGAATGTTGAATGGATAGATACTTGCATGGGATTGGATGAGCAGAAGGATAGATGGGCCAGTGGATGTTGGATAGATGGTGGATGGAGGGTCAGATGGATCAATGGATGCTGGATGGATGGATGCTGGATAGATGGATGTTGGATAGATGGATGGATTTTGGATGGGTAGAGAATGGATGAATGGATGGTGGATAGATGTTGGTTGTACAGATGGATGGAAGTGGTTTGGATGGATGGATGGATGTTGGTTAGATGACTAGATGGAAGGATGGAAATCTCTGGCTCTGGGAGGGGAAGCAAGAGCCATAATTCCTCATATCCCTAGTGGAAAGGGGGACTAACTAGCTCCAGCCCTAGGCCTGCTCAGCTGGGCACAACCCAAACCTGAGGGCCTGTGGGCACCAATCTCCCACCCAAAGGGGCAGCAGAAATTCTCCAGTATCAAAGTCTGAAGGACTGTGGCCCAACTCCTCACCAGGAAAGAAACTGAGACTCAAAGATGGGAGGAGACTTGCCATGGTCCCAGGATTTATTTCCCACAGGGCTGGGGACTGCAGCCTCATTTCTGTGACATACTAAGGGTCCCAAGGAACGCCTTACAGCCCCTCCTGCCCCATGAGCACCATCTAGGGCATGGCCTAGGAGTCACTAGGATGGTGGTCTAATAATAATAATAATAATAATAATAATAATAATAATAATCAGTGCCGTCCGCCTCCTGTATACCCGGTGTCAGCGCTTTACTTGTATGTGTAACTCCTTTTATTTCCCCAGTAATCCAGTAAGGGAAGGACTGCTGTGTTATTACCTGCATGTTACAGATGAGGAAATTGAGGCACAAAGAGGTTGAGCTGTTTGCCCAAGGCTCCAGTTAGAAAGTGTCAGAGCCAGGCTGGTCACGGCAGCTCATGCCTGTAATCCCAGCACTTGGGGAGGCTGAGACAGGCGGATCACTTGAGGTCAGGAGTTCAAGACCAGCCTGGCCAACATGGTAAAACCCCTTCTCTACTAAAAACACAAAAATTAGCCAGGCATGGTGGCACGCATCTGTAATCCCAGCTACCGGGGAGGCTGAGGCAGGAGAGTGGCTTGAACCCGGGAGGCAGAGGTTGCAGTAGCCAAGATCGTGCTTCTGCACTCCAGCCTGGGAGACAGTGAGACTCTGCCTCAAAAAATAAAAGGAAGTATCAGAGCCAGAATGGAAAGACAGGCCAGGGGCTGGGCTTGCCCATCTTGGTCTGCTGCCCCGTCCTACTGGGGTGGGCCCCTGTGGTCGCAGCCTTTCCCTGTCCCCTCCCCAAACTGGCAGCAAGGCGGCTTCGTGGCTGTGCAGCCTCAGCAGTCACACAGGCCCCACACTCAGGAGGGCCTACGCTTGGTTTTATTGCCCTGGTGTTGCCATCTTGATGCGCTTAATCATTTTGGAACAGGAGGTCCCCATTTTCATTTTGCACTGGGGTCCCTCCAGCCCCATAGCCCCGATTCCCTGTCCAGGTCAGGCAGAGGCCCAGGCAGGCTGAGATGTGGCAGCAGGGCCTAGATGCCCAGAGCCTCGGCCCTGCACACGCCAGGAGGTGCCCTTTATGGAGCAGCCTCCTGGGGGGCCTGGCCTGGGTCCTCCTTCTCCCCAGCTCTAGAGATGGAGACCTGTGCCCTCCCACCACCCCCTCCCCCACTGTGGTAGAAATTCCTCTTAGACTGTGCCCTCCATGGAGGAGCAGCCTTCCAGGGGGCCCGGCCTGGGTCCTCCCTCTGCCCAGCTCTAGAGATCGAGACCTGCACCCTCCCTCCCTCTCCCTCGACTGCAGCGGAAATTCCTCTGAGCCTGTGCCCTAGATCTGTCACAGCCCCCCGCAGCAGGTGCGCCCATCTGACTTCTGGGGCGGGTCCTGGGGGAGGGGCTGGGGGCTGAGGGAGGGGAGGGGTCTGTTGCTTTCCTGCTGCCCCTGCAACTCCTCCCCTTGAGTGGGTTTTGAGGGGGGATCTGGGCTTGATGGGAATGTCTGAGAGGGAAGGGGAGAGGGAGAGACGGTGTAGGATGAGGATGGCCTGGGAATGGGCAGCAGAAATTCCCTCTCCTGACGTCTCCACGCAGCTCTGTGACTCCATCCCTGCCTGTGTGTACCTCAATTTCCTCATCTGTGCAAGAGGCCTGGGCTGAGGGTTGACCAGGGGCCGTGCACCCAGTGGGCCCTTCGGCTGTAGGTGGATCTGTGGGTCCCATGTTCCCCAGGCAGGAAGCTGAGGCCACAGGGGACTTGTGTGTGCCTAAGTCCTTGGTACCCCACCAGCCCCATGTAGTCACCCCAGAAGGCAGGTGGGGTCTGGGGCTCCCGGATCTCACCAGTGTGGTTGGCGTGGGTCTGCATTTCCAGGGCCAGAACCCTGCTGGGCAGCTTCCAGAAGCTTCTTTAAGCTGTCTGCATCATCGTACCCCCCAACCTCTACAGCCTTCCAGAAACGTTAGGAGTCAGGGGTCACTGAGTGGCCTTGCCCAGCCCTGGGTTAATGGGGTAGCTCCTTGAACTTCCTGTTCTCTCCTCCAAAAGTTCACCCCTAAACTCCTCTCCTCTCCTTCCCTTGCTCTTAGCAAAGCAGCCCGTGAAGGTATCAGAGCGCAGGAGTCCTGCAAGCCAGCTTTTCTTATTCCAGTTCTGCAGGTAGGGAATTTGCCCAGAGAGCTCAAGACACTGTCTCCGGCCACTGTGGATCCTGGCCCAGCCCATCCTAGCCCTGAGTCCAGCCCCAGCATCCCGGCGTCTCTGCTCAGTCAGCCACACTCCAGTGCGATTCTGCCAATCTGCCCTCTCCCTGGTTGATCTTTCATTTTACTTGGGGTAACTCTTAGCCTAGAATGCAGGAGGTGGAATTTGTTTTTCCCAGGAACAGGGGGCCTCCCTTCCTCTGTGGGGGCTAACAGTGAAACTCGGCCCAGAGTGTGAAGGCGGGGACCTCGGTAGCCCCAGTGGGGTTAGGATTTGACCTCCCAGAGAGTCCCGGGAGGCAGCTCTAGCCCCAGGCCCGGCCAACTGGGCAAGGCCCAAACCCCGAAGGGCCCGTGGGCGCCTGTCTCCTGCCCGAGGGGCGGGCCAGCTGCCTGGCAGAGTCCCCGCTGGCCAGGTGCCTGGTTCCGGGCTGGGACCCCACGCGCGCTGCCAGGCTGCCGGGCTGGTGGTGGGAGCCCGCAGGCCAGAGTGTGGGCTGGGCTCGGTTCCCCCATCCCACGCAGTGGGCGGCCCGGGACTGTGGGGGCGGGCTGGAGGCAACCTTGAGCTCATCAGTGGGAGACATCTGCTTAAAAAATGTGGGGATGGGGAGGGGAGGTTACCGTCGAGGTCGACGCGGCGGAGCCCGGGCAGAGGCCTACTCCCCTCCCCAGCGACTTTTGGCCTCTGAGCAGATGGCGGGGGCGGGGGCATGGGCGCAGCCGGCCGGTCTCACAAGCTACCACACCCATGAAATTTCCCATTAAGGGAGGTGGGGCGACGAGGCGGCCTGCCCCTCCCCACAGTCCCCCAACCCTCTGAGGCCATCTGATCTCCCTCCCTGCGGACGCCTCCGCCGCCGGGCTCCCCAAGGAGGCTCCTGGGGTCACAGAGGCCCCCTGCACGCCCTCCAAACAATCTTCAACCCCCAAAAGAAGTGGGGGAGGGGCGAGGAGTGCCGAGGAGGCCTTTTTACATGTAAATAGAAGAACTGGCCTCCTGGAAGGCTTTTTTCCCTCTTCTCATTTTTATTTCTAGAAAGCAGGATGTTGCCAAGACCCGGGGCCTCCTGCTGGACCGGGAGGCAGCCGTATGGTGCCTGGGAGGAGAAATAAGGAAATAATGACATCTAGGGAGGCGGCACCCACACCCACCCTGGGGGAGGAGGGAGCTACGTGTTTGCACAGCCCTGCGGGTTCTACCAAGGAGAAGGACGAGGAGGGGCAGCCACATGCTCGGGGGATTGGGATCGGAGACCAGGAAGGGATCTGGGCTGGAGCCTCAGCCTGCGCAGGAGCCGCCTGTCCTACCTGTCTCCTGCCCCACCTGGACCTGTTTCCCCACTTAAAAAAGTCAATCTGCCTCCTAGTTACCTTCCTCCTGTCTAGGAATCCACAGATCAGGGCTGGGGGATCCAGGAGGCCGAACACCACCGCCTAGAGCTAGCAGGGGCTATGTTCAGTGGTTGGACCGGCTCTGGGTTTAAATCTCCCTCCCACCCTTTCGCTGTGTGGTGTCAGGCATGTTGCTGAACCTTTCTGAGCCTGCCTCCTTGATGACAATAGTACCTGCCTCCCATCATAGGGTTGCATGGGGATTAAGTCACTTATGTGTGGAAGGTGCATAAATAACAGCTATTCTAACTAGTGTTATTACTGCTCAGGAGCTAGTTCCGTGTCCGAAGCTCTTCCAGGCTCATCTGGGGGAGGCGGGAGAGGGGTTCTGTTCTCAGCACCCCAGGGGCTGCCTACCTTTCTCTGTGTCCCCCGGATAGGATACTGTGTTTTCGTCTCTGCCTCCCCCGTCAGTCTGTGAGCCCCCACGGGGTACCTAACACAGGTAGACACTCTGTAGAGTGTGTGGAATGAGAGAGTGAATGAATGAAGACTTGATACTCCAGATGCTGGAGGATTCAGCCCAGCCCGGGGGACCTTGCAAGGCCATGCGGTGGTGTCTTTCCGGGTCTGTGCTGCTCCTTGCTGGGGAAAGTGGGGAGTGGTGGCCTCTGGGGAGGGACAGGAGGCGGAGGGGCGCACCCCGCTCTGTTCTTGGTACCCGCGCCTGCCCAGAGGTCCTTCGTGGGCAACATCAGCTGCCGCCTGGAGAGGCTCTGTGGTGGTGGACCTGCTCTAAACGCTGCCTCACTTAATCCTCGGGACAATCTAGAAGGTAGGTGCTGTCAGCCTCTTCTTTTACAGATGGGGAAACTGAGACCCACAGCAGTGGAGTCACTTGCCCATGCTCTTACAGCTCGGAAGGGAGTCACCAGAATTCACACCAAGCAGTTGCTTCCAGAGCCTGCGTGTCCCAGCCACAGCCTCTTGGGCCTCTGTTTTTTGAATGACTGCTTGAGCGAGTGATCGCTGCCTTGAGTTCTTGGGGAACTTTGTATAAAGTAGGTGTGAGCACCTGAGTTTCAGGGGTGAAGAAGCAAAGGGTGCTGGGACACTCAGCTGTGGCTGGCAGAGCTGGGACCAGCCCTCAGGTCTGTGGGCACTGTCTGTGCAGCTCCCGTACTGACCACTGCGTCCTGGGAATCTACCCGTGCAGTCCTAGGGTAGGGATCCCCCCGCGGCCTCCTGCCTGCCTCCAGGGGCCACCTGAGCAGGTGTGGGCCTGCACCTCTGCCCCAGGCCCTGTGATCAGAGTCAACCTCCCCACACGGTGAGGCAAAGCCAAGATCACCCACAAAGCCCAGGGGAACATGAGAGCCTCCTGACCTGCCCTCTGGCCCTCTGAGGCCCCCAGCCAGGGCTGTCAGGGGTCATTCAGCAGCCACTCTGTCTGCAGACCCGGGGGACGTGCCCTGCCTGCCCTGGCCCCTCACCCGGCACTGACCTGGATGGTGATTTATGTGGCTGAGGCAAAAAGCCACTGAGGTGGGGCCCGGGAACAGGGGTTAGGACAGCCAGGAGGCACCAAGAATGAGGGTGGTGGCCTGCCCCATGACCCAGGTGGCCAGAGAGGGGCAGTGGGGGCGGCCTCGGGCGCTGGCCTCCCTGGGGCAAGATGAGGCCTTGATTCCTGCCATCTGGCTCTCTCAGCCTTGGAGGCTGGGGGTGCCCCTCCACCACTGGCTCAAATGGCCGAGCAGGAGGGGGAGAGACAGATGGCAGTGGGCTCACAGAGGTAGAGGGTGTACTTTGTTCAGAGGCACTCACAGGCGGGGAAACACACGGTCTGTCACACACACACACACACACACACACCCCAGGCGTCACACTGAGGTGCTTTGTAATTCTCGGCCTGTGTCAGTGGGGGGTGGGCTTCTGATGGGCCTGCAGGTCCAGCCTCGCCTGGTGAAGACACTCCCCAACACACACAGACATGCATGTGCACACACATACATGCAACAAAAGTGCACACACAGGTGCTCAGAGAGCCACAGATCCACATGCATGCACACACACAGACACACACACAAAAGTGAGTGCACACATGTGCACAGAGATTACAGATCCACAGGCACAGATGCATGCATGCACACACAGACACATAAACTCACAGGCATGCACACATATGTGTACACAGGTACACACAGGCATGCACACCCACAGATACATACATGCATGCACACAGGCATACGCAGAGACACTCAGGTACACAGACACACATTATTACATATGTGCACATGCATGCATATGCAAATATGCACAGTACACAGACTGCACAGAGCTCCACAGACATACACTTGCACCTTCGGGTTTAAGCCCTGAGCAAATTGACATCCCGTGTCTTGTTCTCCACAGTGTCTCCAGTGCCAAGCATGGGGCTGGGTGTGGTAAATGTTTGTCGAGTCAGTGAATGCATGGATGGCTCGAACCGTGTCTTGACTCAGCAACACCGGGACCAGTGGGGTCTGGAGGTGAGGATCAGGAGACAGTCAGCCCTCTGCTTTGCTGGAGACTGGGGAACACCTTTAGGACATTCAGAGAAGGACAGCTGCAGGCACAACTTGCTCTAGCAAATCACAAGCCTGGATTGAGGCCTCAGGATTCCTTGTACCGTGTTCCTTTCCACTGCCCAGAGATAGCCAGCTGCTGGACTAAGCACTTGCCATCTGGGGGAGGCGCTTCCTTGGGTTCCAGAAGTTTCACGTGCATCTGAGATGAACCTGCTGCAGCAGGAGACGGACAGCTGGCCAGTCCTAAACATCGTCTTTCTCACACCCACCCCAGAATGAGGACTCGGCTGCTGATCTTCAGCCGACACTGGGAGGACCTGGGGTTAACTTTGCCAAGGGCCACACCAGATTCCCTGGCTGGGGTCAGTGGTCACTGGTCAGCTGGATGCTAACCTGACTGGGTCTCATTCCCTGCAGCTTTTACTTTTTTCAGGTTGGGTAAGTTCTGGTGCTGAGGCCCCAGGAACCATCACGGGGGCACAGCGCGGCCTGGAATATGCCCGTGGAGGTGGGGCCTTGCTGGGAGCTTTTCCTGCAGCTTTGGAAACTGTGGGCTGCAGTGAAGCCAGGCAGGCCACATCTGTGCCCTGGGAGGCCAACTGGCTCAGCCCCGGCCTGGCTTCCCGAGGACGCGGTCCCACCGGAGTCCTCACCCATCATGCGGGGCCTCGTGGCAATTCGAGCCCTGGGCCACTTGCCGGGGGTGGGCCTGAAATGCACACGTCCAGCCAGCTCCCGGGAGGCCAACGCATATGCTGGGCCACACCTGAGGAACGAGGGGCTGGCGGGGAGATGGGTGGCAGCTGATCCCAGTGCTGTGGCAGCAGAGTGTGGACTTCAGGGAATTCCCTGGGGGCTGCGGGATGGGGATAGGCTGGGGTTTCTCAGCCTCGGCACTGTTGGCATTTGGGCTGGCTCCTCCTTTGTGGTGGGGGCTGTCCTGTGGATTGTAGGACGTTTAGCACCATCTCTGGCCTCGACCCACCAGATGTCAGTAGCACCCCCCAATTGTCAAAACCAAAAATGTCTGCAGACATTGCCATTTGTCCGCTGGGGGGCACAGTCACCTCCTAGTTGAGAATCACGGGGTTAAGGGACACTCACAAAACAGGGGACGTGGTCTGGCGTGGTGGCTCACGCCTGCGGTCCCAGCACTTTGGGAGGCTGAGGTGGGTGGATCACCTGAGGTCAGGAGTTTGAGACCAGCCTGACCAACATGGTGAAACCCCACCTCTACTAAAAATGCGAAAATTAGCTGGGCGTAGTGGTGTGCGCCTGTAATCCCAGCTACTCAGGAGGCTGAAATCGCTTCAACCTGGGAGGCAGAGGTTGCAGTGAGCCAAGATCTCACCACTGCACTCCAGCCTGGGTGTCAGAGTGAGACTCCGTCTCAAAACACAAAAACAAAAAACAAAACAAAACATAGGACATTTGAGCTGGGTCTTGAGGGGTGTGTAGGAGTTTTCCAGGAAAGGCTGTTGTGATAGAAGGAAGGATCAGAGAAAGACACCAGGATTGATGGCAGTGGGCTCCTCCTTGGCCTCCCTGCCTCCCCTCTAACCCCTGCAATGCTTTCTCCTCGCAGCAGCCAGAGGGACCATTTTAGAACATCCGAGAGCCCATTTCACTTCCCTCGCCAAAACCCCCTACATCATAGCAGCTCCCTGTGCCGCTTGCAATAAAATCCCAACTCTTCACGATGGCCTAAAAGCCTTGCGTGCTGTGGCTTCTAGCGGCCTTGTCCAGCTTCATCTCCACCTCCACGTGGGCCCCTGCTGCAGCCACACTGACCACCTTGCTGGTCTCCAAACAGCCAGATCTGTTTCTGCCTCAGGGCCTTTGCACCTGCTGTTGTGGATGGCCTGGAGATCCTTCTGCCAAATATTCCCAGAACTTAGTCCTGCCGTCGTTTCAGGCCTCAGCTCAGGTATCACCTCCTCAGAGAGGCCTTTGCTGCCCCCCTCCTCCTTAAATAGCTGTTCTGCTGCCTCCTTCACTGGCTTTGTTTCTGTTATGGGGCCCCCAGTTGCTGCAACACTGTTCCTTGTTTGCGTGCTTGTTTACCGTCCTGGCCCCATCTCAGCATCAGCCCCACATGGGCAGGGACTTCTATCCTGTTCCCTGCTGCATCCTGGCCCAGCGCTGGGTGTCCAGCAGGTGGTGGACAAATGTTTATTGAATGAATGGATGAATGAATGAATGAATGAATGAATGAAGGGATAGAGAGAGGGGAGCCTCGGGCAGGCTAGAGGGGATGATGTGTTGGGAAGCACAGGAGGTAAACTGAGGCTGGGTGTTGCACAGCATCTAGGATCTGGCCAAGTGGTCATTGGGAATTTTTGGCAGGAGACAGGTGTGACGTGACTGCTGTTAGATTTTGTGCCTGCTGCTGCAAACCCAGAGGGCACCCAGGTGGCATCGTGAGCCAGGCGACCCATCAGGTGGAGAGGCAGCCCCTGGCCCCCTTGCTTGACAGCAGCTGCCCCCTTAGCTCCCGTATTAGTGGCTGCAGTAACATATTACCACAAATGCCGTGGTTGGAAATGACAGGAATGCATCTCTCACGGTTCCAGAGGCCGGAAGTCCGACATCAAGGTGTTGGTGGGGTTGATTTCTCCTGGAGGTCCCCGGAGGAAATCCATCCTTGTCCCTTCCGAGCTCCGGTGGCCGTTGGTGACCCGTGGTGTCCCGCAGCTAGTGGCTGCATCACCCTGACCCCTGGCTCCGTCCGCCCATGGCGTCCTCCCTGTGAGCTCTGTGTCTTCTTTTAAGGACACCTGTCATTGGATCGAGGGCCCACCCTACAGTGGCATGGTCTCATCTGAGATCTCTGATTGATGACATCTGCGAAGATCCTCTTCCCAGTAAGGTCCTAGCCTAAGGTTTGAGGTGGAAGTGAATGTGGTTGGGGGGGCACCGGCCAGCCCGGTGCAGCCCCCATTTCCTCCCCAGCGTGCTGCTGCCTGCTCCGTGAGGGGCTGTCCTCAGCACACCATGGCCCGCCAGGCCCCAGACCACCCTCTCCAGGCCCATCTCGCCCGTTTCTCCCTTTGGTCCCTGTACCCCAAGAGGCAGCGCAGTGCAGCGCATGGCCCAGAGCCTGGCCTGGCTCCCACTGGCTGACCTCGGGCCAGTGTCTTCACCTCCATGTGGCCACTTCTCCACCTGTAAAACAGAGCTAGGACAATGACCTTCCTCCTCATGTTACTGAGATCCAGTGAGGAAATGGATGGAAGGCGCTTCCACCTGGCCCATGGTAATGTTTATATAAGCGTTAACTGTTATTATTCTGGGTAGAAACTTAAGTAGTATTAATACAAAAAGTAAAAACTCAGAGAAGCATAGGTTCAGATGCTTCCTGCTGTTCCCGTGGCGTGTGCCGAGTGCAGCGGGGAACCGAGGCCTGGCAGCAGGAGGTGCAATGCCACATCCCCACCCACCTGCCTTCCCTGCTGGAGAGTCCTCGCACCAGAGGGGCCTAGCGTTTGGCTGACAGAGGGACCTCGGAGCCGGATAGCCCAGCGGGGAAAGTGCCAGGCAGGTCCCTCTGCCTGGGTGCCCCAGCCTCTCGGAGCTTCAGCTCCCAGCCCAGCTACAGGATGAGATCGCGCCCACTCTCAGTGACCTATGGCGACCAGAAAGCACATCTGCAGAAGCTGTGGGCCGGCCCACCTGTGATAAAGGGGGCCCTGGGGGTGGCTGCCACGTTCCGGGAGACAAGGGGGCGCTTTTTTTTTTTTTTTTTTTTTGAGACGGAGTCTTGATCTGTCGCCAGGCTGGAGTACAGTGGCGTGATCTTGGCTCACTGCGACCTCCGCCTCCCGGGTTCAAGCGATTCTCCTGCCTCAGCCTCCGGAGTAGATGGGACTACAGGCACATGCCACCAAGTCCAGCTAATTTTTGTATTTTTTGGTAGAGACAGGCTTTCACCATGTCGGCCAGGATGGTCTCGATCTCTTGACCTCGTGACCCTCCCGCCTCGGCCTCCCAAAGTGCTGGGATTACAGGCGTAAGCCATTATGCCCGGTCAGGGGGGTGCTTTCTAGCCAGCCCAAAGGACATAAGCAAAGGCAACCAGGGGACAGTGTCTCAAGAGGCTCTGAAGGGCTTTGTCCAGGGAGGCGAGAGAGATGGCAGGAAGTTCATAGGTGCCGTTTCCAGCTCAGCCAGGCCTGAGTTCGCACTGCAGGAGGCCGCTGGCGTTGAGAGCTGCCGAGTCTGGTTTAGTTGGAGAGGCAACACCGGACAGCCTGAGGAACCCTGGGGAGGGGCTTCTGGGGCATTCTGTTTCCTGGGTTATGGTCCAGAGGGCAAAGGTCACGGCCTGCCAGCTTGGCAGTGCCCTGGTTGCAGGTGTCCCCAGGACCTCTGCCGTCTGCTTGGGGTAAGTCCTTCAACCCTCTCCATGCATGTGCACACATGCACACGTGCACACACGCTATAGCCGGGCTCCGTGTTGCTAGAAAAGCTGCCTCCTGTGACCCACTGAACCAGCATCCAGCACAGGCCTGATCTCTCATGCCATCGCTGTGCTGGGCCCCTGCCCCAGTCCCTCTCCTCCGCCCCCTCCAGCCTCCAAGGGACTGTTTCCACTGTGGGAGCAGAAGCTCAGGATTGCTGACCCTGGGGTGTCCCGCCCATGCCCCTTCCCGCGGCGCTGGCTGTGCCTCCCCCGCCTCCCCACTGCCCACGTTGTCACAGGAGGCCCAGGTGTGTCGCCGGCTCCGCAGCAGCCAGATCTTGAGCCGCTTTTCATGCTTCAGGTTTCCCGCCGCACGCAGGCAGGGGAGCGGGGGCTGTCTTTTCTGCACGCCTTGCCCTTGATCTTCCCTGGCTTTATCTTCCAGCCTGAATCGCTGGTGGCACCCCACAGGGCCCCCTTGTTCTGAGCCACCTGAGACTGGGCATCGGGGTGCCACACACCTGACTGCCCTCCCCCATGGGGCCCCTTGCTGCTTGCTCTCCTCTCCCGGGAGCAGCTGCCACGTGCGGTAATTAGAGGCTGACACCAGGTGTGGCCGCCACTGCTGCTAGCACAGTGGAGAGGCGAGTGTGCTGCTACCTGCTCCAGCGAACCCCCCCACTCTGCAAAGGAGGCAGACCGTGAACATGGGGGGCGGGAGAGGCTGAGGAAAGGTGGGCTGGACCAGCCCTCAGAGTGCTCGCTGGCGGCCACGCACAGCGAGGGGGGGCGGCCAGTCCCCAGACCCCTCACAGGTGCAGGCCCAGATTCTGTTGAGCTAAGCTTTGCGTGGCGGGCGGCTGGCAGCGATCTGCTGAGCCTTCCAAAGGTAGCAGCCATCTGCACTGTGATAAAAAGCCCTGAGGATGATAAATAGACAAGTCGCACTTTTATTGGATTGCAGTTTGGGAGCAGCCACTTTGGGTTTGGCACTGTGTTAACGACAGATTTCTGCTTCCCTTGCAAGGCCTGGCCTCTCGGGGAGCGCGCCAGCAGCAGCAGCCCTCTCCTGGCTCGAGGGAGAGCTCCCCCCAGCCGCCCTGGTGGGTGGCTGGCCTGCTCCCATTGGCCCCTGCAGCCATGCTGCCCTTGTGGGATTTCTGCTGGGGGCCCGCCTTGCAGCTCGCTGGGGTCAGGCTGATGAGTTCACATCCCGGCACTGTCACCTAGTAACTGTGTGTCTTCAGGCGGGTGTCCTAACCTCTCTGTGCTGCCAGTGCCCCATCTGTGAAATGGGCAAATAATGGCATTTACCTAACAGGCTTGGGAGGTTCCACGGGTAACGGCTGTGCGTGTAGCATTTGGAAGAGTGCCTGGGTGCACACACAGTGAGCGTTCTGTAAACATTAGCTGCTGGTATCAGCGCCATGAGCAGCCTGATTGGTAGTATGATTGCTTCCAGAGAGCCCCGCCTGGCCCTGGCATCCCACCAGGCAGGGAGCTGTTTGGCCTCAGCTCTGCGACGTCGGGGCCTGTTCCCCGGAGGACCTGTATTTCCCAGGACAACAAGGCCTCTGCTGTGTCCTCCACTCATCAGTTGAACGTGGGAGCTCTGGGACCAGATGGTCTGACTACCTCATGGTCTCTCAGCTGTGAGACCTTGGGCGGTAGCTGCAATGCTCTCTGCCTCGGTTTCCCCTTCTGTCAAGCAGGGATAAAAACAGAACTGAACCTCATAGTGCTGGAGACGATCTGCTGTAAGCTCTTGGACCAACGCCTGGCACGTGATAGGCATGGGTGGGTGATGTCCCCCCACTCGGCATTGCTGGTGGCTCTCCTGTTTGCCAGGAGCCCCCGGTGGGCCCAGCGTTGGCTCTGGGTTCTGCGATGACCGGGCTCATGTGGAAGGACGGCAGCAGGAGTGGAGAGCAGAGGGTAGCCCGGGGTGGGGCTCGACCCCTATGGGGTGTGGGTGGCTCAGTAGACGCCATCGAGCGGGTTCTCTGCCTGCATGGCAGGGAGACCTACCGTGTGTTGGAGCTCAGCCCTGGGGAACGGAGGAACAAGGGAAGAGCGGGCATGGTGGAGGCGGTAGCCTGCGTCCTGTTCCGCTTGGCTTCCTGGGTGCGTTGGGCAGGTTGGCTCATCTGTCTTAGGCTCCGTTTCCTCACTGGAGCTTCCCGAGGTTCCTCCCAGGGCCCGCAACCCCGCTCCCGCTGTCCCCATCTGGCCTTCCGTTCCCTCTGCACGGGCACACCCTCCTCCTGCTCTGTGTGCCTGCTCCCTGCACCCCCATGCCCTTCAGCTTGGCTCGTCCGACCCCTCCAGCACAATGTCGGGTGCTCCATGGGCCACACGCCTTGAGCTGAGCCTCTATTTTGAGCCAGGACACAAAGCAGCCTGCCCTGAGCAGTGACCCTGCTCGGGCCTCTCACTCTGGGCCCTCTGCCCTGCTGCTTTCTGGGCCTCCGTGTCATGGGCCCTCCCAGCACCTGGGGCCATGCCGGGCCCACCTTGCCTGCTTTGCAAGCAAGAAGGCACTAGTTAGGAGTGTGCAGCACCCCCAGCCCTCCGTGGTCTGGGCCCTGTTTCCGCACAAGGATTCTTTCTTGGACCACTCTTTTGGCTACTCTGAGGCCCCAGTGGCCCTGAGAAGGCACTGGAAGAAGGCTCATATAAACACGTGGTGGCCAGGAGCTGGGGTTCACAGTTCAGGGTTCAAGTCCCAGATTCACCACTTGACCTTGGGCAGATGACCTCTCTGGACTTTGACTTTCTCATCTGAAAAACGGGGCAGTTAAAGGAACCAGCCACACTGGTGCGCTGTGAGGACGGAGGACTCAGGTTGGCTACGGAGCTGGCTCACGCAGGTGCTCAGCACATACCAGCTGTCACCAGCTGTCACCATCATGGGCCAGGCGCCTGCTCCGTGCCTGTTTCCTCATTTCACCCTCACAGCAACCCTGTGAGGTGTCACATCTTCCCACTAACCAGATGAGGCCACGGAGGCTCTGTGGGGCTCGGAGCTTCTGTAGGATCACCCAGGTACCCAGCAGTGGAGGCTGAATTGAGAAGAAAGACTGGCAGTGAGCTGCTGAGGCTTCCAAAGGGAGCAGCCACCTGCACCTTTAGGTGTGAGGTCAGACCCTGAGGTGCCTTTCACACAGCTCAGTGGCCATCTGGTTCAGTCTCCAGCCTCATCAGCAAAGGTCCAGAGAGCTCAAGTGACTTGCCCAGGGTCACACAGCTTCTCACTGCCAGCTCCTGGTGGGCGACTCGAGGCAGCTGCTGATACCTCAGGGCTTGCTGTGGCTTAGTGTAGGGGACAGGATTGCAAATCTTAATGGCAGAGGGAGAAGCAGAGCTGGGAAGGAAGCGTAGGGCACCTGGCAGCCAGCGAGGGCTCATCAGCCCTCTGCCTCCTCCCAGTCGTGTACCCAGCTCTGGGCTCCTCCGCCTGCCCTGCCCGCATCACCTTCTCTGGAAAAGGATGTGCAGACTTGAAGATCCAGATAATAATGATCCCAGACGGAGAGTCTCAGCCTCGCTTTGTGTTCCAGCTGCCCAGGAGCTCTGGAAACATACCTGGGCCCAAGCTTAGGGATTCTGGGGTACAGCTGGGCTTCGGGATCTTTCCGGAAGCTCTCCAGATGATTCTGCTGTGCAGCCAGGGTGGAAGACCCCTGGGGTGCAAGACCCTGTGCTCTTTGAGTGATGACCAGATACCGAACGGTGGTGTTTCAAAAGCAGAGAGGCCAGCTGCAAGCCAGGAGGGGAGAGAGTGCTTGCTGAGTGCCTACTGTGTACCTGGAGATGCTCCAGTCACCTGTCATGCTATTGTTAGCCCTGTGCAGTGGACATGAGACTGAGAGATGAGGCGGGACCCCAGGGGGAAGATGTGCTCTCACCTTCTGGTCCCTTCTAAAGTGAGCAGAGCCGACCCTGTGGCCATTTCCTGTCCCTCCTGCACGCTTATCTGGCGCCTCTTCCTCCCTCCATCTGCCAAGTTAATGCAAACTGGCAGGGGCGATGGAGGGGGGCTCCGGGGGCACCACTGGCAGCCCGCCCCACGCCGCCCACATCCCCGGCCCTGCAACCCGGGGCAGGAAACCACCAACGTGTTTATGAAAGAGGCAGGCGGCAGCTGCTGCTAACAGGTGAGCCCTTCCCGAGCCGAGCCTCTCCCAGGGCCTCCTGGAGAAATCGGTAATGAAGTGCAGCTGTGAACTCCGGTTTTGGGTCAGAAAGGCAATTTCTCATCTCTACGCGCAGCAATTGAGTCGAAAATCCAGGAGCTGTTTGCCTCTCCCCGCCCCTCCACCCGCTCAGCCCTCACTCGCCTGAGCAGGAGGCCTCTCAGGCGTCAATATTGACTCTGTCAAAGGCAGGTGGCCGGGCGCAGGAGGGAGCCGGGCTGGAAACCGGGCCGGGAGCAGCCCCTGGGGCCAGTGAGGTGGGAGCAGGGAGCAGCTGGCCGGGGTGCCCTGGGAGAACGGAAGGCTGTTTTTCCTCTCATTTTAATTGGTCTTTGTGACTCTAATGGTGCCCGTTTCACCTAGTGGCAGTGTATTGGCTTGGGGCCCCACCGCGCACCACATCTGAGCCATTCAAGAGGCGCCAGGCAGCTGTTCCTGGCCTAACCGACTTTTCTGGATGGTTCTGGGCCTGGAAGGGCCCAGAAAAACAAAGCCAAGGGATGGCTGGGAAACCTCAGGGCCTCCCTGGGATGGCAGCCGGCAGCTGGGCCGAGGCCGCATGGGGGGCGGGGAAGATCAGAGCCCCGGCTCCCAGATCCGGCTGCGGTCGTGGCCCTGTCTGGCCACCTTTGGCCACAGGGTCACCTGAGAATCCAATTTCCATAGGCCCAGATGAAGTAAGCAACGCTTGCCAAGTGAGATTGATTGGAAATCGGAGTGGGCGGCAGCTCCTGCCCTCTCTTCCGGAATGGACGCTTATGAAGCCCAAATGCCTTGTTCCCAGCCCAGCTGAGATGCATTCAGGAAACACTGGTAGCCTTTGAGGAGGGGCCAGGTGTAGTGGTTGTGAGCTGGGGGCACTGGGGCCAGCATGCCTGGGGTTTGGATCGCTGCTGTGTGACTTTGGAGAGATCGCTTGACTTCTCTGATCCTGTCTCCTGCAAAATAGAAGGGTTGCATTTGAAGATCCACCTTGCAAATCTGATGATGACAACAATAATCATCATTTCCCTGGTGGGGAATAAAACACAGAAAGTTGTGCTGTGCCTCTTCTGCCTGCCGCTGCCCTTCCTGCCACACCATGCCCACCAGGGCTCCCAGCTTGGCCCAAAAGGAAGGGCCTAGTCTCAGCCCCAGTGGCCTTCTGTCTTCAGCCCCTTGGTGTAGAATCGGAACCACACAGCTGCACCCAGCTGTCCCCATGTAATGGGAACCCTGTTACCATGGTGGGTACTTTGTGGCCAGTTCTATTTTAGGCAGCTGACTTTTTTTTTTTTTTTTTTTTTGAGACGGAATTTCGCTCTTGTCGCCCAGGTTGGAGTGCAATAGTGTGATCTCGGCTCACCACAACCTCCACCTCCCGGGTTCAAGCAGTTCTGCCTCAGCCTCCCAAGTAGCTGGGATTACAGGCATATGCCACCATGCCTGGCTAATTTTGTATTTTTAGTAGAGATGGGGTTTCTCCATGTTGGTCAGGCTGGTCTCGAACTCCCGACTTCAGGTGATCTGCCCGCCTTGGCCTCCCAAAGTACAGGGATTATAGGCATGAGCCACCGTGCCCAGCCACCTTACTGTTTTTTTATTTCTTTATTTTTTATTTTTTATTTTTATTTTTGAGACAGAGTCGCACTCTGTCACTCAGGCTGGAGTGCAGTGGCCTGATCTCGGCTCACTGCAGACTTCACTCCCCAGGTTCAAGCAATTCTCTGCCTCAGCCTCCCAAGTAGCTGGGATTACAGGCGCCCGCTACCATGCCCAGCTACTTTTTTTGTATTTTTAGTAGAGATGGGGTTTCACCATCTTGGCCAGGCTGGTCTTGAATTCCTGACCTTGTGATCCACCCGCCTTGGCCTCCCAAAGTGCTGGGATTACAGGCATGAGCCACCTCGCCCGGCCCACCTTACATATTTTTTAAAAGCCAGGTTTGGCCGGGCACGGTGGTTCACATCTGTGATCCCAGCACTTTGGGAGGCCGAGGTGGGCCGATCACCTAAGGTTAGGCGTTCGAGACCAGCCTGGCCAATATGGTGAAACCATCCCCCTGCCCCCTGTCTCTACTAAAAATACAAAAATTAGCTGGGCATGGTGGTGTGTGCCTATAATCCCAGCTACTAGGGAGGCCAAGGCAGGAGAATTGCTTGAAACCAGGAAGCAGAGGTTGCAGTGAGCCAAGATCGCACCACTGCACTCAAGCCTGGGTGACAAGAGCAAAACGCCATCTCAAAAAAAAAAAAAAAAAAAAAAAAGCCAGGTTTATTCAGATATAGCTTACGCACAAGAGCGTTCAGTCTTTTTAGAGCGTACCAGTTGGTGAATTCTCACAATCATATACAGCAAAACCACCACCATAATTTACAAAATTTTGCCTCCAACTGCAGAAAATTCCATGGTGTCCTTTTGTGGTCATTCCCCACCTCCAGCCCCTGCACCCACGGGTCTGTTTTCTGACTTGATTGTTTCACCTTTGCTAGGATGTCATGTAGGCGGAGGCGTTCAGTACAAAGACTCCTGTGCTGAGTGTGCCAGGGTTGAGACCCATCTAAGTTGGTGCGTGAGCTGGTGGTTGGTGCGTGCGCTGGTGGTGGTTGGTGTGTGTGCTGGTGGTTGGTGCGTGCGCTGGTGGTGGTTGGTGTGTGTGCTGGTGGTTGGTGCGTGCGCTGGTGGTGGTTGGTGTGTGTGCTGGTGGTTGGTGCGTGCGCTGGTGGTGGTTGGTGTGTGTGCTGGTGGTTGGTGCGTGCGCTGGTGGTGGTTGGTGTGTGTGCTGGTGGTTGGTGCGTGCGCTTGTGGTGGTTGGTGTGTGTGCTGGTGGTTGGTGCGTGCGCTGGTGGTGGTTGGTGTGTGTGCTGGTGGTTGGTGCGTGCGCTGGTGGTGGTTGGTGTGTGTGCTGGTGGTTGGTGCGTGCGCTGGTGGTGGTTGGTGCGTGCGCTGGTGGTGGTTGGTGCCTGCGCTGGTGGTTGGTTCCTTCCTGTTTTAGAGCAGTGCACCACTGTATGGATGCACCACAAATGGTTTGCCCGGTGGAGACACTGAAGCCCACAGTCACACTGCTAGGCTCCTCATAACAGGCCACCTGGCTTGAGAGGCCACCCAAGAGGCCCGTCTCTGCCTGCCTCCCCCCCTCACCGAGTTTCTGGTTCCAGGGAGACTGGGTCCATGTGCTGTAAGCAAGAAGCGTCCCCACCCAAGGTCCGTGTCTCGGTGTCAGGTTAGACCATGGCTGAAGATGCATCTTTGTCCCCGCCAGAGAGACCCGTGTCCGGCGCGAATAATTGGATTTTAATGAAACGAATGGGAGTGCTGAAGCCGTTTGCCACCCTGGCCTGCATCGGGGCCCCGCAATTAAGCCGATTATGTTTTGAGAGTCAAGCTGTCTGACTCCTCGCGTCCCTAATGTGATGATGTTTGATGGCCCTGCCAGCGCGGTTATTTATTTATTTACCCAACCCTCATGAGCTGGGACGTGCCAGTGGGCCCCGGTAATTAACAGCGGGTGCTGAGCCTGTGTGTTCCCACTCTGGCCCCCACCTCTCCCTCTGTCTGGCAGCTCAGGGCATCACCTAGGGACAGACTCTAACAAATGCAGATGGCCAGGCCATACTCACGCAGACTTTTAAGTTGGTTGATCTGGGACTGTGGCAAGGCCACTGGGATTTTTCAAAGCTACCCCGGCGGGGCCCAGAAGCCCCTGGTCTAAAGGACGCAGATTCTCCTGGAAGCCTGGGGTGCTGCTGCATCTCAAAGGGCCTCCTTCCTCGGAATCCCCTGCCCCAGTGGGCCCAGGCTGTTCCCACCTGTGGGAGGCCTGTGGTCTTCTCCTCCTTAAGGCCTCACTGAAATTCAGGGAAGGATTTGAACCCAGAGACCCTCAGCACAGGTCCTGGGAGAGAGACCCCTGGTGGGCGGTGCAGAACTCCGGGTGTCTTTCCCAGCAGTGGTAGTGGATTGGCGTTCTCTCTCCCCCGTTCGTTCTGTGAACAAACAGGGATTGGGCCCTTCCCTCTGCCAGGCGCTGGGCTAGGTGAGTGCTGCAGTGCTGGGTGGGGGACTGGGTGGTCGCTCGGTGCCTCCAACCCCACCCTGTGGGCACTGAGGGTCCTCCCTGGAGCTTTCTGGCTTCTCTGGCTGTGTGGTTTGGCAATTTGCCTGTGTTTTGGTTTTCTGTCCCCGACGCTGCCGGTCCAGGGCGGAGGGACACCAGGATTTTGTGTGATCTTGGATAGATGAGTCACGGAAGCTCCTGGGCCTGGGTCCCCCACCTGTAAAATGGGGGCAGGGGGTTAGCAACTGCCAGGCAGTCCTTTCCAGCTCCCGTATCGGGGGAAGGTTCTAGATTTAGACATTGGCACGGCTGATGGGGGTGTGAAGGAAAGCTGTTTTGGGGAGCTCTGTGGTAAAGTCACACGGTGGCTCGGGGACCCTGAGCAGCCCGCCCACCCTCCTCTACCTCCCTTCCCTCCGCGGAGGCTGGGCAGATTGCTCGGTGCATGGACGCAGTGTGTACAAAGGACTCAGCATCGGGCGCTGGGGCGTGCCAGGCAGTGACAGTGCATGCCGGGGTGGCTGGACGTAGGAAGCAAGGCAGCAGGGAGGGTTGGGGTATGGGGCTGCTTGTGGGGGCTGGGTCCCAGCTTAGGTGTGAGGGCACCTCTTTCATCAGGAGGAGGTCGGTGGGTGGAAGTAGCAGGTCCCTCAGGTGGTGACCCTGGGGCTGGGTGTGGCTCCTGGAGCCCCAGCTGTTGAGGGCAGGGCTTGGTTTGTGCCCCTCACCCCATGAGACCAGGCTCAGGTGGGCAGTTCCTGTCCTGAAGTCTAGAGCTCAGGGGGCTGAGAAGAGGGGGCGCCACTGCCTTTCCTGTGGGGGGATCCTACTTCATCCAGCGCCCTCCCTCTCTAGACCTCCTTTTCCCTCTGCACAAGGCGGTCGCACCCCATCCAGCTCTGGGCGGACCCCCAGGTGTCTGACCTCGGCCGGCCCCACTTGCTTGGCACTCTTGGACCTGGTGGGGGCTCAGCTGAGGCATGCAGAGAGCAGAGCAAGGGCTGGATGAGCTCCTCCAGGGCCCCAGGCCACCTGCACACAGCACCCCCTGCCTCCTTGGGTGAAGCTGCCAGCCAGGTCCTCATGCCCCAGGAAGGAGACTTGGGGGCGATTCCACCCCCGCCCCCTGCCCCACGGGCATCCAGCTTCAGCCCAGCTGGGCAGAGTGGCAGGCTCTAGGAGTGGAGGGAGCCACCCTGAACGTGGGGAGAATATAACCAAGGCCTGGTGGTAACCCTGCTTTCCAGTAAAAATAAGAGCAACCAACATTTATTAAGGACTGGCAGCGTGCAGGGCCCTGTGTGGAGCCTTTCCATACACTGCCTCATTCGATCCTGAGATGTGGTAGCATTGGTGGTGTGTAATTTTCATACCCTCCGAGCTTCTCCGAGGCTGCCCCAGGCCCTTGGTTCCTCGCCCTCAGCCCTGGTGGTGGCAGTGGCCCTGGAGGGCTACCCATGCGGCAGGGGAGCGGCCAGCAGATGGCTCCAAGCCAAGGCAGAACGGCTCAGGAGGGGTGGCCAGCCAGGCTTGCCAGTGGGCCTTAGTTTCCCCTGCTGAGCCCACAGTGCCCTTTTGGCTGGGCTCATTTTCCCTGGAGCATCCATGCAGCCAGGCTCCTGGGCAGATGCCGGATGAGTTTCCCGGGGCTGCCATAATGAATCACCCTAAACCAGGGGCCTCAAAACAACACACACTGACTCTCCCACAGTTCTGGAGACGTCCAAAGTCAAGGTGTCGGCAGGACGCGTTCCTTGTGGAGGCCCTGGCGGAGGATCTGTTCCAGCCTTCCTCCCAGCTGCTGGCGGTGCCGGCCATGCTTGGCAAGGAGGCTTGGCACTCCTTGCCGTGTAGACGCGTCACTCCAGGCTCTGCCTCCATCATCATGCAGCCTTCTATGGGTCCACGTCTCCTTCTCTGTTTCTTAGAACGGCACTCCTCCCTAGGTTTAGGGCCCACCCTAATCTAGGATGAGCTCATCTCAGGAGCCTTAAGTTAATCACATCTGCAAAGCCCCTGCCTCCAAATAAGGTCGCCTGCCCAGGTGCGGAGGGTGAGGGTATGGACAGATCTTTCTGGAGAGCCGTAACTCAACCTCCTGGGTGCCAGGTTCTGTGCAGGCACCTTATGTTCTGTTTCCTCCTCCGTAAATGGGGACACGGGTGCATCCCACGAGGCTTCGTAAGCATCAGAGGAGCGGGTTGGGGTGATGGCCTGAGCAGCGCCCTGCGGCTGCAATAAACACCTGCAGATTGGATGGTTATTCAGAGCAGGGCCTCATTCTCCTCCAAGGTGACCCAGGGTCCCTCTTCACAGGAGAGGAAACAGAGACTCTGAAGCTCCACTCAGCCTGGCGTGGTGGCACATGCCTGTAATCCCAGCTACTGGGGAGGCAGGCGGGAGGATCGCTTGAGTTTGAGGCTGCAGTAAGCCAAGATTGTGCCACTGCCACTCCAGCCTGGGAGACAGAGCAAGACCTGGCATTACAAAAGAGAGAGAGAGAGAGAGAGAGAAAGAAAGAAAAGAAAAGAAAAGAAAAAAGAAACTCCACCCAGTGTAGGGCTGGGGATGAAGCTGGGGTGTTGTAACAGCAGACCCCATGGTCCCCTCCTCACACCCCATGCTCAGGCCGGTGTGGGTTTATAGCGGCTACCCAGGAAACAGAAGGGCAAGCAGAGCCTCTGCTCATTTGGGGGACCCCGATTATCTGGGCTGCAACTCAGCCCCGTTTGGAATTGATGGCTCAGTCTCAGATCAGAGACAGACTCAGGGAGCCTGGCGCGCTGCAAGCTGCCTCCCCCGCACGAGACTTCAGGTGGCCAAGACTTCCCACATTGGGGAGTTCTGCTCTCAGTTTCTGACAAGCTTGGGGGGAATGTGACCCATCCACGTGCAGGCAGCTGTCTGGGGGTGAAAGCGTCACGCTCTCTCTCCACTCTCACGCCTGCATGGAGCCCATCCTGCTGCCTAACTCCCATCCTGGCCTAATGCCCTTCCCTCCCAGGGACCCACCCCCACCTCTGGGGTCAGGCCCCGCTTTGTGTGCCTTACAAATGCGAATAAACTCATAGCATCCTTATTTTAGAGACGAGGAAACTAAGGCTCAGAGAGGTTAATGACTTGCCCCAGGATACCCAGTTGTAAGTAACAGAGCTAGGATTTGAACTTGAGTGGCTGGCCCTCCCTCTCAACTCATCCTCATCTGTGTCCAGAGGAAGCTGTGCCTCCCTGAGTTCACCCAGTCCTGGTTCAGAGGAGGGTCACCGAGGGGTAGGACAGTATTTTGGAGGACACCTGGGCCAGACCCCTGGTATATTGTCGTGGGGTGCAAAGGGGGTCTGTCATCAGCATTACATTTGGCTTTGAGAAGCAGTGGAGCTGGGGCATCAGAATCCAGTGAGGCAAAGTGGGAGAGAGAGAGGGCATTCCAGTGGGGAGGCCCTGTGAGAGGAAGCGCTTGGAGGTGGGACCCTTTGAGCTTGTTCTGGAACATGAGAGCTCAGCCATCTCTACCACCCTCTGCCTTCCAGATTATGCTCTGGGATTTCCAAATTGCTTGTACCTTCAGCAGCACGCAGCCCACCATTTCACACTGCCACGAAGTCCGGGGTGGTGTGGTAGGGACCAGGACCCCGCTGCAAATCCCCAAGCACCCTGAGGACAGGGAGGGGAGGGTCATTTTCCTGCCGTGTGTGTGTGTGTGTGTGTGTGTGTGTGTGTGTGTGTGTGTGTGTGTGTGTGTGTGTGTGGTCTGCCATTTTTGCTCTGCTTCCAGAAGGGACTTGAGGCAGCTAAGTGGTATTTAAAGAAGATTAAGCATTTCCAGGGAGGGAGGCTGCAGCAGGGTGAGCGCTGGTGGGTGAGAGGCCCGCTAGGAGGCTGCTGTGGCGACTCAGGGTCCTGGCGGGGAGAACCTGCCCTCTGTGCCCCGCCACACTCCCAAGCCCCGCCATTGCCAGGGACGGTGGGACTCACAGGAGAGACACCGGCAGGCTGTGTTTTCAAAGAAGATGCCATTCACAGCACAGCCCAGGACAAAACGGGCCTTGCCTTGCTAAGTCACAAGAGACCAACTCCCGACAGAAGAGCTGACCAAGGGCTTCCGCAGCCTCCTTTCTGGGGGCTCGAAAGAATCTTCTGATAAATGAACCTCAGCAGTAGGCATCCTGAGATCACTGCCTGCTCGGGGTGGCTGTGGGGGTAAGCCAGGCAGTTCCTGCCTCCCGCTTTCCTCTGACCCCAAAAGAAAGGGCAGCGGGGTCTGCCCTAGAGGCTGCCAGGATTGCATTGCACATAGCCAGATAAGGATGAGGAGAGTGGAAGGGCAGAGGCCCCGTCAGAGCTTATCTGGGCAAGGTCAGGAACCCAGAGCAAGGAAGATGCTCTGGGAGGAGAGAAGGGAGCATGTCCATCTCCACCCTGAGCTGGCAGATGGGGGACAGCGAGACTCCCCCCAGACTGGACCGCAGCTGTCAGCCTGGCCATGAGTCCCAGCATTTGCCCACTGCAGGGGAGAGGCTGTCTCTGATGGTCCCTGACCTGGGGCAGGGATACAGATCATCCTGGGTTTCTCTGTCCGGTAGGGTTGGCACAGCAGGCTTCACAGTCTCCCTCGTGGTGATGAGATGTGTCATCGTCCCAGGACCTGGTGGAGGCTGAGCTCAGGCATGCAGAGAGCAGGGCAAGGGCTGGACGGGCTCCTCCAGGGCCCCAGGCTACCTGCACACAGCACCCCCTGCCTCGTTGGGTGAAGCTGCCAGCCAGGTCCTCATGCCCCAGGAAGGAGACTTGGGGGTGATTGCACCCCCACCCTCTGTCCTACGGGCATCCAGCTTCAGCCCGGCTGGGCAGAGTGGCAGGCTGTAGGGGTGGAGGGAGCCACCCTGAATGTGGGGAGAATATAACCAAGGCTTGGTGGTAACCCTGCTTTCCAGTAAAAATAACAGCAACCAACATTTATTAAGGACTGGCAGTGTGCAGGGCCCTGTGCGGAGGCTTTCCATACACTGCCTCATTCGATCCTGAGATGTGGTAGCATTGGTGGTGTGTAATTTTCATACCTTCTCTGAGATTGAAGTAGCTATTATTGACCCCATTTTACATGTAAGGAGACTGAGGCACACAGCAGTGACCCCATCCTGGTGCACCCTGGTTGCTGTCTTCTAGTGAGGTGCTCAGGTGTGATCTGACTCCCCAAACCCTACAATCTGCTCCGGGCTTCCTCAGAGGCCCCTCTGCAGCACCAGCCGGCACTGACCTGGCCTCCCAGCACTTGGAAGTGGGCCAGCCATTTCTGGACCCCCTGCAGCTCTGGGGACCCCCTGCCTCGCTCCCGGCTGGATGCCGTGGGACACTTCAGAAAAGGCAGACAGTCCTGCCCTCAAGGAGCAGGGAGGAGTGCAGCCCAAGGACACAGCTGAGGTAGAAGCTTCAAGGCCACAGGTAAATGAGGCCCTGCTTGGAGGAATGGGCCTTCAGGTGCAGGTGCCTGGAGGGGAGCCCTCGACAGCTGGAGCTGAAGGATGCACCCCAGGGCAGCCAGAGCTGAGCAGACACTGCCCTAGCAGGAGGGCATTGGAAGGGGGCATGGAGAGATGGAGGCCCTGTCCCAGGTACCAGGATGCCCAGATGGAGAGGCTGGTTGAGCTGGGCATGGAGGCCCAGGGGCCAGGGGAATCTCCTGTTGATGCCCTACTGGCCAGTGGCAGGGGCTTCCACATTGCGGGTGGCTATCACACCACAGCAGCAGTTCCCAAAGTGGGGTTGTCCTGGGAACTCATTAGGAATGCAGATTCTCAGGCCCCGCCCCAGACCTGCTAAATGAGAAACGCTGGGTGGCAGAGCAAGGCTGTGTCCTCCCCAGCACTGCTGGGGATCCTGGTGCTTCTTAAAGTATGAGGTCCCCTGTGCTGCAGGAGGGATAGAGTCACTTTGGGTTCAGGGAGCCTGGGGCCTCCTCTTTCTACTGCTAACCCTCCATCTAAGGCCAGAGGGGAGCTGTGTTCCTTCACCTTCAGCAAGGAGGTACCTATCTCCCTGCTCTGGATAAACCGTGCCACCTGCCCGCAGGTCTGGGTGGGGCAAGCAGTGCCCTCCCCACTCTCAGGAGTATTGGCCGCTTTCGCTCCTGCCACCCTGTGCCTAGGGCCTTGGCAGGGACTGAGACTTTCCGTCGGCTGCTGCCTGTGGTGCCTCGGCTCATCATCCTCTGCTTACACAGTGGCCTCTGACGCCGCCTGTGCTCATTCACCCAGAAAGATGGCATCGGGGTGAAGTCAGAGGCAGGCAGATTCTATCTAGAACAACCACCGTGCCAATTGCAAACGCCACCCCCAGGCACCCTCTGTGTCTCCACATGCATGCAGGCAGGAGTTGTGGGTGCCCCTCCACAGAGCCACCACCAGCCCATATGGCTCCTTTGTGCAAATTAGAAGGCACCCCTTGCTTCAGGCAGACCCATCCCGTGCCCAGCTGGTTGTTGAAGAGTAGAGTGACTTTGGGTTTCAGCTCCCGCTTGCCATTTCCTCCAGGAGCTCTTGTGCAGTGAACAATCTGGACGACTATACTTGGCAGCCCTTTTCCCTGGGCTCTTGTTGGCTCCCATCACCATCCCATTGGCTGTTAGGGGCTTAAAGCACAAACCACTCAGCTGCCCTTTCACTCCAGAGAGACCAGGGCATCCATTTCCATGCTCTGCCTGGTCCCTTTTGCCTATGTGCTTAGTGTGGAGTGGCTAAGATCTGTTAGTTCATGCCAAGGGCTGGATTAGAGGTAGAGGACTCCACGGAGTCACTGAACCCAGTCTGCCCACCCTGCAGAGGAGTATATTGAGGCCCTGAAAGTTACGTGGCCTCGGGCAAGTCACTGTTAAGACTTGTTTTCCCTTCCCAGAGGCTTTCTCTCTTTGGTCTTGAGCACTTGTTTTGTGCAAGGCTGAACAGGCATTCACCCCTCCTTCACAGAGGGGGTTGCTGACGCCCAGGGAAGCTGAGCGATTCCCCCAGCTCACGCAGTGAGTGGATGGCCTGGTTGGATCTCAGTCCAGGCTCCTGGCTCCTCTCAGGAGCTTCTCAAAGCATTTCTGCCAGAAAGCAGACCCTGTTCCCTGTGATCCTGTCCTTCTGCTGGGGTGCATGAGCCCCCAGGGCCCCGCAGTGCACATACCTTCACCCAGCGCCTGGCCTCCGATGAGCAAGGACACGATGTCCTGGGGGATGCAATCTCCTGGCCCACATCCCTTGACCAGATAAACACTCCCCTACAGACACTCCAGCCTGAAACACCAAGTGTGTTCAAGGTCAAACGGGCTGGCCTGGAGGAGGCCTTGAGTCCCTGATCCTTCCAGCAGCCTTCTCAGCCGTAGCTGCATCTTGGAACCACCCGGGGGGCTTTGAGACACACTGATACCTGGACCCCCTTCTCCAGAGATTCTGATACAACTGCTCAGGGGTGCGGCCCAGCCTGGTATTTTCTTAAACTTCCCGAATTGTCCCGTCGAGCAGGGGTGACCACCAGGGCTTACCCTCAAGAGAGGGACGCTGGACGATTTGGCCTTGGAAACCACATTATCTTGCTAATCTGCTAGACAATGGGAAGAAAGCACTTGGCAAAATGTAAGGTAGTTCATGTAAAGCCCAGCACTTCGTTTCAAAAGTAAACTGACAGGCAGAAAGTGGGCGACGTCACTTGTTAGGGGTTCGGGTGAATGAGGCCTCGGCTGCTCCAAGCTGGGCAAGAGCCGGCAGTGACCTCTCCTTGCCCGAGCTAATGTCACTTCCAAGACTTGAAGAGACGGGGGCTGTGGGAGGCCAGGGCGGAGCACCCATGCGCAGACACGGTCCTGTGGTCTTGCACTTTAAGGAGGTTGTTTACAGGCCAAAGAACGTCCCATAACCAGGGACGGCAATGGAGAAGGAGCTGAGGAAGCCAGGGTGGGGGTGGGGAGAGTCTGCCAGAGCAGTTCAGACCCAGGGGACCGTGAGAGTGGGCTGCAAATCAGGACGTGAAGTCTGATGACAGATGGGAAAGGGCTTGGTCCAGTGGGGTAGAAGTTAAGAGATTTCAGCTCAACACAGGAAGCAATTGTAACAGTCACAGGCTGACGGCAGCCAGCCGGGTGGGAAGGAGTGAGCTCTGGAGTGGGAAGGGAGACCCAGGGACCCTCTCTCCCCACACCCTTAGGGAGCACCTGCTTCGGGCAAGCCCTGAGCTGGGCGCAGTGGAGGACAGTTCCTGAAGGGCCTTTGCCTGGTGGGGGATTGGCTCACCCTGGGTTTCTTAACCTTGGGACTGTTGACATTTGGGGTTGGCTGATTCATTGGTTTGGAGGCTGTTCTGTCTGCTGGAGGGTGTTGAGAAGCATCCCTGGCCTCTACCCACCAGGTGCCAGCAGCGCTGTGACCCCCAGTTGTGTCAATCAAAAATGTCTGCAGACACTGGTTGCTAACTATGCCCTGGGGGACAACCCCCACTCCCCCTTTGAGAGCCACTGGTTTGGAACAAAGGATCTCTACCTTGGCTGCGCACTGGAAGCCCCCAGGGAGCTTTAGAAACTACCAATGGCTGGGTCCATGCCCAGAGGTGTGATGTCATTGGTCTGGGGGCAGGCCCACGCAAGGGGGGGAGGGGGCGCTGTGGTTTAAAAGCACCCAGGTGGTTCTAATCTGTTGCGAGGGGTTCGAGACCCCCTGGTGTACATGGTTGTTTCTCAAACTTGACTTGTCATAAGAATCGCCTGGGTAGTGGCTCAAATGAAAGCCCCCACCCCTTTAATTAGGATCACCTGGAATTCTCAGGCTGCAGTCGGTGGGCTGGGATAGCCATAATCCCCGTGCTGCGTGAAGCTCCAGGATTCAGAGCTGAGAGGCCTGGCCAGCCAGCCTCACTAGATCTCCTGCAGCTCCCCTATTCCATCCCCGCGGCTGGGCCCCCTCCTCACCTCCCCTCCTCCCGGACCTTCTCCCAGCCCTCACCCCTCCCCAGCTCCTGAGAGCGGCAGGCAGCCCTGCCCCTCCTTCCTGCTCTCCTCCCAGCCCATGGCTCTCAGCGCAGCTTGATTTAGTAGGCGGTGGAGGAGAAAGGCAGCTTGAAGAGTCACTTAGAGCCTCGGTGCTCACAGCACTTATCTGGAAAGGAGAGGCCAGCAGGCCCCCGGGGAGTGGGGCGCGAGGCTGAGCACACCTCCCCACAGGGGCAGGGAGGCTGTGCTCTGCAGGGCTGTGGGCACCGGAGCTACACACACCCTCTGTCCCCAGCACCCAGTCTCGGGTCTGCCCCTCCTTGCCAGAGCACACGGTGTCAGGAGGTCCCCCTGCAGTCTCCTCCTGGGGGATGGGCTCAGCTCCTTAAAGCCCTAGGTCAGGGAGCTCAGAGACCCCTGGGTTAGAAGCGATGTCAGGTCGTCTGGTAGGGAGGTGTCCTGTGGCCGCCACCTGGCTTTTGCTGGGCAGGAGGGGGCCCTCCACCCTCCCTACCCTCAGCTTGTTGGTTGGTTGCCTGCCCTCCTCTCCTGGTGCCTGTCTTCCTTCTCCCCCTCCTCCCTGATGAAAAATACAAAAGAAAATGCGCCAGTGCCCAGGTCTGGGGAGCCCCAGCCCTGGGGATGGAGAAATGAAAAGCGGCCCCAATTAGAGGCTTTGGTTCTGCAAACTTGATGCTCGGCACTTGAACTGTCACGGCGGAGCCTTAATTAGCAGCGGCGGGGAGAGGTCAGGACAACTCAGCAGTCTTGACAAGCGCGTTATCAAGTGCAGGGGAGCGGAGGCTGCCCGGGGAGCGCGGGCGGGGGAGGGCGGCGGGGGCGCCGCGGCGCGGGAGGGAGGCGGGAGGCGGGAGGCGGCGCCGGCCGGGCGGGGGACGAGGTGGTGGCTGCGAGGCAGCCGCGCCGCCACGGCTGGCGGTGCGTGAAGCCGGGGGCGCGGGGCCGGGGGGCGGCGTGAGCGGCTGCGGGGCCCCCAGGCGCCCCGGCCCCTCCCCGGGCTCCACGCCGCGGGCAGGGCGCACCGCGCAGGGACGCCCCGGCTGCTCCGTGCCGCCCCGCAGAATCCCGGGGCTCCATCCCCGTCTCCCCCGCCCCCTCCGGGCCCGTCTTCTGCCGCCCCGTGACGCCCCTACTGCTCGCCTCCGCCGCGGGCCATGCTGGGCAGCCCCTCCTAGAGGCCCCGGGTCCCGCGGCCCGGGGGGCGGCGCAGGATGCTGGGCATGAAGACCTGGTCGTCTCTGCTCCAGAACCTCAGTAAGTGCCCAGCTCACCGCCCCGTGGACGGGAGGGTGGGGGGTCCGGGATGGAACTTTCTGGGGCGCGCCACCCACCCGGGGCTGGAACCTGGCCCCGCACTCACCCAGCCTCGCCCTCCAGCCCCATCACCTTCAGGCCACGCACGTGCTCCCCAGCGCCGCCTCCTCATGCTGTCAACTCAGAAGAGAAGCCCTGGGTTGGTTTCCTCAAGTAGAAAACCCTTGACCCCCGCGGTCTGGCTGTGCCTGGGCCAACTCTAGGCAGCCGGGGGAGGCTGCCCTCAGACCCCGTGTAGGGAAGTGGCCGGCGGGCACCGGGCTTGCTGCACCGCAGGGCTCTGCCTTAGCCTGGCCATGCGGCTCCTGGAGGTGGGTCCAACCCTGGCAGGGCCCCTCGTGCCTGCAGTGACCCGGGAGGTGGGAAATGGGGCTGCTTGTGTGTGGACTTCGTGCCCTCTTGCTTGCACAGGTGGGACCTGGGGTGGGTTGTGGGACTGGAACTCTCAACCTACCCCTCCCCAAACTGCCCGATCACCTCCCTGGCCCCATCAGCTCTCTGGGGAGAACTCCTGGCATCAAGGCCTCGCATCACTGGCACAGTTAGGCAGCGAGAGGGTAAGAGTCACAGAGCCCGCCGAGGGTGGGGAGCGCCATGAGTCCCATCGGAGAGAGGGTGAGCGGGACTCTGAGGCCTGGGGCAGTGCCACAGGTGCGGGTGTGAAGCTGGCGGTGGGCCACTGAGGTCCTCAGGCTGAGGGGCGGCCAGAGTGAGGGATGGAGAGAAGCCTTCCATGAACAGCAACTCAGGCTACCAAGGTCCCTTTGGGGTGGCTCCAGTGACAGAGAATGGGCGGGGACGCTGGCCTCAGGACTGCTTCTTCCCATCCTGACCTTCGGGCCCCTTACCTGCGGGCCTTTTCTTCCAGGTGAGCCAGGCCAGCAGCGGGGGGACGACGCCATCCCCCATGCCTGGCCCCTCCTGGCTGCCTCGCCTGCCCGCCCACCCCTCCTCTCTCTGTGTGCACCTCTCTGCCTGTTTGAACTGCAGCTTTTAAAGCTTTTTGCCTTTTGAAAACTCAGGGGGAGAAAGAGTCATTTGTGGAGAGGTCGCGAACGGTTGATGATTATAGTCCAGTGGGTAGAAAGAGCTTAAAACAAATCCCTGTCCATCAGATGTCGGCTTAGGTGGTTTCCAGCGCTCTCCTGGGGGGCCGGGGTGGGGGGCAGCCGCTTAGAGAAAAGGGGAGGCTTTTTTCCTTGAAGCTAAGTGAACCTGCAAAACTCTCTTCTTATTTGGGTGTTTGATCACGGCTCCCCTCTGCCTGGCTTCCTCTGATCGCCCTTCCTCCGGGTGCCCGGCTGGTGGAGGAGGGCCTCGGCAGCCCCCAGACGGCCTCACCAGCTGTGTGACCTTGGCCTGGTCATGCGGTGTCTGGGAGTCTCTGTTTCCCCCGAGGGGTGATGGTCATGCCGGTTGCACAGGGTACTCACGAAGCCTCGGGAATGTGCCACCATCTCCCGGGCGGAGGGTATACCTGGCCTGCAGGGTGTGGTGGTTGGATCCTGTGCTGCTCCTCCTCTGCCACACCAACTCCCCTGTCCAGGTGCAGAGGCCACCTGCGTGGAGCTGGAAGGGCCCTCACTTTGTTTCCAAAGGCCAGCTAGTGAGGCCGGGAGGAGGATGCCGGCTGGAGAGGCCTGTGTTAAGTGCTGGGTTGACTGCCCACAGGGGCTGGTAGGGGCCCCTTGCAGACAGAATGGGCCCTCCCTATGTCCTTTACCTGTGGTCACGCCTCAGTCCTCATGGCAGCATCAGGGGGAGGGCACTGGCTTCGTGCCCTCTCGTTTTTGCAGGTGAGGAAACAGTGTGCTCGTTTTTCAGGGTCACACAGCTAGTGAGGTGCAGACGGGAGAGGCTGGTGGGAGCCTGGGCAGTCCCACTCAGGGTCACGCCCCCAGCCAGCCATCTGTGGCCACTGGCATCTCTTCCTTCAGCTCCAGAAAGATCCGGTCACTCCGATATCCAGGAGTGTGGGACGGCCCCTGGTTCCCGGCTGCATGCAGCGGTTGGGTGGGAATCCTGGGCTCCTCCATGGGCTGCCCCCGCCCACCTGGAGCTCCTGCCTCCCCAGCTCTCCTGCCAACCGAATCTCATGCTGCTTCTGTGCCACGCCCTGGCCCTTCGCATCTCTGCTTGGTGCCTGGGCTGTAAGGGAAGCATGTAATAGAACCATGAACAGCGCCAGGCCTGGGCTCCCATCTGGGTTCTCCTTCATTACTGCTGTGTGACTTGGGGCAAGTGACCTCACCTCTCTGTGCCACATTCTCCCATTCGTTCCATGGGGATGGCAGGACTGCCCTGCTAGGGGTAAGTGCATCAGTCCAGTTAATGACTGCACACTGTCAGTGTCATAAATGTCAGCTGCTATTTTTTCTTCCACCTGGAAGTCCCTTCCTGCCTCTCCCTACCGTCTCCCCATACTTCAAGGCCTAGCTTAAATGCCACCTCCTCCAAGAAGCCTTCCAGACTCCACCCAGCCATAAGTCATCTCTCCTGCCTCCTCATGGTCTATGTTGTTGTTTTTCTCAGTGGAATTCATACATTTGTACCTATTTTCTCTCCCTATCAGACAGACGTTCCTCAAGGGAAGATCCTTTACACTCTGATCTCAGAATCTTCCAAGCTACTGAGTATGTAGTAGGTGCCCAATAAATGTTTGTCATATGACTAGAGAGTAACCATTTTTCTTGCCAGACCAATGAGTGGCTTCACTTCCCAGCTATTCAGTGAGCACTTTGTTCTAATGATTAGTGGAGTCACATCCGAAGTCAGTCTGTACTTTGGGATGCCTTAAAATTGTTTCCAAGTCCTGTGGGTGGATGAGCTCATTGGCAGCGGTGTGGACCCAGCCTAAGAGCTTAGCTTTTCCTTTGGGGCCCAGAGGGCAGGTTCACATCTCAGTGACAGCAGCCGGCTGTGGGAATGTGAGAACACGGGCACTTTGAGTGGAACACGTGGTCAGTGTTGAAAGGACAAGGGCGGCTCATCCCCAAAGCCAGGTCGTGGTAACCTGGCTGCCTGCCAGCTGACCTGCTCTGCCAGGGCCCAGGCTCTGGTAGCCAGGAGTGCTCTCATTGTGCTTGGAAATTAAGGGCTATGGAGCAGTTGCCACGCAGGCGTGGTGATGTGATTACTCCCCAAGGAGGAGTGGCCCCCAGGACCCCCTGGGGAGTGGGCAGGGGCTGTGTGAACCCTGCGGATCCCTGTCATGGCTGCCAGCGCCCGTGGGCCCAGGCCAGGCTCTGCCCCTGAGATTCCATGGCCTCAGAGGGGCCCTCCTGGCGCACACTGGCAGCTGAGCTCGTCGGTCCTGAGGAGTTAGCAGCCCTGGGAGGTGAGGATGGCATTTGGGTGCCTTATAGATAGGGCCAGGTGGCCATGCCTTTGGCATTCTTGAAGACTCACTGCGGGTGGCAATGACGGTGGTATCATTTGTGCTTTTGTCTTCCAGTAAGGAAAGCGTGCAGAGTTTCCAGGTTTGCAAATTAAAAAAAAAAAGAAATATATATATATAGAGAGAGAGAGGGAGAGAGGGAGAGAGAGGGAGAGCGCACAAGAGAGCAAGAGAGAGAAAGGAAGGGAGGAAGATGGCTGAACGCAGTGGCTCACACCTGTAATCCCAGCACTTTGGGAGGCCAAGGCAGGCAGATCACTTGGGGTGAGGAGTTCGAGACCAGCCTGGCCGAAATGGCGAAGCCTCATCTCTACTGAAAATATAAAAATTAGCCAGGCGTGGTGGCAGGCCCCTGTAATCCCAGTTACTTGATAGGGTTAGGCAAGAGAATCATCTGAACCCCAGAGGCTCAGGTTGTAGTGAGCTGAGATAGCGCCACTGCACTCCAGCCTGGGCGACTCCATCTTAAAAATAAATAAAAAGGAAGAGGCCAGGTAGGAAGTGGGGCAGGGTAGGCGGTAGATGGCCTGGGCCCTGGCCTCCAGCAGCTGGGCGAGCATGCAGACCTCTGCTGGATGGTGTGGGCACCCGCGTCTTCACCCTTGCCTGACTGAACCATAAGGAGCGAGGGGCCGGAGCGAGCCAGCCTGGGTTCGCATCCTGCTGCTGCCTCTTACGGGTTGTGCGCAAGACACTTGGCCTCTCTGTGCCTCAGTTTCCTCATCTCTAAAAGGGGAAATAAATATGGTGGCACCTGTCTTGTTCCAGCCAGCTATTGCTATGTAACAAACTACCCCAAGACATTGGCGTAAAACAAGAACACAAATTTTGTTTGCTGGTGAATCTGGGGGTGCAGCTAGCAGCTCTCGCCTGGGATCTCATGTTGTTGTATTAGACGGGGGCTGGGTTGGGGAGCATCTTGCCGATTCCCTACTTGTGCCTGGTGTTTGTGCTGGGAAGACTCAAATGGGTGGGGTGAGAATGCTGGGTTGGTTTCATCCCCCCATCTCTCAACCTGGTGGCTGGACATCTTACTTGGCTCCCAGAGCCAGTGTCCCAAGAGAGGCCAGTAGAAGCTGTGTGGCCTTTCCTGACCTAGCCAAAGGGATCACGCAGCATCACTTCTATGGTGGTAGCCACCAAAGGCTGCCCGGGTTCAAGGGGAAGGTACGGAGATACCCCCTCCAGATGGGAAGAGTGTCAAAGAATTTGTGGATGTTTTTCAGGACTGCCACATACCTGCTAGGGGTGTTGGAGTTGACAGTTGATTCGTGTGAAGTGTGCTTACAGCATAGGGAGAACTTAGTGAATGTTAGCACATCTCTGAGCTGGGACCTGAGACATCGTCTGCATCGAAAGCTACACAGAGGGACAGAAGAGAATGGGGCGTGGGAGGGGTCAGGGGTTGCAGACTTGCCTTCTCTCGAGCCAGTGAGGGCTCCTTCTCTGCCCATCCCTCACTGTGTCCCTGGAGTGACCCCCTGGCCTCCTCCCAAGAGCCACAGCCCACCTCAGCCTTGACAGAGGTCCCGATGGGAGATGGATTCCCACCTTTTGGGTCTCAGGTGTTTCTGTACTTGGGGTTCCTTGAACCACAAGAAGGTGGGAAAGCCCTTAGAGGAACAGGGAATATTCGAGAACCTTGGGCAAGGTATGAAGCTCTCAGAGCCTCAGCCTCCCTAACTCCTTGAAGGGCTGGACCAGCTTCTTCTTGTAGGGCCCTTCTTTCCTTTTTTTTTTTTTTTTTTTTTTGAGGTGGGGTCTCACTCTGTCACCCAGGCTGGAGTGCGGTGACGCGACCTTAACTCACTGCAACCTCCACCTCCTGGGTTCAAGTGATTATTCTGCCTCAGCCTCCTGAGTAGCTGACATTACAGGTGAGTGCCACCATGCCCAGCTAGTTTTTGTATTCTTAGTAGAGATAGGGTTTTCACCATGTTGGCCAGGCTGGTCTTGAACTCCTGACCTCCTGTGATCCACCAGCCCCCCTCAGCCTCCCAAAGTGCTGGGATTACAGGTGTGAGACACCACCCCCAGCCCTCGTAGGGCCCTTCTGTGCCTGTGCCACCCAGAGATGTCATCTTGGAGAGCTTTGAGAACAGGAGGGCCATGTCTCTCCCCTCCCTGCCTGGAGCCACGCAGAACAGATGTTGGCAAGAGTGGCTGCCTTTCCCCATCTCCTGATGTCTAAGAGTATGAGCTGGAAGAAGAATAGCTAATCTTAGTGTGCTGATGGCATTGACCATCTACACTGGGTTGAATAGGGCCACCCCCAAAATTCACGTCTACCAGGAACCTCAGAATGTGAACTTATTTGGAAATAGTTTCTTTGCAGGTGTAATTAATTAAGCCTCTTGAGCTAAAATCATCTTGTATTAAAGTGGGCCAGAGGCTGGGCGTGGTGGCTTACACCTGTAATCCCAGCACTTTGGGAGGCCGAGGCAGGTGGATCACCTGAGGTCAGGAGTTCAAGACCAGCCCGGCCAATGTGGCAAAATCCCATCTCTACTAAAAATACAAAAAGTTAGCTGGGTGTGGTGACACGGGCCTGTAATCCCAGCCACTCGGGAGGCTGAGGCAGGAGAATCTCTTGAACCTGGGATGTGGAGGTTGCAGTGAGCCGAGATCGTGCCATTGCACTGCAGCCTGCACAAGAGCAAAACTCCATCTAAAAAAAAAAAAGAAGTGGGCCCGAAATTCAATGACAGGGGCCCTTATGAGAGACAGAAGAGGAGAAAACACAGACACAGGGGCGGCCACGTGAAGATGGAGGCAGAGATGGGAGTGGTGTGGCCACAAGCCAGGATGCGCTGGCGCCCACCAGATGCTGGAAGGGGCAGGAAGGACCCTCCTGAAGAGCTTCTTGTGGGAGCGGGGTTGGACATCTGGCCTCTGGGACTGTGAGGGAGGGCATTTCTTTGTTTTTAGTCACCCAGTTTGTCGCCGTTTGTTAAGGCAATACTAGGACACGGGCATCACCTTTTCCCCACCTTACATGTTTTAAAAATGTGTGATGGTTAAAAATTCTGTCTAGTGTTCCTTGTGGACTCTGAGGCCCCCAGTACTGTGGGGCATAGCTTTGGGGACCTGGGTCCTGCTGCTCCCTGAGGCTGGAAAGTCACTTTCCCTCTCTTGTCCCCAGTTCAGGTGGGAGAAATCAGCCAGGCTGACTGGAGGAAGGTCATTTTCCCGTCTGAAATGCGCCTTGCAAAAATCCAGCCTTTTCCCCAGCAGCTGCTGAAGCGGGTCCCCTAACCTCAGAGGATTAGGGACACCACGAGTGGGAGGCAAGGTGGGAGGGGGAGCCAGGGCCCTTGGCCCGTCAGAGTCCCCGACCAGGCACGGGGTACCCCAGGACCCCATCCTCACTGTGGTTCCCCGCAGTGGCAACCGTGGAAATGGAGGGCTGCTCCCACTCACCCCAGGCCCTCAGGCATCTCAATGCCACCCCCTCCACTGCCCAGAGGCCCCTCCCTGGGATGTGCTCACTCTGAGGGTGAGGGCCACGCTCCAGGGTGCGGGAGCCCCCATCCATGTTCCGCTTTTTATCACCTCCCACCCCTCTAGAAAGTCGGCAGCTCGAGCCAGCTGGGCTGTTCATGCTGTGCCCACGGCACCCAGAACTTGCTGGAACAAGGAGGTGCCTGAATCCTCGGTTGATGTGAGAGGGCACCTGGGGCCAGCCAGCGGGGGTCTTCCCACTGACTTGGAGTGCCTCTGTGGGGCTCGGCGCCCCTCAGTGATCCAGCCGCAGCCAGACTAAGCTCAGCACACCACTGGGCAGAGCTGGGGCTCAGGCCTGGAGAAGTCAGGACTTGCCCGAGGCCCCGGACGCAGAGCTGGGATCCGTGTCTCTTTCCCGAGTGACATGGCCCCTTGGGGTCCCCTTCATGCCCGGCCACTGCACCTGGGATGCTCTATGTGTGGCTTCTTGGGTGCCCCTTGTTGGGGTGCTAAACTCATCTCCCTGGTAACCTTCACCCGATGGGGCCAGATTCCTTCCCAATGCAATTGCTCTGCACCTCAAGGGAGCTTGGGGTCTGGGAGGGTTGTATGGGTGCCCCGGGAAGGGCTGCACCTTGTGGGTCTCCTCCACAGGGGTGAGCAGGTGCGCTTGCAGCCATCGGGCTGCCCAGGAGAGCCAGCCCCCGCCCCCTGCCCACTTCCCTTACCCCCACAGCTGCTGGGGTGGAGAAACGCTGTGACCCAGTCAGTGTTTCTTTTAATGAGCGGCGATTAAAACAGTGTAACCGTGGCAGTTTGGTAGCTTCTTTAGGAGGAAGCAGAGAGCCCAAACAGAACCTGAAAAAAATACAAAGATAAAATAAAACCCAGTGAATTTTTAATAGTGATTATCTCCTGACACATAGCGCGTTGCCATCTGGCAGACACGCGGCCCACTGAAGCTTGGTGCTGGTGGGGAGGAGGGCGCTGGGGGCTCCTACTGCCACCCCAGAGCAGGAGGTGCCAGGCATTCTCTCCATGGACGCCTCCGTGGCATGTCCTTGAGCCCAGCCACGTGAGAGGTGCACGGCTCGGTCCTCCCCCATTCGCCCTGGGTGCTCTCAGCCCGACCCCTGCCCAGAGACGCCCAGTCCCTGCTGCCCTGAAGAAGAGGCTGGGCTCTCAGCATTTCTGGTGGGGGCAGGTCCCCAGCTCCAGGGGTGGCTGAGTGTAGGGATCTGCCAGTCCCAATGCCACCTTATTTCATGTGAGGATTTCGTAGCTCCAACCTCATTTAGTCACAGTTTAAGATGAAGATAGTAAATGTTGGTTGCATGGTACCATAGGTCAGGCTCATAGGCCTTTCAGCCCACATTTATTTAGTTTTCTTTCTTTATTACTTGTTGAGGCAAAGTCTCACTCCATCACCCAGGCTGGAGTGCAGTGGTGAGACCATAGCTCACTGCAGCCTCCATTCCCTGTCTCAGATGATCCTCCTACCTCAGCCTCCCAGAGTAGCTGGGACTACAGGCACACCACCATGCCCAGATAATTTTTTTGCATTTTTTGTAGACACAGGGTCTCGCTATGTTGCCCAGACTGGTCTTGAACTCTTGGGCTTAAGCAATCTGCCCTACCAAAGTACAAGGATTACAGACATGAGCCACTGCACCCAGCCCATTTATTTCTTAATTTACTTTTTTTCGATGATCTCGCTCTGTTGCCCAGGGTGGAGTACAGTGGTGTGATCATAGCTCACTGCAGCCTTGAACTCCTGGGGCCCCAATGATCTTCCCGCCTCAGCCTCCCGAGCAGCTGGGACTGCAGACACACACTGTCGTGCCTGGCTAAGCCCACATTTGTTAAGTGCCCACTTGTGGCTGGCACCTGTGGTGGCCCCTCATGGGGGAAATCTGATGAGTGTTTACACCTTAAGGCACCGTAAGACCGTTGAGGTTTGGGGCCAGATACTTCTTTGTCCTGGGAGCTGTCCTGTGCTTTGTAGGTTGGCCTTGTCCTCTGCTCACGAGATACCAGTAATACTGGTTGTCCCAGTGTGACAACCAGACACCTGCCCAGACATTGCCAGGTGTCTCCTGGGGGATCTCAGACCATCCAAATGTCCCTGTTGAGAAATCCTTGCTTAAGGTGTGTGTATGTTTCCTGGGGCTGCCATGATAAATGACCATAAACTGGGTAGCCTAAAACCACAGGAATGTATTATTTGATAGCTTTACAGACCAGGAGTCCAAAATCAAGGTGTGCGCAGGGCTGTGCTCCCTCTGGAGGCCTGGGGGGAGGAAGCTTCCTGCCTCTTCCAGCCTCTGGTAGCTCCGGGCGTTCCTTGGCTTCTGGCCACACTGCCGTGGTCCCTGCCTTCTCCTCCCGCGGCCTTCTTTCTGAGTGTCTGTCTTTGTGCTATTCTGTGTCCAAATTTCCTTCTCAGAAGGACAGCTCATTGGCCTTAGGACCCACCTTATTCCCGTGTGGCCTCATCTTACCTAATTATATCTGCAAAGGCTCTGTTTACAAATAAGGCCATATTACGGGGTGACCATGCATTATGGGAGGCATAGCGCAGCCCGGCACAGCTCCAAGTTCAGCAGCGGCTCAGGACCCGGTCTGGCCTCCCCCTGTTGGAGCCCCAGGCCTTGCTCAGTCTGACCCTGCTGCTGTCTGCGGCTCTGTCTGCTTCTGCCACCGGGAAATGACTTTAAACGGCCTAAAGGCTAAGGACAAGATCCGGGAAGCTGTCACCATGACATGGATCCAAGTGAGATGACTTTGGCACCTCTGGTAGGGAGCAGGGTGCTGCAGAGCAGTGGTGGCAGGGGGCAGGGGCTGCAGCCTCTCCTGGGCTCCCTGCAGACCCTGCCATGCCATGGCTCCTCCAACTGAGGCTCACTCTATGTGTGTCTGCAGAGAGCTTTTGGCCCAAGCCCACTGGGCTCCTCTCCACATGGGCACAGGCGAGGGAGGCTGAGGAGTTTTGGGGTGGGGGCACAGGAGGTGCGCCCGGCACCAAGATGCCAGGAGCAGGGCACAAGGGAGGCCTCTCGAGGGAGGACATTTGAATGGAGATCAGCAGGAAGCGGGAGGGCCACGCAGAAACTGTCCTTTGTTCCACGGCCTATTTGCTGGTCACTGACTGCACCATTTGCTGTCCTGTGCACTGAGACAGCATTGAGTAAAAGGTACAGGTCCCTGGCCTGGGGAGCTTGTTTCAGGCAATAAACCATAAAAGTGATGAGTGGAAAGGTGCAAAGTGCTGTGGAAACCAAGTTAGTGCAGGGGCAGGGCCAGGAGCTGGTGGGGGAGTGGGCAGGCTGCAGGATTTGAGGGGGTGGTTGGAGTCCTGGGGCTGCCAGATCAAAGCATCACAAACTGAGGGGCTTAAAACCACAGATGTTTGTTCTCTCCGAGTTCAGGAGGCTGGAAGTGTGAAATCTGGCAGGGCCGGGCTCTCTCCAGGGCTCCGAGAGAAGACCCTCCCTGCCTCTGCCGGCTCCCCCTGGCTGCCACGGTCCTTGGCTTGTGGCCGCATGTCCCTGCTCTGTCTTCATGTTGCCTTTGCGCTTTGTCTCCTTTTCTTGTAAGGACACACATCGTGGGATTTAGGACCTGCCCAGATAATCCAGGACCACCTCATTGCAGGAGCCCTCACTTAACCACATCTGCAAAGAGCCTTTTTCCAAATAAGTCACACGCACAGGTTCCAAGGACAGATCATGGTCCTGTCTTTTGCGGGGCGGAGGGGGGGTCACCATTCAGCACTACAGGAGGACAGCAGAGACCTCTCTGAGAAGTCTGGTGGGGAGCAGGGCGCTGCAGGGGAGCGTCTGTCTGTAGCACTCTCCCAGGCACTAGCATGACCAGCTCCGAAAAAAGAGCCGGAGCTGGTCCAATGCCTGGGAGAGAGCTCCAGACAGACGAACAGCCTGGGGGCCGAAGGCCCTGGGGGGCAGCAGGCCTGAAACCAGCACAGGCGGGCAGGGTGTGACATAGGGAGGCTCCCAGCAGAGGAGAAACATGAGCTGACCCATCTTCTGATGGGTCCTCTGCTGCCACATGGAGGATGAGACGTGAGGGTTGAGGCGGAAGCAGGGATGGCAGTGAGCTGGCTCCTGCACCAGTCCAGACGAGAGGTGCTGGGCCAGGCCAGGCCAGGGACCTGGGACAGAGAAGGGGGGCAGAGGTTTGGGCTCTCCATGCAGGGAGAGCCGGCATCTCAGTGCAGCCTCCACCCCGCCGGCCCGTGCTCCAATGGGCTTCTGATTGTCTTGTCTTTCTCCCAAACAGCCTGCCCTGCCCTCTGCCCTCCTCCGCATCCTGCCACGTTGGCAGCTGCTGTTGCTGGGAGCCAGAGGAGAACAGCTGGAGGTGCACGGAGGGAGGCGGGTGGGGGACCTCGGGCAGTGGGGATGCCAGAGGGGCCATGCCAGCCCCGGCGGGGAGTCACATTTCATTTTCCTCTCTGCGGCACTTCCCACAATTAAACCCGGGTGCCTGTGCTGATGACCTGACCCAGCCTTGGGGAACGTGCTTGCCTGGGCTGTGTCCCCATCACCCTGTCTCCTCCCCCAGTCCCCCTTGCTCTTACCACCTCCCTCTCTCTTTCCTCTTGCCCCCCCTCTTCCCCCTCCTCTCCTTTTGTTTCCTCTTTCCCTGTGCCCCTTCCCCTCCTCCCTCTCCCCACTCCCACCTTCTCCTCCCCAACAAGCTCCTCTCTGCCTGGAAACTGAGCCTCCAGGACCCCTGGAAGGGGGAGCCTGGAGAAGAAAGATGCCATGAAGCCCTTGTGCCAGTTTCCGAAAAGAATGTTGCTTTTCATACTTCACCCTTCAATCCTTATCTTCTCTAATTTATTGGACAGACCCCGTGGTACTGACAGATTCGTGGCCAGGACCTTGGCGTCTGAATTTCACTGTAATCTGCCCCTCCACCCTGTTCTCCAGACGTCTCCAGTTTATCTCCTGATGCAGTCAGGGCGACCCCATGTCCTCTGTGCTACCACTAATGTGGCCCAGGGACGATAAATTGTGCCTTGTAATAACACTCCCCGATGGGTTAATTGACCCTGCTCTGACGGGCAGTCCCTGCTGGCCCCCTTCTCTTCCTGCCCCTCTCAGACAAGGCCCCAACTTTTCCATCTCCTTTCCTTCTCTTTCTCCCTGCCTCCACCAGCCCAGACCCCACCCCACCTCCTGTAAACCAGGGGCAGCAGGGGAGGGACGCTTTGCAGAGCAGTGCAAGTACAGACAAGTGCGTCGCTGAATCTGTGATCAGTGCTGGGGGCCCCTCAGGGCTGCCTGTACCTGGGTGGGGTGGGACATCACCAGCCCATAGCCCAAAGGCTAGGGCGGGATGCAGGCAGGCGGACCGTGTTTGTCCTGTAGAGGCACCTGGTGTCCTGAAGCAGGCAAGGGCAGGCTGTCCCTCCAGCCTGGCCATGCCGAGGTGGAGATGGTCTGCTGCCTGGATCCTGTAATTGTGCCAAAGAGTGATGATTTATCACGATGCTGGCTCCAGCCTTCAGAAGCTGGATTATTTGTAGCATGCCTCAGTTTTGTCTGCAGTGCCTGGGCAATTCTGGGCCTTGTAAATCTAGTGACAGGGCCTCTGTCCAGGGGTCGAGGCCTGAAATTTCCCAGGCCAGGGGCCCTCTCCAGAGGGAACTGGAGCATCTTGCTTGTACTGGGAAGAAAGAGGAGGCAGGAGCTTTGGGGGAATGTTTCTTCTAATTGTTTTTCTTTTTTTTTTTTTTTTTTTTTTTTAATACTAGAGACCGGGTTTCACTCTGTTGCCCAGGTTGGTCTCAAGCTCCTGGGCTCAAGTGATCGTTCCACCTCAGCCTCCCTAAGCGCTAGCATTACAGGTGTGAGCCATCGCAGCGGCCACTTCTTTATTATCGTTGTTATTATTGAGACATGGTCTCTCTCTGTCACCCGAGTTGGAGTGCAGTGACACGATCTTGGCTCACTGCAACTGCTGCCTCCCAGGCTAAGATGATTCTCCCGCCTCAGCCTCCCCAGGAGCCGGGACGACAGTTGCGTGCCACCACGCCCAGCTAATTTTTAAAATTTTTTGTAGAGACGGGATTTCGCCATGTTGCCTAGGCTGGCCTCGAACTGCTGAGCTCAAGTGATCCTCCTGCCTGGGCCTCCCAGAGTGCTGGGATTACAGGCGTCAGCCACCGTGCCTCACCTTTTGTTGAGGCCTGCGGGCTTTTAAGAACACGATGGGCTCCCGGAGACCTGGGATGGCGCTCAGTGGAATCGGGTGGGAGTTCCTGTGGCAACTTGCAGGCACCTGCCGAGGCTGGGTTGACGTTCAGGGATGGTGAGGTTTCTGGGGGTCTTCTAATCCCCCCATACACGTGCATATGACAGTCCCAGATAAGGCAGGCAGCCAGCAATCCTGGAACTCACGTCTGCTTTAAACTCCGTGTATCATGGCTTCATGGCGGTTGCTGCCCATGCCTTCTGTTCCCTGGGTCACCAGCCGTTTTTGGTTCATTATATTCCATCCGCCTTGTGGCCTTTGTACGTGCTGTTCCCACTGCCTGGAATGCTGTTCCTGGCTGACCCACTGTGATGATGTAATTCTTTCATTTATTTATTTATTTTTGAGACAGGGTCACTCTGGCATCCAGGCTGGAGTTGACTGGCACAATCACAGCTCAGTCGATCTTCCCACCGCAGCCTCCCCAGTAGCTGGGACTATAGGCGTGCACCACCACGCCTGACCATTTTTTTTTTTTTTTTTAAGCAGAGACAGGGTTTCACTGTGTTGCCCCAGCTGGCCTTGAACTCCTGGGCTCAAGTGATCCTCTCACCTTGGCCTTCCAAAGTGTCGAGGCTACAGGTGTGAGCTACCATGCCTGGCATCGTATGTGGTTCTTTTTTTTTTTTTTTTTTGAGCTGGGGTCTTGCTTTGTTGACCAACTGGAGTGCAGTGGTGTGATCTCTACTAACTGCAACCTCCACTTCCCAGGTTCGAGTGATTGAACCTGCCTCAGCCTCCCTAGTAGCTGGGATGACAGGTGTACGCACCACCATGCCTGGCTAATTTTTGTATTTTTAGTAGAAACGGGGTTTCGCCATGTTGGCCAGGGTGGTCGGGTGATCCGCCTGCCTTGGCCTCCCAAAGTGCTGGGATGTATATGTGGTTCTTGATTCCTGTGCAACTTCTTGCTGAGTTGGAGCTGACCCCGGGGGGCACTGGGTGGGCTTTGGCTCCACAGCCTGTCCCGGGTGCCCAAAACACGTATACAGGAGCTGCTCAGTGAAGATTCCGAATATGCGTTTTGTTTAATGTACATCCTGAGTCTTTGGCCAAAACTAAAACCCTAGGAACCCTTCCTGTGTGTGCTGCCCACCTAGGAGGGTGCCCCCCAGCCACAGTCAAACATGCCCACAGCCAGCTGGGTCTGCTCGGCACCCCTCACCTCCTTATTGTGAATGCTGTGAGCCCCTCCGGCCTACTGGGCTCTCGGTGGTCACTTTCCAGCTGCAGAAAAAGGTCTTAGGTTTTTTTTTTGTTTTTTTTTTTTGAGATGGAGTCTCGCTCTGTCGCCCAGGCTGGAGTGCAGTGGCGCGATCTCGGCTCACCGCAACCTCCACCTGCTGGGTTCAAGTGATTCTCCTGCTTCAGCCTCCTGAGTAATTGGGATTAGAGGCACCCGCCACCATGCCCGGCTAATTTTTTGTATTTTTAGTAGAGACGGGGTTTCACTATGCTGGCCAGGCTGGTCTCGAACTCCTGACCTTGTGATCCGCCCGCCTCGGCCTCCCAAAGTGTTGAGATTACAGGTGTGAACCACCGCGCCCGGCCTAGGGTTTTGTTTTTTCAAACAGCTTTATTGAGATGAAGTTCTCATATCATGCATTTCACCCTTTTCAAGTGTACAGGCCCATGGTGTTGAGTCATCACGACCTCATTTCAGAACGTTCCCGTCACTCCAGAAAGAATCCCCCTCCCCATTAGCGGTCACTCCGCGCTCCTCATTTCTGCACCCTGGCCTCGGACATCCACTCATCCGCTTTCTGTCTGTGGATTTCCCTGTTCTGGTCATTTCAGAGAAATGGACCTCCCACACTGTGTGACCTTTTGTGTCCAGCTTCTTCCAGGAAGCATTGCATCTTCACGGTTCGTCCGTGCAGCAGCGTGCGTCAGTACTTCCTACCTTCCTATGGCTGAGGAATATTCCATGGCATGGGGCCAGGCACGGTGGCTCATGCCTGTCATCGCAGCACCTTGGGAGGCCGAGGCGGGCAGATCACTTGAGACCAGGAGTTCAAGACCAGCCTGGCCAACATGGTGAAACCCCGTCCCTACTAAAAATACAAAAATTAGCCAGGTATGGTTGCGGGCACCTGTAGTCCCAGCTACTCGGGAGGCTGAAGCAGGAGAATCACCTGAATGTGGGAGGCAGAGGTTGCAGTGAGCTGAGATCGTGCCATTGCACTGCAGCCTGGGTGACAGCACGAAACTGTCTCAAAAAAAAAAAAAAAAAATTCCATGGCCTGCCATGGACAGACCAGTGTGTCCATTCTTCAGTTGGTGGCCATGTGGGCTAGCTCTACCATTTGGGTATCAAGAATGATGCTGGCATGAACGTTCTTGCATAAGGTTTTTCTTCTTTTTTTCTCCTTTTTTTGAGGTGGAGTCTGGCTCTGTCGCCCAGGCTGGAGTGCAGTGGCTCCATCTCAGCTCACTGCAACCTCTGCCTCCCAAGTTCAAGTTATTATCCTGCCTCAGCCTCCGAAGTAGTTGGAATTACAACCATGCACCACCATGCCCCGCTCATTTATTTTCTTTCTTTCTTTCTTTCTTTCTTTCTTTCTTTCTTTCTTTCTTTCTTTCTTTCTTTCTTTCTTTCTTTCTTTCTTTCTTTCTTTCTCTTTCTTTCTTTCTTTCTTTTTTTTTCTTTCTTTCTTTCCTTCCTTCCTTCCTTCCTTCCTTCCTTCTTTCCCTCCCTCCCTCCCTACCTCCTTCCTTCCTTCCTTCCTTCCAGATGGAGTCTCGCTCTGTCGCCCAGGCTGGAGTGCAGTGGCACGATCTCGGCTCATTGCAAACTCTGCCTCCCGGGTTCACACCATTCTTCTGCCTCAGCCTCCCAAGTAGCTGGGACTATAGGCGCCCGCCACCATGCCCGGCTAATTTTTTTTTTTTTTTTTTTTTTTTTAGTAGAGACGGGGTTTCACCGTGTTAGCCAGGATGGTCTTGATCTCCTGACCCCGTGATCCACCCACCTCGGCCTCCCAAAGTGCTAGGATTACAGGCGTGAGCCACTGTGTCCGGCCTTAGTTTTTGTATTTTTAGTAGAGATGGGGTTTCATCATGTTGGCCAGGCTGGTCTCAAACTCCTGACCTCAGGTGATCTGCACGTCTCAGCCTCCCAAAGTGCCGAGGTTACAGGCATGAGCCACCATGCCTGGCCAATTTTTGTATTTTTAGTAGAGATGGGGTTTCTCCACGTTGACCAGGCTGGTCTCAAGCTCCTGACTTCAGGTGATCTGCCTGCCTTTGCCTCCCAAAGTGCTGGGATTACAGGTGTGAGCCACCGTGCCTGGCTTATATGAGTTTGTGTGTGGGCGTTATGTTTTCAATTCGCTGAGTGTCGAGGTTTTTAGCTCACCAACCCTTCTCTGTGCAGGAAACCTCCTGTTGGTGCTGGGACACTGAGCGCAGCGAGGGGCTGGCTGGGGACGTCCCATTGCCGTGTGAACATTTTCCATGTGTCACTGTGTGCCAGGTGCCGGCCTGAACCCTTCACAGAAGCCCAAGCAGCTCTGCAGTGGGGCTGTCATAATTCCTAGTACAGAGTGGGGAAACTGAGGCCCGGGCCCAGTGGCTTATAGTTCTGCAGCATCGAGGTTTGTTTTCTCCTCAAAGCTCTCCATGCCTGGTGTTCAGATTCAGATCTGAGGACCCAAAGCTCAGAAAGGACCCAAGGTGCTTGAGGCCACACAGCGGCCATGATGCACGACGGGTGATGTTTCTCTGCCATTGCCCGTGTTCCTGGCCGGTCCCCAGCACTTGGTTGAAATCACTGACTCTCACAACATCCTCAACGTCCTGTTCCCATTTACTAGATGATGAAACTGAGGCACGGAGAGGTGAAGTAAGGAGCCAGGGTCATCGGCCTCAAGGGCCCCAGCCAGGAGTAAGACTCAGGCAGTTTGGCTCCAGAATCTACAGCGTGACCCTGACATTGTACCACTTGCATGAGAGGCAGTGTTTCGATGGGGATGGAGGGAAATTCCAGGGCCCCATTGGGTGAGGCGGGACTGGGAGTTTTCCTGGGCGACGTCTTCTGCATCTCGCTTGCTTCCTGGCCTTGCGGCAGGGGGCGCGCGTGGCACCAGTGTGAGCCTCCACCCCCCTCTGCCTGCTCCAGGGTCCCTGGTGAGCTCTGCCGCCACCTCCACTCCACCCTGTTTCTGAGCCCTCTTGGGCCTCGACACTCCTGTGACTGCAGCTGCTGAAGGGACACCCGTTCTTTGTCCTGGGAGGCCCAGTGGAGCCCCCACCTTCCCCCGCCACCCAGAACAAATCACATGGCCCATCGGACCTGTTCCTCTGCTTGGTGTCCGATTGCCCTCCTGGGAGACAGAGCAGGGACAATCCACCCTGGGTGTTGCCTTCCCAGCAGGTGTGGCGGGCGGCAGGGGTGGCCAAGGTCCCTGAGAAGATGTGGGGCCAGACTGGGTGGCCAGCACTGTCGGTCAGGTCCAGGGCCCCCATCCCCACCGTCTGATTTTTCTGCCTGACATCCCAGCGCCTGCTCCCTGAAGTTTTGACCTGAGGCCCAGAGACCTCTGCTTGCCTCCCTGCACTCCTGAAATAATACTCCGGAGCAGCTGGGCTCCACGCTGAGCAAGCACCGGCGGTGCCCCCAGGGAGCAGCGCGTGCAGAACCGCAGGTCTTCCACCCCCTCCTGGGACAGCGTGTGCTGCCTTTGCTCTGATTTCAGTTTTATTTTTTAATCTGCCCTTGCTCCCTCTCTGGGCCGCTCGGCCTCCGGCCTCGGTTTCGGCGTTTTTCTCCAACCGGCCCTGACACCTGCTCTTCCTGGGACAGCCACGCCTCGCTTCTCTCCCCACCCGGTCCATCCCCAAGCAGCTGAGGTCAGAGCCAGGCTTCCCAGGTTTACACCCAGCCTCAGCACCTGGTGTAGCCACTCTGTGCCTCAGTTTCTTTCTCTGTAAAATGGAGATAAAAGACACCTCCTTTTTTTGAAAAATTTCCTGAGATAAACCATGTAAAGCGCATAGCACAGTCAGTGGTTTTTGTCATGGGAGAGCTTGTACCAGGCTCAGAGGGGAAGAGGCAGGGGTTAACTCTGGGGACAGAGGAGCTTGATGCTTAGGAAGGGTTTTGAGGGGTGTATAGGAGTTTTCTAGAAGGAGGTGGTAGGGAGAGAAGGGCAATCCATGTAAGAGGAACCTTGCCAAGGAATTGAAGTTAGTTCTTTGTGGATGGCTCCTCTTCCTTCCAGGTGGGGAGTTGATTGAGATGCTTTTGTTTGGCTGGAATCTTCTGTCCTGTGTGTGTGCCATGGTTTGGGCAATTGATGTCCGTTTTCTGGAAGTGCTTGATGTGGTCACTTTCCAGGAGCTGAGACGAGCAGGTGGACACAGGGCCCAGCAGCTCCTTTTGACCTTGGGTGTCGCTAATTCTGCCGCCAGAGCAAATGCATTTAGGAGGACTCTGCCCAATGCCCGGCACTTTGGGAGATGTGGTGAGAAGCGTGGAAAAGGTGAGAAGATAGTCCTGTGAGACCATGTTTTGGGGCCCAGAGATGTTATTTGTGATGTACCTAAAAGGTCACACGGCGCAGAGGTGGCAGAGCTGGGGTGCAGGGCAGCCCTCCAGCCGGCATCCACATTCTCAGCCGCCGACGGACCATACCGGCCTGCTCCTCAAGGCCCTGGGGGCAGGGTGGCCGATGCCCTCGCCGGGACTACGCCCCTTGCAGGCGGGCCATCTGGCCTCAGTCATTCGGCCTTTGGATTTCATGTCCCCACCCATGAAGGGAGCCGCTGTTGTGGACGACCCAACTTGTCATGTTTGTTCGGGACCCAGGCGGCTGTAGGAGGGAGGCCTTGGCATGATGCTCAGTGTCTCCAGGTGATGCCCAGTGCTGTCGGCTGGAGAAGAGCCGTGGGTGATGGGAGACAGTGGGTGAGGGTCCAGCTCCAGGACCCTCCAGAACATGCTGGGACTCACTGGCACTGGGGGTGCTCGGATGTGTGCCCAGTCCTGCCAGGTGAGAGATCGCACTTGCGTGCTTCCTGGAGGAGGGCGTGGGTGCTTCAAGCTGCCCTGCAAGGGGATTAGAAAGGCTCTACTTGGCTTCAGAGCAGGGACCAGGTCAGGTGGTCTGGATTCAGACCCCCAGCCCATCTCTGACAACTCGAGCGACCCGCGACCTGCAGCGGGTCCCTCAGCCTCCACGTGACTCAGTTCCCCCCCCAAATAAAATCCTGGTAACAACAGTCCTTACCTGGGGGCTTAATATGAGAACCGACGTGAGTGACGTGGATGGGACATCTGTCTTCAGTGCCAGCCTCTGTTTTGAAGTGTGTGTTTTGCTTGTATGTACAGATCAGGCACCCCCGTCTGCAAATCCAGCATCCAAGGTGTTCCAAAATACAAAGCTCAGGCGAGCACAGTGGCTCACCCCTGTAATCCCAGCACTTTGGGAGGCCAAGGAGGGCGGATCACCTGAGGTCAGGAGTTCGAGACCAGCCTGACCAACATGGCGAAACCCTGTCCCTACTAAAAATACAAAGATTAGCCAGGCATGGTGGAGGGTGCCTGTAATCTCAGCTCCTTGGGAGGCTGAGGCAGGAGAATCGCTTGAACCCAGGAGGCAGAGGTTGCAGTGAGCCAAGATTGCGCCATTGCACTCCAGCCAGGATGACAGAGTGAGACTCCGTCTCAAAAAAAAAAAAAAAAAAAATACCAAACTCTCTGTGTAGCAGTGCGACGCTACATCTGGAAGATTCCACACATAAGGACTTCACATGAACTTTATTTCATGTACAAATTATTCAAAGTATTGTGTAAGTTACCTCTGGCTATGTGGATCAGGTGTATATGAAGCAGAAATGAATTTCCTGTTTACACTTGGGTCCCATCCCCAAGACATCTCACTGTGTATTAATACATGCAAACATTCTGAAACCTGAAAAAGCGAGGCTCTCTGTCCCGAGCTTTCAGAGGAGGAAGCCTCAGCTGTCGTTCCCGCTGTTCCCTGCCTGGGTGGGTCATGGGAGAGCGAGAACAGAAACGGGGCAGAGGGGAGTACGTGGAGTTGAGTCCCCTTCTCTGTGACCTTCAACCTTGGGCAAGTCCCTCACCCACTCTGTGCCTCAGTTTCCCCACCTGTACCCTGGGGTGCTAAGGGGCTGGCCACGAGGGTTGTGAGAGCCTGTCTAGTTCCCGTGGCCCAGCGCAGCCCAGCACACAGCAAGTGCTCCATGAAGCCTATGAACAGTTGTTTCTGCTCCCTTCTCTTCCACCAGGCGATGCCCAGGCCCCCGGCCACTGTCTCCGCCCTCTTGGTAGGCCCTGTGGGATCAAGTGTCTCCGAGGCGGCGGGCTGAGACGGATGGGCCTCCTGGCCGCACACCTGAGAACATGCTGGCAAAAGCGTTTGCTTAATTAATTGACTTTGAGCGAGGGAGCCCGTCCCCGTGTAAACCTAGCAGCAGGCTCGGTGCTTGCCGCCGGGATGCTGCGAATGCAAGGCTAGACTTTAAATAAGGGTGTGATTATTGTGTGAATAATTGAAGAATGTTGGGGAGCTTGCAGTCCTCGGTGTACCGTCCCCTGCCAGCAGGCCTCTGGGCCCTGCCCGTCACGGGTACAACTCTGCTGCCATCCTCTCAGCTGGGACAGTGGGGGACTTTCAGACCTAAGCGTTGGAGGAAACCTCCTCAGCGACCCTCCCCGAGAGGTGCGTCCCTGTTTTCCAGATGGGGAAACTGAGGCAGAGCTGGGGTTACCCCAGAAGACCCTCAGATTCGCGGTAGGATGACGTCCCACACTTGGTGACTTTATGTGGCTCCCGGACCAGTTATGCCGTGCAGGAATATGCCCCTTCATAGAACCGCAGTGAGGTTTTTCCATCCTAACAGTCTTCCAACTGGGACGGTGAGCAAGACGTGGCCAGGGGCCAGTGGGTCCCACACACCTGCCTCTCTGCCTTTCTCCTCCGCGGGTCCCCTGGGAACCAGGAGAGGGGTCTGCGCTCAGAGCCAGCATAGCCAGCAGGACTCAGATGGGAGCCTGGATTCCCATTTCTGCCAGTGATCGACAGGTTCCTTCTGGAGATAAATTAGTTTTTAAAAATTAGTTGATATAAATTATCCCTCCAAAACCCAGACCAGAAACAACAGATGGAGTTGAAGGAGTAAGTAAATAATACAGGGCAGGGTGTACACAGCCGTGGCGGAAACCACAGAAGTGGCCCTTGAGTGACGAAGCCAGGGAGACGCCTCCGCGACACAGCAGGGGCCACCATTGGTGCTTCAGGGGCCAGGCCCATTGGAACAGATTTTCTGCACAGCAGCTTACGTGTCTCCTGAGGGAGGGGCTGTTATTTCCCACATTTTTACAGCTGGGGAAGTAGGCGCAGAGAAGCTCAGTAACCTCCTTCAATTGCACAGCAGAGCCCCGACTCAAAACCAGGGCCCTGGCACAGAGTCCCTCTCAGCCACTCCACCTCTGCTCCATGCGCCGGCTCTGTGCCTGGGGTGGCCCCTCTTCTGTAGCCAGCTCCCCTGCCTTACCTGTCTCCTTGGGCCCCGTTTCCAGTTCACGGTCTTTGGCCTCCACTGTGATGGCCATGTGGGTGCTGCCTCACCCTGTGCCTGCCCTGGGCATGGGCTGCACCCCGAATCTAGCCTGAGGAACCTGCCTGCTCAGCCCTCATTCAGCCTTGATTCCTCAGCACCTGTCCTAGGCCCGGGGCCAGGCCCTGGGGACCCAACAGTGATCGCCCCTTGCCAGGCTACCCGTTGTCCAGATGGTGCGGTAGGGCCACTTCCGCCACCACAGACAAAAGCAGGATTTATGGTTGTCAGAAAACCATCTGGAACATTCCGGGCAGCGTTCACGCCACCACACCTCCCAAGGAAGTGGAGCGACAGCCTGTGCCCGGAGATAGGCACCCCAGGGCCACCCACTCACGGTTTCCCGCGCCCAGAGGCATGGATCCCAGGCCCTGCATTTTCCCAGAGAATGGCGTTGGTCCGGAGAGGGAGAGACAGGAGCCTGCAGTCACACAGCAGGGTGGGCCAGGTCCCGTGCAGCCGTTGTACAGCTACTGTCACACCAGGGGCGGTGGGGAGCCCTGTCCTCCTCCTCTTCCTCCCCTGTGCCTTCACTTCTGCCTTTATTTCATGTTCCTGGGCGGCAAAGGAGGGAGCCAGGCATGGCCCCTGCTCAGGCTCTGCCTGTGGCGCCTGCCGCCTGCCGTTCTGGGAGGGCATCATCCTTCATCCCGCAGGCCCGGCTGCCGCCGCCGCCGCGTTAAGGACAGATGGATTACAGCTAATGAGCCTGCTCGCACCATTAGCACTCGAGAGCCTTCCTCGGATTAAAGCCGTGCGCAGCCCGCCGGGCCAGCTTGTCACTCGCGAGGTGGGCGCCGAGGCGGCCGGCTGTGCATCAGTGTGCCCGTAATTGTTCCTGTAATTGGGCCGCCTCGCTCCTGGGGAGCCTGATGCCACCCTCCCTAGGGATGGCAGGCAGGCAGAAGCAGCCCTCCCCCTGCAGCCCCTACCCAACCCGGGCCCCAGGTAGGAGCTGGGAGCTGCTGCTCCGGGAAACACCGATGTTCTTCCCCCAAACACACACAGAGAGGGAGCACAGGCCCCTTCACCCCGGCCCTGAGGCCATGAGCCTGCACTGGCCGCTGCCTCTCCTCCATAGGGGCCCTGTTCTGGCCCAGAAGCCTGCTAGGGGGTGTCATGGCCCCATTCTACAGATGGGGACGTAACGGCAGCTCAGTGCAGTGAGGGTGCCCACCTCAGGTGCAGCCCTGCCAACTGGGGGCACCCCATGCCCAGTCCCTCCAATTGCAGCTTCTGTCCTCACCTCCTCTTCCTCTTCTCTCCCTCCCTACTCCCTTCCTCCCTGCCTGCCTCTCTCCCTCTCCCCTTCTCTCTGTACTCACACATAACACGCTTGCACACTCACACACTCATTCACATGCTCCCTTATACTCACAGGTGGACGCTGTCACCTGCTCTCACACACACGTACGCACACTCCTGCTCTTGCACGCATGTTGTCACGTGCACACGAGCCCGGGAAGCCTTCCAAGGGCAGCAGGGACCCTCCCCTGTTCTCCCCGGCGTTGCCCAGGGCCGCCGTTACCTGGCAGCACAGCTCCCACCCCTTGGCATGGCAGGCATCAAAAAGACATTGCAGCCGCTAAGTGGCACTAGGTGGCTCCGTTCGGGGGTGGCATGTCTCCTGTCTTAGAATTTCAGGATTCCAAACTGATAAGGCCTTGCCTCTGTGTGGAACCGTCCACGGCTCCTGTGGTGTGGAGTCTCCTCTCTCCCTGAGAGGCCTGCCCTGGTCCCCAGCCTCGTCCCACTCCTGCCCTGGCGAGGATGGTGGGAGCGCCGTCCCGCCCTCTCTCCTGCCGCCTCCAGCAGCCTCTCCATGCCCGGGACGGAGCGGGCATCTGTCCTGTTGCACAGGCTGTTCTCGGGGGTTCCCCCAGCCCCCCGTTCGTGGCTTGTGAGAAGAGCCCTCTCCCTCCCTCCCGGCATGGCTGGGGCCTCGCCGGTGCCTGGTGCTCAGTGCGCATTTCTTGGGATGAGTTTAGCTGTTGCTAAACATAGGCTGCAGGATTCAGGCGAAAGTATAGTTTTTTACTGATGAGTGGTCATTTTGTGCCTAGCCCTGTGCCCACCTCAGTATAGGCACCCCAGGGACTTGGGGTTCACGGGTGGTTGCTATGTACCCCAGGGGGTTCTGATACAGGGAGGCCTTGGGCCATGCTGGAAGGCAAGAATTCCAGAAGCTTCCAGAGGCTGCCGTGCCCCAGCGGATGGGCTCTCTGTCCAGTTGGGAAAAGAGGGGAAGCAAAACGGGAGCAGAAGAGATTGTCCTGCTCGAGGTGAGCATGGATACAAATAGCCTCTCACTGGGTGTCACCTCCTCACCCCCCCAGGAAAAATTCTGCATTTACAAAAATGACTGAGTCTGCCTTGCACTCACAGCCTTGCGTCTCCTCCCGTCACGTGGCGAGCTACGTCCCGTGGATACAGAGGAGTGTTTTAGAGCTCAGGTTTTGCAGAACTGAGCTCTGGGGTCTGTAGAGTGTTCCTGGCTGTGACAGGCATGTCGAGGGCCTGAGAACCCTCGCATGGTCTACGTTCGCACCTGGGCAGGCCGATTTCATAAACACTGAGGCCTCGTTATGAGCCAGGAAGATGTGAGCCCACAGTGACCACATTATTCCCCTTATTTCTATCTGTGTTATAGATGGGAAACAGGCACGGAGAGGCTAGGTGACCCGCCCAGGTCACACAGCTGAGAACGGCAGAGCCAGGCTCTCGAATCCAGGTCCCCAAGTCCAGGATGGGAATCACCCCGCGATACAACCTTGATGGCGACCCCAGAATAGAAGCAGGGAGCTGGGGGCTTGGGGCCAGGGCTGTGCCCTCGGGAAATGGGCGGTGGTGGGGGAAGGAGGTGGGTCGTCCAGGCCACTGCTCATTCTGGAATGGTGGAGCTCAAGGCAGGCATCTGTGTGACCTTGCACGGTTAACGTGCCCTTTCCGCCTCAGTTGGTGGTCCCTCAAGGCCGTGGCTCCTGGCCTCACAAAGGGTGGTTCGGGGCAAGGGTGACCCACCCATCACTGATGCCCCTGGCACCTCTAGGGCTATACCCCAGTGCCACTAGTCACTCCTCTGGGCTCTGCAGAGCAGTGGTAGCCCCACTGCCTGGCCATGGAGGCTCCTAGCAGGACCAGACAAGGGGAATCTGGGGGAACGTCTTGGAGTCTGTGGCTGTCCTCGCTGTGACCTTGCAGGGCCATGCTTCCCTCTGCAGCCAGGAAGGAAGCGGAGGAAAACCCGAGTGATGGGGTTGGCTTCTGGAGGGCCTGTCCTTCCTCCCAGGGGACATGGGCCCTGCTGCCTCATCTTCTTCTTGGTCCTTCCAGCTCTTCAGTTTCCCCATCTAGCATCCTCGTCCTCTTGCAGTCTTTTCTCCACTTAATTCAGCTTGTCTGCCCGCCTCCGTTTATTAAGCTCCTATTGTGTGCTTAGGAGTATGCTCAGAGTACAAACAGAGGATGGGACCTGGTTCCCATCTGTGGTTGTCGCACATTCATTTATTCGCACAGCCAGCACGTTACAGCCTACGGGGCTCTCTGCATGGCTAAGCTCTAGAAACGCAGGGTCTTGTTGCAAGTCTGGCTTATTCCTCTCTCAGCAGGTCCAAGCTCCCTGTTCCTGCCAGGTACTGAACTGACTGGTTACGAAATGCTCACAGCCAGACAGGGAAGGGCAGAGGCACCAGGCACTCAGGTTCTCGGTGAAAAGTGCCACAAGAGAGGAAGTTCAAGGTGCCTCAGGAACAGTCTTTCCGGAGGTCATGAAGTTGGACTTGGGTTTCGAAGGATGTGCAGGAGTTGTGAGGTGGAGAGCAGAGGACAGAGTGATGGAGACTGGAGGAGGACCTTGAGCTGCCTCTGGGAGAAGCTTGAGCACACCAGAGAATTAGGCAAGGGCCTCTTCGTCTGGGGACCGGGGGGATCAGAGGTGGGTGATTTCCTGGACAGTGTGGCCAGAGAGGGAAGGTGAAACAGCAGAAGACCCCCCCATTCTAACAGCCCCCCGGGGGTCAGATTTGGGATGAGGGCCATCAACAGCCCTGGCCTTTCGTTTTTAAGTTGTTAGTGTTTGCAGTGATTCTTTCCCGCTCCATGAGGCAACATGGTACAAATTACACCAGGAGAAGCGGGTCCAGAGCTGCCGTCCGCAGACCTTTCTGTCATGCTGGGAAGTATCCATGTCTGCAGCGTCCCGTGTGCTACCAATGAGCTACCCACAGCCTGGGCAACGCAGGAATGGAATTTTAATTTTATTTCATGTTAATTAGCTTAACTTTGAATTGAAATCATCACCTGTGGCTATTCTACTGGACAGCTCAGGTCTGGAGTCAGAGACCCTCTCCCTGCCCCCAGCCAGCCCCTCCCCATCCTGGATGGGCTGTTGAGCCGGGCCGGTGAGAATTTTCTGAGCAACGTCCCTGCCACCAAGATGCAAGAGGCTAGTGGCCCCTGCCTGTCAGTGGGCACTGGGGGCTGGGGGGCTGCCTAGAAACCAGGTGGTACATGGCTCCAGCACCATCTGCCTCTGCAGTTCTCAGAACCGCTGCAGAAGCTCTCAAGCAGAGACAGGCAGTGGCATATCGCCCTTCCAAGGAGCAGGGACTGTGCAGCCATCGGACCCAGACACACAGCCAGTGCCCACCCCGCAGCGCCTGCCCCACAGCCCCCGCCCCATAGCACCCACCCCACAAGCCGTGCTTCATTCGTGAAGTTGCTACGCGGCCCGCGCCTCCTTCACAAGAGGATGGGCTCTTCCCAGCTGAACCCCCAGTGTGGTGACTCAGACCCCGTCTGAACTGGGGTGAATATAGCGTCCCCTCAAACGTCATGTCTGCCCAGAACCTCAGAACGTGACCCTATTTGGAAATTGGGTTTTTGCAGATGTCATCGAGTTGAGATGAGGTCACATGGGACTAGGGTGGGCCCTAAATCCAATCTGATTGGTAGTTTTTAGGAGAAGAGGAGAGACAGGCAGGAAAGGCCACGTGAAGACAGGCGAGAGTGTAGCCGTGGCAGCCACAGCCACGCAGCGCCCACACCCACCGGGAGTGGGAATGAGGCAGGAAGGACCTACCTCCTTTAGAGCCTTCTGTGGGGGCACAGCCCTGCCCACCCCTGGATTTCAGACTTCTGGGCTTCAGAACTGAGAGAGAAGAAAGATCTGTGGCTTTATGCTATTTGCAGTCCTGTGTTATGGTGGGCCCTGGAGACATACAGGTGGGGGTGGTGGCAGATACCTGCCTTGGCCTGCTGGCTGCTGCTCCAGCCTCCCTTGCGCTAGATGTTGAGAGGCTGAGGGGCCCAGGAGCACCTCATGTTTTCTGTGTTCCCTGGAGGAGACAACGTTCTATAAATCAACAAGAGCTGCTAGGTGCTCATGTGGGCAGGTGGGGCCTTCACGGATGCCAGGAGCTGGGACCCGTCTATCCCTGATTCTGCTGCCCTGGGGCACACCCCTGGGCCTTCGTCTCCTCATGTGTAAAAGGGGCAGCAGGGTAGAGCAGGTGATGTCCGCAGAAGCGCCCATTCCTGCACCCCCTTCAGAGGTCTAGATCCTCAACTTGACCTCCCAGGCCCAGGGCATCGTAGCCAGAAGGAATGATGATGTAGGAGGCTGTCACCATGGTCCGCCTGCCTGGCTCCCAGGCCAGCCCCTCGCTCGCTAGCTCCTGCTGCTCCTGAGGAGGTGCCCGGTCACCGCAGAGAGGCACCCCGAGTGGAGGCGGCCACACCACGAGTGGATGCTGTGGCTGCCCCGACTTTGATCCCAGGGCGGGAACGGAGAGCACTGTGACTCCAGCCCTGGCTCGGAGCACCATGTCCGTCAATAGAAGAGGAAGGCTTTGTGCAGCAGTAGCGTGGGGCCTGCCGGGCAATTGATTTAAATCATTTTATAGAGAACCTATGTAAAATAAAAAGCCTTTAATCACATTTGTATCCATTTCCAGGCTCAGTAAATCAATTTGAATTGAGCTGGGTGCCACGGTTACAGCTGATTAGCGTGTGTATGTATGGTCAAATTAATGCCGGCCAAGTCTGCTGGATGGGGGCATAGCCATTAGCGGCCCCGGGAGCCTCCCCAACGCGGGGCTGGACTCCACACCCCGATCTCTCCCCCTGCCTCTGGCCGCCAGGGTACCCCAAAGCCCTCCTTGAGGTAGGTCCTGCAGGCGCCGGGGGAGGGGTACAGCTGGGCCCCCCAAGCCCTGTCGCAGGGGGCGGCACCAGAGCAGATGGAAAGAGCTTTTGAGCCTTCTCAGCTGCAGGTCAGCCCGGAGCCGCTAGTAGGCACTGTTGTGTTCACGCAGCATCAGGCCTCAATTCAGGCCTCTGGGTGCCACCTGGGGCCACGAGAAGGGACCCAGGATCAATCTGTTTCTTCACCCAATGTTCACTGAGCACCTACCAGCACCTGGGGTGCCCTGGAGCCACGAGGAACAGTCCCTGCCCTTGGAGACAGACAGGAAGCTCCCTACAGGAACAGGAGAGGTGGGGTGTTGGAAGATGCAGGGTATTCTGGGGGGCTGGGTGGTGGCTTTAGAAGAGAGTGGGTTGGGAGGGGCTTTATGAGAAGGTGATATGTGCCAGATGACTTGGGGGGCCAGGGTGTGAGCTCAGAAGCTGCCCTCTGGCAGGGGTGCTGGGGCGCAGGGAGGCCTGGCCTGTGGGCAAGGAGGGCGAGACGGCTGTGTGGCAGCTGGAAGGAGCTTGGGCTCAGGCGGGGTCATGGCCCGCCTGAGGAGTCAGACATGATGGTGGAGGAGGTGAGAAAAGTGGCCGAGCCTGGTCTCCTTTCAGGAAGGGGCAGCTGGTACCCCGAGTCCTCCTGGGAGCCTGAAAGCCAGGTCTCAGCGCCACAGTCTGATGAGGAGAGGGGCAGAGTGGGGGTGACACTGGGCCTGGCTGGATGCAGCCTGGAGGGTGCCCCTTTCTTGGGAGACACAGCGCCCCTTGCGAGGTCAGCCAGGGGGTGGCTGTGGCCTGTGTTGACACCACATGGCTCCATTCATGTGGACAGGAGGTGCCTTCTGTCTGCCTGTCCCTGTCCCCGCCTGGTGCTCTGAGCACCCTGTGGGCTGGGGCATCTTTCTGCTTACCTGGGCACCACCACCACCACCGAGGTGCTGGGAAGCTGACCCCTGGACACGGGCAGCCAGGCCTGGAGAGCTGGCTACCACTGGACACGCCCGCCCCTCCGAGGCAGCGGGTGCCAGACAGGCTTGGCCGGAGCCTCCGGTTGACTTGCTTTTCCTGCTTGTCAGAACCAGCTTTTTGGCGGGGACACAGGGACCTTGATGGTGAGCGTGTTTGATCTATAAATAGACTAGAGGCTGCCGGAGGCTGCACTGGCTGGGAGCCGCCCCCGTCGGCCTGTGCTGAGGTTTCTGGGGTTCCATCTCTAGCAGTTCGGGGACTCAGATTCTGTCCCCGCCAGCAGGCCCCATCCCTGTTTGAGTCCCCCTCTCAAATCGAATCCCCTCCCCCTTGCTGCACGCTACTTTCTTAGGAATTCTTTCCCTGGAATTCCAGCAATGATGGCAACAGCAGTAAATGCTTACCTGGTGCTTACGAAATACCAGCCCCTGTTCTGAGGGCCTCACCCACGTTCACTTGTTTAATATCCACAAGAGTTCAATGAGGGGAGGTACTTTCATATCACCACTTTACAGATGGACGACTAGGGCCCAGAGAGGCCGAACAGCTTGTCTGAGGCTCCACAGCTCCGAAGTGGCAGAGGTTGGATTTCAACACAGGTAGTTTCCAGATTCAGCGCCCTTAAGTAGCCACACTGCCTACCAGAGATGACACAGTCAGGCCTCTTCCCTCCCAGAGGGAGCCGTCCCTGGGGGATTCTGACACATGACCTCACGGTGCCTTTCTGTTCCTTCCTGAGTTTGCCTGGAGTGGTGCTGGGCTCAGATCACACATGTTCATCCTAGGAGTATTTGCTGAGCATCTGCTATGAGCCTGGAGCAGGTGACAGAGCAGGGACAGAGGTAGACACCCCTGCCCTGGAGGAGCTTATCGTCTCTGTGTGTGTTGGGGTTGGCGATACACGTCCTGAGAGTATGTGATCGGTCTGTGGGAATGCGCACTAAAAGAGCTCAGAGCTAGTGCAGGGTATGGAGCCACAGGGCTGGTGCCAGTGGGGGACAGCGGAGGCTGGTGGGGGGATGTTGGAGCAGAGGCCTGGAGGAAGGGAGCTGGTGAGCCCTGTGTTCTCCAGGGAGGGGCGATGCAGAGGCCCCAGGCAGAACTTTGCTGTGGCAAATTCCCATTGCACCTGGCTTGAGGTTTAAGACTCTGTATTAGCTGAGGCAGGGGGATTGCTTGAAGCCAGGAGTTCAAGACCAGCCTGAGTGACATAGTGAGACCCCATTTCTATAACAAAATAATATTAGCTGGGCAGGGTGGTGCACATCTGTAGTCTTCTACTTGGGAGGCCAAGGCAGGAGGATTGCTTGAGTCCAGGAGTTGGAGGCTGCAGTAAACTATGATCACACTGCTGTACTCCAGCATGGCCAACAGAGGCAAACCCCATCTTTACAAAAAATTATATTAGCCAGCTGTGGCCGGGCACAGTGGCTCACACCTGTAATCCCAGCACTTTGGGAGGCCGAGGCAGGCGGATCTCCTGAGGTCGGGAGTTCAAGACCAGCCTGACCAACATGGAGAAACCCCGTCTCTACTAAAAATTCAAAATTAGCCGGGCGTGGTGGCACATGCCTGTCATCCCAGCTACTTGGGAGGCTGAGGCAGGAGAATCGCTTGAACCCGGGAGGCGGAGGTGGAGGTGGAGAATCGCTTGAACCCGGGAGGTAGAGGTTGTGGTAAGCCGAGATCATGCCATTGCACTCTAGCCTGGGCAACGAGAGTGAGACTCCGTCTCAAAAAAAAAAAAAAAAAAAGCCAGCTGTGGTGGTACACATCTGTAGTCCCAGCTACTTGGGAGCTCCTCGCTTGAGCTCAGGAGTTCAAAACCAGCCTGCGCAATATAAGTGAGACCTTGTCTCTACAAAAAGAAAAAAAAAATTAGCTTGACATGGTAGTGGTTGCCTGTAGTCCCAGCTACCTTGGGAGGCTGAGGTGGGAGGATCGCTTGGGCCCAGGAGTTTGAGGCTACAGTCACAACATTGCACTCCCGCCTGGGCGATAAAGTAAGACTCTGTCTCAAACAAAAAAGTCAGTGTATTCGTTCCCTAAAGCTGCCATTAAGAACTTACCCCGAACAGAGGGGCTTATAACAACAGAAGCATATTCTCTCCCAGTTCTGGAGGCCACAAGTCTGAAGTCAAGGCATCAGCAGGGCCGTGCTCCCTGTGCAGGCTCTAGGGGAATAGTTTCCCTGCGCCTCCCAACTTCTGGTGGCTTCTGGTGGCTCCTGGTGACCTTTGGCTTGTGGCCGCTTCACTACAGTCTCTTCCTCTGGCTTTGAGTGTCTTCTTGTAAGGACCCCAGTCATGTTGGACTTGGGGCCCACCCTATTCCAAAATGACCTTATCCTTAGTAACTAATAACATCTGCAAAGATCCCATTTCCAAATAAGGTCACCTTTTTTTTTTTTTTTCCAAGACAGGGTCTCACTCTGTTGCCCAGGCTGGAGTTCAGTGGTGCAATCCCAGCTCACTGCAGCCTCCACTTCCAGGCATGCCCCACCACGCCCAGCTAATTTTTTGTATTTTTGTAGAGAGAGGGTTTTGCCATGTTGCCCAAACTGGTCTCAAACTCCTGGACTCAAGCAACCCTCCCTCCTTGGCCTCCCAAAGTGCTGGGACTGCAGGTATGAGCAACTACACCTGGCCCCAAATAAGGTCACATTCTGAGATTCTGGGTGGATATAAATTTGGGGGGAACTCTATTAAATCTAGTGCAGACTCAGGAGCTAGAAGGGGCTTTACAGCTCACCAAGTGTGACCCCCTGTTCTTCTGATGAGGAAGCCAAGCCCAGAAGGGCGAGGTGCCTCTGTGGCAGCCCCCACACAGAAAGGAGGTGCCGGGCCCTGTCCCCTGCCTCTGCCGGTGCAGGCTTTCTGCATCGGACTCCTGCTGCTTGGAAACAGGTGGGCTGTGGAGAGGTCAACCACTGGGCACAGGGGCAGAGCCCTGCTGGGTCCGGCCCGGCCCAGGAGTTTCTAGGTCAGGCTGGTAGCCTTCCTATGGGCTATGATCATGCTGGGCTGTTTCCAGCACTAAATTATTTAACGTGTGGTTATTCTAGTGTTCTTTGTCCTTCGGGAGGAGGGGAGAAAGGGAGAGAAAAGCTCAGGATGGCTGGGCCTGTTCCCCGAAAGCCAAGGTTGGGGTCCCTGAAAATACTGACCCCAAGTCAAGCTAGTTTGGAAGACCCTGCCCGTAATGTTTTCTGAGGCAAAGGGTGGTGTGGGGGCGAGGAGGGAGCACTGGAGTGGGAGTCCCGGCCTGTGGTTCGGTAGCGGCAGCGTGAGCCCTGCTAGGTTGCTCAGGACACCGACAAAGGCCGATACTGTCTTGCTGGGTTTGAAGCTCAGATGAGAACATGCTGGGAACATTTTATTTATTTATTTATTTATTTATTTATTTATTTATTTATTTATTTGTGTATTTATTTATTCATTTATGTTTTATTTTATTTGAGACAGAGTCTTACTCTGTCGGGCCCAGGCTGGGGTGCAGTGGTGGGATCTCAGCTCCCTGCAGCCTCTACCTCCAGGGTTCAAGCAATTCTTACGCCTCTCAATAAGCTGGGATTACAGGTGCGCACTACCACGTCTAGCTAATTTTTTAAAAAAAATTTTTAGTAGAGATGGGGTTTCACTGTGTTGGCCAGGCTGGTCTCAAAACTCCTGGCCTCAGGTGATCTGCCCACCTTGGCCTCCCAAAGTGCTGGGATTACAGGCATGAGCCACTACGCCCAGCCATGCTGGGGACATTTTAAACCCCTGCCAGGGCAGTTAAGGCCTAATCAAGGCCTCCAGGAGGCTGGAGGTGGGGAGGCTGAGTTTGAGGCCTGCCAGAGCAGCTTGTCCTGATAGAAAGGATGCCAGAGCCTGGAGACCTGGGGTGATTCATCGAGCATCCCTCGGTCTCAGACTCCTCATTTGTCAAAAGCCGCGGGGGGACCTGCCTCAGAGCGTCACAGGGAACCTCGGGAATCGATTGTTCTGCAAGCCAGAGCTGGATCCCGGGTGCAGAATCCATCCGAGCACTCTGTATGGGGGCACAGCTCGGAGCAGGGTCTCCGGCTTCATTTCCCCAGGGCCCGAGCCTGCGGTGACAGTGACTTGACCTCGCTCCCCAGAGGTGAGAGGTGCCCACTTTGCAGCCAATGGCAATTCCCAGAACCATCCATCTCCCGCCACCCCGTGCCTCCAAGGCCGTCGTCAGGGATGAGCGATGGGCCGCCCCTCGCGGGCCCGACCGGGATGGTTACAACAGGTTTATGCTGCGTGAGCGATGGCGTTTGCATGGCTGACGCCGAGCACCGCTGGGACCCAACAGTGTTGAAAACGAGATTCACAGAGAGCAGAGCGATAAGCACTGAGTGGAAGCTTCCAGAGAGGGAACCATTACTGTGCCCGGGAGACCAGCAAAGGGTGCTGGCGAGGCGGGCAGCCCGGGTGGCCTCGGTGCGGCGTGTCTGCGGAGTGGCAGCCAGGCCAGCTGTGGGCAGGGGGGCCGACCCACCCACCGCTGGCAGCTTTTGCAGGCTGAGGGCAGAAGTGGAATTGGGGAGAAACTGACTTGTTTGCAGGGAGCTGGGACCATGCTGTCACGACATATAGAGAGCGCTCAGGAAGATTCAAAACAGGATTCGAGGCCGGGTTCCTTGGAGGGTGTGAGTGATGGTCGGGGGTGCACGAGAGGGAGGGGCAGGAGCAGAGAGATGCTGTTGCCAGGGACCCAGGACAGGCAGGGCTGTAAAGTGCCCCTCACCTGCTCCTGTCACTGGCCCGTTTGGGGCTCAGGGCAGCCCCTGTGGCAGGAGGGTTTCCACGTGCCCCCTTTTGGTCTGGGTCTTTGTTGTTTTTTTTTTCTTGAAATGGAGTCTCACTCTGTCATCCAGGCTGGAGTGCAGTGGCTCTATCTCGGCTCATTGCAACCTCTGCCTCCCAGGTTCAAGCGATTCTCCTGCCTCAGCCTCCCGAGTAGCTGGGATCACAGGCACGTGCCACCACGCCCCGCTAAGTTTTGTATTTTTAGTAGAAACAGGGTTTCGCCATGTTGGCCAGGCTGGTCTTGAACTCCTGACCTCAGGTGATCCACCCGCCTCAGCCTCCCAAAGTGCTGGGATTACAGGCGTGAGCCACCATGCCTGGCCCTGATCTGGGCCTTTCTGGTCCCACTGAAGCTGCTGGGTCTCCTGAAGGCGGAGTGGGTGGGCGCACCTCTGGTGTTAGACCTCCTTCTCTGCCTCCTGCGTTTTACATTGGGACTCTCGTGGCAGCAGGGATTCCCAGATCCTAGCACATGTGGGACCTGGAGTGAGAGGCTTCAGCCCTGTGCCTCAGTTTCCTCATCTATAGAATGGGGCTGTAGAGCCCTCCAGGGGCCCACGGGATGGTTGGGATAGACAAGGTCGTGTGCGTGAATTCTTCAGCCCAGTGCCCAGCACAGGGTCACGGTTCCCTGAGAGGCACCCCGCTCTTATTTTTAGTTATTCTTTCTAATGGGAACCTATTTTTCTCCTAACTGCCATCTCACAGCAAACTGCTGAAAGGGACCAGGCCTCCTATGTCTGTGCAGCAGTATGGTGTGGCGTGAACTTACACCTTTGTCACATCTACAAAGACCCCATCTCTACATAATGTCCTATGCATGGTCCTGGGATGGGGACATGGACACAACTTCTTGGGGGACACAACCAGCACTTTCTTCAAGGTCTGGGACTGGGGAACCCGGGGTGGGGCAGACTGCTTTTCTGCACCCCCGGCCCACAGCCAGCACCATCTCAGCACCTGACGTGGCAACTCTGTTAGTCCCCACAGCCTCCCTGGGAGGGTGGCGCTCTTGTTATCCCCTTTTTACAGATGGGAAACCAAAGCCTGGGGAGCTGACATCGCTTTTACCAGAAGTCTGTCAGCTGGGAGGTGGGGGAGCGGGCGACGAGGGACCCCACGCCCTGACCACCGTGCCTGTGTGCTCCGCAGGAGCACCACACCTCAGTGGGGTGGGGGTGGGGTGGGTGCCTGGATCTGGCCCCAGAGGGGTGTGTGGGCAGGGCCGTGCTGGCTGATGAAGGAGAGTGGAGCTGGCGGGAGGAGGGAAGCACAGTGCACACTCCCCCGTTTGTTCTGCAGGCTGCGATTCCTCTCCTGGGATCCTCCCAGCCTGTGCCCATCCTTCCACGGCACTGAACTGCTGGGGTGTCCTCAGTGAGTCCCCTTCCCCACCAACACACATGCATAGATGGCTACACAGATATACACATGCATATACATCCAGACACACAGACACACACGGACACACAGATACCCACACATACAGATGAACATATACACACATAGACATGTACACACATGCACATACATCCAGACACACAGACACACACGGACACACAGATACCCATGCATACGGATGTGCATATACATGCATAGATGTGTACACACATGCATACAGACACACAAACATACACAGAGATACATGCATGTACACAGACATCCATGCATATAGACTCACGCATACACCCCATGCATACCTTACATATATATAAACACATGTGTATATATGTACATACCACACACATCCACACATGCGCACCTACAACCTAGACACCCCCCACACTCACACGTGTATGCACACGACAGCACACAGTGGTGGCTGTGACCGCAGGGGAGAGGTCTGGGGTTCCCCAGGGCCTGGGAGCTTTCACCTTCTTCGGCTTGGGCAGTGGTGCAGCTGGCCAGGGGTGGCACAGGCAGGCCTCACTTGGGCTCCAGTTGAAGGAACAGCTGTCTGGCCCAGCCACCCTTCCCCCTGCAGAGTGGCAGGGCCATTGTGGTTAGAGCAACTTGCACCTGGCCTGGGCTGACAGGCCGTGAGCGGCATTGCACAGACCGGGGAGAGAAGATGCCAGCTCCAGCAATTGGAAGCTTGATGCCAGAGTGGGGAGAAGGGCAGGGCTAGGGCCACCATGGGACCTGCATTTGGTGGAAGGCAGGGCTTTTTCCAGGAGGAGTTGAGGCCAGATGGGAAGTGCAGAGGAGTGAGACTGCAGGTTCTGAGCAGGGGAGGAAGCCCCTTGGTATCCCCTGAGTATGAGTAGGACTCTAGGACTTGGGACACTCCTGGGAGTGGCTTCTGAGGCCAAGGCCTGGGCACAGTGAAGCTCATAGGATCTGCGGCATGAAGGACAACCCAGATGGGCATCAGCGAGAGGGCGCCTGCCAGCTGTCAGAGAGAAGGCAGGAAAGTCACCTTTTTTTTTTTTTTTTTTTTTTTTTTTTTTTTTGAGACAGAGTCTCACTCAGTCGCCTAGGCCGGAGTGCAGTGGCGTGATCTCGGCTCACTGCAAGCTCCGCCTCCCAGGTTCACACCATTCTCCTGCCTCAGCCTCCCAAGTAGCTGTGACTACAGGCACCCGCCACCACGCCCGGCTAATTTTTTGTATTTTTAGTAGAGACGGGATTTCACCGTGTTAGGATGGTCTCGATCTCCTGGCCTTGTGATCCGCCCGCCTCAGCCTCCCAAAGTACTGGGATTACAGGCGTGAGCCACCACACCCAGCAGAAAGTCGTCTTTAAGAATGCACCTCAGCGTGAATGTACTTAATATCCCAGAACTGTGCACTTAGAAATGGCAAAGATGGCAAATTTTATGTGCATTTTACTGCAATTAAAAATAATTTTTAAAAATTTACATAAAAGGTAAAATTTCAACCCACCCTCCAGTACCATTTTATACCTGCTAGGTCAGCCCCCAAACATAAAAAGATAACATATGTTGCTGGCACAGTTGTGGTGAAATGGACAGACTGTTACAGCCCAAGCATCACGTACATGGGAAAAACCTTTTTGGAAAAGCAAAAAGGCAAAAGTGGAAGCAAGACCCATGGAGACGTTTCTTCATTTGGATTCCAGAAATCCCATGCTGGGGAATTTATTGTAAGAAAGCAAGTCATAGCAAACAGACACACAAGTGGGAGAATGCAGATGTTTGTTTCTGCAGTAAAATCATGAGACCACCCTAAACACCCCACCACGGAGCAGTGGTGTTAGTACTGTGGAATATTAGGGCCCCCTCCATATCATCATCCCCAATATTGCAAGAGCTAGAAAATAACCGGCTGCCAGGTGCAGAGCGAGGCCCGCTCAGTCTGGAAAAGGTTTGTTCTTTTTTCTCCTCCTGTCATTCTGGGGAAGGGAAAAACAAATGGGAACGTGTTTTGTAGTTCACGTGGATTTCCTGCAAACCTCCAGAGAAGTGATAAACAGATCTTTGCATCCTGGTGCTGGCTAATTTGTTTTCAATAGGTTTCAATCAATTACGTGTGGTCTTGGGGAAGGGGAAGTGCACCAGTAATTGGCTAAAATAAATCACTCGGCACTTCAAAAGCAGCTCCCCACTGACATGTGCACAGCCCAGCCTTCGATTCCTAATAAACAGGCGCATTTGTCCCCCAGCCCCTGGGTCCCCGATCTCCATGGGAACTGCGCACCAAGGGTCTGGGAGGAGAGGCACGTCGTGGCAGTGATGGATTTGGGCACGCTGCAGAGGGCACCCGAGTGGGGTGTGCCAGGGCATCGGCCAGCCGCTCTGCTCTGCCCCTCTTCTCCATGTCACCCTTCCTCCTCCATTTCACCCCCTCCCCCCATCAGTGTCCCATGGCTGCAGACACAAAGTACCAAAACCGGGGGATGGAGAGGGGGCTTGAAACAACAGAAATGTATTCTCTTATGTCATAAAGGCCCGAAGTCCCAGATCGAGGTGTCTGCAGAGCCATGCTCCCTCTAAAGGCCCCAAGGGAGGATCCTTCTTCGCCCCTTCCAGCTTCCTCACAGTCTCTGCCTCTGTCAGCACGTGGCTGTCTTCCGTGTGTGTGTCTGAGTCCCTTTTCCTCTTCTGCTAGAGACTCCAGTCTTGGGATTAAAGGCCCACCCTACTCCAGTATGGCCTGTTCTGTTTTTTTTTTTTTTTTTTTTTTTTTGAGACGGAGTCTCACTCTGTTGCCCAGGCTGGAGTGGCACGATCTCGGCTCACTGCAAGCTCCGCCTCCCGGGTGCACACCATTCTCCTGCCTCAGCCTCCCGAGCAGTTGGGACTACAGGCGCCCCCCACCACGCCCAGCTAATTTTTTGTACTTTTTTAGTAGAGACGGGCTTTCACCGTGTTAGCCAGGATAGTCTCAATCTCCTGACCTCGTGATCCACCTGCCTCGGCCTCCCAAAGTGCTGGGATTACAGGCGTGAGCCACCGCACCCAGCCAAGTATGGCCTCTTCTTAACTAATATCTGCAAAGATCCTGTTTCCAAATAAGGTCACATACACGGTTCTGGGATTAGGACTTCACCTTTTTTTTTTTTTTTTTTTTTAGGGGATGGAGTCTTACTGTGTTGCCCAGGCTGGAGTGTAGTGATGCAAATCATAGCTCACTGCAGCTTCAACTCCTGGGTTCAAGCGATCTCCCGCCTCAGCCTCCTAAATAGCTGAGACTACAGGCGTGTGCCACCATGCCCAGCTAATTTTTTAAAAATTTTTTGCAGAGACTAGGTTTCGCTATGTTGCCCAGGCTGGTCTCGAACCCCTGGCCTCGGCAACCCTCCCACCTCGGCCTCCCAAAGCGCTAGGATTACAGGCGTGAGCCACTGTGCCTTGCCAAAACTTCAGCATATCTTTTGGAGGTACCAGTTCAGCCCACAACACCCCCTTTTGGGTGAGAACCGCTCGGGTCAGGCTGCTGCCCACAGAGGCTGCCCCTTGGCTGTGTGGCTTTAGAATGGGAACCCAGCCCCGACAGGGCCCTGCCTCCACCCCTCATTCTACAACAGTTGCAGACTGGATCTCCTTCACACGAGTAATTTTATTTCTGAATTTCCCTCAGGCCCTGGCAGAGCTGTCATCTAAGAATATTTTGTTGGGGGGCAGGGTTGGAGGGGCTGCTCTCCTCACAGGAGGCTCAGCCGGGGAGCCAGATGTCCACCAAGAGCTCTCTCTTGCAGGAAGATCCCGGGAGGAGGGGAGTGGGTGTCAGGGGCACTCGATGGGGGTCCGTGGGAAGGGACTGTGCTGGCTGCAGGCGCTGAGCCTGAGGGAAGGCAGCTGGAGGTTGGGTGAGATGGGATGGAACTGCCCAGCTGAGCTTGGGACAGCCAGGGGGACCATATGGGCTGCGTCCCGAGAGAGCCTTGGTGACACCTCGTGCGTGAGGTTGTAGGACCTAGGTGCGCACAGTGGAGTTCGATCCTGGCAGCTTCCCCAGGAGATCAGCCTGTGCTGTGGGTAGCGCCGTGGGTAGCGCAGGTTCATGGCCCTGTGTGTGCCGCCCTGAGCACCGTCAGCTCATCTGCTCAGAAGGACAGCTCCCAGGAGGGAGGAAGCAGGACTCCTCCCATTTTACCAATGGGGAAACTGAGGCTCAGCAGGGAGCAGTCTGGTTCCAAAGTTCCCGCTATTACCGGTGAGTGAGATTCTGAGGGCAACCGGGCTTCTGGAACTCAGCCAGCGCTGGGCCAGGCCTGAGCCAAGGCCTCCACCTGGTGGTCCGAGTTCTTGGTCTGTGTCTGCCATGGTGGCTGCGAGGCCTCTGCTCTTGAGATCATGAGCTGAAAGAAGCTGGAGAAGGAACCCTACAGGGTCAGAGGCAAGGCTACCGCCGACCTGCAGGGGAGCCTGGGGTCAAGTTCAAGGAGTGAGCTGGGCAGGGCCATCTTGGTGTCCGTGGAGCCGGGAAGGACTGCGTTTACTCTGGCTTGTCCAGGGATCCTCTGAAACTTGAACAAGATCAACCTGGACTGGAGAGCAGCAGTGGCCCTGGGGACCAGGAGCAAGCAGGGGGGTGAAAAAGAGCTGCCTGTTCCAGGAGGCCAGGGCTGGGTGCCCACGGAAGACAGAATGCGTGGCGGGAGGAGGATTATCGGAGGAGACAGACAAGGTCCAGGGCTGGAGGGCGATGAGGGTAAGAAGGCTGGGAAAGGCCCCATGAGGAGACCACACTGAGCTTGTATTTGAGGAAAGACAGTGGCAGGAAACCCTGTTGACATTGAGGGGTGCCCCGGGCAGAGGGCACGGCCAGTGCCAAGGCCCTGAGGTCTGAGCTCACCCAGACCATTGGTAGAACAGCAGGAGGCCAGAGTGGGTGGGAGCCACTGACGGGATTAAGTGAGACGCTGAAGCCAGGATTTCCATTCCCCGTGACTTTCTCCAGCATCCAGGGGTCACCACACGGGTGTCTCACGGAGGGTCAGCTGCCAAAATGACCTGGTGGAGAGGCAGCCCCCAGGAGGGAAGGGTGTGGGCAGGTGCAGTCCTTCCTGCCCTAACTCCCCAGCCTCCACCTGCCCTCAGCTGCCGCTCCTCCTCCTCCTCCTCACAAATCATGACCACCTAGTGAAGGACCTCGGCCTTGAGAGAACTCTGGGGCCTCTTGCTCTGAGCCAGGTCAGAGCCTCCACAAAATTACAGCTGTGAGACACGGCGAGGGGAGCGGGGCCTCTGGCCCTGCTGGTAATTACGGCCCACGGAGCTCTGATTGCCGCAGTCCAATTAATTAAACACCGCAGCGACCCAAATTATGATCTCTTGCCTTGTACCAAGCAGTATTTTTAACCTTAACTGTCGGGGCTGAACTTAAATTTCCTATCTGGACAGAAGTGTCACCCGAGGGAGAAAAAGGCAGTGTCGAAGCAAACCTCGCCGATGACAGACCCTGTAATTAGAAACTGTAGTGTCCCCGAGACTGGTCTTTAAAACTGTCAGAAGCCAAGCGGCCGTCATTTGATACAAGACTATCATCACCCGTGAACCCATTAGCTGCAGGTAAATAACATATTATGCCAGGGACGGAAAGCAGCCAGGCTGGGGAATTCGCCGGCGCTTAATTAGGACCGGCAGTGCGGAAGATAGATGGTCATCCTTTTTGCTCCCTTCATTAGGAGGGAGGGTCAGGTGTGGCGGTGGTCACCGGAGCCCGGGCTGCCGACCCTGCAGAAAAGCGCCATCCTCCGCCCGCCCTCTGCCTCCCACGGTGCTGCCCGCACCTCTCTTCCAGGCCTGTGTTTACTGCTGATCCCTACCAGCTGGTAGTGTTCTGCAGGAGTCCATGTGTGAAGAGAGGTTGCGTGGAACAGGTACCCCGCTCAGCAGAGGGAATCTTGGTGAAGTGGGCTGAGGAGGGTGGGTGTGGACCGTCCCTGAGGGCCACCCCCAAAGCCCACGATGTAAGATGGGCACTTGAAGGTTTGCAAAGCCTATTGTGAGCAGGTGGGTTTGGACTCGTGCTGCGGGCCACACACTTTCCCCTTAGAGGCAGAATTGTGGAGCCCTGATCTGGAAAGATCTTTTGAGACCCAGAGGTCTGGCTTTCCAAAGCTGGGTGTGAGGACAGCTGCAGCCCGCAGAGCGGTGACAGGGGCACACACGTGTGTGTCTTCTGACTCACCAGCCACCTGATGGCTATTTTAAGGTGTTTCCAGGTAGCATACGGTTAGTGTGAAGCCGACGAGTCTTTGGGGTCTGGGCTCAGGGACAATTGGGTTAAATAGTGAGTGATTGCCACATAGTTAGAATTGGGAAATAAAGAGATGAAAGAAAACAATTTTTAAACACAAATAAGAAATTTAAGGAAAAAAATGGCAAGTGAGCCAATTTAGATAAATATTAAGTAAATTTATTTGTCGGGATGTCTGGGGCTGCAGGTTACAGAAAACGTTGACTCAAATTGGCTTAACCCATCTGGGAATTTTTAATATCCCAGAACAAGGGGGTACAGAGCTAGGGTGGATGGGGGGTGCTCCAGGCCGGTGGCTCTGGCCTTGGCTCTGCCCCTCTATGTGAGCATTGTCCTTGGCCTTGCTTGTTGGTGCATGAATAATTTATAGGAAGATGAAGGTCTGAAAGGAAGTTATGACGATGAAGTCGCTGCATCGAGAGTTCCTTCTGTTCCCAACCATTCTCCTCGTCAGCATCACATGTGCACACACATGTGCACGCACACACAGCCCCACGTGACCCAGCACTCCCATCCCTCACTTAGGCCAAATTTGCCTTCTCCTTTTCCGGTTTGGATCCTGGTTTGTTCAATGTTGGGCCTGGCCCTGTCGTGTGCCTAGGGATGGACTCTCTGGCGCCCAGGGGAGGATGGTGCTGTGGGTGGGAGGTGCCCCAAGAGCAGGGTGATAGGGTGATGAGCTGCATCTGCTGATGTTCATGTCACCTGAGGCCTTTCCCTCACTTTTCAGGGCCTGCCATGCGATCAGGGACACCCGAGACCACTTCCAGCCCCAACCTCCCATGCACGTGGGAGTCCCACCCGGGAGGCCTTCCACACATGCCCACATCAGTCACAGCGAGTGCTCCTGGGACTGTGATGGTGCCTGTCACTCTGCCTGGGGGCTGGGGAGGGTCACAGAAGATGGTCCTTACCTATCTTACAAAGAATTCAAAATAGAGCCCAGGCCCTGAGAGCATGATTTGAAGGTGCCGCTGTGGTGTCAGACCCACCATTCCAGTGCCAGCTGTGCCACCTGTGTGGGCATCAGTGTCCATCGCTGTGAAATAGGACATTACAGGGTGAAGTTGGGAGTGCCGGCGGGGGGCACATGCTCAGGGTCTGGCGTGTATAGACACCCCTAATACATGATTGTGATCATGATCACAGAATCTTCTGGAAACTCTGCCTCCCTGGAATTAAGAACAAAAGGTAGGCCGGGTGCGGTAACTCACACCTGCAACCCCAGCACTTTGGGAGGCTGAGGCCAGGAGTTCAAGACCAGCTTGGGCAACATAGGGAGACCCCCATCTCTATAAAAAATAAAAATAAACTAGCTGAGCATCGTGGTGCAAGCCACTTGGGAGGATGAGCCCAGGAGGTCAAGGCTGTAGTGACCTGTGACTGCACCACTGCATTCCAGCCTGGGGGAGACCCTGTCTCCAAAAAAAAAAAAAAGACCTGGTGCCACCCTAAACATCTCCAGTTTGTGTGCAGGTTTGGAGTGCCTCCTGAATGGCGCGTTCCAAGAGGGACTCCACAGTGAGTCGAACCAGGCACCCACCCCCGGGGAGGTGACCTGCAGACACCAGCTATTGTGTGCAGTTGTGCAGCAGAGCTTCCTATGGTAGCTCTGGCCAGCGGAACTTCCTGCATCCATGGAGCAATGTCCTGTGTGTGGTGCGTCCCTGACGGTCACCGCCAGCCACATGTGGCTCTCCAGCATTTGGAATGTGGTCCGTGAGGCCCAGGAACTGAATTTTTCCTTTGATTTTATTTCAATAATTTAAATGTAAATAGCCACATGTGGCTACCGTATGGATGGCTTGGCTGTATGTGGGGGTGGGGAGGAGCAGGCACGTGGGGAAGGCTCAGCTGATGGATGGCGTCCAAGCGTAGCCCTGAGGGATCTGGTGGGTCCACCAGGGAGGGAGGGAAGGGTTCTTCCAGGAAAAGGGGGCAAGACAAGCGAAGAAGGAGCCAGAAGAGCAGGGCCCGCTGACGATCAGGGGAGCTTCTGGAGTGGCTAGTGCAGAAGGCGTGTTTTGAGGATGGAAGAGGAGGTTGGCCCAGGTAGGGGAAAACGCACTCTCATGGGTCGGGTGTTTTCTTATATGTAGAGGGGGTGTGATTTCAATGCATTTCAACCTGGGGAGGTGGGGGCAGCGCCGTAATCATAACAACTGCTAACGTCGATTAGCCCTGTGCCAGCCACTGTCATTCATTCATTCATTCATTCATTCATCAGCCGATCCGTGAGCTCCTGCTACTTGCTGGGGGAAGTGATCATAGCAGACGAAGCCTTTGTTCCCCCAAACCTTATAGCTTAGTGAGGGGACAGTGCCAGCAACCCAGCAATCGCTCAGCCACCCTCCCCTGTTGAGCCAGGGAGGCCCCGACAGCCCCCTCCTTCCAAGGCATGGTCCATAGTTGCATGCACGCCACCCCGCAAGCTTGGAGTCCGTAGCCTTGGTGGCCTGTGGTATGCCGACCAGTGGCTCTGCCTCCCTCCTGGGGTAACCGTGTGGGGTTGCGGTTTCTCCCGAGCATGTCGTGGTGACATATTTGGTTGGCGTGGCTGTGTGGCTGAGAAGATCCATCAGCGGGCGTCGTCGACGCTCGCCGGCCCTGAACCACGTTTTAATTTGCCAGTCTGTGGGTTTCCTATCCATGTATTCATCTAGATTTGTGTCAAGCGAGATTGCTTTTGTCTTCTCTGTCTGCTCATAAATCCCTCTGCAGAGCTCCGTCCTCGGCATTCTGCTTACGTGGTATCCGGTTTGGAAACTGAGCGGGGGGCTGTGGTAGGCGACCCCACAAGGCCAAACCCCACTCGTCTCTCTCTTCCTCTGGCCTCACCCAGGCTCCTGGGCCGGGGTGGGGAGGGCAGCCCAGAAGGCTGGGATTCCCATTTGGGACCGCAGGGTTACTCGCCCTTGCCCAGTGGGTGCTGCATTCTTCTGTTGGGGCTGCCATGGCAAAATGCCACACTCTGGCTTGAACAATAGAAATCCATTTCCTTGCAGTTCTGGAGGCCAGGAGCCTGAAGTCAAGGTGTGAGCAGGGTTGCTTTCCTCTGGGGCCCCTCGCCTTGGTGTGTGAACGCCGTGTTCCCTCTGGGTGCAGGTCTGTGTCCACACCTCTTCTTCTTATGGGGACACCAGTCCTATTGGATTAGGGCCACCCGGGTGACCTCATTTGACCTTAATCACCTCTCCAAAGGCTCTGTCTCCAAATACAGTCACATTCTGAGGCCCGGGGGCTGGGATGTCAGCGTGTCAATTTTCGCAGGACACAAATCAGCCTATAATAGGTGTCATTTTCCCTCTTTTTCAATTTGAAATGGATGCGTCATATTCATCAGAAGAGTTGCGAGCACACGCCTCGTGTGTTTCTATGGGCTGAGCTCACCATGTAATGGGCCCCTGCATGACAAAGAGTGTGCCCAGTCCCCCAGAAGCCCCCTGTGGCCCCCTGCCGAGGTGGCCAGTGCCCCGACTTCTAACTCCGTCACTTATTTTTTTGTCTTTTGAGATGGAGTCTTGCTGTGTCGCTCAGGCTGGGGTGGAGTGACTCGATCTCGGCTCACTGCAATGTCCGTCCTCGGGTTCAAGTGATTCTCATGTCTCAGCCTCCCGAGTAGCTGGGATTACAGGCATGCGTCACCACGCCCAGCTAATTTTTGTGTTTTTAGTAGAGATGGGGTTTCACCATGTTGGCCAGGCTGGTCTGCAACTCCTGACCTCAGGTGATCCACCCGCTTCGGCCTCCCAAAGTGCTGGGATTACAGGCAGGAGCCACCACGCCCGGCCTCCCTCACTTATTTTTCGGAACAGGTGATGTTCCAGAGTGACATACGCAGGTAGCTTCTACCTAGCCCCTGCTCTGTTTCCACACCACCAGGGGCGAGAGGTGAGTTGGGACAGGATGGAGGAGAAGCCAGCAGCTCCAGGAGGAGCACACGCCATGGAGGGTAGGGAGCCAGGAGGGGCTGCCTGCATGGGTGAGAGGTGGTTGAGCTTCAGCCTGGGCCTCCAGCCGTCCACCCCCTCAGCTGTGGCCTGGATGGGTGTCAGGGCAGGGCCCGCGGCCTCTAAAACATCCTCGGGGAGGTGCCTCGTGGACACGTGGCAATAGTTACCCAGATACAGCCTCGGAGGGGAGGCTGCTGCTTGTGCTCAGTATGCTGGTGGAGACTGGTGTGCTGGTCTGTTTTTCTGTAGAGACTGAAATTAGCAGGAAGCTAATCACGCTTTGTCTTTTACCTGAACTGGGGTCCTTGAACTTCACATCCAGGAGAAAGGTTCGTAACTGTGTGCCCAGCCTGGTGTCAGGTCCTGGGGGATGTACAAACGTGTGTGTCAGGGTCTTTCCCCCTCAGCGTATGTGCACTGGGCAGGCACACATGGTTCGTTGGACAACAGCGCTGCTGGTCACTGGCGACTGGCTGGCTGGGTCACAGTGGATATGTCTGGTAGGGCTGGGCAAAGGTGGGAACAGCAGGGAGAGGGACTTGAACCAGGACCTGAGGAAGAGGAGGGATCCAGGTGGCCTCTGTAGAGAAGAAACGCTCACCTGGTGAGGGGCGAGACACGGACAAAGGCTGGAAGGCCGGGCAGAGCGGGGTTATCGTGTGACGGAGAAAGTGGCCTGCCCACCTGATGGGCGTGTGGGTATGTGTGGGTGCACGTGGACGCAAGGGGGCAGGAAGGGTTGGATCCATGCCAGGGACAGCTTTGGGCGGCGGTAACAAGAGTCCTGGTCGTGGGAAGGCAGTGTTGGTGGGGGACCGGGGCTGCGGTCTTCAGAGGCTGCCTGAGTCTCACTAAGTTTCTCCTCAGAACAATGGGGGAGTGGCTGGCTCCCATCTGGTGTCCTGTTCATCTCAGGAGCCCCCAGCTCCAGGTACAGATACGAGGAGGCCAAGGCCAAGGCCCTCCCAGCCAGCTCCAGAGTACGAAGGGGTCATCGTCCTTGGTCACCCACCTGGAGGGTCCGAGCTCCGTTTGGCCAGCGACCCCTGGCCCTCGCTGTCATCAGCTTGCCTGGTGCTTTGCGGGTGCCTGATGACTGTGGAGTGACGTTGAATGGAAAGGCCAGGAGGCTCCATCTGAGGATGTATGCTGGCCCTGAAGGCCAGCGTGGGGAACAAGAGCCGAATGGCCATGCCGGGTGGGAGACGTGTGTGCTGTTCACGGCACACCTCGGCTGCCTGCCTTCTCCCTGACTGTGTGCCATGAGCCACATTCGTGAGGGTAAATGTGTGTGTGTGAGTCCCTTCCTCGCCTCTGTCAGAGACTGCAGGAACCTTGGAGGTGTTTGGAAGGGATAGGAGACCCCCCCAGCCCCCACGTCCTGATCCCTTCGTCCCCTGCAGACGGTTCCTCTGACAGAAGCTGACAAGAGCCATTTCCAAGATGGATTGATTCAATTTAGCACAAATTTTTGCCGGATTTGGTGACGTATGGCTCCCTGTTGGAACCGCATTGAATGTGACTCCAAAGAGAGAGGCTTTATTAGGCCAAGCCGCGCTGAGCAGGTGGGGCCCCGGGGGCCAAGCACCCCCATGCCGCCACCATCAGATGTACCCGCCCTGGAGCCCTCAGGGCTCCCTGCCTGCCCCTCGGCTCTCCCATCATTAGGGGGCCGCTCAGCTGCTCAGAAAGAAAGTGCTTTGTGAGCCGGCTTTTCATTATACTCTGGGGGCTGAATTTCCATTTTATTCCCAGAAGCAAAGTTTTGCTGCCACGAGGACCCCACTGTGTGAGGCCCAGCACGAAAGACTCCTTCCCTCTGGGCTGATAAATTCTTAATGGGGCTGTACTCCAGCATCCCCTGGGCTCACCCACCGCTTCCCCGCAGCCCAGGACCAGGGCCCGAGCGTGCGTGTGTGTGTGTCTGTGTGTGTGTGTGTCAGTGTGTGTGTGTCGGTGTGGCCTGCGTGCACCCGCCTTGGCGGGGGCACACCTGGCAGCCTTGCTTTGTGCCTGCAGCTGTGTGTGTGAGAACAGGCCCTGGGCTTGGTACCTCAGCAGGGGCCGGGGCTGTTTCTGAGGCTCTCTGCTGGAAAACACTGGAAGGGAGGGGGAACCCAGCCTTTTTAGGGAGGCTGCCCCCCAAGTGTGGGTGCACGTAGCTTTGGCCTTGTTGTAGGAACCCTCCCACGGCTCCCATGCATGAAGAGTGAAAGTCAGAGTTGCCCCTGGAACCCCAGAGCCCCCCGCGACCCCTGCAGGCCTCCTGCTCAACCTGCTCCCTGCACCATGTGCCCTACTCCTGCCTCACAGGCCTCATGGCTCCAGCCTCAGGGCCTCTGCACCTGCCGTTCCCTTTCCCTGAAGCGCTGTTCCCAGGTCTGCACAAGCTCATGCTCCCGGCTCCTCCTTTATCCAAAAGCAGCCAACCTTGACCACTCTGTCAAAAACTGGGTCAAAAAGCACCCCGTTCCTCTCTGGCTTTATTTTTCCACTTGCATGCGTTGCTCTTTAATAGCACGTACCCGTAAAGCTCCATGAAGACAAGGGCTGCGCTCTTGTTTCTTCACTCCTATGTCCTCAGTGCCCAGAACAGTGCCTGGCACTCAGTGAACATTAGACGGATGGAAGAGGTGCTGACCAAGTGCCTGGCTTTCTGTGGCCATCTGAGCTGGACTCAGAGAAGCAAGAACCTGGAAGGCTTTTCCCTTTCTATGTGTGGTAGGCTGAAAAATGCCTCCCCCCTCCAGGCTGGGTTCAGTGGCTCACGCCTGTAATCCCAGCACTTTGGGAGGCCAAGGCGGGTGGATCACCTGAGATCAGGAGTTCGAGACCAGCCCGACCAACATGGAGAAACCCTGTCTCTACTAAAAATACAAAAAATCAGCCGGGCATGGTAGTGCATGGCTGTAATCCCAGCTACTCGGGAGGCTGAGGCAGGAGAATCGCTTGAACCCAGGAGGCGGAGGTTGCAGTGAGTCGAGATTGTGCCATTGCACTCCAGCCTGGGCAACAAGAGCAAAACTCCATCTCAAAAAAAAAAAAAAAAAGATGGCCTGGCAAATGATGCCCAGGTCCTGATGCCCTGAACCTGTGTATGTGAACTTATTTGGAAAAGGGGTTTTGCAGAGGGGATTATGTTAAGGATTTGGAGATGGGATTGTCCTGGGGTATCCAGGTGGCCTAAATGCAATCTCAAGTGTCTTCAGAAGAGACAGGCAGAGGGAGATTTGAGACACGCAGGGGCTGGAGTGATGCAGCCACAAGCCAAGGAACACCTGGAACTCCAGGAGCTGGAAGAGGCAGGAAGGAGCCTCCCTAGAGCCTCCAGAGGGAGCAGGGCCCTGCCTCTGCCTTGATTTCAGCCCAGTGCTACTGATGTCCAACTTTTGGCCTCCAGATCTGTGAGAGAAGCTATTCTGTTGTTTTAAGCCACTGCAGGGCAGAGACCCCTGCAGGCTGCTTGGAGGGCTCGATCCCCAGCCTCTCCCACTGCTCTGTAGTCAGGGTCTCCACGCAGGAGTGGAGGGAGGTGCATCGCAGTGTTGTGAGGGTCCGGGGGCTGGATGCAATGTGTGGGTGGGAGCAGAGGAGAGAGAATTTGCACAAGGTGTAAGGAGCACTGTTCTGCGAGTCCACAGCCTGGCTGGGCCCACCATGGGCATTATTAAACCCTGGCTGTGAGGCAGGGGTGTGGCCCTGGGGTCATCCTCTCAGCAGAGCCCCCTCAACGCCAAGCCTGGACCCAGGCAGTATTCACCGCAGCTGTGACCCAGAGGGAACACAGCAGGTGGCTGTGAAGCAGTTAGAGTAGGTAGCAGGACCAGCCAGGCACCCAGGACAGCTGTCGGGCCCCAGGACAGCGTCTTGCAGCGAGGCCTGGGTTCTCCAGAAGGGACTCCACACTCGCCGTGCTTCTGCGAGCCAGGACAGCCTGTGCTACTCCCCAAATCCTGGCTGTGCCATCCGTCTGCCTGATGGGAACCCCACGCTTCAAAGTGCTCACGGGCTAATCCTGCCCCTTCCCCAAGATTTTTTCGGGGACTGCTTTTGATATGTGTGGTGTTTTCTTCCCTCTCTTCTGAGGCAAATGGCTGATTGATTGCTTTTCATCTCCTACTTTGAGTAGCTGTAAGAGCTACTTTATATAAACATCAATTACAGGCACGTAATAAATTAAGGGTCCCTCACACCACACGCATTAGAGTCCACTCCGATATCAAAGCGCTCCCATCACCCAGGGAACGGGAGCGGTGGGGGCTGATTAGCCAGTGATGTTGGTGGAGACAGAAGCTAATTTAATCGCAGGTCCGAGAGGGTCGGGTATAGGGGGACCCCAATCTTGCCTGTGTATTTCCGGCCTGCTGACTCACAGGGACAGCTGGGCAGCGGTGCATCACCAGACAAGGCCTTGAGAGAGTTGGAAGGGCTAGCTACAACCATGGTGTTCTGCCCACCACACTTTATCTGACCCTAAACCCCAGCTGCCATGGGGAGCTCTGGAATCCCTGAAAACAGTCCTGTACGCTTGCCGCTGTCTGCTTTCTCGGGACCCACAGCCTGAGTTTTGAGCCCTGTGGGCGTCTCCATCACTCTGCTCTGTGGTCCATCAGCCCATCTGGGGAGCTCCTCACCTGGCCCAGCAGGGACCCCCCAGCCACACCTGACTCCTGCTGCCTCTGTGTCCTGCCTCTCCCTCTCCCGGCTCAGAGATGGCAGCTGGGAGCATGAACCCAGACTCCAGCCCGCCTGGGTTTTCCCTCCCGGCTCAGAGATGGCAGCTGGGAGCATGAACCCGGACTCTAGCCTATCTGGTTCCTCCTCTCCCAGCTCAGCCACTTTGCAGCTGGGTGACCTAAGGCCACTGCCCTACCGTCTCTGTGCCCCCATTTGCTCCTGAGTATTGTGGGAAGAACAGCTTCCCACAGTGGTTGAAACAGTGCCTAGAAGCACTAGCCGTCCCCACTGTGGGGGGCTCCTGCAGGCTACCCCCCTCACCGCTCACGCACCCAACGTCCTCTCTTCTCTTCCCCCTCTGCTGCTCCTCAACCTCAAAACACATTCCCAGGCTTCACTGGGCCAGCCCCTTCTTTGTCTGTCCAGCTTCTAGAAGGACTTGGGGGAATCTGCTGCCTCCAGGCCTCACCCTCCTCCTCCAGGAAGCAGAAGGAATCCCGCCTGAATCTCCACAGCTCTCCTGGGCCCTGTACCTCCTGCCTGGTGCAAGGCCCCTGGGCCACTCCTTCCCTGTCCTGCTCCTGAGAAAGGGCTGCTCTTGGAGCCCCCCACCCCCGGTGCACACTGCAGACCGGGGAGGGGGGGTCCCACATTCCTTCAAACATCAGAATCCCCCCGGGGCAGGGCACGTGTACAATGCAGAAATCGGGACCCCACCGCGGTGTCTGATACTCTGGGTCAGGGCCCCGGGATCTGCATCTGCATTTCTGCTCCCAGGTGGTACTGCTGCTATGTGGGATCCTCCTGTTGAGACCCCTCCACACTGGAATCCCTGGGGCCTCCTAAAGAAAACAAAAGACCCCAGGCTCCCCGGGTGATTCCAGGCTGAAGAAAGAGGGAGTCTCCCTTGGGTGCAGAGGTCAGGGCTGATCACTCTCCCTGCCTCCTTCTGGAAGAACCCCTTGCCCACCCAGCCCTCTTCCCCTGCTCTCTTTCTCCTCTTATCTTCCCCCCTCCCCTCTCTTCCTCCTCTTCTGTCTCCCCTCTCCCCTCCCCGGTTTCTCTCTTCCCCTCTCCCTCTGTGCTCTTCCTCTCCCTCCAGTTGAGATTCAGGGGAGAAGGGCCAGGAACCCCCAGGCCTTCCCTGGAAACACCTCTGCACTGCTGCCTGCATTTCCTCCTTCGTGGGACACCACCCCCCCATCCTTTGCACCCTCTGAGTCCTGCCCCCAGGATGCCCGCATGCTCTCGAGTCCCCCCCCCCACCCCAGGGCAGCTCCTGGGGCATCCTTGGCTCTGGAGGAGGGACAGGGCAGTCAGGCCTGGAGGTGGCGGGCTTGGCTGTGTAGCCCCCTTGCCTGGGAGAATGACACCGCTGGAAGCTTGGCACGGCCTCCGGGAAGGCGGCCAGCCCCACTCTTCACCCTGCTGGGCTTGTCACACAGGCGGCTGAGCTCAGAGGCTCTGCGCCCATTGTCCCTGGGAAGGGCCTCTATTGCCAGAAACCTCTCATTCCAGGATGGAGGTTTCCCAAGTCCAGATCACACGTCCAGGCCCCGAGTGCCTGCTCTCTGCCTGCCCCTTGCCCCAGGGGGTTGGTCAGGGCCTTGGCAGGAGGTTCCTGAGCCCCCAATAGCTCCTCTCCCTGTCCCTGCAGGGATCCTGGGAGCTGCAGGCCACGCTGATGAGTCAGAGGCTTGGCAGGGATGTGTGTGTGCATGCACATGTGCGTGTGTTTGCCCGTACGTGTGTGTGGGCATGTATTTGTGTGTTTGCCTATGAGTGTGCATGTGAGCGTGCATGCATGTTTGTGTGTGTGTGCAGTTGTACCCATGGGCACATGTGAATATCTGTGTGGGTGGATGTGTGTGCATGTGTGTGTATGAATGCATGCCTATGGATGTGTGTGCACACGTGTCAGGGGTGCTCCGCCTCCGGGGAGCCCAGGAGGCAATCTTGCTGCTCCCAGTGTGCCTCACTTTGACAAACAAGCCCTGATGTTTCCCAATCGGCATTCCAGCTTTCTGAAATCACAGTTTCCATCTGCGGGCACCCGCCTCACCTCTGCCCCCATCCCCGTCCTCAGGGTCCTGCACTCCAGCCCGGAGGCAGTGCCCGGGGAGCCAGGAGGGGCCTGGTCTCAGCCCACGCTCTCCTGAGGCTCCTCCTGCCAGCCTCCTGGGCCGTGGGGCTTCCGTGCTCAGCAGGGTTAAGTAGCGAGCTGGCAGTGGGTGAGGAAGAAACACAACTGCTTCTTTAGCTTCGGGGCCTGGGGTCACCCTGAGAGTCTGCTGATGAGATCTGGCAGCGGGTGGGCGGAGGGACGTGGGGGAAGGCAGGAGCTCAGAAAGAAGGGCCAGAGGCTGGTCTTAGCCTGGCCTGTGTCCTCTGAGGACCCTGGGGCGCCAGGGGCCCAGACTGGGCCAGGCAGTTTTCTGTGTGGGGGGAGATCGCCTGAACAGGTCGGGGGGCGTGGAGGGCGGGGGCTGGAGTTGGAAATGTCCCTGATGCCTTCCAGGGCACCCTGCAGCTGGGCTGTGCAGACCTGAGGTCTGAGGCTAGGATGGGGTGGGGTGGAAACACATTGGAACCTGCTCTTCAGTGGCCCCCAGCACATGTGGACAGAGCCCTTTAAGCACCCCAGAAACACGGGGGAAGAAAGCCGGTCCCCTCCTGCCTCTTCTGCCAAGGCCTTAAGCCTGCCTTTCCCCACCGGCTCTGGCCAGTGGCTGTTCCCACCCGGAGCCTGGGACTCCACTCTGCTGTCACAGCACCGCACACGTTGGGCAGGGGGCAAGCAGGGGAAAGGGCAGAGAGGAGATGGCAGGAGGAGGAATAAAATGCCAGTGCCTGGCAGCAGCCGAGGCTGGGAAAGGAGGCCTGGGGGTAGTGGCATCCCTGGTCTTCACTCCAGTCTTCCCTCTTGACAGAGCTTCCCCAGAGCTAAGTCTGTGGTCCCTGCTGGGGACAGATTGTGTCACGTGAGCCTCACAGGGACCAGACCCCTGGAGTACTCACTCCTGGGAGGCCTGGGGAAGGGGGCGGAGCTGGGCTGTGATCTGGTGCCAGCACCTGTGATCTCAGGACCTTGGGCAGGCTGCTGCTCTACCTGTGACCTTGTGACTGTGACTGGGAGACAGAGCCGGCACCCACTCACCAGAGTTCAAGGGGGCGGTGGGCGGGAATGTTGGAGTGTGGTGTGGCCCGGGGTGGTGGATATTTCAACAATGATTAAATATTCCCTGGAGATCAGCCTGGGCTGCATAGAGAGACCCCCATCTCTACAAAAAAAAAAAAAAAAAAAAAAATTAGCCAGGCTTGGAGGATCTCTTGAGCCCAGGAGGTCGAGTTTGCACTGAGACATGATGGCACCATTGCCCTCACTCTACAAGGCAACAGAGGAGACCCTGTCTCAAAAAAAAAAAAAAAAAAAAGATTTAAGAAATTACCCGAGACTCAGTTTCCTCAGCTGTAACATTAGAGGGCCAGGAGGTGGGCTGGATTCTTTCTAAGGCCCCCCTGCCATTTTTTCCACCTTGATTTGAGGAGCCAGGTGGTATTCGTAGCGTTACCTACTAACCTACTAACCATGGGGTGCAGCTTGGGGCAGGGATGTGTCTTGGTTCTTTTTTTTTTTTTTTTTGAGACGGAGTCTCGCTCTATCGCCCAGGCTGGAGTGCAGTGGCGTGATCTCCACTTACTGCAAGCTCCGCCTCCCGGGTTCACGCCATTCTCCTGCCTCAGCCTCCCGAGTAGCTGGGACTACAGGCGCCTGTCACCACGCCCGGCTAATTTTTTGTATTTTTAGTAGAGACGGGGTTTCACCGTGTTAGCCAGGACGGTCTCGATCTCCTGATCTCATGATCCAGCCATCTCGGCCTCCCAAAGTGCTGGCATCACAGGCGTGAGCCACCGCGCCCGGCCATGTCTTGGTTCTGGATGTTCCTGGTGGGTGGGGGCTTCTGCCTTCGTTGTGGGCAGGCTGTGTCCCCCCTCGCTGGGGAGATGAAGGCAGCCTAGGGTTCGACAGCACACAGGGACCATCAGATGGGTCCCTCCTGGTGTCTCTGTGGGAGGCGGGAGGAGATGGGTTACCTGAGGACACACGCAGGGGCCTAGGTTCTAGCACAGCCATGTGTCCTTGGTCCTGCTGCTTAACCTCCCCGTGCCACAGCTTTCTCATCTGTGAAATGGGGCAATAGAGCTGCCAGTGACCAAGTGAGTTCTGCACATAAAAAGCTTCCAGCAGACTCCTGGAGACAGTAACACATTAGTGCCCGTATGTGTGATCTTGTGATGGGGTGAAGACACTGGGGCCTCAGCCCAGAAGCTTCCACCTGCTCTCAGGCCTTGTGCTGAAGCGGTTTGCCTGGAGAGAGTGGAAGTGGCTGCCTGCTCCCCACCAACCGGCCCCTGAATCCCACGCTCCCCTCCCCCCGCCTGCCTAAGCTCAGCATTCGCCACCACCTCCAGCCCCGGCAGCCTTTTCTCCTTTTCTTTTCTCGTTTTATCTCACCAGCAGAGCATCTTGCAGTCGGTCATTCCATTTCATTTCTGGTCTTCGGAGAGTGACATTTACATATTAATATTTTCTAAGGGAGCCCCGTGCACGGAGCCAGTGTCCGCCTCATGGCCTCACATGCTGTGCGGGAGATAAAGCAGGCTCCGCCGTGAAGAACGACAAGCGGAGCCGCGTGGTCGCGAAAGGCCTTGCGTGTGCCCCGTCAGTGTGTGGCGCCTGGCAGGGCTGATGGAGCGCCCCTCTCCCCTCCAAGGTTTATCTCTGCTCACAGAGGATGTGTGCTTTGTCAGGGGCTCTGCCTCCCCGTCGCTTCCTGCTGCCGGCCCCAAGCCGGGCACCAGGGACACGGCTCCTGGCCCGAGATGCCCTGACAGGCGCGTCGGCTGGAACTGGGCACAGCCGGCCAGCGCCAGCCAGGCTATCACTGCCCTGCAGAGGCTGCTGCCACGGCCCCGCCATCCCCGGCCACCCAGACATCTGTGCCTGCAGGCCCAGATCCAGTGACGCCTTGGTGGGGGGCTTTGGGTGTGCCCCCCGGGGTCAGTTCTCTCTGGGTGTGAGGGCCCAAGAGAGAATGAAGGGGGTCTCTGGGTGATGAGTGTGCCCACCATGGATGGGGCAGATTGTGGAAGGAGATATGGAATGGAGCCACAGGACGGTGCCCTGACCGCGTGGCCGGAACCGTCCTGTGTGCTGTGTCTGTGTCATCTCATTCGCTGTCACACAGGGATGCAACTGTGTGTGTTACATCAGAGGAAACCGAGGCGCAGAAGTAACTTGGCCAAGGTCTCACAGCTGGGAGCCAAGGCTGGGCTGCTGAAGGGGCCTTCAGGGTGGGTCACATTCAGCTTCCGGCCCCAATTCTGCCTTCAGCCAGCAGTTGCTCTCTCTGAGATTCAGTTTCCCCAGCTGTAAAATGGGGACAGCAGCGCCTCAGTGCTGCATCTTATGCATAGGTGAGGTTCAGAGTCAGTCTATAAAGCCAGAATGTGGTGTGCGGATGGCCTTGTTTTAAATCACCCAGCAAGCAGGGGACGTGCTCTCAGGTGTGCCCAGAGCTGCCACCGTGGGTTTAGCACCCCTGTGGTATAAAAAGGACCTATCCTTACGCAAGACTGACACCTGGCACTGTGAGATACCCACGCAGGAAGGAAGCCCTGTCTTGCCACCCAGCTCAGGCTCACACCTGGGCCCCCAACACACACCCCCGTTTTGTCCTCCGCTGGCTCGTGTTTTTCTTCTCTGGACCTGGATCCAGGCAGGACCACATGGTGTTGAGAAGCGCACTCTGGACCCGTCTGCCTCGGTTCAGATCCCAGCGCCTCCCTCACCATGTATGGCTGCAGATCACTTTGCATTTTGTGCCTCAGTTTCTCCTCTGGACAAGTGGAGTAATGAAGCCACTACCTCATAGGGATTTGTGAGGGCTAAATGAGGTACTGGGTATCAAGTGTGGGACCACTTAGGTTCTAGGTATTTGTAAACGTTTTCCCCTATGACCCTCATCATCATCACCTTCACCACCATCTGTATCATCACCATCACCACCATCGTCACTTTTACCACCATCACTATCATCATCACCATCACCACCACCATCACCGGTCTCCATCATCATCACCTTCACCACCATCATCACTTTTACCACCATCACTATCATCATCACCATCACCGGTCTCCATCATCATCACCTTCACCACCATCATCACTTTTACCACCATCACTATCATCATCACCATCACCGGTCTCCATCATCATCACCTTCACCACCATCATCACTTTTACCACCATCACTATCATCATCACCATCACCGGTCTCCATCATCATCACCTTCACCACCATCATCACTATTACCACCATCACTATCATCATCACCATCACCAGTCTCCATCATCATCACCTTCACCACCATCATCACCATCACCACCACCATCACCAGTCTCCATCATCATCACCTTCACCACCATCACCACAGTCTCCATCACCTTCACCACCATCACCACAGTCTCCATCACTGTCATCATCATCACCATCACCATCACCACCATCAGCATCACCATCACCACCATATCACCACCGTTGTCATCACCACAACCAGCAATTGTGGTCACTGTCATCGTCATTCATGGCTAAGGAGTCCAAGTGCTCCCCTTCCTTCCTGAGACTGGTGCTCTGGGATTCTAGAAAGCCCGGCTGGGGGTAAGGAGAAGGAAGGCACCTTTCTCTCATGCCCTCTATACTTGGGAAAGGGTCCCAGAGGCTTCTCCTTATGACCCACGGTGCTTTGGGGCTTCTGGCCCTTCTGGGTGCATAGGGAGGCCCAGGACCCTGTCTTAGTCAGCTCAGGCTGCTATAACAAAATACCATAGACCAGGTGGCTTAACAACCATCGAAATGTACTGCTTCAATTTCTGGAGGCTGAAAGTCCAAGATCAAGGTGCTGGCAGATGAGGTGTTTGGTGAGGGCTCACCTCGTGGTTCCTGGATGGTGCCCTCTCGCTGTATCCTCACATGGTGAAAGGGGGGACCCTTTAACAGGAGCTTAATCCCATCGTGAGGGCCGCGCTCTCATGCCCTAATCACCTCCAAAGGCCCCAACTCCTAACACCATCACTTTGGGGGTGAGGATTTCAACACAGGAATTGGAGGCGGGGACACAAACATTTGGATTGTAGCAGACCCCTGAGAGAAGACATGCAGGGTCTTGGAGGGATCTTTCCAGCCCTGCTCCTATTTTTTTTTTTTCTTTTTTTGAGAAGGAGTGTCACTCTTGTCACCCAGGCTGGTGTGATCTCGGCTCACTGCAACCTCAGCCTCCCGGGCCCAAGTGATTCTCCTGCCTCAGCCTCCCAGGTAGCTGGGATTACAGGCGCCCACCACCACACCTGGCTAATTTTTGTTTTTTTTAGTAGAGATGGGGTTTCACCATGTTGGCCAGGCTGGTCTTGAACTCCTAACCTCAGGTAATCTACCTGCCTCGGCCTCCCAAAATGCTGGGATTACAGGAGTGAGCCACCGCGCCTAGCCCCTGCTCCTATTTTTATTCTCAACCTTTCAGAAGCCAAGACTACCCAACACACACCCACATTCTGTTTTTCTGATTTTCTGCCAGAGAAAAAGATTTTGTGGATCACAATGGGGACCAGCCTGGGGGGAAGGAGAAACAGGGCAGCGTCCTAAGTACAGGACCAAGGACCAAGTGGGCCTGGTCCCGCCCGCCACCCTCTGACAGCTGGCCAGCACTGCCCTGGATGGAGGTGGCTTGGCAGACAGACCGGTCCAACAGGTCTTTGCTTGGGGCCGGAAAGTCTCAGCCGGGGTTGAGGAGCCTTTGGGAGCCCAACGAGCCGGTTTGTCTGGGTTCTTCGTGAAGATCTCAGGGATCAACATGCTCATGCTGACACCCTGACCTCCGGGCTGCACCTCCGTCTTGACTAGTGCTGGGAGGCCTTGGACTCCTGACCACCGATTGCCATCCGCTGATACTTGATGTGGTCCCGGGGCAGGGTCAGAGATCAGAGGCACTGGCGCCAGGCGTGGGAGCTGGTTTTCTGTTTAGATTTAGAGACATAAACCCAAAGAGTGACCCTGTGCCTGTACTTAAACCTCACCTCGCGCTCACCTTTGTAGAGGAGGAACTGGAGCTCAGAGCAAACTTGTGAAGCAGCCAGGATGGGGTCCAAAGCTCCTGTCTCCCATCCACTGCCGTCCTCCCAGCCCAGCCTCCTTGGGCACACTCACTCTCCTCCTGCCTGCAGCAGAATCCTGTCCAGGGCCCAGCCTGCGGGCATCAATAGGCCAGGGTTTCAGGCCCAGCTTTACCTGCAGCAGTTCAGCTCTGGGCACGTTTGGGTCCTCTGTGGACCTCGGTATCTTCTTCTTTACAGTGGTGTCCCTGAAGTCCCCTTCCTGCTCAGGCATCCTTCCCTTGCAGTCAGTAACATGTGTTTGCAGCCTCCCTGTCCCTCTGCATCTGAGTAGCGGCTAAGGGGTTTCCATCTCCCGCCTGGAGGAGCAGGAGTGTGTTGCTCTGTGGAGGGCAGGGGCCTGGTTGTGCACTGGAGCCGCCCTGAGAGGGGCCAGCCTCTTTCTGTCTGAGTGTTCTCACCCCATAAAATCCGGAGCGCGCTGGCGCTCAGCCCAGGGGGTCGTGGAGGGTTCCCACACGACTCTTGTAAGATCCTCTGCTAATGAGGTCCCGGCAGTGCCAAGTGTTCCCGTGACAGAGCGTGCCAGCGTGAAGCTGGGCCCCGCTCACAGAAGCCAGGGGCATCTTCTAGCTGGCAAAGGTGGCAGGGGAACCAGCCTCCCATGGGAACCTCTCCAGAGCCTCCTAGAAACTCCAGGAGACCCCATGGGAAGACGGTCTTTGGAAGCCAGGCAGGCATATCTGGGCGGATGGCTGCTCTAAGGATTTAATGAGACATTCATCAGCCCCCACCCAACCAGCCTTAATGGATGCCTTATGAAGTGGGGCTCCCTCCTCTCCTCCTCCCACAGCCCTGGATGAGTTGTGGGATTGGCCGGGCCGTGGCTTGTCCAGTATCCCACCTCTTTCCCTGCACTGCGCCCTTCCCAAAGCCTGCCTGAGCTGTGGTCAGGGCCGTCAGGACTGGGTCAGGTATAAAAGATGTCCACAGCCCAGGGCCCACCCCATAGCCCCCTGCCCCCAGGATGCAGCTCTCCCTCCCCTCCCCAGCCCATCCCTCCCCATGTCCTTCCAGGGTCAGTAGCACTCCCTCCCTGCCAGAGGAGACCTTCCTGCCCGCCTCATCCAACCGACTCACCCCCGCGTTTCTCGTGAGAGTGATTGGATCCAGCCAGTGGTGCTGTTCTGAGAACTGCCTGTGTCTCCGGCCTTAGCTCATCTGTGGCTCACAAAGTGGGGATAATTTGCATCCTACTGATGGGGAAACTGAGTCACCTGGCGGTGACATCTCTTGCCCCAGGTTCACAGCAGGCCGGCTCCGAGTCCGTGAGTGTGAGGGCGTGAGTGGGTGCTCGTGTGGGTGTCTGTGATGGTTGCGCAGAGTGTTGGAGTTTACTGTGTGTATGTGTGTTGTGCTGTGTGGTGTAAATGGGTGTGTGCATGTGTTGGGTGTGAATGTGTGTTGGATATATGTATAAGTGTCAGGAGTGAGTATGTTGTGTATGGGTGTGTGTTGTGTGTGACTTTGTTGTGTGCATGGCTGTGTGTTGTATGTGTGACTTTGTGTTTGTGTATGTATGTTGTATGTGCATGTGACTCTGCATGACCTGTGTGGGTGTATGTTGTGTGTATGATTGTGCATTGTGTATGAATGTGACTATGTGGGCACGTGTTGTGTGTATGCGTGTGTGTCTTTTGTGTGCTGTGTGGCTATGTGTGCATGTGACTGTGTTGTGTGTGGCCTGTGTGTGTTGTGTGCGTGTGGTTGTGGTTGTGTGTGGCCTGTGTGTGTGTGGCTGTGAGACCTGTGTGTGTTGTGTGTATGTGGCTGTGGTTGTGTCTGCCCTGTGTGTGTGCACGTGTGCCTGTGGCTGTGTGTCCCCTGTGTGTTGTGTGCGTGTGACTGTGTTGTGTGTGCCCTGTGTGTGTGAGACCTCTGTGTGTTGTATGCGTGTGCCTGTGGTTGTGCGTGCCCTGTGTGTGCGTGCGTGCATGGGGCATCCTGCCTGTCCAGCAGAGCTCCCTCTCCCACTTTCGTTAAACCCCATCTCCATCCTCCATGCTCAGGAAGGTGCTGGGTAAATACATTGCCATCTGGCTGATGGAACAGCGTCCTGGTTGGGAGGAGTTGGCCACACTCCCCAGATCAGGGAGAGTCTCCAGGGACTGTGGAAGGAGCCAGGGCTGGGGCCAGGAAGGAAGCAGGGCTAAGGAACCCCTGGGAGCCGCCTCCCACTCCACTCCTGGCCCCAGCCGTGGGGGCTGGAGCTGATGCAGTTCCAGGGGGCTGAGGGACAGAGGGGGTCCCTCCTCGTGCCTGCCTCCACCCCCAAACCTTCCCTGGGTTCCAGTGTCACTGCAGGCGGCCTCCCCGAACACTGGGAGACACTGAGAGTCTTAGCTGCCTGGCCTGGTAGCTCAGTCTAGGTGTCACGTTTTCCCCAGGAGAGGGGCTGGCCCTCAGGCGCAGCGGTCTGGTTCAGAGCCAGCAACACCACGGGGCTCTTGCCTGGAGGGCAGTGCTGCGGGAGGCGGGGTCAACAGGCCCAGGCTGAGCAGAGGTGGGAGGGCGCAGGAGGGGGCAGCTTACTCCCTCGGTTTCTGGCCCACTGAGGAACGCCTTGGGGAGGGGAGGGCTTTTGGGGTGATGCTGTTTCCGAGACCCCTGTGTGCCTGCCTTGAGCCCTGTCTCCCGGGTGGTGGGGCCAGGGCCAGCTGCTGCAGCCAGGAGCCCCTCATCCCTCTGACTTCCGGGGCCCAGGTCTGGGGGCCGGTGGGGTGCAGGGGACCTACACGTTCAAACCTCCCCGTCTGATTCCTGTGGCTGCAGGTGGCTGGCTCTCTCTGGCTGGCAGTCAGGTGGCCAGGTCTCTGCCCTTTGGATGTCAGCAGAGGTGACGCGGGGTGGCGGGGATGGTAAGAGCTCTGGACTTGAGACCCCCAGGGCACCTCAGATGCCATCCCAGTCCTGCTGCTTGCCGGCTCTGTGGCTTCAGGAAAGGAACTCTGCCTCTCTGGGCCTCTGTCTACTTATCTAGTAATGGGGCTGCCTGCGAAGCTCAGAATGGGATAGCAGAGACATAAGGGCTCCTAAATGCCAGCACGGCTGCCGTGGCTGTGGTGGTTGTCAGATGGGGCCCTGCTCCCAGAGCCAGTAGCAGCCCCTGGGTCTTGCAGTCTGCATCTCGGGCTTGCCACGTGTGGGAGGGTGAGGGTGGGGTCCAGGGGGAGCCGAGGGGTGCTGAGGCCTCATGCCCTGGGCCGGGAGGGGCTGTCAGCCTCGGCCAGGAAGCCAGGTGTGTGTACACTGTCCTGACCTGTTTGCATTCCTGGGCCAGGAAGCCTGAGGCCAGGCCTGTAATCACGAGGGGGAGAGGGCACCGGGGCCAGTCAACTTCCCCCGAGGGGCATCTGATGGCCTCATCACATCCCGTATGGGTGGGAGGTAGGGGCAGGACATTTACACCCTAGGGAAACTGAGGCAGCCGGTCCATGGTCCTGGGCTTGTCTGCAGCAGCCCTGCCTCATCTCTGCATTGCTGGGATCTCCCGAGGCCCCCGAGGCCATGGAGGCTGCCATTAGTGAGCCCAGCAGGATTAAACATGAATGAGTGAGTCCCCGCCATGCCCGCTTCCCCTTTCCCCAAACAAACAACCTGCTCCCTGGGGTGATCCGGCCGTCTCACTGGCTGCCCGCAGCCTCTGCTGCAATCGGCCCTCGTGGTTGCGTCACCACGTCTGCTGGCCCGGGGGGTTTCGCCAGCCTCCTGGCCTCCACAGGGAACCTGAGGGCAGTGGGCCAGGGGGTAACTGGCCCCTGGCCGGCCCAGTGGTTTCATCAGCCGGGGAGGGCACCTTGGCAGCAGCTGCCCCTCTGCCTGCAGCTGGGCTCCTCTGGCTCACTTGTCCCCCCCCCACTGATGGTGAGGTGACCGCCGGGGGCACAGACAGCCCGTCTCCTGGGATCAACACCCCTCTGTTAGCTGTGGGCCCAGTGCGGCTGGCTCAGCCCGAGGGAAGGGCGGCTGTGGGAGAGCAGCTGTCGGCGTGGCTGTCATCTCCCCAGCGTTGGGGAAATCCAGGATGCTGAGAAGGAGCGAGGTGGCCAGGCTGGCCCTAGGCTTCCTTGTTTCACAGTTTCCCTCCTACCCTGCTCATGATGCCCAGCCAGCCGGCAGGCTTTCCTGTGGGGGTGAATACCTCATGGTGTGGGAGCTGATCCCCCAAATGGGGGGTGTCACTGCCCACATGCCTGAGGACCAGTTAACGTCACAGAGCCCAGACTACAGAGTTACCCGCCTTTAGGGGGCTCCATTTGTCCCTCAGGGGGCAGTGTGTTTTGTGATTAGACCATGGACTTTGCCATCAGTATGTCTGGGCTCAAATCCTATCTCCACAGTTGCTAGCTGTGTGACCCCAGACAAGCTGTTTAACCTCGCTGGGCTCCAGTTTCTTCCTATAATGCCACCCACATCCCACAGGGGTAGTAATAGGACCTGCCTGCCTAGTAGAGGGAGCACTGGCTGCCTTGGGTACCTCACTGGTGGCTGAGCCTGAGCTCGCGGCCCTCCAGCCTCCCATCAGCCTTTTCGGACACCAGCCAGCAGCCTTGGACTGGCTGCATTGACTCTGCCGGGGTAGAAAGGCAGGGACCTGCCAGATGCCTCCAGCAAGGGTCCTGGGACCGTGCAACTTTCCCTGTCCCCTGGCTCATGGCTCCTGGGTGCAGACAGTCCCCACCTGGTACAGCTGCTGAGAGACAGGCACCTGAGCCTGACACCTGACTCGCAGCCCACCAGCCGGACATCTCTGCACCCCCACCCTGTGCTCAGCAGCAAAAGACACATTCACTGAGCACCTACTGTGTGCCAGGCCCAGCTCCTCCCCAGGGATTAGCTCGAGAACCCTCTCCACAGTCCCTCAACATAGGGACTCGCTGTTCCCTTTTGCCAGCTGTAGTGATGGGGCGTGCAAGGCAATGTTGGGGACCCAGGCCGCTGTGCCACTGGCCCCCGACCCTCAGGAGCTGCAGAAGTAGAGTGCGTGCCCCACTGTCTGCACAGGGTGAGAAGAACGGCCAGTCCCACGCGCGCCAGCAGCCAGGACTGCTGGAATCCAGGGCAGGGTGGTCTGGAAGGGTCAGGCTGTGGGGAGAGAGGTGGATCTTCAAAGGCAGCGGCTGCCTGGGAGCAAGGCTGGGTCAGCCGGGCAGGCCAAAGGGACACAGCACAGACAGGGCAGTGGTTACAGGCAGTGTGGGATGTGGGTGGAGAGCAGGGATGGGGAGGGGTGGGACCACCTGCCCACTATCAGGGATCTGGGCAAGGTCTACGCCGCCTGCCAGCTTGGCTGCCTGTGACTGCATAAGAAAGAATTCAAACCAGCCACCTCTCCCCTCACTTCTGATGATGGATAAAGACGTCCGCTCGCTCTCTTACAGGCGACCAGAGCCGATAATTAGCTTTTAACCTGTCCCCACCGTTAACTGGAAAAGGTCACCATTTGTTCCAGGGAGCTGCTAGTGTATAAAGAACTAAACATGGCCAATTTTGTTCAGGATGAATTAAGACTTGTAAATGTAAAATGAGTTCATCTATTTAATTAAGTAGCAGCAATATGGATGTTAAATTAAGTTCACAGTGGAAGTGCCAAAACAGTGTTGTAAAAATATTGTCCGTGGTGCAGGGATTTGGGGAGGGGGTGGCCCTCTCCCTGCGTTCACCTCTCCGGTCAGGATGATCCCGATGAGGCCGTGGACTGCGCCCCACCTCCTCTGTCTTCCTGAGCAGCGGCCTGACTTGAAGCCCAGGGAGCTGCAGCGAGGCCTGTCATGCTTCCCCCTCGTGAGGAACCGCTGCCTGGGCTTGTCTCCCCACTGGTCCGTGGGCGCGCAGGGGCTGGCTCCGGCCTCGCCCACCTGTGCACACGCGCGTGTTAAAGGGCGTCATGTGAGGCGGGTGATTGATGAGAAGGCCACTGCCCCTGCCGGGAGGGAGGGAAGCCGAAAGGACCATGCTGAAGAGGTTCGCCCTCAGAAGAACCTCTCCCAGAGAAGAAGCTGGGCTGGGATGAACCGGGATTACCGGGGAGGCAGGGGTTGAGGACAAAGGCCACATGCCCAGAGCTGGGGCCAGAGCCAGGCTCTTGACCCTCTTCCCTGCTGCACGGGCATTGCCAAAAAGGCAGTTGCTCTGTGCTGGGGAGGCGGTTACTTCCTACGCACCCGCGCCACACTGCCCCGGGAGGGGCTTGCAGCGGTGAATGGGTGAATGGAGTTCCGGGACCAGCAGCCTACCCCGGTGGGAAGCGGGGCCGGCAGCCCTGGCAGGGGAATGTGGGGCCAGCAGCGGGCCGGGGAAGTGGGCTGATTGCACAGCCTGTGCTCTGGAAGAGAGCGCACGGGCTTGCCCACACCGATGGACGTGGACAGCTGTGAATGGTAGCACAGACATATACAGGAGTGACCGTCGAAGGAGGGGGATTAACTGGTGGAATGGGAACAGAGTCAGGGAATATTTCCTGAAGTAAGAGATTTCCTCACTGGGTTTTAAAGGACGCATAGGAGTTTGCCTGGTAGGTGGGGAGGAGAAGGCCGTTCCTGGAAGAGAGAGAGGAGCATGTGTGTCTGTTCTGTTCTCACACTCCAGCAGTTCACGGCAGAGGGAGAGACGAGGACAGCTGCAGAGGTGGGCAGGGGTGTGGGGGGGCCCCAGCATCAGGCTAAGCAGCTTGCACAAACCCTGCAAACAGGGAGGAGGCCTTCAGCCATTGGCACTGTTCTAACCTGGGTGTGTGGGCGTGAGCTGGACAGACAAGATTCTCACCCCCGTGAAGCGTGCAGTGCAATGAGGGCCTCGAACAAACAGATCAACAGATGAATATGTGTTAGGTTGGATGTTGAAAAGCGATGTGGGGAAGATATAAAAGAGTAAGGATTGGGGGAGCAGGGCAGGGATGGCTGGGGTTGTTTTTGTTTGTTTGTTTGTTTGTTTGTTTTGAGTTGGAGTTTTTTCCTGTCACCCAGCTGGTACAACCCTAGCTCACTAAAGCTTCAACTTCCTGGGCTCATGGGATCCTCCCACCTCAGCCTCCCGGGTAGCCGGGACTACAGGTGTGTGCACCACCACCCCCGGCTAATTTTTTTTTTTTTTTTAATTTTTAGTAGAGATGAGATCTCACTATGTTGCCAGAGCTGGTCTCAAAACTCTGGCTTTAAGCGATCCTCCTGCCCCAGCCTCCTTTTTAAGTGCTGGGATTACAGGCTGACCCACTGCACCCAGCCGTGGATTGCTGTTTTTTGTTTTGTTTTGTTTTGTTTTGTTTTGTTTTGTTTTGTTTTTTGATGGGGTGGTCAGGAAGGGCCTTCTGATACCCTTTGGCAGAGCACAGAAGAAACCAAGGGTGGTGGGATGTCTTATCGTCTGGGGGAAGTGCAAGCTGATGCCTCTTGTTCCAACATGATTATTGATAAAGCCCTTTCTGGTCATGTGGCTGCCTCGTGGAGGAGGTAAGACAGGCAAAAAGGGAAGAGCTGGTGCAGAGGCCCTGGGGCGGGAGTGAAAGCCAGGAGATCAGCGAGTGGGAGGAAAATAGCTCAAGACCCCAGAGGCCATTGTAAGAACTTGGCCTTTACTCAGAATCAAATGGGAGCCATGGAGGGTTCTGGGCAGAGGCACCCTCATCTTGGTGGACCGGCCTCCTCAGGCTGCAGTACTGAGAACTGACTGTAGGGGTAGCAGCAGGAGGCCAGTGAGGCGGCGCCTGCAGTTGTCCAGGGGGGTCGGACCGGGTTAGACTTGGTCCAATTCCGGATGTGCAGGTGGTTAATCGTGTGTGGGACTGGAGTGGGGGTGGGGGTGTCAAGCCGCCAGGAGGTTTTCAGCAGAGAAGCTGTGCCATCGGTGTGTGGCCCGGAAGGCCACGTCGGTGGCTCCGTGGCAAGCGAGCAGCGGCCCAGGAGACAGGGGCAGAGTCTCTGGGTTGCAGCTGGTGGAAGGCCTCAGCAGGCCTCAGCCTGCAGCCATGTTTTCTTAGCTCCTACACAGTATTTTATTTATTTTTTTAAGATGTATTGCCAATATTTACAATTAAAAACAAAGAAATTTCTTCCCCACATTTAAACCCCAGAGTTCCAGCTTCTCTTTAAAACTCCTGGTACCCTGGGTCTGTGCTCCCCCTTGGCACCTGTTGGGGGCAGCTGAGCAGCCCCTGCTATGCCGAGAGGGCAGGCACCCTCCTATTTGCTCTAGCCCCCCACCCCCACTACGGGGCCCCTTTTCCTTGCCTAACTGGCCCTCCCAGCACGTGAGTTTCTAAGCCCTGGCTTTAGGTGTCCCTGGCTGGAATATGGAGGCCTGTTTGGGGGTAGGCTAGGGGAGGGTAGGTGGAGACGGAACAGGGAGGCTTCCGGAACCTCACCGATTAGACTGTCTAGCTAGAGGAGGTTTGCCAGAAAGGCTGTCTTCCTGATTACTGGGAAACAGGACCCAGAATGCTAGGCAGCTGGGAGCCACGAAACACCTCTGTCCTTTGCCAGCAGGACCAGCCGTGGCCTGTAGGGCACCTTGCTGCACATTAGAAAAGGGGTTCCTCCTGTGTGTGGACAGGCACTGGCAAGATGAGTGAAAGGTCAGCTAGACTTCAGCCTGCTGTTCCCCTTTGCCCAGCCCCTTGTGCAGTGCACAACCTGCCCGCATGTACCCAGCGTTCCTGCCCTGATTGGAACCAGCTCTTGAAGCCTGGTAGGAAATGGCAGGACTGTCTGGAAATCCGTGAGGGTAGCGCCTGCCGTCCTGCCTCCTCCGGCCCCCGATTTCCAGCTCAGCCGTCTGCCTTGGCTCCCTGAAGCCTGTGGAACCATTTAAAAAGCTCCTAACGATATTGATCAATCTCTCTAAAATGGATTATCCTGTTTGCCTCCCAGCCTGACTGGATGCCCTGGGTAAGATCAGAAAGGAATTATGTTAGCCAGAGGCAGAGGGAGCAAGGGCGCGAATGTATCTCCTCCCCGGTGATGCAATCTTATCAGAGCTGAACTTTACTCTCCATCTTGGGATATAGGATACTTTGGGGATGTCGGAAAGAAATAATAATCTTACGATTTGCAGCCAGCTCGACACTGAGCCAGCAGGGAGGGGTGGTGGGGGTGGAGGAGGCTGTGGCATGGACCATTTTTCGTCGGAGCTATTCCCTAGAGAAATCAAGCCCTTGTAGAAATCCCGCTGGAGCCCAGCCTTGGGTGACATGCCTGCGACCCACTCCATGAGGATTACAGCCTGCAACGAGGGCCCAGGGGACAGGTGCGTTCATTAAAATTTGAAACACAAATGGAAAATTGCTACCTGAAGCCTCACAGAGCACCCAGCCGGGGAATCCAAGTTCCCATTAATGGATGGAATACACAGGAAACAATTACAGCCTGCATGGCAGTTCCTTCTGAGATAGTTGGGTGTCATCGGAGGAGGGAAAATCTGAACGTGACTGAGACCAGGGGAAACCTTGAGGCCCAAGTGAGGAGGATTCTCTTCTTGCAGCCTCCGTGCCAGAGCTGAGGCGTAGCCCCCTTGGCCACTCCCTGGACAGTGACTTGCCCTGGCTTCCCTTTGTCTGACAGGTGTTGTTTGTGTTGTCACCTTGGGCTGAACCCCACCAGCCTGGCTCTGTGCTGGGAGCAGGGGCTGATCTCTGGCTCCAAGGAGTTGCCAACTGATGCCATGCACACACCTTTGCCTCTGGCTTCGTTCGGTTGCCCGGATTCAGACCTCAGTGCAGGAGCTTTATTTGGGAAATGATCTCTGGAGATAGCAGGAGAAAGTGGGAAGGGGACATGGGGAAGGGAAGGAGCAATAGAGAGTGTGTCCTTTAGCCCCACTGTGGGCACAGCTCTGAGACGGCTGGGGTGTTGAGCTGCTTGTACCCATCTGTCCTGTGTCCTGTGAGGCCCTAAACAACACAGTCCTGGGGCAGAGAGGTCAGATGGTGGCCGTAGACAGCTTGGGAGTAGGAGTAAGTCGTCCAGGGCCGCTGACCCCTGTCATGGCCCTTGCTTGGGTAGACGGATGAGCACAGACTCTCGTCCATAGATTCTCATAGGGCATGTCTCTGTGGTGTCGGGTAGGAGAGAGGGAGGAAGGAGCCCTCTCGGAGGGCCTCAGCTTTCCAGGCAGGCATTCTTGGCCCAGCCTCTGCTAAAAGAAACCCTGGAACCCAAGGATGGCCCCGCTGGCACCTTACACAGAATGTTCTGGAACAGTGGCTTCTGCCTGCCCCCCTTCCGCCCTGCCCCGGCCCCACACTGCTGTATGGCCTCGCCGGGATGTCTTTTGTGTGAAGTTGTGTTTATTCGGCCAAGGGACTTGACGTCTGAGGAAATGGCAGGGGGCTCCCTTGTTCTCCCCCAGGATGGACCGGATGGCCCCGGGTCCTGAGACAATGGGCTCAGGGAGGGGCCAGGTGCTGGGCGCAGGACAGGAAAAGGACAACTTAAACACAAACCCAACTGTGGACTTGAACTTGGACTGCAGAGACAAGAGACTATTTTGGCTGATTGAGGCTCTCCTCCCTCTCTCTTGGTGTCCTCAGAGAGAACACAGATTCCCCAGGGAGCTGATGGAGAAGGGGCGCGAGTAGGGGGGCAGGCAGAGGCAGGACCCGGGTGTCTAGGGAGACAGTAACAGTGACAAGTCTTCAGCACAGGGCTTGCTCTGAGCGCGTTGTATACAGTGTTAGCCTTGAAGAAAGATTGACACAGACACTCCATTTTAATATGGTTTGTGTATTGGTTCTGTATATTAGCTTTTTCATCCTCACAACTTTGATAACCCCAAGCACATAGCACCATCCACATTTTTATATGGGGAAACTGAGGCACGTAGGAGTATGCCTAAGGCTGCACAGCTAAAATGTGGTAGAGCTGGGATCATTTTGTTTGTTTTTAAGACAGAGTCTTGCTCTGTTGCCCAGGTTGCAGTGTTGTGGTACAATCATGGCTCACTGCAGCCTTGACCTCCCGGGCTCAAGCAATCCTCCTGACTCAGCCTCCCGAGTAGCTGGAACCACAAGCATACGCCACCACGCCAGGCTAAACTTATTTTTATTTTTGCAGAGATGAAGTCTCCCTTTGTAGCCAGGCTGGCCTCAAACTCATGGGTTCAAGCAGTCCTCCTGCCTTGGCCTCCCAGAGTGCCGAGATCATAGGTGTGAACCACCACGTCTGGCCTAGCGCTGGGGACCCCTCCTTCCTGATTACTGCCCTACATGCCACGTCTGTGTGTCTGCAGTGGTCGCCTCCCACCGCCCCGCACTGTTCCTCCCTGCCTGGATTCTGAGCAGAGCCCCCAGGCTCCAGCATCGGGTGGAAGGCAGGATGGGCCTGTGGCTCCAGGTGGAGACTCCGTCTGCTTTGGAGAATTCTGGCATACCTGCCACATGTGTATTTTGGAGTCACGCCTGTTCTTATATGTGAGGGTGTAGGCAGAGGGCTCCAGAACCTGCAAAGTGCATGTGCCGTGAAGTGGGCCGCCCCTGCAAGTCCTGCGCCTGTGGCCCCTGGTTTGGTGGTTGTCATCAGCACACTTCAGGGACTTGAGATTTTCCCCAGAACATGCCCCACGTACTCCAAAACCAGCACAAACCAGCCCGCTCCCTACCTCCTGTTCTGCCGGAGGTGTCGGCCGCTGCCTGTCAACAGTGTTGATCTGGTCTCCAAGGTGAGGACAGCAACCCAGTGGGCTCTGGAAGAAAATGCTAGAACTCAATGTGTCTTGTCTTTTAGAAATTTCTCTGTTTGGCCGGGCGTGGTGGCTCACGCCTGTAATCCCAGCACTTTGGGAGGCCAAGGCAGGGGGATCACCTGAAGTCAGGAGTTCGAGACCAGCCTGACCATGGCGAAAACCTGTCTCTACTAAAAAAAAAAAAAAATACAAAAATTAGCCGGGCATGGTGGTGAGCACCTGTAATCCCAACTACTCAGGAGGCTGAGGCAGGAGAATCGCTTGAAACTGGGAGGCGGAGGTTGCAATGAGCCGAGATCGCACCATTGCACTCCAGCCTGGGCGACACAGCGAGACTCCGTTTCAAAAAAACACAAAAAACAAACAAACAAAAAATCTCTGTTTGCATATGTGTTATAATGGAGAGATCTTTAACATGTAGTACCTAAAAATGACTCAAATAAATATGCATATGTTGGAAGATGGGTGTTCAAAGTATGTTTTTAGCTTTTAATATCAATGTTATTGGCCAGGCATGGTGGCTCATGACTGTAATCCCAGCACTTTGGGAGGCCAAAGCAGGAGGATCACTTCAGCCCAGGAGTTTGAGACCAGCCTGGGCAACATAGAGGGACCCCATCTCTACAAAAAATTTTAAAAACTATCTGGACGTAGTGGCACGTACCTGTGATCCCAGCTACTTGGGAGGCTGAGGTGGGAGGATCGCTTGAGCCCGGGAGGTGGAGGCTGCAGTGAGCTGTGATCCAGTCACCGCACTTCAGCCTGGGCAACAGAGGGAGACCCTGTCTTAAAAATAAATAAAATAAACTCGGCATTATTGAGGGGTGGTTTGCATTCAACAAAATGTACCCACTGTGAGGGGACTGCTCACTGGTGTCTGACATATGCGTACGTCTGTGTAACCCCCACCCCATTAAGGTCTAGAATAATGCTGTCACTCCAGAACGTTCCTTCTCAGGTATTCCTTCCCAATCATCTCTCCACCACAGCCAAGCCTTGGCAACTGTCATCTGCTTTACATCCCTTTAGGCTAGTTTTTAAATTTCTTCTTCCTTTTTTTTTTTGAGATGGAGTTTTGCTCTGTCGCCCAGGCTGGAGTGCAGTGGCCTGATCTCGGCTCACTGCAACCTCCACCTCCCAGGCTCAAGCAATCCTCCCACCTCAGCCTCCCAAATAGCTGGGATTACAGGTGTGCGCCACCACACCTGGCTAATTTTTGTATTTTTAGTAGAGATGAGGTTTCACCATGTTGGCCAGGCTGGTCTTGAACTCCTGACCTCAAGTGATCCGCCCACCTCGGCCTCCCAAAGTGCTGGGATTACAGGACTGAGCCACCACGCCCGGCCAATTTCTTTTTTTAAAACATTATGGTAAAATATACATAACATTACGTGGAATCCTGCAGTACCTTTTTGTGACTGGCTCGTTTTACCCAGTGCAGCATCCTCAGAGTCCCTCCAGCCTGTGGCAACCACATTTTCTTCCTTTTTAAGGCAGAGCCATCTTCCACTGTATGCGCGTACTACATTTTGTTTATTCGTCGTTTGTCTGCAGACTCCTGGGTCGTGTCCGCCTCTTGGCCGCTGCTGGTCGTGCCGCCGTGAGCTCGGGTGTGCAATGTCTGTTGGGGCCCTCCCGTCGCTTCTTTTGGGGTACTGGGGTAGTTTTGCCTGCTGTGGAACCTCATGGAGATGCAGTCACACAGCGTTGCTCCCCTGTCTGTGACGTCCGTCAGCGTTGCTGCGTGTATTGATAGCCTGTTCCTTCTGCTGCGTGGTGTTCCGTGGTAGCGATTTAGCGATTTGTTGGTCCAGTCTTTTGCTTTGGGACAGATGCTTGGGTTGCTTCCAGCTGGGGCTGTGTGAATGAGGAATGAGGAGCCCGTGGTCTTGGAGGCATGTGTGCACGGCATGGCAGCAGCTCCTTACACACCTGTTTCTTAGAGCTGATTGTGCGGGACTGTCTCACATACACAGAGATGGTCTGAGCAGGGGACCCAGGCCTTCTCAGGGCCAGGATACAGACAGAAATGAGACCCAGCCCCGGCCCCAAAGGGCTCCAGGCTCAGTGAGGTGGGGCAGGGTCACACCAGCCTGGGGGAGGCATGAGGAAGGCTTGCCCTGTGTGCTCCCGGCTGACTCTGGTTCCTGCCTCACGGTGCCGAGATGGTGGAGCAGCCAGTTCAGAGCCACAGTCATACAACAAGGCATCCTTACGGAGCCCTCGGGGAACGAGGTGCTCGTCTTTGCCTCCCCTTGTCTGCGGCCACAGCCAGGTCTCCGGGGGGTATGAGATTCTCCCAGATGGGAAACCCTGGCCTCGGCCTTCCTTCTCTACCCCGCCTGGGTTACCTCCAGAGTCAGTGGGATTTTACAGACACCCTCAGCCTGTGTGACCCGGGAGCTTTTCCAGGCCGCTGAGGGGAAGCTGCAGAGGGTAAAGGTTGGCCTCCTTATCTGGGCCCGGGAGAGAGGGATTAAAAAGCAAAGCCACCGCGGCCCTCTGGGTGTGACAGTTGGCTGATAAGAGGAAGGCTGCTTGGGGGTTGGGGTGATACTGGGTGAAAGGAGAAGTGGGTGGGACCCCCAGTAGGTCCTATCACTGACCTGGAGCTGCATGTGTCAAGATACCAGCCCCAGGGCCTGAGAGAGCAACACAAAATCCCTGGCTAGGCGCCAATGGGAACCATTTTTCCACCCTCACCCCTACTCTGCCTGCAGAAATAAAGCTGTTGCCGCAGGGCCAGCGGACCTTCTTTCTTAATTCCCTCCAGCTTCAAAGGCCTGTCCTGTCCGGCCCTACCTCTACCTCATGTGGTCTCTGACGGGCATTCATTGGGCACCTGCTGTATACCCGGAAAGCATTTATTGAGCACCTGCCATACACAGGCTCTAGGCCTAGGCTTTGGGATTCAAAGATGGAAGACACAGTAAGGGCTGAGTCATCAGGACAGGGGCTGCAAGAGGGGACAGTAGCAAAGCAGACCCAGAAGGCCACGAGAAAGAGATTCAGAAGAACTTGGAGGGAATGTCCCAGGGAAACGGTCCCCAGGAGGGAGGCCCAGCCACCTCTAGCGATTAATGGGTTTTGGCCAGGTCACCAACAAGGCTTCTGTGGTTGAAGGCCAGGAAGTTCTGAGTTCTCTCCGTGGGGCCTCCCTGGCTTGCTTCCTTTAGGGAAGTGGGTGGTGCTCAGGAGGTGTCGACTGGGGCTCCTCTGAAAAGGAGAGGCTGAACCTTCTCTCAGTAAGTAACAGTGGAGTTGGCTGCATGGGGGTGAGAAGAAATAGAGCCCCATCCAGAAGCTCCAGGAGGCAGGACGGTCGGCCAAGCAGCCTCTAGTTCCCAGGGAGGAGGAGGGTCTCCAGGGTGTTCCCTGCTTGCCAGGCGCCTCTGCAGTCCTTGCCTGTGTGGGCCGCGGGCAGGGCTCGTCTAGCACATGGGACATCGGTCACACCTCACGGATAACGGAGGGCTGGGCCTCCGCTGTGTTTCACACGGTCGGGTGGCAGCTTCTTCACCCACACTCAGTGTGACAAGGATCTGAGGTACCGCGAGGCCACGGGCCCTGCATGGCAGTGGCTTGGAACCCAGGCCCTCTGGCTCCCAGCCCCTGCCCTCTCCAGGAGCCTGCCTGGCCTGGAATGGCCATGTCACTGTTCCCGTCTCTGAGGGGTGAGAGGGAGGGAAGAGGTGCCCGGGGCCTCCTGGGATGGGCCAGGTGTGGCTGATTTTGCCACTGCTACAGGCAAAGGGATGGGGCTGCTGTCAGGAAAGATCATGGGTCACAGGGGAAGTCTGTAGAAACTCAGGACCTGGAATGGAACCGGCGAGGAATGGTGACCCTGTGCATGGGACACATGCCCCTGGAGTTTGGAGAAAGAGCAGGACGCCTGACGTGGTCATTGAGCCTTCCGGCCAGCAGGCCCCACCCCGACGAGTGGGCTGGGCAGTGGTCAGGTCCTGCCCTCTCCAGCACCTCGCCCAGGAAGGCTCCAGTGAAGCCGAGATGCAGAAGCGAGACAGGAGGGAGATTCCAGCTGCCCGTTCTGTGGCTCATTAGTGGCTCTGAGCAGCGTTTGGTCGGAAGGCAGGTGACGCAGGGCCTAAAATCTGGGCTGCAGGTTAGCTGTGGATGGTGGTGGCCCATGCTCAGGCTGTCCCCATGACAACAGACCATCAAGGATGGGCTGTGTGAAGAGGAGCCGATCCTGATTTTGATTCTCACAGGCATTTGCTAAGAGCAGGGGAGTGGAGAGAGGGCGGGACAGTGGAGACAGGGGGATCTCTGCCCCGCTCCTGGGAGCTCGGTGACTCCTGGACCTGAGACGAGCTTTAAAAATGCAAAGGTGAAGCTAAGTGAGGGCTTGAGGGCTGCCCGGCCGGCCCAACCTGGGGTCAACGGGGCTGCCCAGGCGCCTGAAAGCTGGGGCCCAGCTCAGCCAGGGCTCGAGTTCTGGGCTCAAGCTCCCATGGCGCAGGAACCCCCTGTGGGAGGAAGCTTCCAGAGCCATAGGGCTCACAGAGGCCACAGTCCCCATGTGGATTCGTGCCCAGCCCCCTTCCGAGGCGCCTGGTTGGCTTCGTACCTGGCCACTGACTTGTCCAGTCACTGTGTGTCTGCTGCATAGCTGATCCCATGGTGAAGGCCGAAGAGGCCCTGGCGAGAAAGATGAATGAAGGACAGAAAAGCCAGGTGTGAATTCAGAAATCAAATGGTACCCTAAAGCCCCGCAGCAGAGTGAGGGGTCAAGGAGGCTGGGGCGGTTGGGGTGGGCCTCTCTATGGAGTTTGTGTTTGAGTACAGGCTGGGATAGAGCCAGGAGCCATGGATAGCCAGACAGAGGCCTGAGGCAGGGAGGCGAGCGTGGCTGGAGCAGGGGTGGACGGAAAGGCAGCTGAGGCCAGCTCTTGAGTGAGGGCCATGGAGCCAGAAGTGCAGCCTTGGGCCCGGACCCCTCCCTGGGCACCATTTCCCACTGGCCACCCGGCTGGATTGCTGGCCTCTCATCTCCCACAGCCGTAGCTGAATCAGGAGACCCAGGCCAGAAGGGGAGGGGAGAAGAGAGGCACGCTGGCCGTTCTGAGCCGTTGCCGGGCCACCCTAGAGCCACCTGTGGCCGCCCGGCTGGCCCGCCAGCAATGGGTTTTTAATTATCTAAATATTGCCTCTGCCCTTTGCTTTCAGCCAGGACTGCTGAGCCCTGCAAAAGGCAAATCGCTTTCAGTGGCTCAACTTGTGGGGAGAGACGGAAGCTTTTCTCCCTGGCCTGAGTGCAGTGACTATGATCTGCTTGGTTTTCTTGGTGAGAAGAAATACAGCAGTGCGGCAGGGAGTTTACAAGTGTGGGGGTACTGGGGAGCAGAAATACACAAATTCCCTTCAGTCCCCAGCAGCCTTTCACCTCCTGGCATGTACCGTCTTGTCGCCGGCCCCATGCGTCCTTTCTTTTCTCTGACGGTGCTTGTAGCCAGGGAGCTTGACAAGGGCCTGGGTCTCGACTAAAGGTGCCCTGGGGGAGCCAGCCTTGGAAGCCAGCCGGTGGTTTCACTGGGGACTTGCCACCTTCGGAGGCCCCTGTGGGGAGGAAGTGGAGGAGGAGAGGGCAGGTACCGCTGCTTGCAGGGAGGAGGTCACCCACCAGACCAACCAGCTCTTGGAAAAGGATCTGGGAGCAGGCTCGGTGCCCCACTGCCGCTCTCTGGACACCCAGGATTTAAGCCACCTTCGTTTCCTTTCCTGCTTTAACCTCCCTCTTGCCCTGGAAGACCTCTGGGGCTCCTCCCCATCTCCCACCAGTCCCTCTCCAGCCCCCAAATCTCCCCCACCCACCTCGGTATCCCTTGGCTGGAGTGGCCTACAGCTGTGTTCACCAGGAGTGGGTCTGCCACTGACTCTGCCATCCGGGCCACCATGGCATCCGCCCTGGGTGCTCTTCAAGGCCGGTGCCCCTGCACAGTGCCAGCCCCGCGGGGCATGGCTCACCTTCCCCTGCCTCCACACAGCTTTGCCCACTCCTGTAAGTGTCTTAATTAAGGAGCTGTGCAGTTTATTTATGTATGGACCCAGCCTAATTGGTGTGTTTGTCTTTCCTCGTTATTCCCAGCTGGACAGAGCCGTTTGAACAACAAATGCAAAAAGCCTGGATCTCTCCACCGCAGTGTCTATTTTTGCAAACCTGCTTGGTGCCCCTGCTATTAGCTGCATGCACATGTTTCCCGGCTCCAGCCACATGCCCGTAAGCACTTAATTGTGGGTGCAGTTAGTCAAGGCGGGCGGCTCTCTGCAGATTTCAGGGGTGAGGGAACCTAATTACACCTGCAATTGAGTGCTTTAGCAGGGACAAAAGCTGCCTGTTCAGCTAATTGCAGGCACCAAAATTGCCCCCACAGAAAGAATCCCTGGTACAGGCTTTTCGAGCCAAGGCTATGAGTTGTAATAAAGAATGGATAACTCGAAATTATAACGGTGGGGGGTGCTTGTTTTGGCCTAAAGGATTCAGCTTTTTGCAATAGTCATTACACCTCTGGGTTGTTTTTCTCCACTGTTGGAGGCCGTTCTGTGGCTGGGTTTGTTTTTTCATTAGCGCCTGCGTTCACACAGAGACATGTCACGTTGAAGGGAAATTTGGGGTTAATCACCTCCTCTCACCTATCTGCTCACTGACTAGAGTGATTCACCAGGCTCACCCAGAACAGGCGGATGGCTGCCCTGTCCCCTCCCTGAAGGCCTTAGTCCAGTGTGTTCATTTAGTTAGTTTGCTACTGAGCTCCCATGTGGGCAGGGCATTGCTCTAGGGGTCATGGCAGGGAACAAAGGAGAGTCCTGGCCCTCGTGGGGCCTGTGACCTGGTGAGAGGTTAGACTGTGCCGCTTCTCTTGTTATGATTTCCTCTTCTCTGCAGACAGCTGCAGGCTCGTCTTTTATTTTATATCGAAGTCAGCAGGGTTGTTGTACAGGTGCCTATAATTCCAGCTTCCAAAGTCACTGCAGGTCTGCTTCTGTCAGCTGTTGTGGCTGCTGATTCTCGACTGGGAAGTGTGGTTTGTTGTTTGCCTGGTTATTTTTGATTGTGTACAGCTCATTGTATATGAAACATTTTTGTAGGCATACTTTGAAGCCCAGAAGGAAGGTGCTTTCCTTCAGGAGGACGTACACGTCTGGTAGGTGCCTAGAGACAGGGCTTTGGACCCCCTTCATCCAGTTCAGGCCTTGATGTTCAATGGGCAGCACTAGAGATTCCACCCTGCCTGTCCTTTCACACAGGGGCTGGTCAAGTTGCCCTTCACTCACACGGAATAGGTAGTTCTTTGGAGTCCCAGCTTATTGTGGGGAGGGTCTCCTATCGGATCCCCAACTTGTGCAAAGTGCCTGAGGCTTGGCTTTGTGTTCCCCTTGACCCTCAAGGCCATAAAAACAGAAATTCAAATTTGCTAGGACCTGTAGATGCCCTTGGGGCAAATGTGGCCTCTGAGCTAGGTCAGCTTGAGGATTTCCTATTTCCATTCCTTTTGGCATGGTGATCCCTTCTAGTCTTGACAGCTCTTTGGTGCTGGAGGTACCCAGGTGTGGTGGCTCACCACTGTAATCCCAGCTTTTTGGGAGGCTGAGGTAGGATCGCTTGAGCCCAGCAGTTTGAGACCAGCCTGAGCAACATGGTGAGACCCTGTCTCTTCAAAAAATTAGCCAGGTGAAGTGGCATGGGCCTGTAGTCCTTGATACTAGGGAGGCTGAGGCAGGAGGATCCCTTGAGCCCAGGAGTTTGAGGCTGCAGTGAGCTGTGATTGCACCACTGCACTCCGGCCTGAGCAATAGAGTGAGACCCTGTCTCAAAAAAAAGAAGCCTTGGGTACATTCTTATCTAGTTTTTTTGGGTTGGTTTTACTGGCCATTATGAGACATTCAGGCCACTTCGCCAAGCAGGGTGGTGTGGCGGGGATGGGGGTAGGGGCAGAGACAGAGCCTGAGAGGAGGGTCTGGGGGCTGTGCTCGACAGGGAGAATGGTGGGGAGCAGCAGGCATTTTGTCCAGCGCAGTCAGGGTGGGAGTAGGCAGCTGCATGGAATGTTCAGGAGGAGACCAGCATGGAGGAAGAGTCTAGAAGCCATCCAGGGAGGCTGATAGGCCAAGGCTGGGATGGTGAGAGCTGACCACCTGGGGGTTCCCCGGGAGGGCTGCCAGCTGCAAGAGGACAGCTTGAGTTGGGGGTGACCGAGACACAGTCAACAAAGAGTGCCAGGCCCTAGTCTAGGGCCTTCCCGAGGGACTTTCTCCACTGTGCCCTGCCAGAGGCGGAGCCTGGGTACCCGGAGGAAGCCACACAGCAGCCACCTGGCTGGCACAGGCCTCACTGTCCTGACCGTGTCCCCACTGCCCCAGCTGAGCTCCTGGGCCAAGTGAAAACCCTTTTCTAAGTCCGGCTGGTGGGAAAGTCTCACCTGGGGGCCCACACTGTCCCCCACTTCTTGCCCAGCAGACCCCTGCCAGCCACTCCGTGGACAAGGCAGGGCCACGGGCACATCACAGAGGGTTCGCTTCTGTGCCTGGGATCAGAGTGGGCCTGAGGTCCTGTTTCTGAGTTGTCACATAAGAGGCAAAGCCACGGGGCACGGTGAAGGGCTGTCTGGAGGACAGAGCGGCAGGGATGGTGTTGATGAGCAGTACAGGGGGAAGGGGCCCTGCATGGCACAGAACATTCCACATGCGTGTACTCTGTCAGGGGCCACGTCCCTGCCTCGCTGCTTGTCCTTGGTGTGACCTTGGGCTGACTTTCTCCATCTGCAGAAGGGGAGAGCAGTCTCCCTCCCCAGCACTGGGAACGGGCTGAGCATGAGGGAAGGCTGTCTGGGCATCAGGGGAGTTGTGAAGTTTGGAGATGTGTGGTTTTCAAAATGCATCCTTGCCCTCGGGGTAGAGAAGGCAGTATAAAGGGTGGGAGGCCCAGAAGACATCAGTCATTTCAGGGTTTTATTAGGGCAGGCCTCTGCCTTCAGCTGCCCTGCCCCACCCCCACCCCATCCGGTTTTGACCTTCTGGGTTGGAGGAGGGGGAGCCCGCTCTGCGTGTGATTGTGTGTGTGCATGTTGGAATTTGTAGAGTCAGGGCTGGGATGCGGGGAGGGTGTGAACCCACATTTGGATCAGCAGGCGAAGGCGGGGAGCAGGCTGCACAGGGCAGCTTTCTCTTTGGAAACCCGTTCTGTTTCTTAAATGTCAGAGTGAGCAGATGGTGTGTCTGAGTTTTATTAATCATGGGCTTACCGAGCTGGAGGGCCTGGGGGATCATTTCGTCCAAGTGTCCTACAGAGGAGGAGACTGAAGGCCAGAGCCACACTGCACCTGCCACAGGGGCAGAACCGTGCTGGGACCCAGCATCCTCTCCCACACCCATAAGCCTCCGCTGTGCAGAACTTAACAGGTGTGTCTCGCTCTGCCCAGGCGCAGCAAGCCTACCTCCCAATGAAGAGCTGAAGCGGAGATGCTTCTGGGTTGCTCCACCCCACAAACAACCGGAAAGGCTGTCTTTGGGACACATGGGTTGGGACTGTGACTGCTAACTAAGAGTGCTCTGGCCTTGGTGCTGTGTTCAGCTCAGCACAAGCTAGCGTTTGCTGTATGAGACTGATGGTCGTGAAGCCCGGGGGACTGTCCACACAGCACCTGGTTTGTGGGTGGCCCTGCTGGCCCCACCTCTTCACCATGATACTTGTGAGTCACATGACCTCCTCCCAAGTCCAGCACCAGGCTGGGGCTTCTCCCTCCCTGCAGCAGCTGCTGCAATACAGGGTACTCGGTAGTTTCCCTCATTACATGACCTGAGAAATGGAAGCCACTGTTTTTAGCGTAAATGCCCTTAAGAATGTCTCCTTGTAGCCGGGCGTGGTGGCTCATGCCTGTAATCCCAGCACTTTGGGAGGCCAAGGTGGGTAGATCATGAGTTCAGGAGTTCAAGACCAGCCTGACCAACATGGTGAAACTCCATCTCTACTAAAAATACAAAAATTAGCCAGGTGCAGTGGCAGGCGCCTGTAGGAGGCTGAGGCAGGAGAATTGCTTGATCCCAGAAGGCAGAGCTTACAGTGAGCCGAGATTGTGCCATGCACTCCAGCCTGGGCGACAGAGCAAGACTCCATCTCAAAAAAAAAAAAAAAAAAAGTCTCCTTTGCCTTGCTTTTCCCAAATATATCCTATAGCTGTTCCAGGGGCTAGGAGATGGACCCAACCGGACATAGCCTGGATTCTATAGAGATAGCAGAGGGAAGGCTAAGTCATACTACAGTGTGAATGATTAATAGTAGATATTTCTTTTCAGAGCAGGTTTTGTTTAGGTTGGGGAGAAAGAGGACTGCAGAGAAAAGGGATAAACACTGAGATGCCAGAGGCACCAGGGTTGCCCACCCCATAGAGTCCACACCCCATTCCCCATGTTTTTTGCATGAGCCCTGCTGGGGGGCAGGCCCTGGGTCCCTTCCCTTCTGATCCTGTTGTCCTGAGTCACAAGCTTATCCCTGTCTTGGAACCATTGGTTCTAAGCAGCACTGGAGAATCTGAGACAGCTGGAAGACCAGAGCACCCCATTCAGCCCCTCTAAATTTGTATGTGGTAAAGCTGGGGCCAAGAGAGGGCAGCTGTTGGCTCAAGGCCAGCCATAGTAGGAGGTCTAAAACTTGTGTCACCCAGCGTGCTGGCTGGATTATTTAGGCTATGCGAGTGGTTCTTTACGGAGGCAGTTTTGCTCCTTGGGGGACAGTTGGCCGTATCTGGAAACTTGTTTCTAATTTGAGACAGTATCTTGCTCTGTCATCCAGGCTGGAGGGCAGTGGCATGATCTCAGCTCACTGCAACCTCTGCCACCCAAGCTCAAGCAATCCTCCTGCCTCAGCCTCCCAAGTAGCTGGGACTACAGGCGTGCACCACCACACCTAGTTAATTGTATTTTTTGTAGAGATGGGTTTTCGCCACATTGCTCAGGCTGATGTCGAACTCCTGGGCCCAAGTGATCCACCCACCTCGGCTTCCCACAGTGTTGGGATTACAGGCGTGAGCCACTGCGCCAGCCTGTAGACATATTTTGATTGTCATGACTGTGCCGTTCTATTGACATCTCGTGGGTCGAGGCCGGGGATGTTGCTAAACATCCTGCAATGCACGGGACAGTCCCCGCAGCGAAGAATCATCCGGCCCCCAGTGTCAGTTTTGCCGAGGCTGAGAAACCTTGAGCTGTGCCCATGCTTTGTAAGTGCCAGGACAGAGGAGCCATTCTACTGAATACCCCATGCTGGGGACACATCGAGAATTCCCCCATCAGTTCAGGCATGACCCGCTGGAGGGCAAGTAAAGGACAGCTCAGGCCACGGGGACAGTCCAGAAAGAGCAGGCGAGGAAGAGCAATAGGAAAGGAAGTGGCTGGGGCTGACTCCAGATTTCTTTGCAAGGTAAAGGCAGAGAAGGACACAGAGGGCCCTCGGGCATCCCACTCTGGTCTGTCGCACTAAAAAGCTCGCACCCAGCATGAGGGGAAAGACAGGGATGAAGCCGCTCATAGAAACCACATCTTGTTGGCCAGAGGGCTACATGGACCTGAACCAGTTAGGCCCAGGAGGAGACAGCGAGATCTGCGTGTCATCCACAAATGGGGAATTAACAACCCTGGCAGTGACTTCTTGTCCAGCAGACCCCAGCAGCGGACAGTGGGAAGGGCTGTTCGCAATGCCTGTTTTCCTGGAGCAGGGCCTCGCCTGGTCTCTGGAGTGCCTGGGGAGAAGAAAGCCTTGTCGGTTTGCCCCCAGGCAGCAGAACAGGACCGCGGCCGGAGCAGGATGTGAGGAGGCCAGCCGTGCCCGCGCTGTCACGGTGTCCACAGATGGTGTGTGAGCCACTGGTTCAGGGACTGCAGAGTCGCATTTATTCCCATATTTCTCCTCCCCTCGGGAGACCTCCGTGGTGCCTTCCAACAGCTCTTGCCAGGCCCCCATTGGCTCTGCACAATGCAGAATGTGGACAACCAGGGCTGTCTGAGATTACCAATGGACTCCCTCCAAAAGTGGCCCGTCTGCGTCCCAGGAGGCGTTCCGAGGACAGGCAGAGGGTCCCTTCACAGGGATGAGCTATGTGGCCTGGGCAGTCCCCAACACAGTCGCTGTCTGATTTCTCTGGCATCTCCGTAGTCATAGGAAGGAAGGCCTTTTGTCATATTGCTGCCTCTATCTTGTAAAACCATTATTTTAAAGAGTTCCCAAATACTGAGCTTGCTGGCAGCTTGCTCCAGGGGCAGCCCCAAAATGGAGGTCGGACACACAGTTCTGCATGTAGACTGCAGATGCGGTGTTCTTGCCCTTCCTGTTTTTTGTTTGTTTTGCTTTTAATTAAGAAGGGTTTCTGGGTAAAGCGTCTTTGCCAGCTCCTACCACAGAGAGATGAGAGAGTTGAAAATACAGGGCCTGGCTTCCGACTTCTCTGAGTTCCAGTCTGAGCATTGCTTCTTACTGGCTGTGTGACCTTGGGCAAGTCACTTCACTTTTCTAGGGCTTTTCAGTTTCCTCATCTGAAAAATGGAGATAATAATAGACTTGCTCTTGTTGTGAAGATGTAACAAGATAATGTACTTAAAGCATGTAGCACAGTATTCGGCAGAAAGTCAGCATCCGGAAAGGAGACCTAGAGACCTATGGGTATGTGTTGTTAGTTTGTTTTTTTGGTTTGTTTGTTTGTTTGTTTGTTTGTTTTTGGAGACAGAGTCTCACTGTCGCCCAGGCTGGAGTACAGTGGCGTGATCTCGGCTCACTGCAAGCTCCGCCTCCCGGGTTCACGCCATTCTTCTGTCTCAGCCTCCCGAGTAGCTGGGACTACAGGCGCCCGCCACCACACTCGGCTAATTGTTTTTTGTATTTTTAGTAGAGACGGGGTTTCACTGTGTTAGCCAGGATGGTCTCGATCTCCTGACCTCGTGATCTGCCCACCTCGGCCTCCCAAAGTGCTGGGATTACAGGCGGGAGCCGCCGCGCCCAGCCATTAGTTTTTTATTTTTCTTGAGACAGTCTAGCTCTGTTGCCCAGGCTAGAGTACAGTGGCCCGATCTCAGCTCACTGCACCTTCCGCCTCCCGGGTTCAAGCAATTCTAGTGCCTCAGCCTCCTGAGTAGCTGGGATTACAGACGTGCGCCACTGTGCCCAGCTAATTTTAGTATTTCTTAGTAGAGATGGGGTTTCACCATGTTGGCCAGGCTGGTCTCGAACTTGTGGCCTAAGTGATCCACCCGCCTCAGCCTCTCAAAGTGCTGGGGTTACAGGCATGAGCCACCCCGCCCGGCCTGTGTTGTTAGTTAAACTCACACAAGCCCCCGTAACAAAGAGGCTCAACCTCTCAGGGGTGCATTATATTAGAAGTTGTACAGTAGATATTTATTTCTCAAGGACACACCCATATAATGTAGGATTGGTGGGGAGCCAGAACAGGGGCCTCTGCCCTGAGCATCATTTGGGGAGTTGATGGAGGTGTTGCTGGCTTCAGTATCTGTACTCAGAGTCATCCTGGGAGAAGGTATTCATAACAAAGACCTAGGAAGAGAAAAACAGAGGCTCGCACAGGCAGCTCTTCCGGGCCAGGCCTGGACGCGGCCAGTGATTCCTTCTCCCACATTCTCTTGGCCAGAACTTGGTCACCTGGCCCCACCCAATTGCCCTAGAGGCTGGGATGAAAGGGCATGGCTTGGTAAGAAGCTGGCCACCAGGGATTCTTGTCGTTACTGTCACCCCTGGCCCTGTGGGGCCTGAAGGTGTGCCCAAGGCCAGCAGTTAGAGGTAGATCCTCAGGAAGGCTGGCGGGCCACTTCCCCGGGCAGATGGCCACGTCCGATGATCTCCGGGGGCCAGGCTTCCACCCAAAGCCTGGCTGGTAAATGTGTGTCACGAGGGAGTGAGATGAGACGGCGGGCAGGTCCCAGTGGAGTGTGGACGTGAGTTTTGTGGAGGGCGGGCAGCCTCACCACACCCCTGTCCAGGGCCTCAGGACACTTTATCTCAATCTCAGTCCCTGTGACACACCTGAAGGATGGCTTGACCCAGCTGTGGCCCAAGGCATGCGGCTTCCAGACTTGGACAATGCCCAGAGCTTCCCAGGGCTGGTGGGACAGAGGGCATTTGATAGAAGTGACAGGATGTATTAGCTTCCTGTGGCTGCTATAACAAATTACTGCAAACTGGGTGGCAGCTTAAAACAACAGAAATGTATTCTCTCACGGAATGAAACTGAAATCCATGTGTCAGCGGGGCCATGCTCCCTCTGGAGGCTCCTTCCTGCCTCTTCCAGCACCCGGGGAATCCAGACATCCCTCGGCTTGTGGCCATATCACGCCAATTTCTGCCTCTATTTTCACGTGGCCATCTCTCCTGTGTGTCTTGTCTTTTGTCTGTTCCTCTTTTAAAAAACATGTTTTTGGGGTAATGTGATAGTTTAATAAATTTATATAATTAATGTATAATTTAATACATTTGTATAATTAGTACAGATCAAACCAGTATACTGGGGCTAGGTGTGGTGGCTCATGCCTGTAATCCCAGCACTTTGGGAGGCCGGGGAGGGTGTATCACCTGAAGTCAGGAGTTCGAGACCAGCCTGGGCAACATGGTGAAACCCTGTCTCTACTAAAAATACAAAAATTAGCCAGGCGTGGTGGCATGTGCCTGTAATCAGCTACTTGGGAGGCTGAGGCACAAGATTCACTTGAACCCTGGAGGCGGAGGCTGTAGTGAGCCGAGATGACACCACTGCACTCCAGCCTGGGTGACAGAATGAGTCTCTGTCTCAAAAAAAAAAAAAAAAAAATCAGTGTACTTGGTATATTTTTCTTTTCTTTATTCTAGAAATATTTGAGGCCGGGCGAGGTGGCTCATGCCTGTAATCCCAGGACTTTGGGAGGCCGAGGCGGGCGGATCACGAGGTCAGGATATCGAGACCATCCTGGCCAACATGGTGAAACGCTGTCTCTACTAAAAATACCAAAAAAATTAGCTGGGCGTGGTGGCGCATGCCTGTAATGCCAGCTACTCTGGAGGCTGAGGCAGGAGAATCACTTGAACCAGGGAGTCAGAGGTTGCAGTGAGCCAAGATTGAGCCACAGCACTCCAGCCTGGTGACAGAGTGAGACTCTTTCTCAAAAAAAAAAAAAAAAAAAGAAAGAAAGAAAGAAAGAAAGAAATATTCGAATTATTCTAGCTATTTTGAAGTGTACAATAGATTATTATAAACTATAGTCACCCTACTGATCTATAGAACACTAGGTCTTCTTTTTTTTTTTTAAACTAGGTCTTATTTCTATCTAATTGTATATTTGCACCCATTAATCAACTTCTCTTCTGCCCTCCCGCCTCTGTCATCATGAGATCCACTTTCTTAGTTCCCACATATTAGTGAGATCATGCAGTGTTTGCCTTTCTATGTCTGGCCTATTTCATTTAACGTAAGAATCTCCAATTCCACACGTGTTGCTGCAAATGACAGGGTTTCATTCTTTTTTACGGGTGAGTAGTATTCCATTGCGTGTAGGTACCACATTCTCTAGATTCCTTCGTCCGTGTTGGACACCGAGGTTGATTCCATGTTTTGGCTGTGGTGAACAGTGTGGTGATAAACGTGGGGGTGCAGGTGCTTCCTCTTGTTATAAAGACCCTTGCCATTGAGTTTAGGCCCACCCTAATCATCCAGGATGATCTGGTCTGGGGATTCTTTTTTTGTTGGAGACGGAGTCTCACTCTGTCACCAGGCTGGAGTGCAGTGGCTCGATCTCGGCTCACTGCAACCTCCGCCTCCTGGGTTCAAGTGATTCTCCTGCCTCAGCCTCCCGAGTAGCTGGGATTACAGGCGTGCGCCACCACGTCCAGCTAATTTTTATATTTTTAGTAGAGACGGGGTTTCACCATTTGGCCAGGATGGTCTTGATCTCTTGACCTCATGATCCGCCCGCCTCGGCCTCCCAATGTGCTAGGATTACAGCCGTGAGCCACCGCGCCCGGCCTGGAGATTCTTAATTGCATCTTCACAGATTCTTTCTAAATAAGGCCACATTCACAGGTACCAAGCAGACATATCTTTTTTCTTTTTCTCTTCTTTTTTTTTTTTTGAGACAGGGTCTTTGCTCTGTCGCCTAGGCTGGAATGCAGTGGCACAAACACAGCTCACTACAGCCTCAATTTCCTGGGCTCAAGAGATCCTGCTGCCTCAGCTTCCCATGTAGCTGGGACTATAGGCACACACGCCACTAAACCTGGCTAGCATTTTTATTTTTTGTAGCGACGGAGTCCCACTGTGTTGCCCAGGCTGGTCTTGGAACTCCTGGGCTCAAGCAGTCCTTCCACCTCGGCCTCCCAAAGTGTTGGGATTATGGGTATAAGCCACTGCACCTGGCCATGTAGACATCACTTTTGGCAGATTACCATTCTGCCTGCTGCACAGGGGCAGGCTGGGGATGCCTCGGTCCCAGGATCCTGGTTAGATGCTCTGAGAGGAGACAGCACCCGTGGGTGGGGTGTGCCCTGTAGCTCCCACCAAGCAAAGGTAAAAACAAAACCTGGATATGCAGAAGTCACCATGAGGTGTGACCGCACAGAGGTTCCCTTTTTTCTTTCAACCTCAGACTGGCTTGAGACTTGGAATGTTCATAGACGGTCCAGGGACCTAAGGACTAGAGCCGGACAGAAAGAGAAAGAGGGTGTGTCCTCTCCTTGTATGCCCTTGCCCTTGCTGAGCGACTTCACTTCTCTGGGCCTCAGCATCTTCATGCACAAAAGTGGGTGATGGTCACTGTGGTGCCCATCTCAAGGGGAGGGGATGCTGGGGCAGGTCGTAAGTAAGATGACATCGTAGGAAAGCAGGCATTGTGGAGCCCCAGTGCACTAAGGCCCCATCAGTGGGAGCTGCTATTAGCATTATTACCACTGTTATCTGAAACACAGGACTAATGGCTGCTCTGCTCATGGAGTCTCTGTGTGCCAGGCACCGGTGTGATTACACGTATCTTCCTGGAGTGCAGGGGTGATTCGCCTCATTTTCCAGGTAAGGAAACTGAGGGTCAAAATGTTAATGTCACTGCCCGAGGGCACACAGAGGGTGGGGGCGAGACGGAATTTGAAGTCTGACTGCAAACCTTTGCCGATGGTAATGAACATGCACTCTGGAGCCAGCTTGGGTTCCAACCCCAGCTCTGCCACCCACTGGCTGTGTGTCCTTGGGCAAGCTGCTCGACCTCTCTGTTCTTCATCTGGAAAATGGAACTCATGGTGACCTTGAACCAGATTGTCACGAGGATCCAATGCGCTATCCAGGAAAAGTGCTTAGAACAGCAGCTGGCACAGACTGAGCAGGCGGGAAGCATCAGCTGGTATTATTACCCTAAAGAGGGAAACGGAGGCTGCCCACCCGAGAACAGACGGGGCATTCCAGGTTAGCCACGCAGCTTCCCCGCCCCTCCCTTTCCTGGAATTTGGGGAGCAGTGCCTCTCTCCAGAGGGGGGGGTTGTGGCCTGGTCCTGGGGGGCCACCAGATGCCAGTGGGCACAGCTCCCAGCCGAGGCACCCCGCCGCCTGCACTCCAGACCCCAGCCTGCAGCCTCAGTTTTCCCAGCACGTGCTGGGAGGCTATTTTTATTGCTCTCAGCTGACTCTCTTGGCCAGCTAGGCTGTCTCCGTGCTGTGGCAAAGACAGCCCCGCTAGAGGGAGTCTGGGGACCCTCCATTTTGAAGGTGCAGCTGGTGTTGGGTGGGGGGCTGCATCTTCAGATTGGGGATCCGGCGGGCCGCATGCCGCCTCCTGGGAAGCAGCCCAGCAGCCCCCAGCTTGTTTTCTCCCATTGAGAGATGAAGCAGTTTTCTCTCTTTTTCTGCTGTGTCCAGAACATGGCCCTGCGCTGTTGGGGCCCATTCTTCCCTCTGACCTTGGGTGGGTGTGCAGCGTGGGCAGGGCTTTTTCAGGGAGGTGCGGGGTGAGTTTGCCCCTTGGCGTCCCCAGTCTTTAACAAGGGCTACCTGGAGGCTCAGGTCTGGGTGGTCCAGCCTGCCCAGTTTCCTACCTCTTTTCCATAAATGTCTGACTCCTCCCCAGCGGTGAGCTGAGGGATGGGGACAGAGAGCATTGCCACCACCAGGCTTTTCCGGAGAAGTGTGGGTGGAGAGAGACAGAGACATCCTTTCCTTGGACAGAATCCCTCTGGTGTGAAGTCTTACGAAGAGCGCTGCCCTTCTCACATGGGCACCTGGCAGTCTGTCCTGGTGTGGCCTAGACTGGTGGCCCCTGTCACCCCTAGCCAGGCCATAGGCACCCTCAGAGGCAGGGGTGCTGCAGCTCCCCTGGGAATGAATGGCTGTAGTGATGGGTTCCAAAAGCCACAGCCAAGCCACAAGGGACAGTGGGAACGGGAAAATCCTTCCCGCTACCCCGTTCAGCCACACTGTGGCAAACAACCGGGCCGTTCAATGGAAGGCCGCCCGGGAGGCTCACGGCGGGGCACGGTGGGGTTGCTTTCTGTTTCTCAGCTGTTTCGGCATCAGGTCGGCAGCTGTGGTGTAACCACCCTCCCATAGTGGGTCTCATATTTTCCTCCCTTACAAAGGTCCCTGTCACCAGGAAATGTCACTAACCTACTTTGAGACGCCCAGATCCAGGGCCAAAGGAGGCTGGGCTATCGCTAGAATTTTACAGCTCTCCTTCCCGAGGATGTGGCTAAAAGCAATTAGGGCTTGGCCTGAGCATTTTAAGGTAATTCGATGCAGGCATTCAAATACTTATTAGAGGGAGATGTTTACCTTTGACTAGGAAGCAAAGATCAGCCAGGAGCTGGCCCACCGGCATGCCCACTCTTCTCTGGCCCTCTCCTTCCTGGTCTGGCCTACCCACCGCCAGCCAGGCCTGGGGAGCTCTCCAAGCCCCTGCTTCGCCTCCGTGCACTCAATTTCTTTCTTTCTTTTTTTTTTTTCTTTGAGACGGAGTCTCGCTCTGTCGCCCAGGCTGGAGTGCAGTGGTGCGATCTTGGCTCACTGCAAGCTCCGCCTTCAGGGTTCACACCATTCTCTTGCCTCAGCCTCCCCAGAAGCTGGGACTACAGGTGCCCACCACCACACCCAGCTAATTTTTTGTATTTTTAGTAGAGACGGGGTTTCACCGTGCTAGCCAGAATGGTCTCGATCTCCTGACCTCGTGATCCGTCCGCCTCGGCCTCCCAAAGTGCTGGGATTACAGGCGTGAACCACCGCACCCGCCCCTCCTTTTTTTTTTTTTTTTTTTTTTGAGACGGAGTCTCGCTCTGTGCCCAGGCTGGAGTGAAGTGGCGCGATCTCGGCTCACTGCAACCTCCGCCTCCTGGGTTCACGCCATTCTCCTGTCTCAGCCTCCCGAGTAGCTGGGACTACAGGCGCCCGTCACCACGCCCGGCTAATTTTTTTGTGTTTTTAGTAGAGACAGAGTTTCACCGTGTTAGCCAGGATGGTCTCGATCTCCTGACCTCGTGATCCGTCCGTCTCGGCCTCCCAAAGTGCTGGGATTACAGGCGTGAGCCACCGCGCTCAGTCTCAGGTGGACCTCGATGGCTGTCTCCAAGTGATCTTGCCTGGAAGCCAGGCTGATGGGAGCTCCAGACTAAAGGCCCCTTTCCCAATCTCCACAGGTGGCTCCCAGGAGGCAAGCTTCTTTCTGGCATAGTCTTCCCCACTGCAGCAGGGGAAGGGGGGCACCCAGCAGATTGGGGGAGCACCCCTCCCTCTGTACCATGCCTGTGATTGGCTCATAATTACAGGTTTATTGCCTGTACAGCTATTGTGTAATGACATGTTTGCAAATTAATTTTTATGGCTCCTGCCATTAGCATATACAGTGGAGGAAGGTTTAGTATTAATTACTACTGTTGTTCGTGTAATCCCGGAGAATTAAAAACCAATATAAGAATGACAACAGAAACTGATAGTTTAGGGTCTTTTAAAAATAGTTTTCTTTTTTTTTTCCCCCAAGTAAGATGGGAGATTTTTCCAGTTTGTGAGGGGTTAGCGGGTGGGCGGTCTAACCCGCGCTCTGGCCGCCCCCCGCCCCGCCCCCCAGGGGCACAGATCATGCAGCTCGCGGGTGATAAATGGGTGGGAGGGGAAAGCGGGGGCTGGAGCGGAGGCCCGGCGGGGCGCGCGGGGTGGGGGCAGGGAGGGCAGGTGCCGGACCCCGACCCCGCCGCCCCGCTTGCCAGGCCGCCGCCGCCGCCGCTGCCGGCGGGTGCAAGGGGAGGCGCAGAGAGCGCGCCGCCACGCAGCTCCGGAAACAAAGGGCCGCCGGCGCCGAGGGCCTGGCGCGACCTCCAGGGTCAGCGCGGGGCGGAGCAGCCAGAGGTTGGCGGCGGGCGCGGGCGGCCCCGAGCGGCCGGTTTCCTACAGGTCAGCAGCTCTGGCGCCCTCCCCTGCGCCCGCGTGCGCTAGGCCGCCCGCTGGGAGGGGGCGCCAGGCGGGGCGCAGCAGCGAGCTTGGGGACTCAAAGACGCTCCTCGCACCCCGGCGGTCGAGCCCCGGAGGAAGGCGGCCGCCAGCACGCCGCAGCCACCGAGCTGCTGGCGGCGGCGGGGAAGAGCGCCACCCCTCCCTTGGCTCCGAGCGCTCCGCCCAGCTCATTTAAGAATTTTTCTGGCGGGGTAGGCGAGGGTTTGGCAAGTGGCTTGGAGAGGTCAAAAGGCACGCCGCTGCCCCCACTCCCCCATCTCCTCCAATTTGCCCTCCGTAGCTTTTCTCTAGGGTATCGTATTCCGGGAGTTCAACTGTCATTTGAAGCCGCTGCATTTAGCAGGGACCCCGGGGCTGCCGCTGGGGACCCCTGATTTACGCAGTGGTTGGAGAGCGTTGGCAGGAACCCAAGCCTGGTGTGAGCGCGGTGCCCCGCCGTGTGTACCTGCGGGCTCAGGTCTGTTCCTCAAACCATGATTGTATCTGGGGTCAAAAGGTGACCCCTTAGTGTCACCAAGTCGTGATTCCGGCTGGTTGTGCCACCGAGGGGCCCCTCAGGAGGTAAAAGGGCTTGAAAATAAATTGTCACATCAAGAGGCAGCTTTGCAGCGTGCGTTTAAGGAGAGGGTGGGGGGACGTGGGTAAATGGATCCTGTCTCTTTAAAATCGCTGGGCTGGACAATGAGCGCACAGGATGTGGTTTGGCGGCAGGGTTTTTTCCCCTTCGATTTGGGGAATTATCACATGGGGCCTTCTTGAGCTGGTGTGAAAGGGAGGCGGCGTGGGGAGGAGAGATACAGGCTCCACACTCACACTCTCTGTGCAGTTGATCGTTTTCTTAAACCAAATTAGCCGGGGCTTTCGTTACTATGGTGCAGCCGGGGCTTGCAGAATCCCAGTAATAGCATTTATTAGGTCTATTTGCCTGGAAGCATGCCTTCCCGGATCTGATAATGCACCAGTGCAGGGAGAGTGTGGGAGATGCTATCAAGCATTTGATTACACTTGCAACAGGGATTTTTAAGGGGTGGGGTGCGGGGTGAGGGGTGAGAGGAAAAGAAAGGAGGGAAACAAACCGCTCGCCCGAGGAGCTCACCAGGGCCGGCCGGCGTGTGCGTTGCCGCAACCCCGCGTGGGTTCCACAAAAGGCGGCCCCGAGTCTCCGGGTCACGGTTTGGGGATTCTCCTCCCGGGTCCTGGCGGAGGGCGAACTCCCGGCTCCCGCAGCTGTCAGTCGTGGGGGGGGAGGGAGGGAGGACGGACGGGCGGGCGGGCGGGCGGCCAGAGCGCGGAGTTGGGCAGCCGGAGGGGGGGCCAGCGGCGCCCGCAGCCGCCCACTGTTTGCAAACGGCCCCCGCTTCGGAGCGAAGGGGAGCACCCTGCCTTCGGCAGCGGCACCCTCCCCGGGTTTGGAGAGGCGAGCCCGGCTTCCTGCGCCCCGCTCCCCGTCCGCATGGATCTGCCGCCCGGCTCGGCGGCCGCGCGGGGGGAAGCTCGCAAGTGAAACTATTATTATCGCCCTGCGAAGCATGGAGCTGTTGGAAGATGCCGCGTAGAGACGGAAGGAGCCGCCGCCGCCGCCGCCTTCAGCCGCCCGCCGCTGCGCCCCTACCCTTTCGCTTTCATTAGGGGAGACAAATCTGCTGTCAGGCAGCCAGCTTTCCAATTTACCGATAATGATTCTTGCATGAAAATTGATCGAGGGGCTCTCCACCGCCGTGCGCTCTCGCCTCCCCGCTCTCCTCCTGCCTCCTTCTGCCCAGGCGCCAGAGCCCCCGCGAGTTCTTTCTCCTCCTCCTTCCACCCCCTCTCTCTGAGTCAGTGGTGGGACGCCGGGCCAGGGAGATAACCAAAAAAGGGGGGGGAGGGGTGTTGGTGGCGAGAGGGGGAGGGGAGCCGGCTCCCCAGCCTGCTTTCTCCTGCCGGAGACTTGTTTGCAATCGCCGCCTCTTTTATTTACGAGAAGAAATCTCCCCCTCGGTACTTCTTGGCTGTTTGGGTATTAATTTTCTCCTCTCCCCTCTCCCGCTCGCCCCCTCCTCCTCTCCCCGCCACCCCGCCCCTCCTCACCCAGTAGCTAAGGGGAAACAAAACAAAGCCGATTTCTCCTTGGCAACAAGAGATACCCCCTCCCGCCGCCCCCCCCTTCCTTTTTCCTTCTGGTTCTGAACGTGAAACCCTGTTGGAAACAGGTCTCTTGACCCTCGCCCTTGACATTCAAATGGCTGAATGGAGGAGAGATTGCTACTCGCACGTCCTGGGGGCTGTTTTTTTTTTCTTTCCCCCCTCTCTCTTTTCCTTTCAAATGAGTAATCCCTGAAGATCTTAACCCCCCAATTTCATCACCCTCACCTCCCCCCTTTATTTTTCTCTCGCTCCTCTTCCCCGCCTGCTTCCCTCCGCCGCGCTCCCCCCTCCTTTTTTTTATTTGCATCTCAAGTCCAAAAGGCAGAAAATACACACGCGGCGAAGACACCCGGGCAGCCGTGGAGGCTCCGGCCCGTCCTTGGTCGTCAATTACCTCATTGTGGATCTGCCAGGGCCAAGGTGGCCGAAATTGCCTGGGCGCTGGTCGGAGAGAGAGCCTTTTGATCATCTTGCGGGGCGGGGGGGGGAAAGACTGATTTTTTTTTTTCGTCGCTCTCGGGATCGCTCTTCTGCCTTTATTTTATTGTTTTGGACATTTTTGAGCGCCGTGGCTTGAACGGTGCTTTTTGTTCATTCCTGGGTTTTAATATTATTTTCCTTCTTCATCCCTCTCTGGCCACTATGGAATTCTAATTTGAACCATGTTTGGATTGAAGCCGCCTCTGTATTACTTACCAGGTAAGCGAGCCGTGCGCCTCCCTGGGTCCCGCGCGGCGCCGGCGCGCCCGGGACCCTCCCTCACCCGACCCCCCTCCGCCAGACCCCCGAGCCAGGGTCGGGGCATTGGGTCCGCCGGTGCCCCCCGCAGACGCGCGCGGCCTCGGATCCTCCCGCTGCGGTCAAGCCCGCGGTGTGCGCGGCTACGTGCGGCGGGGAGCGCCCACCTGGCCCGCCGCCCCCATCGCGCCGCCGCCGGGGGTTGCGCGTCTCGCTCCTTTTGTCTGCCGGGAGCCGGCTCCGCCGCGGCGGCGGAGCGAGCGGCCGAGGCACTTAAACCTTCCAAGGTGAAGTAAGCGCCGAGTGTGAAGTTACTTTCCTGCAGGCCGCCCCGATCGGGTAGCATGCCCCCCCCCCCCCCAGTCCTGGGGTTTATTTCCCTCTCCCTCCAGCCAACCCCCTTGCGCGGTCTCGGCGCGAGCGTGGCTCGCCGGCCCCCCCGCCGCCCCCCTTCCTGCCTGGGATTCCCTGGAAGGTTTTGTTCCGCCGAGGTCGGAGGAGGGGGCCGGGGAAGCTCAGGAGGGTATTTGGCGTGGCTTCCTGTTTCCTTAACCTTCCTGCGCGGTGACAGCCGCTTGCCCTGTAACTTTCTGTTTCGGGGCAAGTCGCGCTTTCAGCCTGGAGGGGAGGGGAGGGGAGGGGGTTGACAGCTGGAGGTTTGGGGAGCCCCTCCTGAATTCACCTTATTTGGATTTCTAAACCTTAAAAAAAATTAAGTGTAGGCTACATGGAAGCTGGTGATCCAGGAATTCAGGCGAGGGAGCCCTGGGTGGTGAACCCCAGGGTTCTTCCCCACCGCGCGCCGTCACCCCCACTCCTGTGCCCCCTGGGGTCGGGGAGAAACGCACAGGCCTGCCCCAGGTGGGGCCACGTGACGCAGGTCAGGAAGGCTGTGCTGCGTGTGACTGCTGGTTCTAGGAATGAGCTGATTTTATTCCTCCCTCCCTCCGAGTTGATCTCCCTTGAGCTTTGACACACGGTACCTAATGAAGGTGGGGTGTGTGTGGGTGGGGAGGGTGATGTGGGGGTGTAGGGAGGAGAGGGGAAGTTCCTAGTTTTCCCATGTTGAGGCTTTTATAAAATTCTGCAGAAGACGCTGCCCTGGAGCTTTATTTCTGAATTGTTTTGCTGGGGAAGGGTGCACGTGGCCCGGTGTTCGGTTTCGGGTTTTTTTTTTTCCTCTGTTCAGAAGATCCTGTCACTTTTGCTGAGGCTTCCACACCTCTCTGGAGTCCCCAGGAGGAGCGTGTGGGGCAGGAAGGGGCCTGGACAGGACCCAGCTCCCTTGGATCTGGCCTTTGCTGCCCTAACCTGGGCAAACGTTTTCACTGAGTTAACAGAGCAGGGCAGAGGGTCACCAGAGTCCAACTGACTTAAAAAAAAAAAAAAGGCAGGAGAGACTCCTCCTGGAGGAAATCTGTACTTTTACTCTTTTTGAGTTTCGTGGTGTCTGTTTTAGTTCCCAGTAACTGACCAGGTCTATGTTTTTTTCTTGGTGTGTATGCCGTTTTGATAGGAAGAATATTGAATATTTTCCAGCGTTTCCATTCCATTCTTGATCTTTTTTTTTTCTCCTCCTCTGCCTGAAATGCAAAGCAACAACAAACAGCAAGCTTCGCTTTTCCCTCCCTCCCCTAGCGGATCCAATCCAAATTAGAACCGGGAATCCCCAACTTAGTAAAATAAAGGTTGTAAGGGGAGGGCGGAGTGAGCCCTTGGGAACTCAGAGCTATCTCTCCCATGGGAAGATTCCAGGTAAATGAGGGCTGGGTCTGAGTCGCGCTGACATTCATCAGAGCCCTTTAGCCCAAAATGAAACAGATCCTCATGCTGTATCTGGGTTTTTCTCGTCTGTCTCCCCCCGGGTCTGTGGCTGGGGAAAGCAGAGAGCTTGTGCCTCCCCGGCAGCTATGCCTGCCTTGGAGGCGCTCAGGACCAGCTTGTGCCAAGAATGAATCTTCTTAAGTACAGGGCGTCTTCAAAGCACAGGTGTTTGTAATCTACACCCCTCTTCACCTGCCACTGGAGGCTGCTGGTGCATATTTATTCATCAGGTGACCGATTTTCTGTTTACACAGGGAGACTCAGAAAGAGGAGGAGGAAGTGTCAGGCTGGGAAATTCAAAGCCATTAAGGAAGATCAGCCCAGGCTGGAGTAAAGCCCCCAGTGGGTAGGCAGGAGGGGTGACTTTTGTCCTGACCCCCAGGGAGATTAAGAGAGGTCAGAAGTGAGGGGAGGGGAGGTCGGGGCACAAGTAAATCTCAGCCTGTGGATGCAGGCTTTCCCCGCATTATAGTTTTTTTGGTGGTTGTATTTAAAGTCCCCACTGGGGTTTTACACTTTATTGTCTTAGTGTAATATTCAGGGTGAGGGCTTACCGGGAAGAACTATGGTCAGGGAGTGGCTTCCCAGGGCTGGGGTTAACGCATTGAGAGTGATGGAAACGGCAGTGGCCTGGTCCTCTTTATTTTTTGAGATGGAGTCTTGCTGTGTCGCCCAGGCTGGAGTGCAGTGGTGTGATCTCGGCTCACTGCAACCTCCACCTTCCAGGTTCAAGAGGTTCTCCTGCCTCAGCCTCCCGAGTAGCTGGTATTACAGACACCCACGACCATGCCAGGCTAATTTGTGTATTTTTAGTAGAGATGGGGTTTCGCCATGTTGGCCAGGCTGGTCTCGAACTCCTGACCTCAGGTGATCCACCCACTTTGGGCTCCCACCTTGGGCTGGGATTACAGGCTTTACGTGCCCAGCCCTGGCCTGGTCCTCTTGAGTGCTCTCAGGCCCTGTTACAAATGCTTTGTGGGCTCTCTGTAGATCTCACTTCCTCTCTCTGAGGTAGCTGCTGCCATCCACCCACTTATCAGATGAGCAAAGTGAGACCCAGGGGCTCAGCAATTGCCCAGCTTGGGAGTGGCGGAGCTGGGACATGAAGCTGGCTTCTGTCTGCCACACTGAACTGGGAATAAGGGGGTCCAGGTGCAGCAGCCAGCATGGCTTGCTTCGGGCCTGTGGTTCTGGATGAGAGGCTGACCCTGCCCCACAGAGGCCTGACACCATGGTGCTCTGCAGCCTCTTGGACTTGGTTTCTATGCCTGATGCCAGATCCCAGACACTGCAGGGAGCAAGGGCCCAGAACCCGCCTGTCCAGCCATTGCCCCAGGGGCAGTTCACAGTCAGGCTGGCATCAGGCACCCGCTGCTCCTGTTTGACAGGTGAGAGGACTGAGGCTGGGCAGTAGGTTTGAAGTCAGGCTCTGCCTCTCCTGAGCTGTGTCCTTGGGCGGGTGACTGATACTCTCAATTGAGTCTGTTTTCCCATTTGTAAGATGGGATCCATAATTGTATCTCCCTCAGGATCAGTGTAAGGCAAGGGTCAGCAATCCATGGCCCGGCCCATTGTAAGTCAAGTTTGATTGGCACACAGCCACGCCTGTTCCTCTGGCAGCTTTCACATTATAATGGCCAAGCTGAGTTGTGAGCAGAGACCATCTGGACTGGCCACGCCTAAAATCTTTAGTTATTGTCTGGTCCTGGACAGAGAAAGTTTGCCCACGCTCTGTTGCAAGAAACAGAATGAGCAGGTCCACTGAAGATGGTGCCTGGGATGAAGTTAGCGCTTGTCGAGTGATAACTGTAATAATAATAATTCTTATTTTGTCACGGTCATTATTGTTATTGAGGTAGAATTATTTGCAGCAAGTCACAGAGCTTTTTTTTCTTCTTCTTCTTTTTTTTTTTTTTTTTTTTTTATGTGAGACGGAGTCTCTCTCTCTTGCCAGGCTCGAGTGCAATGGCGAGATTTCGGCTCACTGCAACCTCCGCCTCCCGGGTTCAAGCGATTGTCCTGCCTCAGCCTCCCAAGTAGCTGGGACTACGGGAGTGCGCCACCACGCCCAAGTAATTTTTTGTATTTTTAGTAGAGACGGGGTTTTACCATGTTAGCCAGGATGGTCTCGATCTCTTGACCTGCCTTGGCCTCCCAAAGTGCTGGGATTACAGGTGTGAGCCACCGCACCTGGCCAAGTCATAGAGCTTCTTAGTGGGGACCTGAACTCTTGTCTTTGGACCAGGCCTCTTGCCGCCATGGTTGTAGCGTCTGCCTCTTAGTGCTTCTTCACTGGCCAGGGGGAAATGGTAGCCGTGAGGGGATGCTGGCTGCAGGGAGAGCAAGGTGCAGGGGCATGTGTGAAAGGAGATGGGGCTGGTGAGTGGGAGGGCACAAGCTGTGGCCTCCACCTTCCTGCAAATGGGGCGACTGGGAAATTCAAACGGGGGTCCCTTCTCAAACCTTCCTCTGTATGTATGTATGTATGCCTAGATCCCCCCTTTCCTGAACTCCACCAGGCTGCTAGCCCCATGCTGGCGCAGACTGGGTGTCTCCTTTTTACCAGACTCAGTGCCGGGCCAGTAATAACGATCCTAAAAAAAATAATAATAATAACGAGGACTGGGCGAGGTATCTTACACCTGTAGTCCCAGCACTTTGGGAGGCCGAGGTGGGTGGATCACTTGAGCCCAGGAGCTCGAGACCAGCCTGGGCAACATGGTAAGAACCCCTCTCTACAAAAAATGCAGAAACAATTAGTCGATCGTGGTGGTGCCTGCCTGTAGACCCAGCTACTCAGGAGGCTGAGGTGAGAGGATCACCTGGGCCCAGGAGGTCGAGGCTGCAGTGAGCTGTGATTCCACGACTGTACTGCAACCTGGGTGACAGTGAGACCTTGTCTCAAAAAAAAAAAAAAATTATTCATGAGGAAGAGGCAGTGGCTGCTTCGTCTACTATTCCCATTCCACGCCAGACACGGTGCTTCCTCAGAACAGCTCTGGAGGTGAGGCTACTCTTACCCCCCTTGACAGCCAGGGAAACTGAGGTACAGAGAGATTGAGGTCACATGTGCGCTAAATGGTGGAGCAGGGCGCCGATCCTGGGCAGTCTGGCTCCAGAGTCCCTGCTTCATAAATATTTGTTGACTGTGTTGAGTGGGAGCTGGCCGCTGGCGTTGGCAGCGGCGCCCTCCGAGCCCCTTATCTGGTTCCTGTCGTTTCTGGAGGGAGGACTGACTCCTCAGCCATCAGCTGACCCCACCCCAGCCCCACACTGAACTCTGGGTGACCCTGGCCTTCCCTCAGGATCACTGTCCACTGCTAGAAAGGCTGCCCTCGGCCCTCCAGGGAGGAAACTGAGGCCCAGAGAGAGCTGGGGCTTGGCCCATAGCCATGAAGCCTGCTGGTGGTTGCTCTAGGACTCGGGGTCCCCCTGGAACATTTCCCCGGCCCCAGCTGCCCCCGGAGGCCAGAGCAAGTCATAAATATCTCATCCGGCCTGTCCTAGGCCCCTTTCTTGACCATCCTGGGAGGGGCTTGCAGGAGGCTGAGGCTTCCCCTGCTGAGAGCTGGGGTACCCAGAGTGAAGCTCGGCCTGTGGGGGCCGCTGGGTTCTATTTCCCACCCATCTAAACTGCTTCCAGAAAGTCAAGGTGTGAGGCAGGGGCTCAGGCCCACCTGGGTTGGGGGTGGTGTCTGGAGGTGAGGTCAGGCTGGAACCCAACTCCCAGGGTGCTTGGAGCCGAGGCGGGGACGGGGCACCCGCAGGGACCAAGGTCTTGCATAGCCTCAGGCTTGTCATGGGACGTTAGCAAACCATAGCTGTGGCGCCGGAGCCACCCAAGACCCACTCTGGGCGCAGGTTAGGCCTAATGGGATCTGACTCAGATAAAAGGAAAACATGGCTATTTTAGTTGTGATTGAGAAAGCTGCTTATTTACAGCTCAGAAACTCAGCGGGGACAGGCATTTCGGCTTCCATCTAGCACTTTCCAGGCAGTCACTAATTAATCTTCCGATACCCCTGAGAGATGGGGAGGCCGCCACGGTTCCATCTGTCGGCTGGGAAAGCCAGGGGCCCTTTTGTCCCAGCTGCAGCCCAGCCCTTTTCCGAGGGGCCTGGTCTGGTTCCCACCCCCCCTGCCCAATTTGGTTCTCATTAAGGTTTTTTTCTTGCTTAAATGTGTTGTTGTTACGCCATGGGTGGGAACCTGATATAGTCCCGCTGGAAACTCTCTTCTTATCTCCTTGACTCTGGAGACAGAAGAGGTTTCTTTGTACTCTGGGAGCAAATGGTCATTATGTTACCTGGATTCCGGGGCAAGAATGCGTGTCCTTCTACGCAGGGGAAAGTGCAGGGTGGGAGCGGCAGGTGGCCCAAGCCACACAGCTCCTGGACAGAGCCGGGAAGGGGAGGACGTGTCTGGACTTGGCCTCCTGCTTTGAGCCTGGTGCTCCGTGTCGCTTGCCCATCTTCCTCCTGGACATGGACACGTGTTGGGGGGAGCGGTCCCAGGGGGGTTCCCTCTCACCAATGTCAAGTGTGATGGAGTCACCTGGTCTACCCTGGCATTGTGTAGATGAGATCACAGCGGTCAGGAGACCTCGCAGGCCTGTTGACTTCAAATTCTCTTCCTTAGACTTTTGGGGAGACTAGGGTGGTAGAGGCAGCCTCTCCATCAACCAGGCTGCGTCCTGTCATACTCTTTGTGGGAAAATCATTAGACTGTTGTGGCCCTTAACGTGGCCTTTCAGGAAGGATGATGGGATCCCCTCTTAGGGGACCTCCTCAGCCAAACAGATCCTTGTCCCTGTCTGGGATTGTCCCCTTTTGGTGGTCTAGCTGCAGGATCAGCAGAAATTTTGAAGCTGTAGGGGCACCGTGTATTCGAAGGGAAGAGGGAGTTCGGGGGTGAGGGAATCAACATCCACATGGTATCCTCCTCCTCCTCCTCCTCCTCTTCCTTTTTTTTTTTTTTTCTTTTAAGAGCGCCATATAGATTTAAAGTCCTTTTGTTAATTTAGGAACATAAAACCGTGTGATGTATAGTTTGGTTTGCTCGTAAAATTACTAAGTGTGGCATATTTAGTGCTGTGAAAGCTTGGGGTAAAAGGAAAAAAAATCAGTGAGAATTTTCTTACAAGTCTTTAGGGGAAAATGTATTTTTCCGGCTTTTTCCCACACATGCCAGGCCCTCCGCAGCTGGGGTTGGCGCTGGTCGTTACCCTCAGCCCCAATTACAGCTGTGCTGGAAGCTGGGAGTGGGTGCTGGGGCTGGGGGATTGCGGGAGTAGGGCACTGGTGGGGTTTGGGTAAAGCCAGGTCCAGGTCTTATCTCCAGAGGGTGATCCCACCCCATTCTGGAGCTCAGCCCTGCCGGAAGCCCAGGCCCTGAAGGATCCGGGCAGCTCCATCCTCTGCTCCCTCCCACAGTGAGACAGGAAGCGCCCTCTGACCAGGCCTGGACCGCCGCCCAGTGGGCATTTGGCTGCTTGCTTAATGGCCTGTGGGGTCAGGAAGTCACGGAACATTGGACTTGGGAGGGACCTCAGAGGTCAGACGGGCTGTCCCTCCCTTCTCTGGATTTGGGGGTCTCGTGGTCACCTCAGGCTGGGCACGTGCAGGTCCTGCTCCTGGGTTGGACCGGGCTGTGCCACTGTGGCGAGCTAGGATGTTGTTGCTTTTCGCACAGAACACGTGCCTGTGACCTAGTCCTGTCCTCTGAGGACACAGACCAAGCCTCCCCTTCCCAAGCACCTCCCGTCAGGCCCCCTGTGAGCTGGGCAGGGCTTGCGCCAGTGGGTGCCGGGCACTGCGCTGCGTCAGTCCACTGGGCAGGAGCAGCAGAGGAGATCTATGTTTTATCTGTAAGTCACTTAGGGAGCAAACAGAGAGCTGAGCACAGATGGATTGCTCTGGAAACTCTTAGAAGCATCCTGGCAGAGGGAATCCAGGAAGGCTTCCTGGAGGAGGTGGCACTAAAAGCAGGCTTTGGAAGTATGGAGCTTCGAGGTGAGTGAGGCTGGGAGGAAGGAGGCTAACACAGTGAGGAGGGAGGAACAGAAATAGGGAAACTGCTCTTACAAGACTCAGCACATTAGGTTCATGTCAGGTGTGCCGGGAGCTGGGCATGGGGCCATCCCTGCCCACGTTGTGGTGTTGGTGGTGGTGTGTGGGGGGCATGGATTGAGTAATCAGGGTGACAAGTACTGGTGCTGAGAGGTGTGTGTAGAATTTTCTGGGCGTGCAGAGGAAAACAGTTTGGTTTGAGATGGGGGTGAAGGCTGTGTCCAAGAAGGCCACAGAGCGGAGGTGACATTTGAGCTCTCCTTTCTACTCTGGGGAAACCCACATTCCTCACCAGTGGGGACTTGGCAGGGAAGGCCACCACTCCTGCCCCGTTGCTCAGCAGCACCCTCTAGGGGTGGGGCTCTGAAGCCTGTGCGTCCTTCAGAGGCACCATGGGGACCAGAGGGTGTCCGGCAGCAGGGCCCTTTCCAGAAGCCAAGGAACAGTAGGAGAGAATGTGCAGGCAGAGGGAGCCTGTGCGGAAGGGGTAGCTGTGCCTGTCAAATCTGTTCCCTGCTCCTCCCAGGCTCTGCAGGCCAGAGAGATAGATGCATTAGGCCCAGTCCTTGTCCTCAGACAGCCAGGCGTGCGGGAGTGTGGCGGACGGGCCCCTTCACAGCTTCTGGCAGGAAGCAGAGCCCAGAGTTTAGGGGTGGGGAGAGTGTGGCCAGGGGATGGTGAAGTGTGGGAATGAAGCCGGGGAGTGGGTCGGAGCCACGTCTTAAGAGGGTCTTGAATGTCATCAAGCCGGTGACACATGAACTCGATTCTGTTGTCAGTGAGTGGGAACCTGGGTTCTTAAAAGCGACCAACTTGGCCGGGCACGGTGCCTCACGCCTGTTATCCCAGCACTTTGGGAACCCGAGGCAGGTGGATCACGAGGTCACGAGTTCAAGACCAGCCTGACCAACATGATGAAACCCCGTCTCTACTAAAAATACAAAAAAATTAGCCGGGCATGGTGGTGCGTGCCTGTAATCCCAGCTACTCAGGAGGCTGAGGCAGGAGAATCACTTGAACCTGGGAGCGGAGGTTGCAGTGAGACGAGATGGTGCCACTGCACTCCAGCCTGGGTGACAGAGCGAGTGAGACTCTGTCTCAAAAAAAAAAACAAAAAAAAACAAAAAAACCACCAACCAACCCCCTGTGCTTGTTTAACACGTGTAGAGGGAGCGCAGGCCAGGCACAGGGAGATGCCCCTGAGAAGCCCCCAGAGCTGCATCCTCGTGCAGTGCCCACACCGGCGAGGGGCCCATGGCGAAGGGTCCCTCGAGGGAAGCTCTGGAGAGAAGGGGAAGGGTGAGAGAGCCAGGGCAGCGAGTGCCAAGGCTGTTTCCTGTGGAGTCTGCATGTTCATGAGCCCTCCTGGGGATGCCAGTGCCCACTGGAGTGAGAGAACAGGCCTGACCCCTTCACCTGACCCTGGACACCAGCAGGAGATTTGAGAGCAGGCTGTGGGGTGAGCGGTGCTCGAACCAGGCCAAAGCCTGAGAGAAGGTGTGAGAAGAAGCAGGAGGGACCCTGGGTCTCGGCCATGCTCCAGGAGGAGTTGGGTCCCGATGGCGAGGGTTCCCCGGGTGTCCTTGCCAGTCTTCTGGTGGGCCCTGTGGGTTCCAGGGCAGCAGGCTTTTCTGAGGCTGCAGCGCTGCCTAAGCACTGGGTTCCATCCTGCCTCTGCTCCTTACTGGCTGTGTGACTCTGGGCAGGTTCCTTACCCTCTCTGGATCTCTGTTTTCTCATCTGCTAAATGGGGCCAGTAGCGGAGCCTGCCTCCTGGGGCTGCTGACAGTGTTCGATGAGTTAACTGGCAGAAGGGAGGGACCAAGCGCTGTAGGACCCTGAGCTGCAATTACCATTTGGGTTGATAGCTCCCAGCTGTCATGCTCCCAGCTGCACGCCGTCCATATCTTGGATTTGAGAATGACCTGGAAGAGGGGGACCCCACCTGGGAGACCTGGCCAAGTCACTCCTGGTGGAGGCAGTGGGCTGGGCAGGGAGGGTCTTTGAGAAGCCCAGACTCCTGAAATGGCTGTCCGCCAGCCCAGGCCACGCACAGCGCCGTGGTCACAAGGCGGCAAGTTCTGAATAAGTAAAGAAGAAACGGAATCGTCCTGGTGAGGTCGTCCTGGCCCTCTCTCCACTGCGTCCCATGTAAGGAAAGCCGAACTGGGTGAACCCTGGGCCCCAGGAGTCACTGGATGGAGGGCGCTATTGGCCAGCCCGGCCTCAGCGGAGAATTTCTTTGTTATAGATTTCTTCTTCCACCTCCCCAACCCCAGAAGACTTCAGTGTCACCCTTAGTGAGTGACAGGCCCACAGCCAGTGCCCCGAGGCCGATGGCACCTTGTCTCAGACTCTGGGGCCTTTGAACCGGCCCCAACCCTCCCCACCTCTTGTCATTCTTGTCCTGTAATTCATTTAGGATTAGCTTTCAGACCTCCTCGCTGGTCCTAACTTCTGTCGTCTTGGTAACTGTGTCAACCGTTTGCTGGTTTCCCGTGATTATCTGACAAGAGAAAGGGGGGCCGGCAGGGAACATAAAAGAAGGGAGGAGGAGAGAATGGCGGGGTCTTAATTGAACTTGCTGTGGAGGGGCCGCAGCGGAAGGGCCGGCCACTGCATGGGCAGTAGGGGGCGGTCACGTAGGCCTCTCACCCGCTCCAAGAACCTGTGTCACTGTCGGAAGTGTCACGGCCTTTATCTTAGATCTTAAGGGCCCAGGGACAAGGTGTTACTCCCGCCCCCACCCCCACCCCCACCCCCACCCCCACCCCCCTCCGCCCAATTTCTCTCCTGGAAAGTTTCACTCACAGGCGGATTTCAACCGCCTGTGCTGTCTTTATGACAGCACTCACCACAGGGTGCCGGCCTGTCGGTGGGCAGGTCAGACCAACCGTTGCGGGGGAGGGGATGGGGCGGCTGGTGGGTGGGTCTGCAGGGGACCAGGGCTCCTGGCATGGAGGAAGACTTCATGAGCAAGTGTGTGGTCATAAAACATCGTTTTATTCTCCCAGCTGCTGTGCGTTGGAAATTCAGAAAGGGTGTGGTGGGGTGGAGCCGGTCTCTGCCCAGCTACACCTGGGGCCTCAGCTGGGAAGACTGGGAGGCAAGGTGATTTGCTGTGCAGAGTCCCGAGTCGTCTGAAGGCTCCTCTCACTCAGGCCTGGCAGTTGGTGCTGGCTGTTCGCCAGACCGCAGCCGGGGCTCTCAACGCTGGGACGCCTCCTCGTGGCCCCTCAGTGTGGCATGAGCTTCCTCAAAACATGGCGGCCCCAGAGCTCCGAAGGCAGTGGTCCCAGCTCACAAGCGGAAAGCTGCACGGCCTTTTAGGGCCTAGCCTCGGAGGGAAGGCTGTACCACACCACATTCTGTTGGTTGCAAGTGAGGGACAAGCCTGCCCATTTTCAACTGGAGGGGAGTTAGGCTTCATCTCTTTTTGTTTGTTTGAGACAGGGTCTCGCTCTGTTGCTCGGGCTGGAGTGTAGTGGTGCGATCTCAGCTCACTGCAGCCTCTACCTCTTGGGCTCAAGTGATCCTCCTGCCTCAGCCTCCCAAGTAGCTGGGATCACACGTATGCACCACCACACCTGGCTAATTTTTAAATTTTTTTGTAGAGACAGAGTCTTCTTATGTTGCCCAGGCTGATCTCGCATTCCTGGGCTCCAGTGATCCTCCTGCCCCAGCCTCCCAGTGGTGTTAGGATTACAGACACGAGCCACTGTGCCTGGCCTGGGCTCCACCTCTTAATGGGGGAATGGTACCCTTCTAGAAGGGCATGGGGTTTGGGAGATGCAATTGATGTTTCCTCTCTGGAAAATGTCATCAGCTACACATGCTCCACCCACCCACATCCTCTGTGAAGTATGTGTTTCCAGAGAGTGGTAGCCTTGCCTTGAGGAAGGAAAGAGGTTCCATCTTCTTCCAGGGTCTGCTTCTGGAGTTTCCTGAAGACCTGTGACATGGAGCTTTGAGGGCAGAGGTCTTTGTGCCCTGGTGGGGAGGCTGGTAGGCCTCCGGGGTGGGCCTCCACAGTCATGGCGGCCCCCAATTTCAGGTTCGCCAGCCCTCTGAAAATAATAGTGAGGGTTGTCTCTGAAAATAAGGGTGTTGTTTCTTGTCACAGAGGCAAGATGGGCCCCTCACTGGATCAGTGGGAAGATGGGAGTGCCTTTTAGGGAGCTACTAATGAGCTATGTCTGATTTTTATGAAACTCCATGGTAAATTATTAATTTGGGCCAGAAATGAAAGTGTGGAACTGGATAGGCTCATGAATATTCATCGTTGACTTCAGTACAGGGTTGGTTGATCAGTGGCTAGAGCAGGCAGCCAGCCTCGTGACCCAGATACGGGCTTATTACCCAGGGCGGAGGCTCTTGGGAAACCCTTCCCCATTCACTCCCTTAGTTTCTTGGTCCAGAGGTGGGGCTGGTAACTCACAGCTCATTAGCAAAGTTGAAGCTCGACCAGGGCTGGGCTGGGGCCAGCTCAAGATGGGAGCAGAAATCAGAGGGTTCTTGACCCCCTGGATCACCCTGGGTTCACAGCGGTCTGTTCTCACTTTGGAGCTGCTGTGGATGAGGGTGACGTCTGTGCAGAAGGAGCCGGAAGCTCCCACTTCTCTGCCTCTACTCCCCTCTTAGAGCCTCCTGGGAAGGATGGAGACCCCTAGAAATGAGTCCCTTTAACAGATAATCTTTGGTTCTGGAGTATGATCATGGTTAGTGTCATTGAGGTCACTTTCTGGGTGGCATGCAACGGAGCCTCCTCCCAAATTCAAGCCTTCTTGAAATAGTAAGTTTGCATTTTTTCCAAGATGGTTCTGCTGGGATCCTTTTCTCCCCGACAGGGCCAACCCTGCCTAACACTCTAGCCTGCCCTTCTCTACCTGTCCTCCACACCTTTGGCCAGGCTGTTCCTGCTGCCTAGAGCGCTGAGCCCAGGTGTCTGGGAACGGTCAGTGCTCACTCCTGTTAGGAGTGGCCGCTCCCTGCTCTGTGCTCTTGGGTAGATAGTAAGCAACCGTGACCTACCACTGTAGCTCTTTATTTAGTAGCTGAGCCCCTGGGCCTGGGGGCCAAGTGGTCGGATGTGAATTCTTGCTCCGCCTTGAGTCCTTGTGTATGAGACTGTGGGCAAGTTACTGAAACTCTCTGGGCCTCAGTTTACTTGGGTGGTAAATGTGGAGGATAATTTTCCTGAGGCTGCTGTGAGAATTAAAAGGCTTTGTACATTTCAAGAGCTTAGTGTGGTGTCTAGGCTGTCAGGAAGGGCGGACTTGCTCTTGGTATTATCGTCTGTGTGATCGTCATCATCACTGGATTTCCTGCTGGGAGAGAAGCTCCAGCGCAGGACCTCCTGGGACTCCCTAGCTCAGTGCCAGCACACACGGGTATATGCGGATGACTGCCGTCTCGTGTTACGTGTGTTTTCCCTGCTTCTCAGGAACCGAAGAGTTTACTACACTGTGGCCGTGGCGTGCGTTGGGGAAAGCCTCTGCACTGCATCAGGCCTGTGTGGGCTTTGCCAGTCTCTCCGGGGGGCCTTGCACCTGCCCACCGCCTGGACAGACCCATTTGTAATACAAGCCCTGGAGACCGCCCACCTCTGTGTGGAGATGAGGCCACTTCCTGCCTGAGCCCTAGGGGGTGGAGGTGGGGGTTTCAATCCCCGCCTCTGTCGGAGGAGGACAGAGAAAAGTGAGGTTTCTGGTGGCTTCCGGGATTAGAGCCAAGATACAGTTGCGGCCCTGAGTTCCCAGGCTGAACTGGCCACTTCTTGCAGTGAGCTTTTCGGAGAAGCAGCCGTCGGGCTAGCTGAGTGGCCAGATGGAATGAGAGGTTGCCTGCCAGAGTCCTAGGCACACAGGCTGGTTCTGAGGGCCCCTTCCAAGGTGGGGGGAGTTCTGGATGGGCCTGGCCCTTGGTCAGTGTCCATCTTCAAGGACCTTGGTGCTGGAGGAGGTCCTCAGAGCCTCCCAGCATGTGAGAGGCTGTCAAGTCTGTGCTTAGGAGAGGGAGTGCAATGGGGAGAGGAAAGACCTGGCCCTTGACCCGCCTCTGCCAGGGATTCTCTGGGGCTTTGGGGGTTCCCGCAAGTGGCCTGCTGGCAGGCACTTCGAGAACTGACACCTGCTGTGTGACAAAGTCGTGGCACTTGATCCCAGCCTGCAGAGAGAGTCATGAAAAGCATGTGCGGTTTTATTTGGCTATTGAAACCCATAACTCCACCTGCCTGGCTTTTCATCTGATTTTGATGCCTTTGACTCAGGGCCCTGTCACCTCCCAGGTTCTAGGGCTCTCGGAGAGAGGTGGCCAGCGGGTCAGACCGGTGGGGTGAGCCGCGTGGGAGGAATAGGAACGCAAATAGCCCGCAACCAACTTTGTTCTCCTTGCCCTGGTTTGGAAAGAGACGTTGGCTTCTTGCAAGTGCAACTGCCAGGGCAGTTCCTGAGCACCTGTTGGTGCCAGGCCCTGGAGGGGCTGAGGGGGAGGGTGGAAAGTCTGTCACAGGATTCTCTCGAAGACCCTGCCGGACGCCGGAGGAGGCAGGAGCTCAGCCGCAAGCCACTGACTCCAAGTTTCTGGGGGTTGGAAGGATACAGGTAACTCCAGGCGCTTGGAGGATGGAAAGTTTCCTTTTGGCTGGAGTGATCTGGGAGGACTTCCTGCAGGAGGTGGTGCTTGAAGCAGATTCTGAAGCGTTGGTTACTTTTGAAAAGGGAAGGTGGGGGAGGTGTGAAGAGGAGAGTGGTTTTTATCTCAGCATGCCACAAACTGTACTGTGTACTCCAGTGACCCGGATCTTGCTAAAGGGGAGGTTCGGATTCAGCGGGTCTGGGAGGGGCCCTAGGCTCTGCCTTTCTAACAAGGCACAGGGGAACTTCCCTCCCTTGAGCCCCGGAGTCACGTGCACCCTTCCAAGGCCCGGGCGGCATCAGTGCTGCTGGCCCAGAGGCCTCACATTGGATAGCCAGGGCACTGGACCTGCACCGCCTAATGTGGTGGCCACTAGCATAGATCCGTGGCTATCAGACCTGAAAACTGAACTGATCAAAATTAAAGAAAATGAAAACTTCAGTGCCCCAATCACAGCAGCTCCATCTTGAGCCCCCAACAGCCACGTGCGGATGGAGGCTGCTCAGTCGGACAGTGCAGATAGAGAGCATTTCCATTGTTCCAGAAAGTTCCACCGGACCGTGCCAGTCCTCAGCCCAGAAGCTGGAAGGCTGGGCCTGCAATCCTCGGAGCGATACTGGCACGGGCCTGGGAGCGTCACCGGGTCTTCTCGGGGAGGCTCTTGAGAGCCTAGTGGGGAGGTCTTTGCCGTGTTTGGGGCCACAGGGACCTGGAGCAGGGACCTGACTGACTGACCTTTTGACATTAAACACAGGAAGGACTGAGGGGGAGAAACAGGTCAGAGACTGCAGGAGGCCCCAGCAAGGGAGGCAGAGGCGTGGGGGCAGAGGCCATGGCGGAGCTCAGGCTGCAGAGGGTCCCTGTCGGTGGCCAGGCCCAGGGAGGAGCTGGCAGCAAGGGACATGTTTGGAATCTGAGAGACGGTGGCTGTCCATGAAATGGGGAAGTGAGTTGGGCGTGGGGGCACAAACCACCAAGTGGCAGTTTCATGAAGGAAGGAGTGGTTTCCATTGTCAAGTGGTATTGGATGTGGGGACCAGGTGGACCCTGGAGGACATCAGTACTAGTGTCTAGTGATGCATACGTAGAACACATAGCACACACACACACGTACAACACATACCACACACCATACACACAACCACACCCCCCCACACCCCACATACCACACACACACCACACACAACGCACACACACACACCACATACCACACACAACACACCACACACACACTGAATACTACACACACACCACATACTACACACACAACACACACAGCACGCACACACCACATACCACACGTACAAAACACACCACACCACACACAACCACACACACACCAACACACCACATACCCCCACACACAACACACACCACATACCACACAACACACCACACACACCACATACCCCTCCACACACAACACACAATCACACACCACACACACCACATACCCCCACACACAAACACACCACACACACTACACACCACACACACACAGCACATACAACACACAGCACATACCACACACACAACACACATCACACACACCACATGCACACAACCACATACCACACACACCACACACACACCGCACACACATACACGTGCACACAACACACAACACGACATACACACACACACCAGGCTGTGTGTGAGCACAGTGTGCCTTGCCTTCTTTTCCAGAGCAGGTTAAATGATGTGCCTGGGATGGGCTGCTTAGAACCCAGCAGGGGCTGCTCCGGAACCCAGTTCTCCTCCCTCGGTTTCCGAGGGCTCCCCCAACCCTAGGGGCCCCTGCTGCTCCAGGACCTCATCCGGGAAAGGGGAGCCAAGGGGTCATTGTGGGCTTTCTGGAAGAGGTGTGGGGCCTTGTCTATTACCTAAAGGAAGGCCCACTTTGGAGAACCTGCAGATGATCAAGTCAGGGCATTGCAAGAGAGGAATCACACATGCAGAGGGCCGGCAGCCCTCTGTCGCCCAGACTGGAGTGCAGTGGCGCTGTCTCTGCTTGCTGCAACCTCCGCCTCCTGGGTTCAAGAGATTCTCCTGTCTCAGCCTCCTGAGTAGCTGGGATTAGAGGCGCACGCCACCACACCTAGCTAATTTTTGTATTTTTAGTAGGGTTTTGCCATATTTGCCAGGCTGGTCTTAAACTCCTGACCTCAGGTGATCCGCCCGCCTCGGCCTCACAAAGTGCTGGGATTACAGGCTTGAGCCACTGCGCCCGGCCCATCCCTTTCTTTTTTTAAAGGATGAAGTCTTGCTATGTTGTCCAGGCTGGCCTCGAAGTCCTGGACTCAAGCCATGTTCACTTTCTGAGTAGCGGTGACTACGGGTGCGCTGCACTGTGCTGGGCTAGTACTTCATTCCTTTTCATAGCCAAGTCGTCTGTCCTGGCCTGGATAGACCACGTTCTGTTTCTCCATGCATCTGTTGATGACGTTCAGCTTGCTTCTACTTTTTGGTTATTACGAATAATGCTGTTGTGAACACTGGCGTGCATGTTTTTGTGTGTCTGTATGTTTTCATTTCTCTTGGGCATGTATCTGTAGTGGGACTGCTGCACCTTCTGGTAAGTCTATTTAACTTTTTGAGGAACTGCCAGACTCTCTTCCTGAGCCTCAGTTTTCCCAGCTGTGAAGTGGAGCTGTGTCCTGGGGTCCTGCTGGTTTTCTGTATCAAGTAGCGTATTTTATTTGGAAACTTGAAGGAGCTGAATGATGTCTTTCATTGCTGCTATTAATAGCAACACCCAGCCATCACAGTGGGCGCGTCCGGAGGGGGAGCCGGCAGGCGCACTGGTTTGTGCCAGTCTGGGCCCGGGAAGCATTTCTCCTCCTCCGGCCACCAGTTGCCTCAGATTGGAGTTATTGTGAGTGAGTGTCCTCCCTGTGTTTCTGGGGAACTTCCTGGGAACTCAAGAAAATGTTTTCCAAAGCTGAATTCCATAGAAAAAGAGACCAAAGCTGGGAAGGGCAGGTGACAGCTGCCACCCTCCTTGTGTGGGAATTTCAGGAGAACTCGGGCAGACGTGGCGCCGTCTCTTTGGCCAGAGAAGAAGCAGGACATCCCATCAGCTCAGCCCCCGCGGGGACTGGCTTGGGAGAGGCCCGCTCCCCACACATGGCGGGCGGGGGCGCCAGGCCTCCCGTCTGGTCCTGACAAGCAGCCCCCGGAGCCTGAGTTTTTCTTGGAAGGCGTCCAACTGGTGCAGAGCTGGCTTGGCCCAGCGCTCTTGTGGGAGAGAAAGGAAGCCATTGAGGGCCGGCCGTGGAAGTTGTAAACTGGATAAATGACCCTCCATAGCAGGCCCCCAGAATGCTTTTCCTCTGCTCTGCAGTGAGAAGCCAGCCTGGGAAAATCCCAGTGTTCATTATTCAGCTGCTTCCCAGAGAGGACAAGTGACCTGCCTGGGGTCACACAGCCAGTTAGAGGCCAAACTAGGAGGGCTCTTCTTGACACCCGGCTGGGTCTTTCCGGAGCTCTGCAATCCACCTGTCTGCTATCCCATCAAAACCCGAGGCTTACTCCCTGCGCGTCAGCAGTAGCCGAACTCTGCGAAGTTGTCCCTTCCGCCTCGGACGAGGCCCCGGGGTCAGAAAGCTACAGGAAGTGACCTCGTAGAACACACCCAAAGCCAGGTCATTCCTTTCTGGGCCTAGGTCATTCCTTTCTGGGCCTCTCCGCCCGGCCTCCAGAGGACACCTGGGCTGTGATGCCAAGAGCCCAAGAAGGCGCTGGTGTGGAATGTGCCAGATGTTTTTTTTCCTTCGGAAAACACTGTGTCCTGTCCGCTGGTGGCTCTGCTGAGATTTGGCTGGTCTCCTCCTGTGCTTCAGGTCCCCTGGGTCTCCTCCTCACCCAGCTACAGCCAGGGTGGGAGGCAGCAGGCATCGGTCACGGACCCTTGGGGGCTCCCTGCTGGAGCCTGCCCTGGTTATATTGGGATCTGCGCTCCAGGCAGGCGGGGGATTTAACCCTGAGCGTCCCCTCTTTAGATTGAGCCAGCTTGTCTTCGCACCCTCCCGACAAGGCCGGGCAGCCCCCTTGCCCTGCCAGCGGCTTGCTTCAAAGGTTAATCCCCTCGCTGGGGAGCGGCTCCCCGCTCCCCCTCTCCCCCGCCCCCCGGCTTTTTACGCTCCAGTTAATTAAATGTGGCTGCCTATTGTCAGAAGACAAAGTTGGATATTTATCACACCTTGGCGCTACAGAATGTCAGAGGCACGCACAGTTTGAAGAAATACTGGCAGGGAATGAGGCTGAGCATATGTCCACAGGGCCAGGGCAGGCAGGTGGCAGCCACCTCTGCAACCTGCGGTGCTCCCAGCTTTGGCTGTGGCGAGCAGCTTTCAAACGAGGCACTCCAGGATTTGTGTTTACCCGGGGAGTTCTGGCGGAATCTAGGAGATCTGCTATCCGGCATAAACATCCTGGTTCCGGAGATTATTTCATTGGAAGGAATTAAGGATGCCGTTAAAATACACACAGACCCCTCCTTGCTTCGCTCTGGTGCTGTGTGCCCTGTGGGGACCGGCTTCCCTCTCGTCTCCCCTCTCGTCTCCCCTCTTTTCTGATCTCCTCCTTGGGCTTTCACATTTTATTTTTATTTTTTCACTTGGGCACTGCAAAAACACACGGCTAATTGCGATTTCTTTTTCATGACGGGCGGGAGGGGCATATGGATGTGTTCATTTTATAGGGTTTTTTTCCTCCCCCTTAATAATAATGCTTTAAAGATGTTTGACATCTGTAACTAACAGCTGGCATCCTGTTATGGAAGAATGTCCTTTTATTTCAAAGCAGGTTGAACTGTCATTAATAGTATAATTAGGTGATTATCACTATATAGCAGAAAACTGCTTAATTGTAGAGATCGCTTTTCTAGGATTCCAGTCTTTTTATGGTTATATTTGTTTTAGCTGTTGAATTTTCATTATATTTTGGCATTTGGTATGCTGCCTCGTTTCTGTTTTTTTTTTTTTTTTCCCCTTCCTGTTTTTTAATGTGTCTGACAGCTGTCTTTGGGAGCATTTGGTTTTGAAGGTGCTCCTGGTGTTAGAGCAGTGACGGGGGAGTATTACCTGGAAGAGGTTTCTTATCCTGGGCCCTGCTTAACACATTCTGTGCCAGGCCAGAGGCCCACAGGAGCAAGGCCAGGAATACCGGTGCCCTTTGATTTATCTGATCTCTCTCTGGGTAATAGTATGGAATTAGACATTTAACCCTGGAGCTAAGGTTGTCTGTTAAGAGGCCAGCTTTTACAATGCAATTTATTTTTATGGTGCGTCCTTAATACACAATATTACCAAATGCTTCGGAGTCTCTTGGATTCCAGAGGGAAAGGCACATTTAAAGGGACATGGTCTCCGATGTAACTGGAATTTGAAAATAAATGGGTTTTCCAGACTCTACGAGGAAATAGTTTATCTCTTAACGAAGGACTTTGAAATGAGCATAGAGGTGGGCTTGCTTTTGAAAAGCGAAGGGAAGCCAAACGCTGCCCCTTCCACACTTTTGGAGCCTAGACGTCCTTATTGGTCTCTGCTAGAGGCCTGGGGTAGATGCTGGAGCTCGGATCACCTGACATCTGGGCCGCATGTCTTCCTCTAGCAAGTCCCGAATTGACTGTCTGCTCTCCCGGGAGAAGCTGTCCCCAGACCCTTTCTTCCTAACTAAGCCCTGCCAAGAGCAGGGGTATGTTATGGGTATTACGGGGCATTTTTTGAAGGGTCACCTATTCTTGATGTAGAGTTTTAGAAACGCTTTTCTTTCCCAAGTGTCCAGGAGGGACTAAAAGCAGTTGTGTCCTGGGGTTGCAAATCTGGGTTCCAGGCTTGCTTGGGGACTGATGCCCTGGTGTGTCCTTGGGGATCATGGTGCTTCTGTCTTGCTTTGCCACTGCAAAGCCTGTGGATTAGACACGGGGACCCTGGGTCATCACTGGGCTCTCACAGCTTCTCCCACCCCAGTTTTGCAACACTGCCTGGTTTACAAGAGCAGGCAGGCCCTTCCCTGAATGCAGGCCCTGCATGGGGGCTTTAGGTGACCCTGTCTTGATTATCACAGTCAGGACGCTGAGGTCCTGGAGGTGAGCTGACCATCCCCAAGCACCCGGCCAGGGGCATCACAGTCAGGACTTGGGTCCTGGAGGTGAGCTGACCTTCCCCGGGCACCCGGCCAGGGGCATCACAGTCAGGACGCTGGGGTCCTGGAGGTGAGCTGACCGTCCCTGGGCACCCGGCCAGGGGCAGAGGCAGGTCTTCTCCTCTGCGGTTCTCTTCATGGTAGGTGGTGGCTGATGCCCTTGAAGTTGGGGTCCCAGAAAGTGGAGGTGCCCAGCCTGCCCAGTGGTGATCACCTCGAGGAGGGAGGACGCGGTCCTCTCAGGGAAGTGGGGTGTGCATTCGGGGCACTTGGGTTTTTCTCTGCTGTCCCTGCAAGGGTGGTGGAGGAAGTGCTTCAGGGCCAGCCAGGGCAGGTCTGCTGTGACAAGGACCCCACCACCCCACCCAGCAGCTGGAGGACATCCAAAGAGTCCTCCATCCTGGGCTAGCCAGAGCTGAAGCTTATTGAGCGCCTACTCTATGCAGTACCTGCATGGGCTCATTTCTCCTTCGCACTAGCCCAGGAGGCAGCGCTGCGATTATCCCCCTTTCACAGAGGAGGGGCTGACCCCAGAGAGGCACAGTCACCTGCCCAGGGTGAGTGTGGCACAGAGGTCGAGGGTCACCCGGCAGGTCCTGATCACCCATCCTAGGAAGGGGTGGCCTGGCTCTACCCTTGACTCAGGAACTGATGTTTCTTTCTACCCTTGCCCAGGAGTTTTAGGAAGAAGCCCGGGTCCCCCACCCCAGCAGGGCAGATAAAGGCTTGGGTTCCAGGTTTCCCCTTTTCCACTCCAGTCCTCCAGGGGCTCCAGCATTTTGCATTTCTCAGTTGAGCTGAGCCTTCCAAGCCAGTCAGCAGTACAGGTGCTGATGCCCGATGGCCGTGCCTTTGCAGAGCCCGGCTTGCTGCTGTGCGCTGTGTGGCTCCAGGCAAGTTGCTTCCCCTCTCTGAGCCTCTTTCTTTGCTGTCAGCCACCTGGTGTTGGGAGGCTGCAGCCTTTGTTCTCCTGCGAGGAGGCTGCTGAAAGGCCTGCAGTTCTTCCGTTGAATTCCGGCCCCTCCCAGCTCTCCACTCTGGCTGGCACCCAGCAGGCTGGAGGAGATTGGCAGGGCCTCTCCCCAGGACCCCCTGAGCCGCCCCAGATATTGTGCGCTGACACCTGGGAGGGCGGCACCGGGACAGCTGCTTGCTGTGCGGCTTCCCCCAGGTTTTATGGCTGGAGGGATAAATTACCCCTTCATCAGCGTTTTCACCTGAATGCCATGGATAACGGTGGCAGCCTGTCCCGAACGCCAGGCTCCAAGTGCCTGGGCTCCCCAGACGACAGAGGCACAAGTCACTGGGCCTTTAGTCCTTCTGTTGGCAGGGGCTGGTTCCCATTTCACATGTGGGGCAGCTAAGGCTCAGAGAGCTTCTCCCCCGCCCCTCACATGCATGGCCCTCCCTTTCCCGACTTTCTCTGTCTTGTTCTGTGCAACAAGCGTGTGTTAGCTGTGGTTACTGTTTTTATTTTGCAGGGAGGAACAAAAGCTTAAAGGGCTAACTGACTTGCCCAGCATCCCAGGGCCAGGAGGTGGTAGATGCAGGAATCTAACAGAACAGCAGGCCAAGTGTCCCCCGAATCAGGCAGCTTCCCTGCTGGAAACCCTCTTGAGAGTAAAAGCCAGCATTCTCTGCCTCCACTACCCCTCACCACACATGGCCCCACCTCAGGGCCTTTGCACAGGCTAGTCTCTCTTGCTCATTCAGGCCTCTGCTCAGATGCCACCTTTGAGGCTCTCTGGCCACCGTGCACCCCGGTCACTCACCCATCCTGCACACCTGATGTGCATTTTTTTTTTTTTTAGCATCTTACTGCGTCTCCTCAACTGGACTGTAAGCTCCCCCCAGCACAGCGATCTGGTTTGTCTTGTTCTCTGTGGCATCCTGATGCTGGCACAGTACCAGGCACACAGCAGGCGCTTAATCAATGTCAGTGGGCTGCCACACCTCTCTGCAGGTCAAAAGCTAGCATCTTGGGATTTAAGGTTCTTTCTGCCCTTAGGCCTAAATAGTCTAAAAAGAGAGAACTTGGGAGAAGTGGGGTGACCTTGGTGGTGTCAGCTTGGAGCTTCTGGGCTTGGGGGAACCCGAGTGGTTTAGGAGCAACGCTGGTCGGGGTGGAGGGGACCCTCCCCTCTGGGTGGGGCTTGGGGTATCAGAGGGCTCTACCCTTGGGGCGGGGCTTCTGCCTGGAGGGTAGAATGGGGTTTTTCCAAAAACTAACCCACCCACTTCTTTTGAAATTCTGGCTGGGGCCAGCTTGGGTCGGTGGCAGACACAGCAGGTCTTTGTATCCTTGGAATCCTTCTGAAGCCAACTTGGGGAGGGCGCTTTGTATTGTAAATTTCCGCAGAGTAATTATGTCTTAATGTATGATAATCCGGCCTGGCCCTGGCGCTGGGCAGCCTGTGTCTGCAGCGGTTGCTGCCGGGGACTCACAGGCCGGGCAGGCAGGTCAGAGGGACGCGTCCTGGAGATCCAGGGCCAGCAGGGTCGATCCTGAGGGGCCTGGGGGATTCCCCAGACCTACGCCTGGGAGACCCATGAAGGGCTTGTGTTTTTGGTGCGGCCTCCCGTCTCTCTTCCTAGTCAGAGTCCTCCAAGGAGCCCCATCTCAGATCCCAGTCCCGGGTTCCTGCTGAAAGTTCCTTTTCGGTCTGGGCCAGGAAGAGAGTCATGGAACTACCAAGTCTTAGGTTAGAACTAGCCCTGAAAGATCGTCTAGGCTTGGCTTGAAATAGCTCCATGGATGGGGAGCTCACCCCAGTCAATCAGCAAGCAGTTATTGAGCATCTACTGGCTGCTAGGCACTACACACTAGTCACTAAGGCCCTGAGGAACCAGGGCTAAACTGAAAAGACAAAAATCCTGGAGCGGCTGGAACTGACTTAGTAGTTAGAGAGGCAGACAGTAGACAAGGGAAATAAAGTGGAATGCATGTTAGGGCTGCAGAGAAGGGATACAGCTGGGAGGAGGGTGAGAGAAGGGTGGAGTTTTGATGGGACAACCAGAGAGGGCCTCTTCTCTCTTTCTGGGGGAAGGGCAGGCCATGTGAAGAGAACAGCAGTGCAGAGGCCCCATGGCTGGAACGTGGCTCCTGGACTATGTTGCTTGGAATGTTCACTCTGTGGATGTTTGCTGAGCTCCTGCAGGGGAAGAGGACATTCTGGGCTGTCCCGATGATGTTCCAGTCTCACAGTGGAAAAGCGTGTAGGGAGAGGGAGAAGGGGTGAGTGCAGAGAGGGAGAGAGCAAGGGAGGGCCCTTCCTGGAGAAGCGGGAGGCCTTGGGCAGCAGCCGGCCAGCCCTGAAGGCTGGCCAGCATCCGAACCCCGCCAAGGAGGGAGGCTGCGTGCTCTCTGCCTCCCCACTGAACTGGGCTCCTTCCTGCCATTGAGCCTCTCAGACCTCTGCTCTCAGCCAGAGAGACTGGGTTTAGACCCATTTGAGACATGCCCCAGCGATGCCCAGGGACACCGCAGCCTCCTGTTGGGTCACAAGGCCTGGCTGTGGTGGCTGACATCTGTTGGTATCCTTGTCACAGGCTGAATGTTTGTGCTCCCCCAAATTCAGATGTGGAAGCCCCGACCCTCAGGGTGGCTGTATTTGGAAATGGAGCCTCTAAGGAAATAGTTATGGTTAAGTGAGGTTCTCAGGGTGGGCCCCTGCTCTGCTAGGATTAGTGTCCTCACAGGAGGAGACCCCAGAGAGTGCGCTGTCTCCGTCACGTGAGCTCTCGGCCAGAAGGCAGCCGTCTGCAATCCAAGCAGGGAGCCCTCCACGGAAATCAACCCTGCCAGCACCTTGATCTTGGCCTTCCAGCCTTAAGAACTATGAGAAAATAAATTTCTGTGTTTAAGCCACGAAGTCTGGGGTGTTTTGTTTGGTAGCCTGAGCAGAGATGCACAGTTGCTGAGGCCCTGGAGGTGACATCCAGGCATTGAGCTCTTGCCCTGCTGGACATTAGGTCAGAGGGACACTGGTGGTTGGCTGATTTTGCCTTTGAACAGGGATGGTTTTAATAAGGATTTGGTGAGGTGATCAGCCTGTGTGTGTTGGGAGGGCATCCCACATGGGCTCCTCTCTCCGCAGCAGCTCTCCAGCCTCCTTCAGAAGGGAGCTTCAGTGGGGAGGGGGCTGGTGGAGGAAGCCCCAAGAGAGGGGGAGGATCTCTTTCTGCCCCATGCCCCCTGCCCCTTACCCACCACCCAGGAAATGAGGAAGGTTGGCAGCTTGGAAGCAGGGGGATGGGACCTTGATGTCTTCAGGTTGCTGGGGGCCGTACTGCACGGTGTCCCTGGCAACTGAATGCAGGGCTCCGGCCTGGGTGGGAAGGGTCTCTGCTGAAGCCGGACGAACCCTGGGGAGAGCCTTTTAGGATTCGGATTCTGGGGAGCTGACGGGTTATCAGGCCCTCTGTTTCTGGAGAGAGGTTTATGCCACAGTTGTGGGGAGAGACCCCAAGGCAGGACCCTGGAGAGCCTGGTCCTACCGCTCTCCTCTTCCGTAGAAGTTCAGCATGCGTCTCTGTGCATGCGCATGTGCATATGTGTGCAGGGGACAGAGAGACAGGTTTGGTCCAGCAATCCGGCCGTCCTAAATGCAGTGTGCATTTCTGTGCTCAGGGTGAATTGGGCTGACCTGTGACCTGTCCCCTTCAGTGAGCTCGCCCTTCCTTGAGAGGAGGGCTGCATCAGGCACGAGTGGATGGGGTCTACACCCAGGGCTGCGGCTTCCCCTGCTGAAGTTCCTGTCCCCCACTGGCTGCATCCGAATCTTATGGGGTTCTAGAAAACACAAACTTCCTTGGGTTTCTACCACCCAGCAAATCCCAGCCAGAGGATCTGGGGTGGGGCCTGGGAGTCTACATTTTTCAAAGCTCCCCACCCCAAGTTGGGTGATCAGTCAGATTGAAGAGACAGATACTGCCAGCTACCTGGGGTGGAGTGGGTGCTGGCTCTTGTGGGATCCGTCTCCTGGGCCTCCATCCCTGGGCTCCTGGGGCGGAATTGGGTGGGGAAGGAGGCAAGAGGAGACACAGCCACTTCCGCAGGCACGCTGGTGTCATCGCACTGAAAACTCCAAACCTGGCAAATGTAAGAGGATTCACTTAGCACCCGAACGGGGCTCTGCAAACATTGCCCCTCCTCCCCCGAGGTGTCGGCACCCCCTGGATTAATGTGTCTCGGCGAGAAGGGAGCGTGCCAGTATTCAGTGTGACCTTGGATCCTCCATCCCTTCGCCTTCGGGTGGAACTCCACTGCAGAAGCTGGCTGCGGTTCATGGGGGATGGGGAAGCCCCCACGTGCTGGGTTCCTGGGAATGCTAAGTGCAGGAGAGGAAATGGTGTTCTTGGGGCCTTTTTGGGGACTGGCCAGAGCCCGGTCACTTGGGAAAGGGTGAAGCTTCCTTGGACCCGACATCCCCTGGGAGGACCCTCCTTGGCGAGGGGAGGAGCCCTGCCTGGCTTGCTTCCTGGGTGGCTCCTCCCTCTGGTGGTCCTCAGTCAGCACTGGTGGCATCCCCAGAGCTGACACCCAGTTCCCCCTTACGCAGCCGCCTGGGGTGCCTGGAGCTCAGTCCTCCCCGTGTTGATAAATTGAGCTTCTCTTCTCCACGGTTCAGGGCGTCGGGGTGGGGACGGGGCCATCCTGCACAACCCCCCCTCGCCTCTTAATGCCTTTTCACCCCTGAGAGCCTGTCTGCACAGCCTGCGGTTGGTCGGCCGCCTTGTCATTTAGCTGTTCCGAGCCAGTGATCGGGAGGCAGCACAAACTGTGGCATTTGCTGAGCGTAAAAATTCAATTAATTCCAGAAGGCAGATTAAATATAAGTGAGTTTTAATAATTTGCTGTAAAGTCGGAGGATTACTGTGGGCACGGGGAGGGAAGCCACACATGCGTGCTTGAGCAGGCTGGCACAGTCTCGGGGATGCCAGCCAGGGTGGCTTCCTGGAGCCACTCATTCCTCCCCGCAGGGTACACCCCCAGCTCTCCAGAGGACACCCTCCTGCGAGGGTGGTGTCCTGGGGGTCTCCCGCTGGAATTCTGGGGGACGGTAGGAAACGCTGGCCCAGTCTTTGATTCCAACCCTGTTCCCCCGATTACAAGGGTAATAGGCAGGACATACAGCGATTCTCAGTTGGGGGTTCCTTCTAGGATCCCCAGGGAGTGAGCTGTCTGCCCAGGCAGACCTGGCCATGTGTGCCCTGTGCCCTGCAGCTCTGCCAGCAGCCCCTGGTCCTGTTCCCTCAAACTCACCTTTCTCTGCCTGCTTCCAGGGTCCTCCATAGCTGACGGCTTCCAGGTCTGGGCCCCAGGGTGGTTTTGTTGTCATAACTTTTTGGAAAGTAAAGCAGTATCAAGAATGGGCTGCAGACTCCTCAGATTCCAAGGCTCTCGGCCTTTCCAGGACCGCCCCCCACCCCCATTCCAACACACACACAAACACACACACACACACGCCTGAAGTCACACACGCAGGAACTCACACATGCTCACACATTCGCACGCAAACTCACACACGGGCCCTGTGCTCTCCCAGCATGCCAGTGAGTGAGTCACCTTCCTGCAGCACCCCCATATTCAGATGCATGTGAGAGTGGGGGCTTTTCATGCCTGCCTTTTGTCTTTACCCACTGCCAAAACACAAAAAAACAAAAGAGGAGGCCTCACCCGCCCCCCGTCCTCCTCCTGTCGTGCCACGAGAAATGAGGCCTGACCCAGAAAAGGCAATTGCTGGAGGGGCTGTCTGGAGCCTGCCTCCCCGGCGGCCTCTGCTCCCAGGGAGGGGAGTGAGGGAAAGGAGGCAGGCAGCTTTTATGTAAAGACAGTGATGGTCCAGTGAGTACAAAACGCTGTTTCAAAGCCAGCGTTCATCACTACCACTTCCCACTGTGATCTCCATAGATTTCTTTGTCTCCTTCAATTGGCCCTAATTATGGAGCTGGAGGCTGCCTGATCAGTTTCATTCTTGTCATGAAATCCTGAGGGCACGCATGGGGACGGGGACACAGGCTCGCCAGCTGCACAGCCCGCAGACTGGCCTTGGGTCTTTGTGTGCGTGCGTGCCGGTGCGTGGGCCCCTGTCTGTTTGGAGACCTTCCTCCCCCTCTGCGTGTTCCCCAAGATGCCAGGCTGGTTCGGGGCCCCTGGCTCCCCTCTTTTTGGGCAGGAGGGAGTTCCCAGTGGGCCTCCCAGCTGAGAACTGGCTAGCTGGGATGTGCATATGGTAGGCAGGCTGGGATGCTGGCTACCACCAAGATGAACACCTGCAAAGATGAAAGCCACAGCCAAGCGGAGCACACCCCGCCTTCCCTCCACGCTGCCTCTAATGCCCTAATTATGCCGTGTTTGTTTCAGTAATTTACACTCTCCGGGTACTGATCCATCAATAGTGAATGTATTACCTGTCTCCGTGAGGTTTGGGAGATCCAGGATGCTGCTTTGAGAACGCCTGCGAAGCAGTAGGATCGGGGAGGTGGAGCAGTTTCCCCCACCCCTCCCTCTCCCCGCACGCGTTCTTTCTCAGATGGCAGCGTTATTTGGCGAAAGCCATCTGAGGCTGGTACTTGGTACTGCTTTTCCGTTCCCCCTCCGTTTTATGCCTTTTTAATATTTAAAACCATCATTGGGCTGAACGATAAAATTCTTTCAAATCAAATTTTATCCTCTAATCTCGTGCATTGGCTTCCCTCTGGCCGGAAAAGTTGGTGGGAGCAGCACGGCTGAGCAGGGTGTGGGGGTGGCTCTGCAGGATGGAAACGCGTGCCAAGGTGGAGGCTGCCAAGACCCTCGCCCCCTGCACTCCTTCCCCCACCCCTCCAGCCCCATCCACAACCTCCAAGGAGGCAAACCGTGGGGCCACGTGGCCCGGGTTGTCACGGTAATGGGATGCGCCAGAGATGGCCAGGGAAGTCCGAAGACCTCGTCTTCCAAGGCCAAATCCAGCGTATGGGGCAGGAGCTTTCACTGACGGGAAAGAAAAGTTGCGAGGACATTTTCTAAAAGGTGAAAAAAAAAGGCGTGATCAGCTGCTGAGCCGTTTGCCGCTTTCCACCTGCTGTTGTCTCTGGCGAGGCCACAGAGGATGGGACAATAAAAACGTGCTGGCCTGCAGGAACCCCTGCTGCAGCCCTGCCTGCCCTGCTGTGTGTCACCGGCGTCCTGGGGTCCAGAGGCTTCTACCCATTGGTCCCCAAGGGCTCCAGGAACCAGAGGCCCATCCAGGATGGCTCCAAGCCCTGCCCTGGGGCTTTCCTTCTCTCTTCCCTTTTTGGCGGTTCTTCTGTATGGCAGCCGAGAGGGCATTTTCAGGGTGCCCAGGCATGACCCCTGAGCTTGGAGGCCCGTGCCGTGAGACCCCATGGAGTACGCCCAGGACAGCAGGACTCTCCTCTGTGTCGCCTACGTTTCTCCAAACACTCGCTTTGGCACGTGGTTGCCTTTGGGGTGTCTTTCTGCCCAGCTGGGTCTCCATGTGGGGAGGAGGGAGGGAGACTTTCCTGCCCTGTCCCAGCCCCAGTCTAGACCCCTCCCATCATTGCAGTCTGCTGCAGGGCCCAAGGGGCCCATCCTGGTTCTGGAACTCTTCCTGCATGGCCATGGGCAAGTGCCGTCCCTTCTCTGGGCCTCACTTTCCTTGTTTATAGAGCTGACGGCGATGACACGAGCATCATCCCACTCTGAGAGCTTCCCAGCCAGTGTCTTAAGTGTCTGATCCACATACATTTCCTTTGGCTGCAGGGTGCGACTTGGGACCTGTGTGAGGAGTGTGGACTTGGAGCCAGCCTGCCTAGGGTCACTTCCTGCCTCTGACAATTGTTAGCTGTGTGACCTTGGGCAAGTTACTCAACCTCTCTGTGCCTCAGTTCCCTCACTTGTAAATGGGGGTAATAGAAGAGCCTGCATCTTGGTGGGAGGTGCAGGTTCACCCCAAGGCTGGCTCCCTTTGAGGGCTGGGAGGGAAGGGTCTGTCCAGGCAGGCCTCTCTCCCCTACTTGGCCGTCCGTTCCCTGTGTCTCTTCGCATCATCATTCTGCTGTCTGCATCTGTCTCTGTGTCCAGATTTCCCCTTGTTAGAAGGACTCCAGTCAGTGGGTTCAGGCCCACCCTACCCCAGTGTGACCTCATCTGAACTAATTAATTACATCTGCAATTTCCAGATGAGGGCACATTTTGTGGCACTGGGGGTTAGGACTTCAGCGTAAGAATTTGGGGGACACAGTTTAGCCCATGACATAGGTGTTGCCTCGGACGGCGGAGCCCTGGCCTGGATGCCTTTGTCCGTGAGGTTCCCGAGTGCCGAGTGCCGGGAGGGACAGCCCCTCTCCTCCAGCCCCATCTCTCTGATCTCGCCTTCCCATGGGCTCAGCCCGAAGGCTGTTTCATGAGCGTCATCATCGGTCGGCCCTGGTATGTTTGTTCTTCCAGGGGCTCCCAGGATGGATCCAGTCCCTCCCGGGAGCCGGGCCACACCAGCTGTCCCACTGCCAGGCCGCATGGCCAAGAGTCGCAGCTGCTCCTACAACGTGCTCACGGGCCCGACGCCGGCCCCCGCGCCCCCCCGACTGCCGTGCTCCATGGCTTCCCATGTGGAAAGTATCACCCCTCCCACCTCTGAGAGCAGCCGTGTGAGACCCCCGTCCACAGCCCCGGCATGGAGGGCCTCTTTCTCCTGGGCTGCAGGAAACCCCGGAGCCGGTGGGCTCTCCTCCGTGCCCCCAGGCCCCCTGGCAGCCCCTCCCTACTCCCCCAGCTCAGGCGAGCTCAGTGCAGAAGGCACAGTAGCTAACTTTCTTATTTTAAATAATTCCAGCATGCAGCGCGAGAGGAGTAAGTGCCCGCAGCTGCCAGGGGGCTGGATGGAGCTGTTTTGATTGCACTACCATGGTTGAGAGTGAGGGTTGGTTACAGGCTGTTCCTTGCTAGGCTCGCATCACCCCTCTAAGATGCAGAATTGTGTGTGTGGTGGGGGCACCTCCATCTCTTGTAGCCTGGAGGAGACAATAGTAGGATGGGCCTCGGCCTCTGGCGGGAGGGTACAGGGTGCTGGTCCCAGTGTGGGCGCTCTGGTCTGAGGACGAAACCCCCCCCCCCCCAGACCAGACCCCATGGTCTGGAGGGCCCGGCCGTGGAAGATGAAAACAGGAAAGAGCGGACGGGAGAAATAAAGGGGGAAACGGCGATGTGGAGCCCCAATTGCTAGCAGATGGCGCTGGTATTAGGAAAATGAAAATACATGCAGTAAATTTGCTATTAGCCAGTGTTAATTTCTTATCCCAAGGTAAAAACCTTCCCCCGGCCCTGGCCGTACCATCTGCATGTTCATAAAACACATCACAGCAGAACTGATCACGGCAGTGTGCATGTGAGGCTGTGGGTGGTCAGGCTTCAGAGGGGGAGGGGGAGGGACACCGTGCACCTGCTGGGCTCCTGGGGACACAGCGGGGGCTTCACACCTTCGGCCTAGGTACATCCAGGTACGATCCTGGGCGAGGTGGGGGCTTCTCAGCTCAGCCCAGGCCCCCTGTTGGTTTTGCCCCATCACTGAGCAGAGGCTGGAGTATGGGTTGCAAGGATCCCCAGGAAGGTTCTGCCACCGAGAACCCTCTCCTGCCCCAGCTGTTCCTCAGGGAGCCAGTGCTAGAGGGCTGGGATACTTAGTCTGGGTTGGCGGATAAAATGTTACAGGACTTTCCTGCCGGTTGGCAAAGAGGCTGTTCCTCGCCCTACCCCCAAGCCTTCCCGGACCCTTGGGCCCCCTCCCCCAGCCCTTCCCGTGTCTGGACGGTGAAAGAGTTAAGGTTTTGCAGGACAGGCAGGCACCACCTTGCTTCAGCCCCTGCCTTGCCGGGCTGGTTGTTAAATGTAACGTCACCCCTGTGGATGCCCTCGGTCATCGTAATTGGTCACCTGGCTGTCACCGTCCCCCGCCTCTCTACAGGGGAGGCAGTGTCTCTTCGTCCTCCTCTTTCCAGAGGCCAGGGGATTCACTGCTGCACCCACCCCTTTGGTGGTGGGCGACGCTGTCCTTGCCAGCTTCACTTCACTGGGGTGAGCCCCTCTCCCCAGCTGGCCTCTTGCATCTCGCTCGATTCCCCACCAGGAGGGCAGGGTCAGCCAAAGAATGCACCCACTGCTGGCTGCCACCAGCTTCCCAGAACGCTGCATTCCCTACATGGCATCGGCCACCAGCCTGGCCGCTCTTGAGGGGGTCCCTGGGCCTTGAGAGAGGCAGCACATGCTCACTGGCTGACTGGCCCCCCCTTCCCCGCTGCGGGCCTTGGGGGGCCCGTGTCCCAGCCTGGGCCTGCTAGGCTGCTAATTACCAGTGTGGGAACGGCTTTATGATCCTCAAGGGCCCTGAAAGAGCCCCCCACATCTGGTCAATTAATGCTGAATCTGTAATTCGGATGACATACAACCCCGGCCAGTGCTCCAAATGAGGCGATTAAAGAAAGGGCTCTTCTCCTGCCTCGCCAGAGAACAAGCAAAACCGGGGGCTTCTTTATTTCTCGGGATTGATAGGCCCTGTCTGTGACCTTTGCTGGGACAAGAAGTATTATCAGGAATATTTCTGTATTTCCCGACTTGGCGGGCTGCATAAATCTCCTATCAACTTGGGCAGGCGGCGAAATCTGCCGTGGCCGTTATTAACAAGGAGCACTTTCCTGGAGGGAGGGGGGCCTTTGTCAGGGGGCCCGGGGACGCTGGAGGGCTGAGGACAGCCCAGATAAGCACCCGAGGCCTGCTGCCTCCCAAAACGGCCCTCGGCCTCTGTACCTACTGCCCTGGGGGGCAGCTGTGCGCACAGCTCTGGGGAAATGAGAGTCCCCCCAGGGACTTTCACATGTTCACACTCACACATATTCACACACACGTTCACACTAACACATGTTCACACATATACTCACACATCTGCGGGTGGGGTACACTCCTGCATGCCAGGAGGGCCATGGGCTGTGCTGACTTCCAGGCCCCCAAATCCTCCCCTTCCCGGGATCCCCGTGTACCCGCCTCTCCCCTCCCTCCCTCCTCTCTGCCCAGCTGGGGACTTTTCAGGCCCCACCCCCACCGGCTTCCTAGCAGGAGCTGAAAGGAACGTTGGTGACCACTCTGCACCCCAGACCTCCTGCCTGGGGCATGGGAGACCCAGGATGCCACCTGAGCACCTGCTGGGGTGGGGAGGGTTTGTGGGTGGCTTCTAGGTCGGGCAGGGCCCTGTTTCTCAGCTGTGCACACAGGTGGAGAGGGAGAGGGCTGTGGACCTGAGAGCCCTGGACGCTGGGCAGAGCCTGGATGCTGGGTGGGCAGGGCCTGGGCTGGGTGGGAGCTTTGACACGGCGCGGGTGGAGCCTGGGCACTTTTGGAAGAACTCCAGAGGAGCCATGGCGGGAACCTGGTGGGTTGAGTTTCCCTGGCATCTCTGGAAGGTGGGGCGGGGGGTCCCTGGTATTTGTTTACCAGCTCTCCAAGTGAATAACATTTCTGAAGCATCGTGCCTGAGCATGTGTGACCCAGTGTGTGTGTGTATGCGCATATGTGTGAATGTCAGTGAATGTGTATGTGTGACGTGTGCAAATGTATGGCGGTGTATGGAATGTGAACGTGAGATATTGTGTGTGTGTGAACGTGTGAATGTGACTGTGTGAATGTGGATGACTGAACATGTGTGAACTTGTGTGACATTGTGAATGTATGTGTGAATATGTGTGAGACGTGTGTGAATGTGAGTGTGAATATGTGTGAATGTGTGTGAACATGTGTGAGATATTGTGAACATGTGACAGAGACATTGTGTGTGAAGGAATGTGTGTGATGTGAACCTGAGTGATTGAGCATGAATGTGAACGTGTGTGACATTGTGGGAATGTGAGAGTGATCGTGTGGTGTGTGAATGCATGTGTGAATGTGAGACTGTGTGACCTGTGTGAATGAACATGAGACGTGAGTGTGAATGTGTGAACTGTGTGTTTATGAATGTATCTGATTGTGAAGGTGTGTGTGAGGCGTGTGATTGAACATTTGTGCAATTGAACGTGTGTGATCATGACCCTGTGATTGTGAGCGTGTGAGTGAATGTGTGTGACATTGTGTATGTCACTGAATGAATGTGTGTGATTGTGTGAACATGTGTGACCTTGTGTGCGTGTGTGAACGTGTGGGCCCGCGTGTGAATGAGTGTGAACTTGTGTGAACATGTGTGACTGTGTGTGTGAACGCATGGGCCCATGTGTGAATGTGAGTGTGTGTGATTAACGCGTGGGCCTGCTTGTGAATGAGTGTGAGTGTGTGAGATTGTGTGAACATGTGTGACATTGTGTGTGTGAACATGTGGGCCCGCGTGTGAATGAGTGTGAGCATGTGTGATTGTGTGAGCGTGTGTGACATCTTGTGCATGTGTGAACGCATGGGCCTGTGTGTGAATGAGTGTGTGTGTGATTGTGTGAGCATGTGTGACATTGCGTGTGTGACTGGGCCCGCGTGTGAATGAGTATGAACATGTGTGATTGAGCATGTGTGACATTGTGTGCATGTGTGAATGCGTGGGCCTGTGTGTGAGCGTGTGTGATTGAGCATGTGTGATATGTGAATGTGTTTGAGACAGCGTGTGCGTGTGGGAGGGATGGAGTGTGTGTGGAGCATGTGTGGCGGGCCCTTTGTGGGAGAAGTGGGTGTTGGGCTCCCGCCCGGCCACGCTGCACCACCATTTGGCTCTGTGACCCTCCGCAGCTCACTCTGCCTCTTGGGACCCCTCTTTTCCGTCCTGTAAAATGGGAACCCCGTTTTCCCCAGGGCTAGCCGAGAATCCCTGGGATGAAGCTTGGGCCGCACTCGGTGCTGACATGCGGTGGGGGGGACCAGACGTGCTCTCGGAGCTGGACCAGGGACAGCCCACAGCTGTGTGCCCTCCTGGGGAGCAGGGCACAGGGCATTTGAGGTGCCTGTGTCCCGAGGGCCACCCTGCCCTTTCCTCCTTACTCTTGTTCGTGTGGGAAGAGATGCTAGGGCAGAGGCCATCGGGACTTACAGACCCCCTGACATTGGTGGCAAAATTGGGGTCCTTCCCTGTAGTCCTAGCAGAAGGTCCACGGCTTTCATCGGATCCAGAGAACAGCGCCTGACCCTGGGGTTGAGGTGTAGGGGCCTCTGTCGGGCCCTCCTGGTTTATTTCCAGGGCCCCTGGAGGTACCCAGGAGTTTAATTGTTTAACTCTAGTTTCCCCTCCAGTTGCTACCCTGTCACCCCCAGCCTGAATTAGAACTGAGGGCCCCAACTCAGAAAGTGGGGAGATGAGGCTGGTTAGTTTGGGCCAAGAGAAGGGAGATTTGGGAGCCCAGTGGCTCTAACTTTTCTCCCGACTCCCAGATGCGGATGGAGCCTTGGTGGGAACTGGTTCTTTGCAAACAGCCAACCTTTTGCTCCTCACAGCCTTGCGGGCTCAGCGGTGCTGGGGAGGGGTCCTGGAGGCAGTCACCTGGCTGTCGGCAGTGCCCCCCGTGGCAAGACCAGCCTCCCCTCTGACCCTGAGATGGGCATGGGCTGGGGGTGCTGGGGGCTCCTGGCTGCAGGCAGACCAGCCACTCAGGGTCCGGACCTCACCGGGACTCCGTCGGCTCCTTTTCAAAATCAACTGTTGTTCTTTGTAGAAGAGGCGTTTCATTTCTTCATTCATTCCATAAATGGACAGCCAGGGACGGTTCTGGGTGCTAGGAATTCATCACCAACAAAAGACAAAAATCCCGTGTTCCTGGAGCTGACTTTCCGGAGCAGCGCTGTCTGCTGGAACATTCTACACTGATGGAATGTTCTAGATCCGCGATGCCCAAATCGGAAGCCTCCAGCCACATGTGGCTATAGAGTGCTCAGAATGTGGCTGGAGCAATGAGGATCGGATGCACTCGTTGTATTTAATTTTAATTCACGTCAGTTTAAGGCTAAGTAGCACCTGCGGCCAGGGGCACCCCCCGCCCCCCGCTCCCGTCAGTACAGAGCTAGTGGGAAGAGCTCCGTGTGAGGAGGAGCTTTTCTGTGCAGATTTTTTCTTTTTCTTTTTTTCTTCGGGTTTTTTTGTTTGTTTGTTTTTGTTTTTTTTTTGAGACGGAGTCTCTCTCTGTTGCCCAGGCTGGAGTGCCGTGGCATGATCTTGGCTCACCGCAACTTCCGCTTCCTGGGTTCAAGTGATCCTCCTGTCTCAGCCTCCCAAGTAGCTGGGACCACCATGCCCAGCTAATTTTTGTATTTTTTGTAGAGACAGGGTTTCTCCATGTTGCCCAAGTTGGTCTCAAACTCCTGACCTCAAGTGATCCACCCACCTTGGCCTCCCAAACTGCTGGGATTACAGGCGTGAGCCACTCTGCCCGGCCTGTGCATATTTTCTTCACTGACGCTGTTTCCAAGTCACAGAGGCCTTCACACGTGTCTGGGAGGGTTTTGCCCGGGCACTTGCAGGGGTGGGGTGGGAGGAGCATTTCTACCCGTGGCCCCTTCTTCTGCTTAAACACACGGCAGATCCAGAAATTTCTCTCCAGCAGAATGCAGCCCCTCAAGGATGGGGGCCTTGGTTACATCGGTTTTTATGTTTAACTTCCACCCAGAGCTTGGCGTTTCAGGGGAGCCTGAGTTGAAGGCACAAATGCGTGACAGTTCCTGCTCTGCCCTTTACAAGCTGTGTGACCTTGGGCAAGTTACTGAACCTCTCTGTGCCTCAGTCAATAGGGATGATGACGGCACCCCTTGCAGACCTTTTGGAAGGCTTAACTGGATGAGTCACCCTAAGCATTCGGAGCAGTGTGGGTGGGGGCGCTCTGGGTGGAGGAGACCAGCTCTAGGCGAGGGTGCCTGGACTCCCTCATGGCTGCCTCTCTCTCCAGGCCCCGCCACCTCTGTTCAGCCAGCTCTGGGAGACTTGGATTGCATTTGGCTATTGGAGAGTGTCACCCCATCTTTTAAAGCTGCAGGGAAGTGAAGGAATCATCCTCTCTAGTCCTTTTGTTTGGAAACTGAGCCCAGAGACCACAAGCAAACTGGCTGGGGTCACACAGCTGCTGGGTCAGTCACAGAGCTGGGGGCAACCGTGGGCATCCTGGTCTATCGAGTGGGTCATTGTGGTGGCTGCCGCCTACCTAACCAAACCTGGTCCCACGGGCCAGCTCTCACTGTGGGGCAGCCAGCTGGAGGGACGGGGCCAGCTTGCCCCACCCCGCCCCTCCCCTCCACAGCAGAGAGTGCCCTGGCTCCATGGGGCCCAGCACAAGCTCTGGAGGCCACAGGAGTGCCTCCCCTCCAGGGCCTGGCAAGGCTGGCTCTCTGCAGGGCTGGTCAGGTCAGCTGCCTTGATTTCCCTCTCCCAGGGGCCTGATGTCATCATTCAGGGGCAGCCTGGGGACTTGAGGGAGGATGCAGTTCCCACTGCCTTCTCCCGTCCTCCCCTCCCCTTCCCTTGCTTCTCCTTCTCCTTCCTGCTTCCACGTCCTGACCCCCTGGCCCTCCCCAGCCCGGCCCCTTAGCCTCCCCTCCCTCCCGGCCCCTCACTCCCCCCCTACCAGGGCTGCCCTGTGCTAGCGCCTGCCTGTGTGAATGTCTAATCTCCAATTTTATTCGCTGGGCTCCAGCCCATTTGCATAATCCACACAGTCACCCTGGTTTTAATTGCCCACAACTCTGCAGAAAGATCATGTGGTTAAGTGGTAAATCATAATTAGATAAATAATTGGTTTGGCCACAGCAAGCTGCTTTTGTTACACCTGCCATCTGCTGGACCCGTTTTTTCTTCTGGCCAGAACAATGCGGTTCTGATGACAGAGCATGCTGCTTCTCTCTTCTGGGGGGGCCGGAGGGGGCTGAATGGAGGGGCTCGGAAGCAGTGCCTGGAAAATTGCCCGGTTGCTGGGGTCCGCGCCTGGCCTGCGCTTCTTTCTCTCCAAGCGGGCACACCACACACTCGCCATTCATTACCCGGCTTGGTTAATGCATCAGAGTGGCAAATTTGACTTCTTTGCAGAAAAGGGAGGGAGGAAAGGGGCCTGGAGGAGGAGGGGGACCAGCCAGGGCTGCCCAAGGCCTGGCCTGCCTGCCGGTTGTCGGTGGCCCCGATGGGCCAGGGCAGGAGGCCTGCTGTGGAGGGCCTGGGCCCGATCCCTGGGGGGTTGGGGGGGGGGGGCGGAGGGGACAGGCGGGCAGGGGTTGGAACCGCCAGACCTCCCTGCCCCACCGCGGTCAGCTTCTCCATCTGCTCTCCACCGAAGCCTCCTTTATTTTCCATGCCCCAGGCCCCATCTGTGAGCCCTGAGTCTCCAGGGGAATTGTGGCTCCCTGGCTGGACGGTCGCCTGGCCAGGGCCTTCCTTGGGGCTGCTGGCCTGCCTTTCATGCTGTCCTTCCAGCAAGCTCTTAGCTCCTAGACTTCAGGAACGGTTTCAAATTGTCCTTCCTTCACTCGCTCCCTCACGCATACACGCACACATTCATTCATTCAGCAAACGCCCGTGGAGCCTCTTCCTACATCAGAGTGCAGGTTCGAACTTGGTCTCCGTGGGTCAGATGGCCGCTGTGGGATGTGAGCAAGTTTCTCAGCCTCTCAGAGCAGGTTTCTTCCTCTGTAACACAGGAGTCATTATTGTCCCTGCCTTCTGGGCCTATTAGGAGGATCAAAGGACAGAATGTGGATAAAGTCTGTCGAGTGACACCTGCACGAAACACAGGCCCAGTGTCTGTGGCTGGTGAGTGCGTGACTGCTGGTCATGCCCGCTCCCGGGGAGGGCGCCAGCGCCGCTCACCTTGGGCATCATTGGAGGCCCACGAGGCTGTGCTGAACATGCTGAAGGAAGAGGTACCAGTGCCATGGGAAGGGCCCAGGAATGAGGAGCCTTGGAAAGAAACCAGGGGGCCAGGGGAACAGGCAGAGGGGCGGTAAGGAAGGGCAGGTTCTCTGGGGCCTGCACAGGCCAGGACGTTCCTGTCTCTGTTGAGTTCGGACTGGCAGGTTCTCTGGAGCCCACACAGGCCAGGACGTTCCTGTCTCTGTTGAGTACAGACCGGCAGGTTCTCTGGGGCCCGCACAGGCTGGGACATTCCTGTCTCTCTCGAGTACAGACCAGCACATGGTCCTGCTCTCTGGCCCCTGCATCCCCTCCAGACTGCGTTCTGGAAGCCCTGCCCAGGCCTCACACGCTGCCCCAAGGGTCTTTATTACCTGGGGTCTTCTAGCATTTTCCTCTGGAGAAACTCAGGAAGCATCCTTTCTCTGCATCCTTTCTCTTTGGGGGCCCAGCTTCTCCTTTTCAGTTTGACAGACACAGCCTGAATGCCCAAGGCCCCTCTGCGGAGACTTAGAGACTTAGGCTGGTGGAGAGGGTTGTGCCTCCTGGCTGAGAACCCCTCAGGGCAGATAGCTGGCTCAGAGTCCTCATGGTCTTGTTGATCAGGAAACACTGGTATGTTCCTTCCTGAAAACCCTCTGATGCCTGTTGAGGAGCCTCTAGGACACGTTCCATGTGGTTGGGACTTTGTAATGCCAGATCTTTTCTGTGTTTTAACATTCCTCCATCCATCATCTACCCATCTACCTTTCATCTATTTCTCTCCCTCCCTCCCTTCCTTCCTCCCATCCACTCACCCACCCATTCATTCATGCACCTATTCCTCTCTCTATCCCCACACCCAGCCATTCACTCATCCACCCAACCATCTATCCATCCATCCCTCTATCCATCCATTCCCCCACCCACCCACCCACCCACCCACCCACTCTTCCATCTACCCACACATCCATCCACCCACCCACTTTTCTATCTGCCCACCCACCCATTCCTCCATCCACCCACCCATTCTTCCATCTGCCCACCGATCCACCCACCCACCCATTCCTCCGCCCTCCCACCCATTCCTCTATCCACCCACTCATTCCTCCATCCGCCCACCCATTCTCCCATCTGCCCACCCATCCATCTACCCATCCACCCATTCCTCCGTCCACCCCTGAACCCATCTGTCCCTCAACCCATGCACTCATCCACTGTCTATCCGTGGTCCCTACATTTGGTCTAAAGGTAGGATCTTTTCTCTGGCAGAGACGTGGCTGCCTCCCCCACCGCTGCATCGCAGCTCGAAGGACGGATGCATCTGCTCTTCTCACATCAGCATGATGGTCCGCCTAACGTGAGGGGAGGGGGCCTGGCCCACCTTAGCTGCAGAACGCATCACTGACTTGGGAAATGAAGCCTCAAGATAGTTCCCCGGGGAGGAGCAGTGTTCTCAGACTTCTGTGACGCTTCTAGACTCAAGCTTTCAGAGAGACTCCCATGACAGCAGCCGGGCACCTGGCTCACTGTGTTCATCATGTGTGTGCTCGTGTGTTCTGGAATCCTCCCAGGAAGATTCCGCCTTCAGGTGGCCCACCTTGTTTTCTCCATAAGCCCACATACACCTCACAGACCAAATATCATAAACGTTGGCTCAGAAAATTTAAGTTGTTTCTGTATTCTAACATTATGCTGCCCAATACAGTAGCCACTATCTATTTATGCTTAATTTTAAAATTTTAAATTAATGAAATAAAATCTAGAATTCAGTTCCTTTGTCACACTGGCCACAATTCAAGTGCTTAGAGGCCATGTGTGCCAGTACTGGACAGTTCAGATGGACAACGTTCTCTTCATCATGGAAAGTTCAGCCAGGCACGGTAGCGCACAGCTGTAATCCCAGCACTTTGGGAGGCCAAGGCGGGCAGATCGCTTGAAGCCAGGACTTCGAGATCAGCCTGGCCAATGTGGCAAAACCCTGTCTCTACTAAAAATACAAAAATTATCTGGGCGTGGTGGCACACACCTGTAATCCCAGCTACTTGGGAGGCTGAGGCAGAAGAATGGCTTTGTAGTTGTTTTTTTGTTTGTTTGTTTGTTTGTTTGTTTTTGAGATGAACTCTCCCTCTGTCACCCAGGCTGGAGTACAGTGGCATGACCTTGGCTCACTGCAATCTCCACCTCCTGGGTTCAAGCAATCCTCCCTGCCTCAGCCTCCCAAGTAGCTGGGATTCCAGGCGCCCGCCACCATGCCCGGCTAATTTTTGCATTTGCAGTAGAGAAGGGGTTTCGCCATGTTGGCCAGGCTGGTCTCGAACTCCTGACCTCAGGTGATCTGCCTGCCTTGGCCTCCCAAAGTGCTGGGATTAATGGCGTGAGCCACCGTGCCCAGCCAGGAGAATTGCTTTGAACCCAGGAGACAGAGGTTGCAGTGAGCTGAGATCGTCCCACTGCACTCCAGCCTGGGCAACAGAGTGAGACTCTGTCTCAAAAAAAAAAAAAAAAAAAAAAAAAGAAGAAGAAAGTTCTGTCAGAGAGCAGTATTCTACAAGTTTACTCACACAGATTCTCTTTTTAAATTAAATTTAATTAATTTGTTTTGAGAGACAGGATCTCATTCTGTTCCCCAGGCTGGAGTGCAGTAGTGAGATCATAGTTCACTGCAGCCTCAACCTCCTGGCCTCAAGCAATCCTCCCACCTCAGCCTCCCCAGTAGCTAGGACTACAGGTATGCACCGCCACACCTGGCAGATTTTTGTATTTTTTTGTAGAGATGGGGTTTCGCCATGTTGCCTAGACTGGTCTCAAACTCTTGGGCTCAAGTGTTCTGCCTGCCTTGGCCTCCCAAAGTGCTGGGATTACAGGCATGATCCACTGCGCCTGGCTGGATTCTTCAATAACTAAAAGATGGGCCAGCCTCAGCCATTACTGGTCTCAGGTTAGATCTTTTTGCATTCGCTCTGTAGGAGAATGAGCTGGGAATCTGATTTGAACTTTGATCTTCTCTGCTGCTGTGTGACTTGGGTTCAGGTGCTTAACCTTTCTTACGGGTAGAGATCGGCCCTCAGGGTATTCAGAAGGGTGTCCTGCTTCTTGTGGAATGGTAGAGAGGAGAGTGGAAAATGGAACATAAAATACCAAAATGACTGGTGCACTGAAGAAGCGATTCCTCGGAACCTGACCCTGGACTGTTTCAGGGAGGTGTATCCCATCTGCAAAAATCAGTGTGCAGGCATCGGCGTTTTTCTCTCTCTCTTTCTCTCCCAGGCCTGAGGTTTGGTTGTTTTTTTTTTTTTTTTTTTTTTTTCACTTTCTCATCTCTCAGCAGAGTAGGGCTGGACAAGAGGGCCCAGAAGGTTCTTTGCAGCTGGCTCCTGCTCTCTGGGACCCCATGTGCTGTGCCTGGGTTTGCCAGCACCCAGCTGCGCAGGGCAGTTCGGGTGGGCTGCCCACGAGAGCCGGTCCCTGTGCCTTGGTGCACCCTGTCTGTGGGCATCAGCTTTCAGGAGAATGCCCAGCCCCATCCCAGAGCCGCGTGTCTGGCCCTCCATGCTTGGTATCCTGCCTCCAAACGATGCATATTAGAAACCAACTTTGATCTTTCAGAGATTGCCAGTGTACTTTAAAACGAATGTGCTTAAGAAAGCACCAGCACTCCAAATAGCTGAGCAGGAACTTCTAATCCGTAGTGCCCGGACCCCGGGCTCCCTCAGCCACCAAGGAGCATTGCAGCAAAGGCAAGGGAAGACGCCTTCTGGGCAGGCAGGCCAAGAGGGGCTCCAGGCCACGTGGGCCTCCCAAGTAGGCATGGGGCAAGGGTTTGCATCCCGCAACCATTGAGTGCTGGGAGGGCTGGCTTGGCTGCTCGGATCTTGGCTGTCACCTCTTCCAAAAGTTCTGTCCAGATGGGCTTTGTGGTGCGGCCCCCTCGTCCGTTCTGCAGCCTCTGGATGAGGACATGGCCCCTTGTTTGCTGGAGCAGGGACCTGTGGTCTGTGATCAATGACAAAGCCCACAGGCGGTGATTGGAGCATCGGGGCAGTGGTTGGCACAAGAAACTGCCAAGCCACAGGCCCTGCTCCATACCCTCCTCTCTCCTACTCCCCCTCAATTATTTTTCTTGGATGTTGTGAATTAAATCTTCCAGTAACCGCAGGAGACGTCTTCGGGTAAGGCCCACTCACATCTTCGTGCGCCGATAGAAGTTGTTAAATGAATAATGTTGACTTACACTGGGGACCCAATTCTCTCTGAATAAAATTCCCCCTTTGAGTTACCCGGCGCTTCCTGGAGAAACCATAAAAATAATAAACACATCTCGATATCAGAGGTTGGTGATGCTGCTTCAGGTTCTTTTGGAGAGAGAGGCGGGGGAGAAGAAATAAATTACAATTAATTTTTAAAAGACGATCACGCCACAGGTCAGATGACGAGGTGAGCTGGTGTCATGGGGTGGTTCCCCAGGGCTGAGCGGCAGACACCCCCTTAGAGCTGGGACAGGGGCTACCTGTGGACAATACTGATTCCTGGGCTCCGCCCTGGACCTGCCCCCAATCTGGAATGTGGGTGAGGGAGGTGGGGGTGGTGACACGGGACCAGCTGGTTCTTGTGCAGAGTGAAGTTTGGGGATCGTGAGTCAACGGAAGTGGCAGTGGGGTGCATCTTGGGATCTGGCTTCCTGGCCGCGTGCTTCCCTGGCCACCTGTGATCACAAGCCTCTTGCATCTCACCTCTGTGGCCTTCTCTGGACCTGAAGAATTGCCAGAAATGGGCTGAGGCAGTTGGAGGAGATGGAAGAGACATTTATCACAGGCCCTACCCTCTCTTCCTTTCTCTTTCTCCTTCTCTCCCTCTTAAGATCCCTGAACCTGGCTGGACACGGTGGTGTGCGTGTCGCCCCAGCTACTTGAGAAGCTGAGGCAGGAGGATTACTTGAGCCCAGGAGTTAGAGGCTGCAGTGAGCTATGATCGTACCACTGCCAGCCTGGGCAACAGAGACTTGCCACCTGGAAGACAGATGAGGCTGTCACCCCAGTCATGGGCAAGGCTCTGAGACTTTTCCTCTCTAAAATGGGAGGGCGGCAGCTGTCCTCCCTGTGACGGGGACCTGGCAAGGTCCCTCCTGTGTGAGCCCCTTGAAGCCGTGCCTGGCTACCCCTCTGGGTCTCTGTGGCCTCCGAGGGCGGCTGCGGGTATTCTCTATGCATTGCAGCCAGAGAGACACGGGGTCCTTCCTCTTCCAGGCCCGCTCCATCCACGTGGCTTCTTTGAGCTGAGCCTGCTTTTAAGGTGCCACCTTGGGTTATTCACGGGAACACTCACAGGTGGGGTCTGAGCGGTGTGGGGACTTTCCCAAGGTCACAAAGCAGTTTGCTGGCTGAGCCAGGAATAGAACTCCTGAGCCGGGCTGTGATCACCCTGTGCCCAAATGGCCAGGCAGGAGGGGGCTGGGCCTCCTCGATGCTTCCATGTGGGCCAAGGGGAGGGGCTGGGAAGATGTCACCCAGGCCTGATGGGGAAGGCCAGGCTGAGGGCTCTCTCGAGGACCACTGTCTTTCGTGGGAGAGGAGAGTGTCTGAACTCCGGGTGAGAGGCTAGTGTTGAGAGGCAGTGGCTGGCTGTGGCTAAGAAGGCTGTGGTGTGTGTGTCTTAAGATCATTTGGGAGCCTTGTTAAAAAACACACACACACACACACACCCCAAACACACACACACACACACACACACCCCAAAAACCCAGCATTTGTTTTCCTGGTGGCTCTTTGCAAAACACTCCAGCTATGAAGAGGGGAGGGGCTGGCGTAGCATCGCAGATGTAGGGACTCTGAAGGCTGATGAAATAAACCCATCCTTGTCAACTGGGGAAAGGCACTCAGCAATCCAGGACAAGACGGCATGGTGCGGATCCTGCAGGAGGTTCCCGCATCCTTTTTTGGCTGGGTTTATTTTGGGGACAGGAGGGCTGTTTGGCGCTGATGAGGGTTTGTGTCCTCCTAGGGGCTTCTTGATTTCATTTAGCTCAGTCTCCTCTCCAACGGCTCAGCTCAGTGAGCGCCTGGAAGAAAGTGAGAATGCCAAAGCAACCCCTCGGTGGGAGGAGGGAAGGTCGGCTTCCACCAGTGGGGGGGTTAGAGCTGCCATCCAGGAGGACTCCCTGGAGGAGGCAGAATTTTAAGCCAGGGCTTGAAGGAAGAGGTCAGGGTTTGAATAAAGGAGATGGGGCTCTGCTGGGGGAGGATACAGCAGGCCCAGGGAAGGGTGGTGGGGCTGGGCGAGTCTAGAGAGACTGTGAGACGCTTCCAGACGCCCCTAGTGCAGTCGTGAGGGCCAGGAGGGAGTCTCAGAGGGGAAATAGACCCCAGAGGCAGGCTGAGGGAGAGGTGCCGTGTGAGGGGTGGGAGGGGAGCAGCCCCAGGAGAGGAGGCAGCAGGGGTGGGGCAGCCATGGGTGTCTGCCAGGCCCACGGCAGTCAGGGAACGTGGGAGCAACTTTACTGGCACTGGGAGGGATTGCAGGGGCCAGGCTGGTGGGGAGGAGGCCTTTCAGAATGGGAGCTCAAAGACAGGCCAGAGGAAGGCCAGGCGGGAAGAGGCTCTCTGGCAAGAGGCAGAGCTGAGGCAATCAGGTAGAAATCAAGGTGGGGGGGTGACCTGGGGACCCACTGCCTCCACGCTCACCTTCAGCGCGGGGCCGGCAGACACCCAGAAGGGCCACAGGCGGCTGACTAAAAATCTCCACACCAGGAACTTCGAGCGATGAAAACAACTTTGTCCATCTAACCTTTCCTTTTTGATTATTTTAATTTTTGTGAGACCAAATTTTAAGGACATAAACACAACAAGAGCCGCAGCAGAGGGTTCCTTGCAGCCGACGTGAGCTAGGGAGCTGAGGCCCAGGTCTTGACCCCGCGTCCCCAGGGCCCGCCTATCCTGTGGTGGGTGAGGGCAGAGCTGCCCTGGACACCAGGGTCTCCTCTGTCTGCGTGCATCGCTTGTCGAGCCCGCGAGTGATAAAGGCAACTGGGACTTGATTGTCCGAGTGACAGTTGTGATCTTAATGACCGGCAGTAGGTTATTAATCAAGACATTTGTCAGGAGCACTGGGAGGCGGCGGGGAGGGAGAGGGAGAAGACGGGCCTGGAGGAAGAGAGAGTGCAGTTCTAGAAGAAGCTCCTCCGTGGTTCAGATCCCAGCCCCACCGTCCAGGGAAGTTGGCCTCTCCTAGGTTTGCAGCAAGGATGAAGGCAGAAGGCCGGGCACAGTAGGCACTTAACGAATGCTGATTCTGAGCAGCCAGGACTGCTGCCAGGGCCGGGTTAGCAGCACACAGCGCCCAGGGGGTTGCCTGGAGGCCGAGGCGGGGGCCAGGCAGGGAGGAGGCGGGGCGGGAGCAGCGTGTGGACTGATTCACAGGCCTGCGTGTCCCCAGCCAGTGCTACTTGATACGGAAAAGAACTTCGAAGGCTTTTAACATGTGGTAGAAAATCAGGGAACAGGGACCCAGAAATAAAAGTTTCTAAGGATCCCTGGGAGGCTTCTTGGGGGCTAATGGAGACCCTTGGGCCCTGGCCGCCCTGGGGTTCTAGAACCGCTCCTGGTCTGCCGGTGTGAGCGAGCTCCCCTGACCTTGCCGGATCCCTGCCCGACCCACATCTGTCCTGGGCCTAGGGTGACCCGCTGCTCCAGAACCCGGCCTCCTGGGTGCTCTCTGGGCATGTAGCCTATCTCTGGGTGGTGGCCTTGGTGGGGGCCTGAGGTGTAGGTGTCCTCTGAGCCAGTGGATGGACCACGAAGCCAGAGGAAAGCCCCTCACCCAGCCTGAGGACAGCCGGTTGATCTTTATGAAGGAAGACAGTTCCTCCCGGGCTTTTGAGTGAATCACCCAAATTTCCGGTCCACTGGTGTCCAGGCTCAGCAGGTGGAAGTGTACTCACTGCTGCCAGCGATGTACCCGGTTACAGGGGCTGCCCTTGCCCTCCCCCGCAGGGGCCCACACACTGGTCTCAGGTCAGGGGTCTGGGACCGGAGCGGGGCGCTCCGTGGGCAGCTGGTGACCTCTGCAGGCCTTGCTTCCCTGTGCCCCTGCCTGGGCTGCCATCCCATCCCCTCCAGGCCTGCCAGGGTCACAGCTGGCCGCTTTCCAGCCGAGTGGCCAGGTGGCAGGAGCTGCCTTGCAGCCCTGCTTGGAGACAGGTGTGTTCATTTCAGTGTCACGACCTCCAGCTGCTCAGAGCTCACGAGGCAGCAAGACCCGCCTTTCCCCTGCATGGGAGAATTGTCAGTGAGGACAAAAATAGGTCTGCAGCTTTGAGGGAGCTCAGCTGGGGGAGGGGACATTGTGAACCCCTCCATCTCAGAGCTTGGGTCCACAGAGAGGGCACCGTGTCCGTGGAAGGGGGAGAGACGCCGAGTGGGGAAAGTTCCCTGGGAGGAAAATGTGCTGGGTCATGACTGGCTTCGCTCGTGACTCTGCTCAGCCCCCAGTGCCCGAGGGTCATCCGCACAGCCCGAAAGGGAGTTTCCAGGGGATGCTTCTCTTCTTGAGGCTTCTCTGGAAACTACAGGCCCTGCCCTGCATCTGGCCTCTCCCAGGGACAGGCAGAGGCCTTCAGATTGGATTTTTTTGTTTTGTTTTGAGACAGGGTCTCACTGTGTCGCCCAGGCTGTGGTGCAGTGGTGCGGTCATGGCTCACTGCAGCCTCAACCTCTCAGGCTCAAGCCAGTCCTCCCACCTCAGCCTCCTGAGTAACTGGGACCACAGACATGTACCCCCAAGCCTGGTTATTTTTTTATTATTATTTTTTGTAGAGATGGAGTTTCACTATATTGCCTGAGCTGGTCTCCAACTCCAGGGCTCAAGCGATCCTCCCTCCTTGGCCTCCCAAAATGCTGAGATTACAGGTGTGAGCCACTGGGCCCAGCCCAGATTGGATTGTTTTTAATTGAGGTGAAATTCATGTAACATACAATTAGCCGTTTTAAAGGGTACAGTTCAGCGGCATTTAGTACATTCCTAATATGCAGCCCTCGTCTCTGTCCTGGTCCAAATCATTTTCTTTTTTTCTTTTTAATTATAAAGAAAAGCGGTATAATTGGTTCATGGTTCTGCAGGCCCTGCAGGAAGCATGGTGCTCACATCTGCTCAGCTTCGGGGGAGGCCCCAGGAAATTTACAATCATGAGGGAAGGCAAAGAGGGAGCCAGCATATCACGTGGCAAAGGCAGGGGCAAGACAGAGGGACCAAAAGGACCACCCCAAAAGGAAACTCAGATCCATTAGCAGCCACTCCCCTCTCCCCTCCCCTAGCCCTAAGCAACTACTCCTCTGCTTTTTGTCTCTGGATTTGCCTGTTCCGGGCATTTCATACAAATGGAATCCCCCTTGTTTGTCTGGCTTCTTCCATCCAGCATCGTGTCTTCAAGGTTCATCTGTGTTGTAGCGTGGATTAGCACCTCAGTCCTTTTTATGGCTGAGTAATAGTCCACTCACTGTATGGATAAACCATGTTTTCTTCATCTATCCATCATCTGATGGACATGTAGGTTTTCACTTTTTGGCTATGATGAGCCATGCTGATAGGAACATCCGTACAAGGTTTTGCGTGGACGCGAAGGTATGTTTCATGCCTCACTGTGTATCAGGCCCCATTCCTTTCTGTGGCTGAATAATATTCCATTGTACACAGAGACCACATTTTGTTTATCTCTTCCCCCCGTTGATGGTCACATGGGCTGATTTGATAATTTTTAAAGATGCACCTTCTGAGGCGGGAGGATCCTTGAGACCAGGAGGTCGAGACTGCAGTGAGCTATGATCGCACTACCGCGCTCCAGCCTGGGCAACAGAGTGAGATTCTGTCAAAAAAAAAAAAAAAAAAAAAAAAAAAAAAAAATATATATATATATATATATATATATATATATTTTTTTTTTTTTTTTTTTTTTTTTTTTTTGAGATGGAGTCTCGCTCTGTCGCCCAGGCTGGAGTGCAGTGGCGGGATCTCGGCTCACTGCAAGCTCCGCCTCCCGGGTTCACGCCATTCTCCTGCCTCAGCCTCCCGAGTAGCTGGGACTACAGGCGCCCTCCACCACGCCCGGCTAGTTTTTTGTATTTTTAGTAGAGATGGGGTTTCACCGTGTTAGCCAGGATGGTCTCGATCTCCTGACCTTGTGATCCGTCCGCCTCGGCCTCCCAAAGTGTTGGGATTACAGATGTGAGCCACTGCGCCTGGTCTGCTATCAGTATCTTCACACTTACAGAAGCCAGGGACTTGGGTGGCCGGCTGGGCCCCACCCGCTGTCCTGCTCCCCTTGCCTAGTGACCAGCCAGGGGCCGGCAGGGGCTGGGCTCACGCAAGTTGCTGGTGTGATTCTTGGAGTGTGTGTGACATTCCAAGGCCTCTCCTAATGTCGGAGGAGAAAAGAGTTCCGCTGCTCTCACTCTAGGCCCAATGTCCCAGGGCAGAAGTGGTCTAAGTGACCGACCTCCCTGCCCATCTGGTCTGGCGCCGAGAAGTGCTTCCTCGTAAAACTTTATTTGTCTGTGCTGCCACCTTTCCACTTCCTCCGCACAGCAAATGTAAGGGAATGCTTCTGAGCTCCAGCTTCGTCCCAGGCACTGGGCATGGCTCTCTCTATTGTCTTGTCTGGTCCTCACCAAAGTGGGGGCAGGGGGACACGTTCCTTGCAGGGCAGCAGCTAAGGAAACGGGTGTGCAGTGGGTGGAGATTTGCCCAGTCCGGCAGCTTGACTGCCATGTCCATCCTCCCCCTGCACCCCCGGGGGGGCCACCGGCTGTGCTCTCCAAAGCCACATTTTAACGTTTGCTGTCTGGGTGGTCATTGAATGGGGTTAACACGTCTGGCCCCAGGGTGTTTTTAGAGGTAAGTGGTAGAGAGGGTGCTGCCCGTAGCGAGCCGGATAAACTGAAGACCGCATTGTAGGTGATCAGAAGCCTCAAACAGCAGGCTGGGCTCATGGGCGGCCCAGGAGCTGAGACTGCCTTGCTTGGACTGGAGATAGTTTCCTGATGGGAAGAAAAGTTGCAAGGAGGAGACCCTGCTCCCCTCTGATTGCTGCCAGTGAACTGGACCTGTTTCTGCCGTGGTTTCTGTTGAGTTGACATCATTGAAAGCTACCCATGTGCCCATCGGGCTTGGCCGCCAGCCCCTGCCCTCCTTCTCACCTCCACCACAGAAGTTTCGGCTCCTGCCCTTGAAGTCTGCCGTGGCACAGCCCACTCCAGCAGGCCTGCCAGGTAGACGGGGTTCTCAGCGCCCTGGGATTTTATAAAAGCCTGCTAAAATCAGACCACTCCGGAACACATGCTCTCCCGGCTTTACATCACCCATGTTGACAGTAGGAAAATTTGGCCAGGTTTCTCTCAAATATGAAAAATGGGAACTAGGCATGTGAGGAAATGAAAACCTGGCATCCCCACCCCAGACAGCAGGAGCGCTGGGAAGGCAGGGCGGACTTCTCCGAGCTCCACAACCTCATCCGTGCAGTGTAGTGATGCCAGCCTGCAGGGCCCTGAACGCGGACCTGGTCAGGTGCCCTCACACAGCTGCACTGTCTGGATGTGCAGGGGATGGAACGGAGGGCTTCAGGCCACCAGAGGCGGCTCCTGGCAGAACGTCTCCTTGCCAGGAAGGGGCCACTTTGCCACTGAGTCTGCCCGTCACTGGGTCCTGGAGCTTCTGGGTGACCCGGGAGAGGGACAGGTTGTGGACAGCAGTTGAGCCAGGCCCACCACCAGGGTGCAGGACCCAGCCTGGATGCCCTGGGATCCCTGTGGCTTGCCTGTGGCAGCCCAAGTGGACGCAAGCTCTTCCCAGGATTTCAGACACCTGGGACACTTAGACTTGGCCAGGGCCGTCTGGCTAGCAGGGGCCAACTTGTCTCCCAGACAGTAACAGGGCAAGGGGTATGTGTGGGGGGTGCTCACTGGTGGCAGAAGCGTCCAAAACTCCCAGGATTCTCTGCCCCCCATCAAGGGTCCGAGCGCTGCTCCCCCAGCCCCCTTCCCCTGCCTCGGCCTGGCCCCGCCATATAAAGTTTAAAGGTTTTAAATGCAAATATTTCTTTTATAGATGCCAGCTGTCTCCAGAGAGTGCGTTTCCTTGCTGTTCAACTTTACTGTCCAATTAGCTTCCCATATCTGGATACTGGAGAGCCTGGGGTGGGGGGGGCGGGAGGGAGGAGGGGGAGGGGAGCTGCAGGAGGGAGGAGAGCCATGGCTCCTGGGCCAGCTCTGGAGCTGGAAGCTGCCCTCTGGGACCTGTATCTGGGTTGGGGTCAGGGAGCCCAGGTCATAGAGTGGGTGCCTCTCCAGAGGTGGGGGTCACCCGTTTCAGGTTTCCCCGCTCCAGTAGGAGAGGCAGGAGCTGGGGGGCGGTTGGTAGCAGGGGTATTCTTTTCTGATTTAGAAAAATAAAAGCCAGCAGCCCCGACGCACACGGCTTCCTTTTACTCCCTCTCCCGCCCGCTTTCCAGCCGCGGTGGCGGCGTCCCCATTCACCAGGGCTCGGCGGCGCTCACAAAGCGAGGCAATTAGAATTGAAAATCTATGCAAAACAGCTGTTAACTGATTGTAAAGGAGTGCAGCTGTGTGCGGGGTGCGGATTGGAACCAGGCGCTGAGAGGGCAGGAAGTGTGGGGCAGCCCGGGGTTAAGAGGAAAACTCCTCAAAGGGAGTTAGCCGGGCCTTAACCCTTTCCTGTTCCCCTAGAGGTGACCTGGGCTACTGAGGGCCACCTGAGCTGCTGGGGTGGGGCTCCCCCAGCATCCCTGGCGAATCTGGTTCCTCCCCAAGAGGGGGCAGGCAGGGAGAGGCGGGCGCTGCTTTCCCCTCTCTCCCTCCAGCCTTTATCCAATCAGCAGATCTGGGTTAAATCTTAAATCCTGCCCAGGGTCTGGGGACTGTGTCCCTGCTAGGAGACAGGGGCCTTCTTCCCTTGAGGCCCCCACTGCCACTCTGGAGCAGGGAGTCTGGGACTCCAGCAGACACGCTGTGGCCCGGCCTGCAGGGTGGCTGGTGGAGGATGCTTCTTCTCAGGCACTGCTTGGAGACCTTGGCTCCGTAAGGGGAGGGGCCTGGGGATCTGTATTCCTCCCCCCCATGATTTCAGACCCACTGCACTGTGTGATTGCTATCTAAGAGTGGGACGCAACCTGGAGAGATGAATTCCAGAGGCAGGGATGGGAAAAGCCTTCTTGCAAGAGATAAGATGTAAGCCGGGCTTTGAAGAATGGGGAGGATTTCTGGGCCAGTGATAGCAGGGCAGGAAACAGAAAGAGGAGGGTGGAATCTAAGTGGTGGGGGCTTGCACCTTCACCGATGCGTAGGGCAGGGCTGGGGGCTGAGGGCAGATGGGGTAGCTGGGCAGCCTTCCACCCCTCAGCTCTTCGTGCCCCCCGGATTCAGTGCACTCTGTGGACTTAGCCCCCCGCCCCTTGCCCCTGCACCGGGGCTGGTAGCCTTGGGGAGGGTGGACTGTGCATACAGGGGAGCTGGGTGAATCCCAGGGTGCTCAGCTCTAGGCAGCTAACGGCTCCCTCCCCCGGCCCCCAACCAAAATGGTTTTCAGGCACTGGACAGCTGCCCAGAGGTAAGAGCGTAGACCTGAAACCGCTTGAGACCTGTCGTACCCCTGCAGGTGTATCTTTCTTAATAATCAGAGTGACCATGGCAGGTGGTTACCGAGAAGTGCTGCCAGGTGTAAGAGCCACGTCTGGATGAGACTCGTGCTGGAATGTGTGTGCCTGAGGCAGGCCAATTAACCTTCTCAGGTCTCCCCACTCGGGCTGTGTAATGGAGGTCACTGCCTGCCTTGCAGGGCCGGGAGGGCTTCCAGTGACATGCGCTGAGCAGCGCTGGCTCTTGTTAGGTGCTTGGTGAATGGCACAGGTGATCTTTACCTCCTGGCCCACGGACATCCAGGTCCCTGATACTTATTGGCGGATCCAGGCGCTGAACAAGGTGCCCAGGCAACATAATGAAGGTGACATGCAGTTCCTACGTGCTAGGAGCAACTGGCCAGGATGGAGAAGGACCTTGGGTTAGGCTGTGTGCTGTCCTGCTGAGCCCTAGAAGAAGCAAGAACCAGAAAGAACGTGTCCGGGATCCATCCTCCGCCAGGGCTAGGCCGTGTGCTCAGACTTAGTGAGGTTGTGACAGTCACGGGTGGCGCCCGCACCCCTGAGCACCTGACGTGGCCCAGGTTGATGCCCAGGCAGTGGTGGTGGTGGTCTGTGCTGTCATCCTGCCCCCTTGCCTTCCAAATTTCCTTGCTGCCTTGAAGTGTCCCCTCTGTCAGCATCTGCCCTCTGCTGTCTGTCCCTTGCCGCCCCCACCTTTAAAAACAACCAAAAAAAGACAAGGTCTTGCTCTGTGGCTCAAGCTGGAGTGCAGTGGCACAATCATACCTCAGCCTCAGACTCCTGGGCCCAAATGATCCTCCTGCCTCAGTCTCGCGAGTAGCTGGGACCACAGGCTTGTGCCATCACACCCAGCTAACCCTGGCCTCTCTGAGGTGCTTGCTGAAGGCTTACTGGAATTTTCAGTTTTGTTTCTGGAAAACCAAGTGTGAAACACAGCCCAGGGTTTAGTGTGTTTGTTGAGTGAAAAACCGCCCACCCTCTGTGGTTCAAGGCGTCCCTTTCTTTCTGGTGGATCCTCCTAGGACTCCCGTCTCCAGACACCCCTCTTAGTTCCTGAGCTCAGGGAGTAGGTTTAAGGTGTCTCATGTTCATCTGAGATGGAAAGCTTTCTTTTTTTTTTCCTCCTTTGAAACAGGGTCTCACTCTGTCGCCCAGGCTAGAGTGTAGTGGCACAATCTCAGCTCACTGCGACCTCTGCCTCCTGGGCTCAAGGGATCCTCCTACCTCACTTTCCCAAGTAGATGGGACTACAGGCACACGCCACCATGCAGGGCTAATTTTTTTTTGTTTTTAATAGAGACAGGGTTTTGCCATGTTGTCCAGGCCGGTCTCGAACTCCTGATCTCAAGCAATATGCCTATCTTGGCCCCCCCAAAGTGCTGGGATTACAGGCGTGAGCTACCATGCCCTTAGGAAAGCTTTTAAATTTTAAATCTCTTTTGTGGTGCAGGTCTAATAGGTTCCAGGGCTTGTGGAGGTAGGGCTAGAGTTTGCACCTAGGTGTCACTGAAGCAGGTACCTGAGGCAGGTGAGGGGCTGGGAGCCTGCCTTCCGCTCTTGGAGGCACAGTTTAGCTTGGCAGGGGCCTCAGGGTGTGAGCAAACGCGCACCAGGCACCAGCATCCTGTTGCCTTGGCACAAAGCACAGTCCGTGGTAAGGAGCACCGCGTGCAGCATCCCCAGGGCAGGTGTCCTGCTCTGGGAGGTGCCTCCGTAGGCCTGGCCCTGGCACCTACCTAGCTCCTTCCAGGCAAATGGGAGTGGAGGGTGGGAAGGAGGTCCAGGGAAAGAGAGCTGTGCCCAGGAAGGGCTCGCACTATCTGGGGGCGCGGGGCTGTGGGTAGGGCGCTGCTTAGGAAGAGAGAGGAGGAGGAGCAGGCCTGGAGGGAAATGGAGGGAGGCCAGCCTTAGCCCCAGTGCTGGGAAATTAGGAGTCAAGCGACAAACCTCGTTAGCGAGGAGCGCGCCGGCTGCAGGAGAGCAATTCCCACCCTTAAACTCGGAGGCCGTGCTCCGGATTACTAATTTCCGGGGGCCGGGCGCACTGACAGTGAGTGTCATCCATCTCCCCCTTGCCAGCCCGCCTGGTGGCCGCCAGCGTTTCCCGGCCAGGACTCACAGAGCGGCTCGCTGCTGCCCCCCGGCGGTTGCCGGGGTGTCCGGCAGCGCCTCGCTCCCCTAGGCCTACTGGGTTGGGAAGGGGAGTGACTTCCAGGTGTGAGCAGTTTGGGGCGCAGCTTGCATGTCACCTGTGTGCACATGATCTTGAGCAACTCAGGGCCTCAACTTCCTCATCTGTGAAACGGGACCAGACCACCCATCTCGCAATCCAGGGGAGCTAGATGTATACGCCGGAGGGATTGGCCGGCTCTAAAAAGCCGAGTGATGCACCTCCCAGTGGCCACTCCACACGTTTTTGTGGTTGGCCGTCGTGGTCCTGCTCAAACAGGTGGAGAAACCTAACCCCACCTTCACCCCTGGCCCAAGGGCCTCTCCAAGGAAGAAGGGAGTAGGTGGTGGCACCGTGTCCGGGTGAGAGACCTGGAGGTGGGGCCTAGGTGTCTACCCGGCCAGGTGCGAGAGGTTCATTTGCATGCTGTTCCCCTCCCCCCGCAGCTTGTAATCCAGGTGGGAAAGGGGTTGGGCCAGTCCCGGAGGTGAATTTTGTTTTTAAGGCTCGGGGCCAGTCGTCGTCCATTCCTTCCTAACACCTCCCTATCCTCCCCTCCCCCCGCCCGTGACTCCCAGTGGGGGTGGAGGCGCCCCTCCCCCTCCCCCTCCCCCTCCCAGCCCTGGCCGCCTGGGGCCGGGTGAATCCGCCGGCCAGTGCGGGTATAAATTACCCGGGCCCGCGCGGCCGAGCCACCGTGTGGTGCGTAAATTATAGCGTCCGGCCAAGGCCGCAAGGGGGGCGCCGCCGGTGAGCTGGCGGGTCGTGCGGGGAAGCAGCACCCCCGCGCCGTGCCAGGGCCGGCCAGCGTCCGCAGGTAGGAGCCAGTAACGGCCCGACCCGGCCTCGCCGGTCCGTTTCCCTTTTCGTTTGTGGTCTGCCCGGAGCCTTGTGCAAGGCGGGGGGCCGGCCCGCGTGCGCCCCCACCTCCGGGCCCCGGCGCGCGCTCGGTCGGAGGTCGAGCGGGGAGCGTGGGGCCTGAGGGAGCCCGCCAGACCCTGCCCCCCGGAGGGCACACAGGCTGGTTCTGCTCCCCGCTGGCGCGGGCCCCGAACGCTCTAGGCCCGCCAGCGTCATCGGGAACAGATGGATGGGGGGTGGCAGGCGCCCAGCGCTCGCTCCCGTCGCAATCCGGGCTGGCGCGGGGAGGGGGAGGGAGGAAGGCGGGGGAGGCGGGCTCGCGGGGACGGCAGCGTGCGCGCCTGCCAAGCCTGGCGCGGGCATGTCCCGGGGCAGGTTTGGGGCTGGCACGAGGGGGCTGAAAGTCGAAACCCGCACCGCAGCGCAGCGCTGGGGCGGCCGCCCAGGGGGTGCTGGTTTGCCCCAGGGCTCAGAAGTAGGGACGCGCTAGATCAGAGGGGTGTTGGAAGAGGATGAGGAGGGAGCGACCCCGGGGCCTCAGAGCCGCCCGGGGGGGTTACAGCCCAGGGCGCCAGAAGGCGGCAGGGGAGGCTCGCCGACCCCTGCCCCCGAGGCCCGCCCCTTTAACCCCGAGCTTCCTGGGGACGCGCCCGCCGCGATGGGGTGGGGGCGGGGCGGGGCGGGGCGGGGTGGGCGGAGCCGGGGGGTGGGAAGGCTGGGGCCTTCAGTCCCTCTCCGCGCCGCCTGTGGGTGCCCAGGAATTTCAGGACGCTCCCTGAGTCATTCCAGTCAAGTGCCTGGGTGAGGTAGGGTGGGGGGTGCCAGGAATGGGGAGGCGCTGCGCTGGGGCCAGAAGCGCAATGGGTCGTGCCAGTTTCTGGAGGCGGGCGACCTCGCCTCTGACCGCAACCCCAGCTACTTAATGATCCCCCTGGCGAAGCGGCGCCTCCGTGGGTTCTCCAGCCCCTGGGCCGCGGGTTCTTTAAAGAACACCCCCCGCAGCGGCCCGCAATTGTGGCCTTCCCAAAAGTTACTTAAAACTGGGGGGTGGGGTGCCTTATGGAATTTTGAGGCCAAGTTCTTAGTATTCAGCCTTTTCTAGTTGGGGTAATAAGGTCAGGCATGGGGGGGGTGGGGCTTGGGTACACAGTCTGTTTTGTGTCGCCTCCCCCCACCCCACGCGCCACCAGCGCCCAGAAAGTTGTTCTCCAAAAGGCCTCCAGGACACGGAGTTACCCGTCCGCCCATTATTGGGCCTGCTCTGTGTCAGGCACTGTTCTAGGTTCCCGGGACGCAGCTGCGAGACAGGGCTCCGCTCACGTGGCGAGGGTGCTGCACTACTTTAAGAGTTAAGTGGCCGGTCTTAGCCACCAAGGTCCCCGGGACCCCCGAGCAGTCCAGCCAGGGGCTCCCGAGAGTGTGGGGGTGGCACCTCCGCGGCCCCGCTGGTGTCCCCGGCTCACCTGGCCGGCCGGGCCGGGGAGGGGCGTGTGCCTGGGCGGGTGGATCCGGGCGCCCGTCGGTGCGCGCGCGCGCGCCTGTGTGTTTGCGGCTGAAACCCGACACCTCCCGCTGGCTGAGGTCAGGGAGCCGGGAGCGAGCCAGTGGCCCGGGAGTGGGCGGCGTTGCGTTTGGGTGTGTCCTCGGCGGCGACAGCAGCAGGTGTTTCTTGGCCGGGGCCCCGGAAGCTCCACCTCCCCAGCGGGCCCGAGCTGCCGCCGCCGAGCAGCCCCGGGTGAGATAAGCAGTTTAGACAAACACTGGGCGACGGTGGCTCCAGCATGTATCAGCCGAGGTGGAGCTGCGGGGCCCTGGCATGAAAGGTGAGCGCGCCGCACCCGGCCGGGGACGGGGTCCTCCCCCCTCCCCCCACCGCACTGTCCTCCTGCAAGTTCGCGGGTTTCGCGGGGGCGGCCGCCAACGGCTCCCGGGCAACTTCCCCGGAGTGTTAGCGGCGATAAGAGCCGGGAGGGCGGGCAGGCGACCAAAGGCCACCCCCTTCCTCCGCCCGCGGGTCGCAGCCTGGGAGGCCTGGCTGCGGGCGGGGACTCGGGGGCTCCGGGCTCAGGAGTGCGCTCAGCGGGGGATGGGGGGGGTGCGTTTAAGTGCGTGCGGGCTAGAGGGCAGGTAAAGTGGGGGGATGGGGGTGGCGGGGGGAGTCTCCGAGAGCTGCGGGCGCTGGAGAGCTGGAATGAAAACTTTGCGGCGACGCGGGAGGGAGCGAATGGGGGTGGCTGTGCGCCCCCGCGGCAGGTGCTGGCGACGGCCGAGGAAGCGGGGGTGTGGGGGGGGGGGGTGCTCGCTACTGGGGCCGCGCCGGTTAGGGTTCTTGTCTTGCTCCCCTCCCCCTCCCCGACCCCTTGTCTCGGGGGAGTTGGTCGGGAGGGCGGGACCGCAGCCTGCCGGGTTTGTGACCCCCACGCCCTGCTTCCCGAGGAAGGGCGCGCCCCGGGCTCGGCCGCTTCTCTCCTCTCTCTCCCCCCACCCCCGGCGGAGCGGCTCCCTGCCCCTCCCCTCCCCCCCGCAGAAGATGGCTGCCCCAGCCTCGGAGGTGGGAGAGGGATTGCACATCCGCCGCCCCCCACCCGCACTGGCCTTTTTCCCTCCCCGGCCCTTCCTGCTCCGCCTGGATGCGCCTCCCCGCCCCCAGCCCTCCCGGGCCCTGCGGCCGCGCTGATGGGCGGCGAGTGGCCCGACCGAGTGGAGCCGATTCAATTATATTGCAGCACCAGAGACACCTCCTCGGCCGCCCGCCCGCCTCTCTAGCAGGCTAATTAAATTCCCTTCATGGAGGCGGAGCGGGAGTGGAGCTCACCCTCCCTGCGCCCGCCCACCCCCAGCTTTCCGCCTCCCCTCCCCAGCGCCGGGTGGGGGACCAGGGGGGCACTTAGAAATGTGCGGTGGAGACTCGAGGCGCAGGCCATAGGGAGGGGGTTCCCAGATGGGGGGAAGGGACACCGCGACACCCTCATTAGATGGGGGAGTGGAGGCTGCGCCCTTTCCACGTGGTGGGCCGGGGGCCTGGCCGCAGTGCCCGTCTGAGTTCCGAGGGCAGCGTGCTGGCGGTGGGGGAGCACCTGCCGGGTTCCCAGCTGGGCGGTGGATGCCAGCCGGAGTTGAGTCGGTTTGGCTCTTACAAACTAGCCTTTGTACAAAGTGCGTTTAAAACACACTAAACCCTTGCTCCCCGCTGCGGTGCCTTATCTGGGGCCTGAGGGGTAGCGGCCACACAGGTTGGGGTTTGGAAACAAAAAGCGGGGCCACCAAATGGAAAGAGGGCTCCTTTTGTAAAAGGCGCCTGAACAAAAGGCCCAGCCGCACTCCGGGTGGAAGCGAACCCGCCTAAGCCGATTTCCAGGCGGCGGGGGACAAAGGGGCAGAGAGAAGGTCTTGGTGGGGGCGTTGTGAAATGTGCCCCCTGGTCGGCCGTCTCGTCCTCTCCTCTGGGATTCCGTGCTCCCGCCTCCCGGCAGGGGTGGAAGGGGGAACCCAGGTGAGCAGCCTTCCCTGGCCTCCCTCGGTGTTGCTTAAGCTTGGGGCACTTCAGTGTTGCTCACCCTGTGTTTACGGCCGCCTCCACCAGCAGGGACGGCAGAACCTGAGGCACAGGCTGTGCCTGACTCAGCCGCCACGCCACAGGTGAGGGGCCCAGGGCGCAGGCTCCGACGGCGAAGTGTGTCATCCCGGCCGCCGGCTGTGCAGGGAGTCGCCCCGCCCAGGTAGATTCAGGAGCGCTGGAAGAGGCCCTGGCCTGCGAGAGCAGCGACCTCGGTGCTTCCTAAGAGACTTTCCGAGACAGCCAGCCCCGTGTCGGCAGCGTTCCTGATCTCCTGCGGGCCGGGTGCGAGGATGGCTTTTGTCACTCTGGCAGCAGACACCAAAGTCAGGAGGGGAAGCTGGGGAAGCTGGAGCCAACCACGGTTTTGACGCTTGGAGTTTTCTTTCCTGGAGCCTTGGGGGCGGTGCCGGGCCAGAGCTGGTGAGAGCCCGCCAGGAGCCTCCGGTGACCTAGGGTCAGCCCTGCCTTGGGAAGGGAGGTCGGGAAGTCCTAGTTCTAGGCACAGTGAGGCTGAGCTCAAAACAAGGAAGGCAACAAGGTGTCCACTGTGGCGCAGGCTCTGAGCTGTTTGGGACAGTTTTTAGGATCTTGGAGTGTCAGAGTTCAAAGGGGCTTGTACATCTCCAAACTCGGTGTTTTAAAACTGCTGCTGGCCAGGCCTTTCCAAGCCCAGTTAAGCCACAGCCTCTGGGTTCCTGACCCGGGTCTGGGGGTTGTCAGAGCTCCCCAGCTGATCCTAACGTACACACTGGGGGTAGGAACAAGGGGCAAACTGAGGCTTGGGGCCAGGCGTGGGGCGGACACCGCGCTCACAGCAGGAAGCCTCCTCCGATGGCCCCGATGAGCCCTCCCCTCCAGCAGTCACTTCCCTGTCTCTGGGGGAAGTTCAGGGGCTGCAGATCTGAGTGCCTTGTGGTTTCAGAGCAGAAGCCAAGCCTGCCTGTGGGCTCAGCATCGCCGGCCCCAGGAAGAGCCAAGTCTGCACAGCGCCACTCTGTGGCAGACCGGGGTCCTGCACCTCTGAGCTAGAGATTCCCCCCTTCCAACCCCTGGAGTCCCAAATTCCCCTTGAGCCCCTGGAGCAGGTACTGTCTGTCCTCCCCTGCTCTGAAGGAGGCGGACTGGGGGGCCTTTGGGCTCGGAGCCCCGAGCTGAGGGGCAGGAGCTGGTGCCTCCCACTTTTCTGGAAGAGTGCGGATAAGCTAGAGGGCTGGCTGCTACCTTTTCCCTGCCTCCAGGAGCTCGCAGGGGCTTGTGGAGTCGGCTAGCAGGGCCGGTTTTTCCTGGCCCCATTTGAAGCCTTGGAATTCCCAGCCTGGGTTACTCGAAGTCCAAGGATCAAACCCTGGGATCGGGCCAGGGTTGGATGGGGACCCTCTCTGGGTAGCCTGTGAATTGTCTCTGTTGTGGCAACAGCAGGGTCCTCTGAAACCACAGGGCTTCCCCTCCCTTTCCTGGTGTGCCGGGAGAGCTGTTTTTTTAACCTGCAGAGATCCATGTTGCAGGTGACATTTCAGCTTGGTGGCTGTGCCGAAGCCTGGCCGCCTGGCTTTAATTCCTCCCCCAGTGGAGTCTCAGATCTCGGTGGCCTCACCGAGTGCGGTGTGGGACGCCGTGCTGCTGGCTTCACTTCCGCATGCTGGCCTTTCTCCCCCGGCTGAGGCCACAGCCTGGGAGGTGACGTTTCGGAGTGTCGCTGTCAATGAGAATTTATTGAGCTCCTCCTCTGAATCCAGCCGTGTGCTTGCTGCTGGGAGGTGTACAGACAGATAAAACAGGAGCGTGGCCAAAAGCAGCCCTTTGCATGCCTGCCAAACGCACACTCGGGGGCCTTTTAATCTTGCTTCTGCAGCTCTGATTCCCCACCAGCCTCTTCTCTCACGCCCTCAGCTCCAGCCAGACGAAACCACACGCCATTCTCGCCACTCCTGCGTTTGGCCACGTCCCTGTCCTAGCATGGGCCATCCCGTCTGCCTGGGATTCTCCCGTCTGCTCCAAAGCCCACCTGTCACTGAGGCCAGTCCACCTGCCCCTCCTAACCTGATGCCTCCCTCGCATCCATACTCCCATGCCCACCCCGTGTCTGGAATCAGAAGTTCAGAGGGGAAGTGAGAGCTGCCCCCGGGAGGCTGGGGCGGAGTCCAGGCCTGGAGGAAGGAGCTGTAGATGAGGGCAGGGCTGGTGCTGGAGAGGGCCTCTGGTTTACCTTCACCTGCACCTACCAGTCATCTGTGGAAAGAAGGGGTTGGGCTGCACTTGAGGCTTTTGTGGGTCCTTGTGACTTGGGGGTTTCTAGGGAGGCAGGTGGAGGAAGTGGGGAGCCTCCAGCTCGGGGGTCTCTCCTGGCTGCACTTTTGAATCACCTGGGGAGCTTTAAAAGCTCCCAGTGTCCAGGCTGTACTGCCAGGCAGTTCAGGCCAAATCTCGGAGGGATGCAGCCTGGGCATCCGTGTGTCAACCCTCCCCCCCCCCCCCCCGTTAACTGCCACGTGCAGCCCAAGCTGAGACCCTGGCTCTGCTTTCTTCCAGAGCAGCTTCCTAGTCACCTAGGGGCCAGGGTGGGAGCTTTTCAATGCTTGGCCCCCCTAATCCAGAAGGGCCTTCTGCTGGGGGGAGCAATGTGGGTAGGAATTCCTTCTCCTGGGAAGATGGGCTGATGCTGTTTCAGGAGACCTGGGGTCTCTCTTCCCACCTGGGAAGCCAGAGACCGCCTTGCTTGCCCCGGAATTGGATGGAGAACCCTGGTGACTCAGAAATGGACGTCTCCCCTCTACGCCACCTCCCCCGCAGGACGGCGTGGCACCTGTCACCTGGCTGCTCTCTGGATGTCTGTGGGCCTTGTGTTAACCCCAGGCAGAATCCTGAAGGTCATTCTTGCCTGGCCCAGGTGTGCTTTGAGCTCTTCTAAAGGGGCTTACAAATGCAGAGTCCCACTGGCATGGGTGGATTCGTGTTCACCTGCATCTCTAGCCAGGCCTTCCAATTCTGGAACCGGTTCCTCCAGCTGGAGGACTTGACGTGTCTGAGGAGGTGTGTGTAATAGTGGCTTTGGGATCACTGGACTGAGGTGGCGTGAGGGGGGTGCGTGCTAATGGTGACATAGATCCTTCCACTTTAATCATCACGTCCTCACCCCCACCCCCATGTTCTCATCTGTAAGACGAGGATGCAGAGGCCCTCTGGCAGTTGAGGGTGAGGATGAGATGCTGTAATGCCCGCCACATGCCCCTGACGGGTAAATGACAGATGCGGGTGAGGGTTGAGAAGGCCTGGAGCGTGGGGTGAGCCCCTGATGAGTGTCAGCTGTTACTGTGTCGATCAGTGCATCTGACTGTTCGTATCTGCCTCTTGCTTAGCCTGTGTGACCTCAGGCACTTGTGTTCTGGGCCTCAGTCTTCTAATCTGTGGAATAGGAATGACAATGTCACCTGTATCCTGAGGCTGTTGAGGGTTAAAGCCTTTATTACCAAGTGCCCAGTACAGCACCTGACACAGGCTCTGCAAAGCCTTGCGGCTACTCCTGTTGCTGTTGTTTTAATTAGAGACAGGGTCTTGCTCTGCTGCCTAGGCTGGGGCGCAGTGGTGCGATCACAGCTCACCACAGCCTCAAACTCCTGCGCTCAAGTGATCCTGCTGCCGCAGCCTCCTGAGAAGTTGGAACCACTGATGCGTGCCGCGACACCTGGCTAATTTTAAAGAAATTTTTTTGTGGAGACAGGGTCTCTCACTGTGTTGCCCAGGGTGGTCTCAAACTCCTGATCTTGGGTGATCCTTCCGTCTCAGCCTCCCAAAGCACTGGAGTTACAGGCATGAGCCACTGTGTCCAGCTTGGCTTTAATTTATAAAGTTCCAAGGCTCTGTTCCCCTACGCTCAACTGACTCCCTTGCGGTGTTGGGGGTGGCCCCTTTTCCCAAAAAGACTGGAGTTGCTTTTTCTGCCCTAAGGCTCAAGTCACCACAGCAGACCCTGCCGGCCCCTCTGCTGGGCTTTAACAACCGGAGGTTCTTTTTAGGAGCCTCAACGTCCCCTCGGGCTCACATGCACACCACTGCCCCCTTGGTGATTGGCACTCTGGGCCCAGGTGGCGGGAGATGCTTTAACAAACTGTCCCTCCCCCAGCCCTGCCCTTCCTGCGCTCGGATGGTGGGTCTGTGGCCACAGGCAGCAATGAAGGGTATCGACCGCCCAGCTTTTGGTTGAGCAGTATTGATGTTGGACAGGTTAAGCCGTCCCGAAGGAAAATCTATATGTCAAGCTGAGCACAAGACAGCTTGCGAGTGGAGGCGGGAGGGGGGTGGGGCGCAGCCTTAAGGGCCACTTCTAGGCTAACCCTGAGTCTTATCTTCTGGGTTGGGGGGCAAAGCCCGGGGGTGCCAAGCGATGCCCCACAGCCCCAGACGGGCCTGGAGGGACGGCAGGCGCTCTTACGTGGTGTGATCTGTGGGCAGATGGTGTGCCGGCCAGGTCTTGATCCCACTTAAGGAGTTGTCTCTGGGATTTAGTAACCAGATGGGAAAGACTGTATTTCTGTATCCAGAGGTGCTGTGGCTGCCCCAGCCTATGAGGGTCACGCCGTGGGCTGTGCGTCAGGCGTGGTGGGGGGACGTTTTCACCCCAACGTGCTCCTCCTCCCCAGGGAGGGACTGACTTGCTAGGCAGGGATTATCCCCATTTAGCCATGCACCAGGGAAGAAAGGGGCCCCGGGGATCCATATCCTCCCTGTAGTCACACAGCTGGTAATTAATTGGTAGAGGAGCAGAAACCCACACCATGATTTTCCCACTCCAGCCTCCTCACCCAACTCCCACCCGCTCTCCCTTAGAGCCTGGAGAGAGGTCACCGGCTGCTTCGGAAGGCCCTGTTTAACCTGGGCTGCTTATGGGGTGCGGTGGCTCAAGCCTGTAATCCCAGCACTCCAGGAGGCCGAGGCAGGTGGATTGCTTGAGCTCTGCAGTTTAAGACCTCCTCTCTACAAAAAATAAAAATAAAAATAAAAAGAACTGGCCAGGCTTGGTGGGATGCGCCTGTGGTTCCAGCTACTCAGGAGGCTGGGCAGGGAGGATCACTTGAGCCCCGGAGCTCGAGGCTGCCTGCAATGAGCTGTGATCGCACCACTGCACCCCAGCCTGGGTGATAGAGCGGGACTCTTGTCTCAGCAAAAAAACAAAATTAAACTGAGCTGCTTCACCCAGTCTCGGGATGTGAGTGGATTCTTCCAACTGAATTCCCAGTGTACATTTATCTTTGAGTGTATTTTTGTAATGTTTTTGCATTTGACATGTGGTATTTTTTCCATTCACTTAAATATACGAGGATCCACTAGACAGCCGATGCTATACTGGGTGTTGAAGACACAAAGTGGAATGCGGTTCAAGCAAAAATTCTCAGCCAGATGGGAGCATTGGAGAGACTTCCGCCTCCCAGAGGCTGCCGATCCACGCGGTCGTCTCTGCCGCCCGTCGGGAGGGTGCGGTTAGTCACCCCGTAACAGATAAGAAAACAGGGTTTCGGAATCAGCCCTTGTGGAATGCCTGGGCTGGCGCCCCACTCAGCCCTGCATCTCTGAGCTGTTGGGGAACCCGTTTAGATGGTCTCAGCCTTGGGTCTCTGCACTGTTCTCAGCCCTGGGTCTCTGCTCTGTTGAGGAACCCGTTTAGAGGGTCTCAGCCCTGGGTCTCTGCTGTGTTGGGGAAGCCGTGTAGATGGTCTTGGCCATGGGTGTCTGCTGTGTTGGGGAACCCGTTTAGAGGGTCTCGGCCCTGGGTCTCTGCTCTGTTGGGGAAGCCGTGTAGATGGTCTCGGCCATGGGTGTCTGCTGTGTTGGGGAACCCGTGTAGATGGTCTCGGCCCGGGGTCTCTGCTGTGTTGGGGAATCCGTTTAGATGGTCTCAGCCCTGGGTCTCTGCTGTGTGGGGGAACCCATTTAGATGGTTTCAGCCCTGGATCTCTGCACTGTTGGGGAACCCGTGTAGATGGTCTTGGCCCTGGGTCTCTGCCCTGTTGGGGAACCCGTTTAGATGGTCTCGGCCCTGGATCTCTGCACTGTTGGGGAACCCGTGTAGATGGTCTTGGCCCTGGGTCTCTGCTGTGTTGGGGAACCCGTTTAGATGGTTTCGGCCCTGGGTCTGTGCTCTGTTGGGGAACCCGTTTAGATGGTCTTGGCCTTGGGTCTCTGCGGTGTTGGGGGAACCCGCTTAGATCGTCTCTTGAAAAAGGTTTGTGTCCACCGCCCCCCGTGCTGGGGTGTGCAGGGAGTGGAGTGTGCGCTGAGATCGTATCTATTTTAAATCAAGCCGATGTCCTGGCGTCCTTTTTTGAATACAGTCTTATCGTTTTACAACGTGTTGTTTCCACCTAAATGTACATCTTATAAGACTTTATAGGACTAAGGAAGTTAATCCATCCTTAGCAGGGATGCCAGACCCCTGGAGCCTGTCACCTGGGCACAGGGAGGACATTTTAACTAAGCAGCTGGTTTCCAGGTTGAGACTGGTTGGGATCCTGCGGAGTGACTCTGAATCCACTAACAGCAGGACTGTGTCTGCTTGGATGCTGGAGCTGGGGTTTCTCCAGCCACGGCTGGCAGAGTGGACCCTGGGGTTTTGTGTCATCCGTGTCTCTTATCCACTGGAGAGACTGTTGTGTTCCTTCTGCCAGATTACCCTTGAAGAAGCAGGGGAGGGGAGGGCGCTCCGGCCCACCTCTGCTTACCTGCCCACCTCGGGCTCATTCTTCCCACCCCATACTCCCCATGCAGCCTTCAGGACAGGAGACATAGCCTGGACTACTTCTCATGGCGCAACAAGAACTTTGTTACCAGTCTTGGTGGCAGAGACTGCCAGCTCCCAACAGCCAGGTCTGCACCTGACTGGGAAATTTACTAGTTCCTCACTGGGATTCTGGAGGGGCGTGTGTGTGTGCATGTTGAGAATTACAGAATCATTTAGACTTAAGCAGTCAGCCATTCAGCAGTTGACAGGATGATTGTGGCCGGAAAAGGTGACCAGTTTGTCCTGTTTGGTGGCTGGGTTGGATGAGGGAGTCCAGGACTCCTGGCGCATGACTGTTATGGGAGCTTTTCCTGGACAGCTCCATTCCAAAGTCCATCTTGGCTGAGGGTGCTTGTTGGTTTTTTCCAGTGAGGCATTTAGTGATGTCTGGGCACAGCACTTGGGGCTTTGAAGATGGGAGACGAGTCTGGACGAGGAAACGCCATTAGAACGTGGATGGTTCTGGGCCCTTTCTTTTTCCACCCTGTATTTCCTCTGTCCAGGCAGGTCATATTGGGGAGGGTGTTCATACTCGTGGGTTGCCACTTAGGGAACTCTGTGCTGTAGGAGTTTGTAGCCTGGGTTCATGGATGCTACACATCTTCAAACACACGCTCCCACAGGGTTTACAGATAGGCTCTTCGAACTTGGTAAAACTGTATGTAACATGCAGTAGGTGTATTTTCCTGGGGAGAGGGTCTGGTCCGCCACTTTGAACCATCTTGAGAGTGGACCTTTTTGCAAAGGCGGATGTAACTGTTTTATGACTTGAGGGGCAAGTCCTGACTTGGTGAGCTTGCTTTGATTCAGGGGAGACCTACCTTGGGGTTGACACACGCCAGAATTGTGGCCTTCATAGGCGTCCCCTGAAGCTGAGCCTGGGAAGGGGTTGACCTCTTTCTGTTACACCCTCATGGAGTTACCGTGTCGATGACATCTGAGTGGAGTGTCTGTGCTGAGGGTTGCAGCTGCAGCTGCCGCAGGGCTGTTAGTTGCTCAGACCTGCATGTACTTGGAGAATTGGGAAGACCTGGTGTTGAGGAAGCTGGCTGGCCTGAGACCATAGGGAGGGGAGGGGTGCAGACTCTGGCAACCTGGAGAGTTAGGGACAAACTAAGGGAGAAGTGCCACTCATGGGGCTGTGGTTTTTATGGCTTAGACTTTTCGGGAGAAACTGGGCACCTTCTCGTTGACTTGAAGCCTCCTATTTTAAGACATTGCCCATTGATTCTCGTTTAAACAACACAGCGTGATTTCAGGTCAAATAAAAACAGGTTGAAGGGTAAAAGGCTGGCCCCTTGTCCACTCCTTTTTTTTTTTTTTTTTGAGACAGGGTCTCGCTCTGTCACCTACATTGCAGTGCAGTCGCGCAATCACAACTCAAGGCAGCCTCAACCTCCTGGGCTCAAGCGATCCCCCACCTCGGCCTCCCAAAGCGCTGGGATTATAGGCGTGAGCCACTGTTCACTGACCCTCTTGTCCAATCATTTGCACCCTCTCTCCATGGTACTGACAGGGAAACTGAGGCTCAGGCCATGCGGTGCCCTGGAAGTCCGCACTGAGCTGTTGGGCATGAGTCAGCCTGGGCCCACCCCCGTTCCCCTTGGTTTTCCAGCTCAGGACCAAGCCCTTTTTGCTCTGCCCCCATAGTGTGTTCCCTCGAGGCCCCACAGCTCTCAGCCTTCAGTGGAAGTTCAGGCTGGCTGAGTGGGATGTGAGGACCCCGGTGCCTGCAGGCAGGCACACTGCGCCTTCTGACTTAAAGGCGCCCATTTCTGCTGGTGTGGGCGTCCGCCCTGTTGGAGGGAAGGGACGTTTTCCAGTCATCACCATCTCCCCGCCTCTGAAGCTGGAGACCCTGGACCCCTCTTCGAAGGCCAGGTGGCCCTTTCTGCCCCCGCGCCACCTCCCCTGCTGCCCAGGCCACTCCTGGCCCCTGTATGATTGCTTCTTTGAGCACCTGTTGGTGTCCAGCTCCTGTACGGCCTGGTCCCTGTTCTTGGCTGTAGACTAAGGGCCCTGTAGATAGGTACTGGCACTCACTCGGTACAGAAGGGACAGGCATTCATAGGAGACGTCCTTGGATCCTCTCTCCCTCCCACTTACCTGAGGGAGCTTGTTAAACACTCAGCCTCCTCCACACTGGGGAGAGGAGAGGGGCCTGCATTTCGTGGGTCCTTGTGAGCAAGCGTCTCAGCCTCCTCTTCCTGCTGGCCCATGCCCCCCGGCCGCCACCCGCCGTCCCACGGAAACTTGGAGACCTCAGTGCCCGCCCTGGGGTGGGGGAGCCAGGTTGGATTTCCCTCCTGGGCACCTCTCACCTGCCTGGACACCTTGGACCTCATCCGTTCCTCTGCCCAGGGCCTCTGGAGGGAGGAAGGGCTCCCACAGGAGCAGGTGCAATGGAAGGCAGCCTGGTCAGCTCTGGTGCCATGGGCTACACAGGGCACCCGGGGGCGGTTCCGGCCTCTAGCACAGGTGCCCTCTGGCTGAGAGCTGTGGGAAAGTGGGGCTGGGGGAGGCCTCGAGTCCAGAGCCTTCCTATTCCCAGCCGTGTAGGTCCCGTCCGTAAAACGGGTATAGCACTAGGGTGGGCACCCAAACAGCCGCCACAGGGTGAGAGCTGCCACAGGGAGGGGACCCCAAGTGACGCCAGCCATTTCCAATCTCTTCGCACATTAAAGGGAAGCAGCCGGCACCATGGCCAGGACAGCTGGGTTTCCTTCCGGCTCCTGAGCCTCTACATGTGACCCGGGTTGAGGGCGTGAATCTCCAGCCTCCGTTCAGCCTCTGTAGGCTGGGAGTGAGCATCCCACTGTGTGGAATAAACAGGTGGAGAGAGGCGCCTGGGCACCGCCAGGACCACTGCCTCCGGGAAGCAGCCCATGGGGAGAATGTGACAAGGGACCCCAGGTACCGCCAAGGGCACAGGGTGGCGGAGGGGCTGGGAATCGGCCGGCATGGGTGAGCCCCCGGCTCTGTCTCAGCTGAGCTGTGTGGCCCCAGCGGCCTGTGTCACTTTGCTGTTCGCAGCTTTGCTTTCTGGGGTCTGCTTACGTAAAGGGAAGTAAGGGTACAGGTAGCCGGCGCCCTGTAAAAGTTGCCCCCTGGTACCTTGATCGCTGTTGGTGCTGGGCACCATCTCCCAGAGTCACAGCTCTGGACACCGACCCCAGCCTTGACTCAGGGCCCCGCCCTCTCCCTTGGTCTGTCGTGCCCCTTTAGGAGGCCGCCTCCCTGCCGAGGCCAGGCTGCCGCCCGCATCTGCCAGTCCCGCCCTTCCCGCCGCCCTCCTCTCCAGCCCTTCATCTGCCCGGCCTGCTTCTCCGCACACACAGCAGCCGCTTAGGATAATCGCGTCAAATGTTGCTGCCATCTGTTGCCTGACTTCCCGTCCCTCGCCTCCATCCGGGAACCTCCGGGACCAGTCCGTGGCCGTGAACCTCAGTCGCAGGACCGTCGGCTCCTAGGAGGCTGCTGTCCGCGGGTCCCCAGAATGCAACCTCAGCATCCAGCGCCTTCTGTGCAGAGCCCCCCTGCTGTCCTCAAAACTGTAGTGTGGCGTCCAACCTGGGAAGCCCCTCCAGGTGACCTGGCCCCCCAGGTGACACCCCTGGGATTGACCTGCTCCCTTGCACTGTCCAATGCTGTTGTGTGGACGTCTCCCGAGAGCTCTGCACCCCGTGTTCTTCTGCAGAACACGGCCTCCTTTGTGTTCCCAGCATGGCAGTGAGCAAGAGAAGGCTGGGGAGAAACCGGGGTGGCCAGCCCCCTCCCCGTCACCCCCATTCACAGCAGGACTGCAGCTTCAAGGGTGTCGTGGGGCTCGGGCAGAATATGGGGTTCAGGGTGGCTGCTGGGGGCCCTAGGCATTGCTTGGGAGATGGCTCATTGCGGGTGGCTCTACGTGGTTGACCGGGGCCCTGGAGGGCAGCGTCTGGGGGCTCCTGCCGTGGCTCAGTGAGCGTGGCAGAGGACAGGTCTACACGGGCCAGGCGCTGTGTTGCTCTTTCCTCCTGGGGTAGGGACTCCTGTGGCTGCACAGGTTGCCCCCGCCCACCTGCTTGTGTTTTCTCAGCCCTTCTTGTTCCAGGTCAGGATCCTGGCCACCTGCAAGGGCTGTCCTTTGCCTTAGCCATGAGTGATGGCCCTGGCCGGTTTCTGGGGCATAGACCTTGGGAAGCAAGTCCAGTATGGGGACCCAGGGCAGCCTGGGGGGGTGTTTTTATTTGGAAAAAAAAAATTAAGGCACAAGCAGGCTGCCCCCATGTGTCTGGAGCAAGAAGACCTCTCCCCAGGGTCTCCCCGCCCCCTCCCTTGCCTCCACCCCCAAGAAAAATTGCTTTGTGCCACTGAGCTTGGAGCACGTGGAGGGCAGATATGATAATGAATTTATCATGAAGCCGCCCAGGCTCCTGCGATCACGTGGTGCCCGTGCAGCCTCAGCCGCCAGGGTCTGTAGCAGGGTGACCCGACCTCGTTAGGGCCACGGAAGCTTCGCCCCTTTGGGGGAGTGGGGATCGCGGGGGCGGGCACCAGTCCCCGAGCTGGGGGACGCCCTTTATTTGTTCACAAACATTTCTTTCTGCGGTAATGAAAAATTACCAAGAGGGGTGATTAGAGAATCCAGGTCCAGATTGTGTGTGCGGGGCCTGAAAGTGAAGGCCTGCTGGGCCCAGCCTCACGGGGTGTAATTACCCCACGGGGGGCTGTCAGGGGGAAGGGGCGGATTGGTGCTTGAACCGGGACCCAGCAGAAAATTCACCTCAGCTATTAGCTTGTAATTACAGAGCACAGAGGGAGCAGGCCTGAGGTCTGGTGCCGGGGAAGAGCCGGGATGAAAGGAAGCAGTAATTACGGGATCCGCGGGAGGCCGGGAGGGCGGCTGGCACGCTGATTAATAAGCCCCTCCAGCCTCGTGGGGAGGGGGAGCGAGGAATGGGACACCATATTTAATGGAGTAGAGAGGCCTCCCCCCTCGTTTAAATCCTGCTGTTGGAGCGTTTGGACAGCAGGCAGACCGGTTTGGGGTCTGTTCTGAAGAACTAAGAACGAGATGGGTTCCGGAAAATAGCAGCTCGCTGGGCCAGCCAGCCTTGTCCCTCTCCACTGGGACTTTGCTTCCTTTTCTTCTTGCCTTTTTTTTTTTTTTTTTTTTTTTTTTTTTTTTAAAGCATTGTGCTGCTTCTGACCCTATTAGAAACCTAGCCAGAGAATAGGAGAAAGTATTGATTCAAGAAGCGGTGCTTTGTTACGGGGGGCGGGGGGTGGGGGCCTCACCCGGGGGCGGTGGTCTTTGCTTCCCCAGACCTTTCCTGTCTGTGAAATGGTGGGACCTGAGGGTTTTGCGGTGCTGTGGGCTGCTGCTTCATTCTCCGTTTCCTGCCCTCTGGCTTCTGGCAGAAGCCTCTAGGTTCTCAGCTCTGCCAGGCAGACTGTCTAGACCAGGTGGGTTCTTTCTGAAAGGGTCCAGGGAGCAGACAGTTGAGGCTCACATGAAGAAGGGGTATGTCCCCTGGCCCCTCAGTTTGAGGGTGCCCAGGGCCGAGGGGCCTTTAGGTGTCTGGCTGTGGCAGCTTTTTTTTTCCTGGGGGTGGGGGTCAAGGTGGCAGCTGACAGTGGCAGGAAGGGTTGTCCAGAGCAGCACGTGATGTAAATAAGAGGGTGGGGGCCTCGCAGACCTGGTCCACCTAGACCCCTGGCTCGTTTTCGCCTGCTGAGCTGCACATGTCAAGAGAGCTTGTACAGTGCGGAGACAGCCCCCGGCCCCCCGGCCCCCCGGCCCTCATCCGTCACAGGCCTTCACACGGTGGAGCGTATTCCCAGCTGTTAGGATAATGAATTTACATGAGCTGATAATGTAGACAAGAATTCAGTCAATGTCCAGGAGCGCAGAAGTTAATAAATACCTCTCTAATGAGGGCAGCAGGGGGGTGTGCTCTCCCAGGGCCTCCCTCTCCCCGCCATCCCTGTGTCCCCCACGGACACCTTGGCACCTGCACTGACCTCAGCCAGAGAACACCTGCACGGGAGGAGGCCCGCATCGGTCTCCCTGGGGAGGGCTGGGGGCTTCGTGCCGAGGCCTCGGGGGCAGCAGCCTTGAAGTGATCCCCACCAGGCCTGGAGGGGCAGGAGGCACGTGGGCCCTGGAGGCTGTGTCCATTCACAGCAGGCCCAGGGGGACCCCTCCAAGGATCTCGGGGTTCCCCGGCTCTTGGCCTCCTGTCCTGGCCTCAAGGGAGCTGCGCCCGGCTGCTGCGGCCCCCGCCCCGCCTGCCCAGTGCACACATACTGAGGAGCAGCGCTAATTTTAGATTCCCCCTAATGAAGCCGCTCATTTGGAATTCTATTTTAAGTGACCTGACATCAGCAGAGCCGCTTCCCAGGCTCACAGCTCCTCAGGAGCCTGCAGCTGACACCGGGGCAGGGATGCTGCCCGCAGGGGACCCCCAGGGACCCAGGGAGACTGTACCTGGGGCTGGAGGGGGCCCATGGGGCCCGGGGAGCAGATATTGGGCTTTGTCAGAGGCCGGGGTAGGGAGGTTGCTGTCAGGATGCCAGTGGGCTGGTGATAGTGACACTGAGGTAGCCTCAGACCCAGGCATTGGAGGGAGCAGGCAGAGGGCCTCCCTGGTCACCAGGGAAGGGCTGGGGAGCTGTGGGTGAGGGCTCAGGTTCAGACTCCTGCAGGGACACCCCAGTTCCCTCCACCTCTGCCCTGTGGCTGGACAGCCCCACGCTTTTGTTGGCGGTGCTGACTTCGTGCCGTCGAGCCGCCATCCCTTTGAATGTCCGCCTTTTAAAAGCCTGGTTCACTGCAGAAAAATTAGAACATACAGAGAGAGAAAAAGGATGAAAGTGAAAGACATAGCTCTTCTCGTTGCCATCTGAAGACACTGCCAGTAGCCTCAAGGTGTGTGCGCCATCTGGGGTCTGGTCTGGGACTCGCGCCATGGCCTCTGTGTACCACTGATAGGGTTTGGATGTGTGTCCCCTCCGAATCTCATGTGGAAATGTGTCCTCCAGTTTTGGAGGTGGGGCCCAGTGGCAGTGATTGGATCATGGGGGTGGATCTCTCATGAAGGGGTTATCACCGTCACCTTAGTGGTGAGCACGCTCTCGCAAGATCTGGGTGTTTAAAAGCCTGGGACCTCCCCACTCTTGCTCCCTCTCTCACCACTGGATGTGCTGGCTTCCCTCGCCTTCCGCCATGATTAGAAGCCTCCTGAGGCCTCCCCAGAAGCAGATGCCAGCACCACGCTTCCTGTACACCCCACAGAGTCAGGAGCCAAAATAAGCCTCTTTTCTTTATGAATTACACAGCCTCGGGTATTTCTTTATAGCAACACAGACAGCCTAGTTCAGCCACCCAGCCCGTGCCTGTGGCTGGTGGTCATAGCACATCTGCCCGGGTGGCCAGCCAGCCTCATGAAGGCCACAGGAGAGAGAATTGGCATCTGCTCCCAGACCTTCAGGGCGGGTCACCTGGAGGTGAAATGACCATACGGTGCCCCACGTTCCCCTTTTGCGGTAGCATGTGGTGTGGTTTGCAGGGCATAGTCAGCCACCCAGCCTGCACCGGAGATCGGCCCCTCCTGCGGCCCTGGAGCAGGTCGAGCTGGGCCCTGGCTGGCTTGTCACATGGGCACTGTGCTGAGGTCATCTCAGCCCTGCTCTGCACTGGACCTGGGCTCCAAGCCTGCCTTCGCCTATCTGGGAAATAGGCCCAGTCCCAGCTTTCTCATAGGGCGGCCAAGATGTAGAGTGGCTGGCTCTCTGAGGAATGTGGGAAAGGGGGATGGGGGATGCTGATGGTCTCTGGCATCGAAGGGACATGTTTTGGAGACTCTGGGTGAAGATGCAGAGTCTCTGTGTGCAGATAGTTTCACTTCTTGGCTTTCTGATGGATTGAGGGGGCGGCCTGGATTAATAGAGGGTGTGGTGATGCTGACCGTATCAGTTATCTAGCGTTGTGTGACCAACTGTCCGCAGCTCAGTGGCTTAAACACAAAACCTTTGTTATCTCAGTTTCTGTGGGCCAGGGATTGGAGGATGGCTTAGCTGGGTGGTTCTGGCTCAGGGTCTGTGATGAGCCTACTTGAGATGTTGGCTGGGGCTGCGGTCTCATCAGAAGGCCAGCCTGGGGCTGGAGGATTCATTGCCAAGGTGGCTTCTCACATGGCTGTTGGCTGGAGGCCTTGGTTCTTTGAAATGTGGGTTTCTCCATGACCTGCTTGAGCATCCTCATGATACGGCAGCTGACCCCCCTCCACTGGAGTGACCCAAGAGGGCCAGGAAGGAGGTGATCTTACCTTGGCAGCTGCAGACTGCTGCTTCCATTATACTCTGTTCATCAGAAGTGAGTTGCTCAGTCTGGCCCACGCTTGGGGAAGGGAATTGGTCTCTACCTCTTGAAAGGATGACTGATGAAGACTTTATAGACATTCTTTTTATTTTTTGAGAGACAGGGTTCTGTTACCCAGGCTAGAGTATAGCGGTGTGATCATAGCTCACTGTAGCTCCAACTCCTGGGCTCAAATAATCCTCCCAAACAGCGGAGATTACAGGTACGCATGTGTCGTTTCAGGGTAATTTACAGAGACAGCGTCTATGCTGCCCAGGCTGGTTTTGAACTCCTGGCCTCACGCAGTCCTCCCACCTCACCCTCCTACTTACCTGGGATTACAGGTGTGCCCACCATGCCCAGGATGAATGTTTTTAACCATTACAGTTCAACGTATCTTAGCTGTGTGTGGTGCGCGCACATGTGACCATTCACGCCTTCTGATCGGGTGCCATGGTTGGGCCGTGTACTGGGCAGGTGCTGGTAATGAGCAGTGGGGGCCCAGGAAGCCGGGTTCAAGTCCTGGACATGCTGCTCAACTGACTGACCTTGGACCAAGCTTAGGTCATCTCCTGGTCTCGGTTTCCCCATCTGTACGCTAGGCCTCTTGGGCTTGGGCGATGGCTGTGAGGGGTGGGACACAGGCTGGGTGGTGGGTGACAGTTCAGCTGCTGTGGCCTCTCCTGGGCTCATTGTGAGGCTGTCTTGAGAGGTGCCCGACTGGTCTGTGTGACTTCTGAGAGCTGCTGCAGTATCCCCTGGGGGGGTGGTCTTTGCGTTCCCCGGGGCCCTGCTCCTGTCTTCCAGGCAGCTCTCCTAGCGTCACCCTCCTGAGTGCCTCGTTGGGACCACGAGGACCTGGTTCATTGATGTCCGTGTGGGTCCCTGTGAGGGTGGGGCTCTGTCCTGTGCCACTTCGTCTTTCTAGACATTCCCTCCTAAAAACCCGCAGCCTACTCGGTGTGGTGCTGAAGGTGCTTCGGTGACAGATAGGACCCGGAGGTCCTCTGGACTGCCCATGGCAGCCCCTATGTTGGCCATGTCCTCCAGTGTCCCCTGCAGGCACCAGGACAAGAGCTCTGGTCTCCCCCATCCTCCAGTGTCCTGTGGGTCACCTTTTCCCGGCCACCGGCCTTTTGGGGTCACGGGGTGGCCCTCTGCCGAAGGTGTGTGGGCTCGTGGGCCCAGGGCACGGGGCTTGTGGGCAGGGTGCCTGCCAGCTTGACACCATGTGCCCTCCCCATTGTGGCTCCAGTGGGGTGAGCATCGCAGACTCAGAGCATGGGTCCCATTTGCTGAGACACCTGCGTGGCCTTGGCTGGACCCCCTGCCTGCTGGGACTGGCATCTGCCTGCTGGGACTGGCATCTGTCCTCGCTGGCTGGCATGCTGTCTCGTAATGGCCCTGGGGTGCCCCACAGGCTCTGAAGCCCCTCATGTCAGTTACCCCATTATGCTCAGGGGAGTGACCTCATGAGGTCAGCTTTGCTGTGCTGTTACCCCGTTTGGTAGATGAAGAAACGGAGGCCCTGACAGGCAAAGTAACTTGCCCCAAAAGGTTGTTCAGCCAGAAGCATCCAGAAGCTGGGTCTGAGCCACAGGCGCGTTTTCATCGCCTCCAATGGACCCGCTGCGCCTCTGTGCACAGGGAGAGGCACTGATGGCAGCCCGGTGCGGGGGACACGCAGAGGCCAGGCCCGCCTTGGGGGCAGCGTGGCTGGCGGTGCGGAGCAGAGAGCAGCTGGCAGGGTTCAGGCTGGCCGAGGACGGGCCCTCATTGGCAGCCCGCATTTTCTGGAAGTGAGGCTGCCAGGCAGAGCCCCCGCCCTCCCGCTTGTTTGGATGTCTGTGCCGGGTTGAAGCGGCCTTGGAAAGGCAGGATGGGGGTGCAGGTCCCCCTCCACCCCTGGCCCCTCCAGAAAGAGCCAAGGGAAGACAGGCTAGGTGGGGCCCGCTGCTGCAGGGCACGGCCACGGCGCCACCTGGCTGTTGCCTGCCATGGGCATGGGGCTCTCAGGGGTCCTTTGTTCCCAAGGTGTGAGCTCTCACTGGGGAGAACAAACGATGCCCCCCGAACTCGTTCCCGCCTCTCTGTTCTCTCATTTGCAGCCCCCTCTCTCAGGCAGTGCCCCCAGCCCTTCCCTCAGTGCCCCCAAAGAATTATTTTCTCCCTACGTCCCCTCTATCAGGAGAGGGAGGACTTGGCTCCCTGAATACATGGCCAGGACTCACGGCCTTTGGTGGCAAGTTCTGGGGATAGCAGGTGGACAAAGGAGGTCTTGAGGGGGTCCTCTCCACGCTGCCTCCGAGCCTGCTGTCCCATGGGGACAGGTTCCAATTAGACTTGTCAATGTCACTTAGAATCTGGCAGAGGTGGAGTGGGCTCTGGAGGCCAGGGCAGCCTCTTCCGGGGAGGAACCTGGGGGCCCCCTTGCCCTTACCCCATAGGAAGTGCACAGTCCGCCCCTCTTGTGTGTTGCCCCCCGGATCTCTGTGACACCAGCCCCACCATGTGTGGCCCCAGCGCCCCCCCGCCCCAAGATGCATCCACAGGGAGGAAGCCGGGACCCTGTCTGTGGGTGATGTAGGGGTGGGGGCGTCTCTGCGGGGGAGGGATGTTGGTGGAAACATTTTGACCAGGTTGGGCTTTTATTGATTGGACACACGGGGTGGGCGGACTGAGGGCTTGTTTGGAGGTGGCCATGTCCTTTCCCCAGTGGTTCTGATGTCACCAGGTGGCTGCCCCTGGGCTCAGACCTCTGGTGCCGCCGCCGCCGCCGCTGTCACCACTGGCCGGGAGGGCCAGGTCAGCCGTTGCTGCGCCAGGTCGGCCTGAACTTGGCCCTGGGAGGAAAGAGGGTTCCAAGCTGCACCGCGGTTTGGATTTGCGGTTTTCTGTTTTTAGCATCTCCGGGCAGACTCTGTGCCCAGTAAGGGGCCACAGTGGGGTCTGCAGTGCGGCCGTGTTCTTCCCCACCGCTCCCTGTCAGCCTGCCTGTGTGGCCCCATCTCTGGGACCCCTCTCAGACAGAGACGCACAGGGTCCCTGAGTGGCGGGGAGGCCGGGGGTCTGCCCTGAGTGCCCGCGTGGACTGGGCCGAGTTGGGGCCTTAGTTTCCTTTTCTGTAACGTGGGGCAGAACTCCCGCCAGTCTTCTGAGGGCATTGCCATGCGTGCCTGGCATCGTGTGCTTGTCGCGTCAGTGGCCACAGCAGTTGTCTTGGTTCCCGTCGTCCCTGGGCCTCTCCACCAGCGTGTTTCTATCCTGAGGATGCGGGCCGCACGCCTCCTCCGCCTGGGCCTCAGTCTCCTTCCCCACGCCATTTGATGGTCAGGGGCCTGTTGGGTGATGCGTGGGATCCTCCACGACCTGCCCAGCCTGGACTGCCCTGGAGAGGTAGAGGGACAGTGCTGGCCCAAGCCGTTCAGCATCTGGGGTCCTGGGGGCCTCTTGGGTCTGTGCCGGGTTCCAGCTGGACTCTGGGGACGGGGTCTGTTCTCTCTGCAGCGCTGGCTCTGTCCTGTTCTTGCTTGTCCTGCTGGAGCCCCCGGGGCTGCCCCTGCTCCCTGCCTGCTGCTGCTGACACCGGCCCTGCCGACCCTGCTCTGGTGCTGGGCGCTCCTGCTCTCTGGGTGACCTCTGGTTCTTCTTTTCCTGTTTCAGGCATGAGCCATGAGCCCAAGTCCCCTTCGCTAGGGATGCTTTCCACCGCGACCAGGACCACCGCCACCGTCAACCCCCTCACCCCCTCGCCGCTCAATGGCGCCCTGGTGCCCAGCGGCAGCCCCGCCACCAGCAGCGCGCTGTCGGCCCAGGCCGCGCCATCCTCCAGCTTTGCCGCCGCGCTGCGCAAGCTCGCCAAACAGGCGGAGGAGCCCAGAGGTAAGGGGGCCCGCCAGGCTGCGCGTGGGGGGAGCGGCGGCTCCCGAGGCCGGGACTCAGCCTCCCGCCTGCGGCGTGCACGCTCACAGCAGGTCTCGTCTTTCCCACGCCGTGTGCTCTGCATGGAGCAGGCAGTGCTGGCTGAGCTACAGACCCTGGGCCAGTCCGCCTGCCCCAGCACCTCCGCTTTGCCTCTGTGCTTCTGTCTCTCCTGCCTCTGTCCTTCCTCGGCCCCCGGAGCCACTGCAGGGGTGTCCGGATGTAGCGAGGTGCTCCTACCAGCTCTGTGACTTGATTGGGAGGAGGGTGGGTGCCCTGGACCAGGGGAGCCCCAAGAGGCTGCAGAGGGAGAGCTGGGCCCCAGTGCTCCCCAAGTGGCTCCTTGCCCAGGTTTTGACACTCCCTCCAGAAGTGGCAGAGAACATGGTGTCCCTGGAAACACAGTGGTCTGGAGCGGGGGTCTCTGGCACAGCTGAACCCACCACTGCTCAACTCCCTGAGGCAGAGACTGTGGGGAGCATAGACAAGCGGCCCCCGGGGTCTGGAGCCTTGGCTTCTGGTATCACCTGGGCAGGACCTGCTGTGTGAACCTGGGCACGTTGCTGATCCTCTGAGCCTCATTTTTCCTGTCTGTGCAGTGAGGCTCTAAAGACGCCCCCTTTGGCTCTGGCTCTGGGGTACTTTTTGGCGCCTGCGATGACCATTGGCAGGGGCTGCTGCTGGCACAAATGGGGAGGGGCAGTGGGCGGCTGGAGCTGCTGGGGGCCTTGGCCATGTGGATTCTGGCCTCGGACACCCTCTGGACTCGCTGCTGACAGGCGGGGGGGCTGAGGAAACCGGGACCCCAGTGGCATCCGCTTCATTCACCTCCAAGGCCCACGGGTTAAGATCCGGGTGCCAGGGCCCTCCGGGGTGGCCACAGCAACACATGCAGGAGCCATGTCCGTCTTTACATTACCCGGGTTCCAGCTTGGCAGAGGGGACACCTGCCCTGACCAGGGCGGGCTGGGGGGACTTCTCATTTCTGAATGTCTCCTTCCTGGATCCTTTCTGCTGCTGCTCGTTGGAGAATGGGGGGAGTGTGAGAGGACACACCTGACATTGATGGATGGGGGGTATTGGCCCAGGAGGGAGGCCCGTTGGGGTCTGGTTTCCGTACCACCAGGGGGCAGCCCCTCGCCTCCTGGCTCTTCCTGGCAAACCAGGCACAGGCAGGACCGCCAGAAAACCCTCCACGCCCTTGGCAGGGGACTCCCTGGCCACACCTGAGCGGGCCAGGTTGCATGGGCCCCACCTGTGTCAAGAGGCCGGACAGCTGCAGGCAAGATGGCTCAGGGGGAAGCAGACTGCCTGCCTGGTGGAGGCATCCTGGACTCTCTGGGGCGGTGAACAAGGCAGCTGGGGACAGACCCTGGGAGGAAGCTGAGCTTGGAGTCGAGACTCGGGCTCTCCTGAGAGGGGTGGAGAGAAGCGAGGTCAGAGCTGGCCCAGCTCCTGCTGCTGCAGTTGTCTTTTTTTCTCAGCGTTTGGGGGCAGGAGAACCAGGGCTGGTGAGGGATTTCCGAGGCCACGGGCGGCACGTGACTGGCGCTGGTGCTACCTGGGCTGGGTTATCCTTGCATCCTGCTTTCATCCAGCAGCTGTGTCTGCTTTGGGGCCTCTGGGCTCCACCCCTGGGTAACGCTGCAGAGGACGTGGTCAGGAAAGGGCAGGTTTCCCTCCTCGCCAAGGAAGGTGGTAGAGAGGTGTTCAGACTCGCCTTCCCTCCCTGGGCCCAGCAGCGGCCGTGGGCGTCACAGCAGGAGCCTGCTCACAGGGCCGTCGCTTCCTCTCCGCTGCCCCATGCTGCTGGCCCCAGCACTTGGTTTGGTGGCTCGGCCAGCGGGTGGCCTGAGTGCCAGAGGCCGCTGGTCCCCACTGGCCAGGAACAAAGTGCCGCTGGGCGCCCCTGGCGGGAGGCCAGACACCATGGCCTCGTGGCCCTGCTCCCTCCCAGCTGCAACCTGGGCACTGGGAAGGGTCCCCCATGGTGGATGCCCCCCAGGAAAGATGCCCCCGGGGTGGATGCCTGGGAACTGAATGGCAGAGGGTCGGGAGAGCGGGCGAGCAGTGCCACTGCCTGAGCCATGTGCCCATCGGTTCACTCACCCACCTCACCCCCTATTGAGCTGGGAATGCCAAGGTTTGTGGGGCTCGGAGTCTGCGGATGTGGAGCAGTGTTTGGGTCCTGGAACGCCCTCAGCCAGGCCTGGGCCCTCGTCGCCCCCACCCGTTTTGATGAATCTCCAGCTGGTCACCCCTGTCAGGCCTTGGTCTGGATGGGGAGGGACTGGGTGACTCGTTCCTCGTGACCTCAGCCACTCAGTGCACCTGGTCCCCATTCTCATGGAGTCACCCGGACCCTGACCTCACGTTTCCCCGTCCATGGAACTGGCCGGCAGCCCTCCCGGGACCCTCGGGCAGCTGAGAAGGCCAAAGTTCAGAGAGGACAAGTCGCAAGACGGCAGCCACAGCGGGTGGGGTCGTGTCCGTGTCCCACTGCTGCTGGGCCTTCCCGGGGGGGGGCTGGGAGAGCCGCCGTTAGGACAGTTCTGAGCTGGTGGTCCCGGCGGTCCCTGCTGGAAAGGAAGCCCCCCTCACCCCTAGCACCACTGCCAGTGGAGCAGGGAGCTGGCGTTGGGCGCACAAAAGGGTCTATGCCTGGCTGTCAGCACGCTGACCCTGCCTCCCTGTGGGTTGTGGAGTCCTGGATGACAGTGGGGACATGTGGACCCCCCAGCTCCCCTGTGCTACCCCCCCAGCTCCCTGGTGCTACCTCCCCATCTGCGCCAGAGGGCAGCAGGGGGAACCTTTGGCGGACTTGGCAGTGGGAGGGGTTTGCATTTCTTATTTAAAATTTTTTTAGTTACAATTCACATGCCATAAAATTCACCCTGTAGAAGCGCATGATTTGGTGATTTTCCTACACAGTTGTGTGACCATCTAATTCTAGAACATTTGGGTCACCCCTAAGAGAACCTCGGTTGCATTTGCCGTCAGCTCCCACGCCCTCCCCCAGCCCCCGGCGGCCGCTGTCTGCTTTCTGCCTCTGTAGATGTACCTGTGGGCATTTTGTACACATGGGCTGGCGCGGTGCGTGTCTGGACCCTGAGCGTGACATCTCCTGGTCCTTGTGGGCCATCTGCGGCGTGACAGCCCTTCCTGCTTCTCGTGGCTGGACGACCCGGGTCGGGGGAGCTGGGTGGGGCCACGAACCCGCAGCTGCCTTTCTGCTCCGTCCTGGAGTTGGACCAGTGAGGGCCTCCCCACCTTCATCATGGCAGTGGCTGTGCCCCCTTGATTGCAGCAGTGGCTATGTATCGAGTCCCCCCTTGATCGCGGCAGTGGCTATGTATTGAGTCCCCCCTTGATCGCGGCAGTGGCTGTGTATCGAGCGCCTGCTGTGCCCCTGGCGGGCTCGCTGTGCTTCTCACACACCCTTCGCCTCTGGTGGATGAGAACTGAGCCTCCGGCTTGCCCGGGTCCCACGTTGTAAGTGGCATGGGGAATTCCAATCCCCAGCTTGTGCCTGAGACTCCATAGACCCCTGCCCCGCAGGTGTAGCCTCCTCCCTGCAGAAAGGGAGACCGGGCCTCTGTGAAAGCCACACCTGCCGGGGAGTGGGGTCCCTCTGGTGCCTGCCAGGTGCCCAAGAGAGCACCAAGCCCCAGCGGGCTAGCGGCTGAGCTGGCCAGCTCAGCGGCCCGCAGCCAGGGCTGCCTCCTGGCGACGGCACGTCCTGGGCAGAGGGGGCAGGGATGGAAGCAGGGCAGCTCCCAGAGCTGCAGGGGGAGGTGGCAGGAGAGGTGGCAGAGCTGGCGCACCCAGGGAACAGCAGAGGCTGTGCTGCCCCACGCGGCCCCTCCTCTGGGTGCCCTGGGCCCCAGCCGCCTGCGGCAAGCCTTCTCACTCACCCTGACCCTCCTCTCCAGTGCACGCCTGACGACTTCTGGAAGTGCCTCTCGGTTTTCGCCATCTGACTGCGATTGCCTCCGCGTCTCTCCTCTCATTGTGTCTCAAGGGTGTAGTTTAAAAATTCAATTCAGACGAAGCTGTGGCATGCGCTGCCCTGGGAGAAAGGCTGGGAAGGAGAGGAAGAGGAGGCCCTCGCTGGGATTTATTTTTCTGGAGGCGCTGAGACGTCTTCTCTTCTTCAAAGCTCAGTCACCCGCCCACCAGCGCGGGCCAGACACCCTTCCCCAGGGCCAGCCTGACCCTTTAACCTACTCACCTACTCACTGCCGAGGCTGGGGCGCTTTGGGCAAGGGCAGACGCTTGCGAATCGCCGATGCATGCCCCAGCACTTTCCTTCCTTGCTGTGTGATCCGGGCAGGCCGCTTTGCCTCTCTGAGCTTCCACTTTTTCTTGGGTGAGGAGCAGGTCTCTACCTCATGAATCGTGGGGACTGGGTGGGAATGTGCCACAGCCGGGAATGGTGGCATGAGTGTCAATGCAGCAGGCCTCCACCCTGGCTCCCACCCCCGCCTCCCCTTCCCTGCCCCCCACCCTAATGCTGCCTCCTTTCACCTTCCCCATTCTTGCCACCCCCACCTCCTACGTGCCTCCCCTACCCCTCCACCCACTGCCACCCCTTCCCCTGACTCCCCGTCCTACCCCTGTGACCCCCATCATCTGCCCTGGGAGGGCGTGTGCTTCCCCGGTGGGGTTGGAAGGTGTGGGTCCGCCATGGCTTCCCCCCGTCAATGGCTCTGGGCCGGGAGCCTGCGGTGGCTTCCTCTGTCCCAGTGGTGCAGGGTGCAGGCAGGGCCAAGTGGCTGCCTGTTGGTCTTGACTTTCTGGGAGAAATGGGGCTTGGAGTGCCCGGGCCCCACGCAGAACATTCTAGAAGGAGGCTGCAGGTTTGGGCGTGATCCTGAGTTGATCCTGGGTTGCACCCCCAGCCCCTTCCCAGCGACCGGCCTGGGCTGCAGTCTGAGCCGAGGCGTCCCTGACCCTGTTCTGCCCTGGTGGCTATTGGTCTCTTTGTTCCTCCCACATTGTCCCAGCCACCAAAGGGACGTCCCCGGGGCCGCCCAGCCCTCCCTTCGACGCAGCTGGGCCAGCTCCCGCTGTAGCCCAGACTCCTCGGGTGGCACCGGGTCCTTGGGTACAAGCAGGGACCTGTCCCCTCCTCGGAATGGCGGCCTGGCCACCGCCTCCCTCCCTGCCTCTCCTACCAGGACCTCTTCTGCACAGACACCCAACCACCCCCATAGGCATCTGAAACCTCAGCCTAGGAGTCCCAAGACTGGGGGGATGGGTCCCAGCCCTGTGTCCCACCCCCTGCGCTGGACAGATTCTGACTCCCCTCTAAGCCTCCTGGGCGCCAGGCCTAGCCTGCCTTGCGGGTGTGTCGGGATCCCCCCATCATCCCTTGTCCTTGGAGGTGCTTGTTGACTGACTGAATAAGAGGTGTTTGCCCCGAGGGTGCCCCGGGAACGCCTGTGCGTGGAGCCAGGCCCTGTGCTTCCAGCTCCCCAGCTCCACACCCTGAAGGCAGCCCTGAGCCAGGCTGGGGTGTGACAGCTGTCGGGCCTGCCCAGTGTCTCTGCAGAGGGCAGGCCGTGGAGCCTCCACCGCCGCCCCCACTGCTGTGTGACGAAGCCAGGGCTGCTGCCAGGCACCCTCGCAAGCTGTGTGGCATCTGCTTGCCGTGTGCAGCAGGCGGCAGCCTCCCGCAGGGACGCAGCGCCCGTCTGCCAAGGCGGCCGGGGGCGGAGGTACGGGGAGCCTTGCGTGTCCTCAGCTGCTCCAGGAGGCACAGGCAGCACCTGGGACCAGGCACCCCCTCCCTGGGAAACAGTTGGGGGCGATCGTGCTGCGGGCCTTTGCTCTGGGAGGCCGGCGCTTTGGGAACAGGGTGGCTCCAGAGCCTTCCCAGGTGGGCTGGAGAGCCGCCGTCTGGAGGACAGTTCTGAGCAGGTGCTCCTGGCTGGCGAGGAAGCCCCACCTCACCCCAGCACCACCCATGGTGCAGGGAGCTGGGGTTGGGCGCACAAGAGTCTGAGCCCGTTCCCACCCCGCCTCCTTGTCACCAGCCCGGTGGCCGGGACTCATGGCTTCCCTGCCCACACTTCGCTCCCTTAACACCGGCCGGGGGCTCATGGTACCTGCCCTGGAAGCTGCCAGAGGCCTCTCCAAGCAGGTGTTGGCCGCTGTGTTACCTGCGGCAGGGGTGGCCCAGCCACCCATAGCCCGGCTTGGGCCACAGGGACGGGGCCGACAGGTGGTGGCAGTGGGGCTGGAACTGCTCTCTTGTCATCGAGGCCCGCGGGGCCCTGTGCCGCCTTCCCCTGGTGGTGTCTGCTGGCTGCCTGCCTCGTCTTGTCACTGGCTTTGCAGGCAAGAGGGGAGGCAGATCCGGTTACTGTCCTGTCCCTGGTGCCACCTGAAACCGAGATCCCACCTGAGTGAGTGGGGACTACGTGTGCGGGGACCACGGAGCAGGGACCACAGACCCATCCTCATGAGCTGCCGTGGGAATGCTTCCACCGTGGAGCCGGCCTGGGCGGGGGAGAGGCTCCCCCTTTCTGCCGCTGCCTCGGAAATCTGCCTCTCAAAGAAAACAGCAAAACAAACACGGAGGAAGGATCCCGCCTGGCAGGCGCGCCTCGCGTGGGTGTCAGTCTGCGGCGGCGGCGGCTCTGCAGGCGTCTGGAGCCCGTCTGTCTCCCGCGCAGGTGTGAGCGCCGCGGGCGTCCTCATGGTGCCTCTCCGTTCTCCTGGCCCGGGGGCCAGAGGGCTGGTGGTCAGGGGAAGCCAGAGCCAAAGGGGAGCAAGGCCCACGGAGAGGACCCCACCACCTATCCCGACCCCTTCTCCGCATAGCACAGTGGGGAGCCCTGGGCAGGGTGGAGGAGCCCAGTACTTGGCGTGTCAGCCTTTGGGGGCCTGTCCTGGGATAATGGAGGCAAGGCCTCCCCTAGCCACGTGGACATAAGGGTGATTTTTTTCCGGTTTTCCCTGATGCACCCTGTGCCTCCCTGCAGCCCCTGTGCCCGTTTCTTCTTCCTCGTCCTAACGTCCCACCTCCCTCAGGGTACCTGTCTCAGCTCCTTTGGTCCCACGCGGACTCTCCCGGCTCCATCCGGCTCCCAGGGTCCAGCATCTAAGCTCACGCTGTTCAGCACATAATCCGCCCCCGGCAAAACGCATCTCCAGCTAGAAACCCGCACCTCCCGCTGTCAGTTTGGGTTTGATGACTGTGGCACGTGATGGCAGGGTGGGCATGGGAGCCCGCCACTGGCTGACGCCCCCCCCCGCCCTTTTGCAGCTGTGAGGTGGAGCCTCGTTGGTGGACGCAGGCCGCGGGTCGGGAGAGCCCTGCCCTGGGAGCCTTGTAGGGCGGCTGCTGCTACTTGGTCTCCTGCTTCTCCCTGGAACGCAGGGGGTCGCGGCGTGACTTCAGCCTTGCGCTGTGGTGTGCCTGCTGTCCCGTGTACCAGGGCTGCGGTGACTCCAGAAGGTTTCCCAGCCTGTTCTTGTCACTTGTGCGATGGGGACTTCACCTTCCAGACCCGCACCATTCCCAGTGGGTGGGGGGCTGATTGGCTCTTTCCTCTGGGGTCTGCTATTCCCGTTCCACTGGGCAGATTTCAAGGAAAGTGGCTGGGGTGACTCAGCTCCTGTCCCACTTCCCTACTCACTGGCTGGCGGCTTCCTGTGGCTCCCGTGGGCCTCCTGGGCCAAGGGGCTGGACCTCCTCTGGCCGGGCTCCTTTCCACATCCATGTCGCCACAAGTCCGCCCAGGGCTGGGTTCCCAGGTTTTGGGTGGAAACAGGTCGGTAGGCGAAAGTAGAAAGTGGAGGAGCAGCCCTGGCAGACACAGGCTCTGTGGACCTGCCCCGCCCTCCCTCCAGCTGTTCCAGCCTACACCGGCTGAGGGCCCAGCTGGCATCGCCGTTGGTGGGTCTGCTCCAGAGTCATGGCACGTGGCACACTGAGTCTCCTGCTGAGTGGACTCTGCCCAGAGCTTTTCAAGGTTGAGCTGGGAGCTGAGCATGATGCTGCATGCCTATAGTCCCAGCTGCTCGGAGGCTGAGGTGGGAGGATCACTTGAGCCCTGGAGGTTGAGGCTGCAGTGAGGCATGATCACACTGCTGCACTCCAGCCTGGGTGACAGAGAGAGACCCTGTCTCTAAAAATATTTTGTAATTAAAAAGAAAATTTTAAACACTAACTTGGGGACAGAACTGATGACAGGAAGAGCCCCCAGGTTAGCAGACACACAGGGTCCCCTGGGTTCCCACCCTGGCCGGCACCTGCCCCTGCATGGTTGAAAGCAGGGGGCAAAGTGCACCTGGGGACCCTCCTTCCAAGGGGCTGAGACAGGGGTCTGTCGCTCACCCATCTGTTCAAGCTGCCCCTCACCTGTGTCTCCATCGGCAGCATGGGCTAGGCATGGGCTGTGGACACCGGAGCCGTCCCCTAGGGCTCTGGCCCTGCTAAGCTCTGGGCAGCCCCCGGCCATGGCATCTCACAAAGACGTTCCAGGGACCCTCTTTAGGGAAGCACGTCCGGTAGTTACCGTTCTGTTCTCTCCACCGTTCCCCTGAGCAGTTGCAGCGGGGCCGGGCCCTGGGGTGGGTCGGGGCCGTGCAGAACAGCGGCTGGGGGAATGCCTGAGCCGAGCTCGGCTGGGGAGTCTTTACCTCTCCGGGTGCCCTGCCCTCCCCTTTCCTTCCATGCTCGCTGCTGGCCTGGTCAGGGCCTGTGGCTTTGGGGCCTGACCACGGTGAGGCCACGCCCGCCTCGGTCTACAGTGCGCTGGAGAGTGGTCCTGTGGCGTGGCCCCCAAGCGCCTCTTAAAGACCGATGACTCTTCAGGGGGTGCCGGTGGTTTTTGCCTGGCGGGGTGGGCCTGAGCCTGGGTGGCTGACAGGTGCTGCTGTGGCGCTGCGGTCCTGTTTTTGCCCTCAATACACTCCCTCGCTGACTTTGGGGTGTCAGCTGTTAATTACATCTGCCCGTGGGCCTCAGCGCTAATCTTCGAGGTCAGACAGCAGAGGTGACGCGGACACGGGCTGCCTCTTGTCATCTCCAATCCAGATCCGTTTCATTGACTTAACTCCTGGCTGAATACCGCCAGTTAATTACAGCAATCACAGACCTTCCTGCTCCAGCCACGCGGTGAGAATGAGGGTTCGAGGGCCAGGTGCCAGCCTCGCTAATGGGCCTGGCGTTGTGGGGGCATCGATCGAGGCTGAGCTGGCTGGTCTGATGAGTAGCACCCGCCAGCGGGGATTAGGCCGCTGAGTGTCAATGGCCTGCCCTGCCCCAGAGAAGCTCCCCACCCTTCACCCACCCCTCTTACTTCCTCACCCGCGCCTCTTTCTTCCTCACCCACTGGTGCTTAGAAACGAGGCTCATTCAGAGACTCTGGAGTGGCAGCTGCCTTGGTCATGGCAAGGGGTCTCTCTGGGAGGTGGGGTTCAGAGGGATGGGGCAGCATGGGGTCTGGAGCCAGGCAGCTCCAGGTCTCTGTGCATCCCCTTATGGCATGGGCTATAAGGTTCTCCCCATTTGTAGAGTTGGGGTACAGAGAAGTCTCTGAGGTTCCTGGGGCTTGGCACGTGGTGGGGCTCGGAAGCTCCTGCTCCCAGCTCCCCACTGTCCGGTCCCCAGGGAGGACCCACAGCCCACCTGGCCATTGGCCCCAACTTTTCCCCTGGGCAGCAGGAGCCCGGATCATGAGCTCTTGGCAGCCTCTGCCTGGGTGGGGTGGCGGCTCTCGGTGTGTTGGTTTTATTTCCTTTTTCGGCTCCACAGCACAAATGTCCACATTTCCCCTACTCACAGCTACTGGAATCTAGATGGGAACACCCTGGGTTTGGGCCGGGTGCACAGGAGGGCTTTCCATGAAGTAGGGTGGTGGGGCAGGCACCGTTACTCATGCCTGTAATCCCAGCACTGTGGGCAACTGAGGCGGGAGGATCGCTTGAGCCCAGGAGTTTGAGACCATCCTGGGCACCACAGCGAGACCCTGTCTCTACCAAAAACAAACAAACAAACAAAAAACTAGCCGGGCCTGGTGGCACGTGCCTTTAGTCCCGGCTCCTCAGGAGGCTGAGGTGGGAGGATCACTTGAACCCAGGAGGTTGAGGCTGCAGTGAGCTGTGATTGCACCACTGCACTCCAGCCCAGCCTGGGCAGCAGAGTGAGATCCTGTCTCAAAAAAAAAAAAAAAAAGAGTGTTGGGCACAGTACTGTTGACAGCGGCCACAAGGTGGGCCCAGCCTGTATGCCACCAGCTGAGGGACGGACCAGTAAGGAGTGGGTGGACAGAGGCACACAGTGGACTGTCACTTAGCCGCGGGAAGGAGAGATTCTCTTAGGTGCTGCAATGTGGATGAACCGTGAAGACACGGCTCCCAGTGAGAGGAGCCAGGCGAGAAGGGCCACGCGGTGGGATTCCCTTGATGTGAAGTCTCCGGAACAGGCCCTTCTTTAGAGACGGAGAGCCAATGCGTGCGGGGCCTGGGGAGACGGGAGTGGTTGCTCATGGGTAGGGGGTTCCTTTTGGGGTGACGGAAATGCTCTGAAATGGATTGTGGTGATGGTCGCACAACTCTGGACGTGCTAGAACCGTGGGGCCGCGCGCTGGGTGGGTGAATTACGCGGGATGGAATCATAGCTCGGTGAAGCTATAACAACTGAAACCCAAGAGCCATGGAGGTTCCATGGAATTTTTTTTTTTAAACAACGATCCTTTCCCTAGTTTTTATTTTTTTTCCCCAAAAACTTAAAGTGAACTTTTTCTCAAAATCTAAATACATACAGAAAAGCGCCTAGACTGCCAGTGTCCAGAACGAACCCACAGATCAGGAGGGCTGAGGCCTGTTCTCCTGTCCCCACCCTCTGCCCCTGAGGTGAGGGGCGTGGTGCCCCGCCCTGCAGCCAGCGTTTCCCCTCCTCAGGTGGATCTAGTAGCCCGCCGGCACAGTGCCCAGTCCCAGGTGTTGGCCCGGTCGACTTGGGGTGGTGGAGTTCTCAGGGTGTGGGCAGTGGTTGGCTAGTCCATCTGGGGGTCTGGGGTTGGGTCACGCCTCAGGGGCAGCAGCCCTCAGCCTCATTCCCCACCTGGGCCAGATCCTGGTGGGTGGGAGCGTGATGAGGTGGGGGCCTTGCCTTGGGCAGTTCGGGGGTTGCTGGGGAGAATGTGAACGTGCCTCTGGGCCGCTCTGGGGCGTGGCCGATCTGGCTAGACGGAGTGTCTGTTGTGGAGCTGCCCTATCCAGTTGTGCAGGTTGCACACAAGCCCAGGAAACCACATTAAAGAGGCCCAGATACCGTTCTGCAGGAAGCAACGGACTTGCCCTCGGGACAGGGCAGCTGCCCCACCCCAAGGGAGCACCTTTGGGAGAGCAAAGTTCTGTTTCCACATCGGGATGCCTGTGGGGCCTCTGCCTCCTGGTCACGCCACTAAGGCCACTTTGGCTGCCTGAGGCCTCTGGGCACCCCCTGTGAGCAGCAGTTTTCTTTGGTGAATGTGCGCGTGCCCACTCCGGACACAGTGAAGGGGAGATGAGGCTGCTTCTGCCCCCGGAACCAAGGCCAGGTCTGAACAGAAGTCGGGCAGGATGCCGGGAGCTGATGGGCTGGGGTCCTCCTTCTGGAAAGGGCATCTACCTGCTTCTACCACGCATTCTACCTGCTTCTACCACGCTTCCTATGCATGCATTCTACCTGCTTCTACCATGCTTCCTATGCATGCATTCTACCATGCTTCTACCATGCTTTCTATGCATGCATTCTGCCTGCTTCTACCACGCATTCTACCTGCTTCTACCACGCATTCTACCTGCTTCTACCACGCTTCCTATGCATGCATTCTACCTGCTTCTCCCACGCTTTCTATGCATGCATTCTACCTGCTTCTACCACGCTTCCTATGCATGCATTCTACCTGCTTCTACCACGCTTCCTATGCATGCATTCTACCTGCTTCTACCACGCTTCCTATGCATGCATTCTACCTGCTTCTACCACGCTTCCTATGCATGCATTCTACCTGCTTCTACCACGCTTCCTATGCATGCATTCTACCTGCTTCTACCACGCATTCTACCTGCTTCTACCACGCATTCTACTTGCTTCTACCATGCCCCGGGCTGTAGGTGCCTCCCAAGTGGGGCTTTTGCAAACAGAAGGTGCCCAATTGTACCACACCTCCTCAGATGGCAGCATCTGTCCCCGTGGGCCCAAGTGCAAGCTTGCACAGCTGCTGTGACACGGGGTCTGGGTGCCTGAACGCACGGTGCTGCTGGTGGGTGGACATGTGCCTGCTCCTGCTGGAACCTGCCCCCAGTGGACACTGCTGTGATATCATAGAATCCAGGGCCACCTCTGCGGCCTGCCTTGTTGGGGACCTTGGCCTGTGCTGGACACCAGTTGGGTGCTGTGTGTGCCTCTTGGGGGCGGAGATCTGCCCTGGGCCTGTGTCAGGGAAGGGGGCTTGGGGAGGGTGAGCCGGACACTGAGCTGTGTACAAGTCCACAACCGTGTGAGCGGCACGAGGTCTCCCCGCTGCAGGCTGCAGGCCAGCCGGAGTCGGGGGTGTGAGTGTGCAGCCGTGCACCCCCTGGGCTTCGTCAGGCTGGGCAGGGCTCTTGACCCCCAGGCAGCAGAGCTTCTGGAACCCCAGGCCCAGGCCTCACTGGCAGCCCCAGCCTCTGGGGAGCTGCTCTGGTCTCGGTCACGGGGGCTTGATCCCCACAACAAGGGGGGGGGTGGGGGCTCCGGAAGCGAGGCTGGTGCCTGGTTGGGGACAGGAGGACTCTTGCAGCAGGTGCCTTTGGACACCCCCTACCCCTGCCACCACACACACTTGGTCCCCTTCTGACCTGGGCGGGAGGGAGACAACAGAGGGGAGCCCTGGTCTGAGAAGGCAGTTTTGCTCCATGAAGGAGGAAGCCCCTTCCCTTAGGGCCTGGGAACACTCCTCCCCGTCCTCCCCGGTCCAAACCCCTGCCGCACCTGCAGATGGGCCGGGGCGGCCCTGCCCGTCCATGCCCCCTGTCCTTGGGGTATCCTCTTGGCTGTAGCCACCAGTCACCCAGGCCCAAAGCCCTCCTGCCTGCCCTGCACCCTCCCCCTGCTACCCGCGGGGCTGCAGCCACCCATTCTCCCATCCCTGCTGCGTTTTGGGGGCTGAGGGGTTCTTTCTGAGGCGACGGGCGAGTTCCGGGGTAGGTCGTGGTGGTGGTTGTAAACAGCGAACCTAGGCAAACCTCCTGATGTGTACCCTTAAAGATGGTGAATTATATCTCATTTTCTGAAATTTAAAAATAAATGGATCTTTTAAAGAAACTCCCCCAGGGTCACCGTGGGTCACCCTGAATGGCTGCCATTTGGGCTTCCTCAGCCACCACCGCACTGCATCCCTGCTTGGCTGGGCCCCGTAGAGGGGTGCTGACCACTTCTTTTTTTGTTTTGAGACGAAGTCTCGCTCTGTCGCCAGGCTGGAGTGCGGCAGCACGATCTCTGCTCACCAGAACCTCCGCCTCCCGGGTTCAAGCGATTCTCCTGCCTCCGCCTCCCGAGTAGCTGGGACTACAGGCGCGCGCCATCACGCCCGGCTAATATTTGTATTTTTAGTAGAGACAGGGTTTCACCATGTTGGCCAGGATGGTCTCGAACTCCTGACCTCGTGATCTGTCTGCCTCGGCCTCCCAAAGTGCTGGGATTACAGGCGGGAGCCACCGCGCCCGGCCAGTGCTGACCGCTTCTTGTGTTTGTTCCCTGCTGCACTGCAGCCCCATGTCTGCCCTGCTTGATGGGAGCCCCCGGAGGGGGCGCCTTTTCCTGTGACCCCCCAAGCACATGGGGGCTCCCCGGGAAGACTCAGAGGCTTGGGGTCTCTGCTGCTTACACGTGGAGCTGCCTCTCGGTGGGGCAGGGTGTGTGGCCCAGCTGGCCTGTGTGTCCTGGGATGTCCACAGGCCCTTGGTTCATGACACCTCCTAGAAACACGTGTGTTCTCTAACTCTGGGGCTCCATGTCTGTCCCGGAAGGTGCTACCTTCGTCTCTCACTCAGGGACGTCAGGCACTGGTCCTGCCCGCCCTGCCCAGGCTCCTCCTGTCTGGTGGCGGTGGGCGGCCCTGGGCACCAGAGCATCTGTGCTTTGTGCCACGTGAGCAGGGCCCGTGGGGCAAAGGGATAGGGAGTGCCCGGGGTAGACTGAGCTGCTGACCCGATCGGGCCTCAGGAGAGGTGTCTCCTGCCTGCCTGTCTTGGGTGGGGGCCCATGAGGCTGGTAGACCTGGAGGTCTGGGGCCTCACTTGGAGCAGGGGGGCAGCTGGAGCCCAGGTCCCCAGCTGGCACTGCACGTGGCTGTCACTGCGGCTCCCACTCAGGCCACCGTCTTCTCCTCCACAGGGTCCTCACTGAGCAGCGAGTCGTCCCCCGTGTCCTCTCCGGCCACCAACCACAGCTCCCCCGCCAGCACACCCAAGCGCGTGCCCATGGGCCCTATCATCGTCCCCCCTGGGGGCCACAGCGTGCCCAGCACCCCCCCCGTGGTGACCATCGCTCCAACCAAAACCGTGAATGGTGTCTGGAGGAGTGAGAGCCGGCAGGTGAGTGGGGCGGGGCAGGGAGCCTAGCGTCCTCTAAGTGGGGAGGCTGGATTCAGGCATCCATTGGGGGCTCTGGAGCTTTCGAGGTTGAGTTTACATTCCAGACACCCCCTCCCCCACCCTGAGTTTCCGTCTCCTTCTCTGCAACGTGAGGGTGACAGCGGCACCCTCCTGGAGGCCCTGTGCGGGTGAGTACATCGGCCCACGCATCAGTCTGTCAGAAGAAACCACCCGCTGGGGGTGTCCCGTTATTTTCTCCTGTTCTGGAGGCCACAAGTTCACAATCCGGGGGCCGGCAGGGCTGGTTTCCCCAGAGGCCTCTCCTGGGTTGCCGGTGGCTGCCTTCTCCCTGGGTCGTCTGTGGTGTCTCCATGTCTGGGTCCTGATCTCCTCTTCTCATAAGGACACCAGTCAGCTGGTTTAGCGCCCACCCTAATGTCCTTATTCTCATTCGGTCACCTCTTTAAAGACCGTGTCTCCAAATGCAGTTCCGTTCTGAGGCCCTGGGCATCAGGGCTCTAACACGGATTTGGGCGGGGGTGGCAGTCCAGTTCAAGCTGTGAAAGTGGTGTTTGCACGCTGAGCACCCGGCACACTAGCTGTGACTGTCATAGTCTGTGAACTGAACAAAGAATTGAGGTAGGAAAGATCCCAGCCCAGACGCTATCAGAACAAGACATCTGGTGGGTTTTGTGTTTCTGTCTTACTTTTGGGGCTCCCAGCGGAGGCCCCTCCCCAAGTTTTCGGGGCTCCTTATGTCTGTGGGCCCCTCGCTCTGCACTGACTGGGGCCTGCCTGTGTGGAAGGAGCTGGCACTGGGAGCTGCTCTTCTGCCGCTGCCTGGGGCCTGTGCGCCCTCAGGTGGGTACCTGCAGCTCTCCCGGCCCCCCACCCCTGGCGCGCAGCCTGGAGTGGGCCCTTCCTAATTAAGAGCGATTCTCAGGGGCTGCTGTCACCTGGACTTTTCTGCTGAGTTCCCAGAGGGACAGCCCCACTTGGAAATACTAATTAAACCACAAAGAAGGTGGGGAGGAGGGGAGAGTCACTCTTGCCTGAAGCTCCCTCTCCCCCAGGGGAGGACATGGGTATTGGAGCCACCTGCTCATCATCAGGGCCTGTCTGCCCTCTATCCCCAGAGGTGTGGGAAGGGAGCCAGCCTCAGTCCACAGGTGACAGCCCCCGGGCAGGCCCTGATCCAGGGTCCCAGTGGGAATCCCTGGGAGCTCCGGACTGGGACCCCCGGGGCCTGACGTTGCCTCTGCTTCCTTTCACGCCTTCCCTGGCTGAGGGGACAAACCTGCCCAGGGTCCTCACCTTGCTGGACCTCCTCTGCCCCTGAAGCCTCTCGTAGTTTGACTAATCCTCATGTGAGGTCTGGAGACCGAGGGGCAGGGCGTGGCCTGGAGGGTGGACCCTGGCCACAGGGGCCTCCACACCCCACAGGGCTTGGAGCAGCCCAAGGCGGCCCTCGTCCTGGTTTGAGGGAGGCTGAGGGAGTTGTTACCAGCTCCGCTGCCTCCAGAGGCCGCCCCCCAGGGCCAGCCTTGACCCCATGGGCCCTGAATCACCCGACTCAAACAGCTGAGGCTCCTTGCGCCCCACTGGTGGGGCCTGGCTGCTGGTGCCAGCGCCCGCAGCTCATGGGAGGCCACTTCCCTGCCCCAGCCTGGACCAGGAGCTTCTACCAGCCAGGACCCTGCACCCAGCCACTGCCTTGACCCCGACCAGAGCTCCTGGCCTAGACCCAGGACGCCTCGAGGGGATTCCAGCGCCTTTTCCGGCGACTCCTCCGCTCTGAGCTGGTCCCTCCTCGGAGGGTCCTTACCGCCTCGGGAACATTGAGCTACCCCAGAGCAGAGCAGGGGCGCGACAGGCCCGCCCCAGCAGTGTACCACCGCGGCGCTTAATGGAACACGGTGCCGCCAGGGAAGGCGCGGGGCCGGCAGCTGGATTAGCAGGTGATGTACGGCTCCTCGCTCGGGCACAGAGGCTCAGCGGGGCATTTAATCCTCTCGGAGTGGGGAGGCAGAGAGAGGATTCCCCTCCCACCCGGCCCAAAGCTGTGGCCATGAGTCTCCGAGGCTGCGGACGTGGGTGGCAGTTGCCGGGCCGGAGGCTTCTCGGCCCCTTCTCGGGGTCACCCCTCTCTCCCAGGTGTAGTGGGAGCTGCGAGAGGAGAAATGAGATGAAAAAGCCTGTTTTAAAGCTAACAGGGCATGTCCCGCCTGTCTGACTATGGAACCCTTGCTCTAATCACCGGAGAATGACGGATTTGCTCCTCCCCCTCCCCCTCCGCCCCTCCTCCCCCTCCCCCTCCGCCCCTCCTCCCCCTCCCCCTCCGCCTTCTTTCTTTCATCGTTGCAGCTGCGGCTGCAGCCGCTGCTCAGAAATGAAAAGCTGCCCACAGATGCGCCCTGATGCGTCTGTCTGTGGAGACGGCAGTGAGACCCCGGCTGCCGCTATCGGGGTGCCTTTGGGGTAGCTGCCGAGCCTGCCGGGCCTTGCCTGGATGGGGGGCAGCCCTGTGCCTCACTCCAGGCCCCGCTGACCTAGTTCCCAGGTGTCTGTGCCAGGGTTGGCCGGGCGCCAGCCAGACGGAAGCCACAGACATGTGGGTCTGGCTCGCCGGGCCCCTGCCCCGCCTGCTGGCTGCCCCCCAGCCCCCCGGACTCCCTGTTTGTCCTCAGCCAGGCCAGGAAGGTGCCATCTGGCCTGCGAGCAGGGCTTTGTCCTCGGCTGAGGGGAGAAGGGGTTCAAGGGCCGTGTCTGGGCTGGGGACAGGCCCCTCCTTGTGGCGGGGCGGCTGGGGCCCTGTGCTTTGCCGTTTGACCCGGCCCACGGCGCGGGCAGCATGCGGAGGAGGGCGGCAGGCCTGGGCTGTTGGTAGTTTGACCCTGGGTGCTGTCCTCAGGTCGAGGTCTGTCCTCCAGCCCTCTTCTGACTCTGGCCACCCAAGGCTGGGTGATGATTGAAGCCCCTGGCTGTCGTCTCCCTCCTGCCCTGGAGGCCTCCCCACCAGCCTGGGAGGGGGAGTCCAGGTACCCCGGGTGCCTGAGCAGGCGAGGCCCCTGTTCTGGGCATCCAGAGACCCACTAGCTTTAGGCCTGGTGTTCATTGGGGTGCTACTTGGATGCTGGGGGGCCAGGGGCCACTCCGTCTTGTTAAGTCCATCCCAGACCCTAGGAACAGGGTGTGTCCTTCCTCGTGCTCCGTTCCTCAGATGTTTGGCCCTATGCCAGGCAGGGTAGGGGCGTGAGGCAGGATCTAGAAGCCCAGCCTGGAAATAGCCTCACGGGGCTGGGGTAGGCAGGCCAGCCTGGCAACACACCTGCCATGTCCGGGCCCCCACCCTGCTGGTGCGTCCCCCACATGCCCGTGCACAGCTGTGCCATCAACTCTGCTGCCCTGTGAGTCCCCCGCATGCCCGTTCATAGCCGTGCCATCAACTCTGCTGTCCTCTGAGCAGGTGCCGTGACGGGCACATGCCATTGATGTGTGCACGAGGCACGACAGGATGGCCAGGTCTCCCAAGGTCAGGTTGGCCCCTCGGCCACTCCCCCACTACCCCGGTTGCTGACACCGGCTGGAGACCCCAAGGCCAGGCGCTGGCTCCTCAATAGGAAGTTCCCGGCCCCACGCAGGGCGTCAGTGCCCATGTGTACCTCCCACCCTCGAGACCAGCACCCTGGAGAGGCAGGTCAGAAGTCGTGAACCCAGGAGGACCCTACAGAGAAGGGGGGCCGGGGCTCAGCCCGCGGGAAGGGAGCAGATGCTGCCTCTCATTGAAGATTCCAGGCGGCGGCGGCGGCGGCGGCTCCTCCAGTTAATCCTCGCTGACTGTCTCCTGGAGGGTGGAGAGAGGGGAGGCGCCGGCCCGGGCTGCCTGCACTGCCTCTGCGCGGGTGCCATGTGCTGCTGCCGGGTCACCGTCTGCCGCTATGAAGATGGATGGGCCCAGGAAGAGGGGCTGGCGGGTCAGGGACACAGGCACGGCCCCTGGGAGACAGATGCTTCTCCACGGTGGGGCAGGTCTCAGAGCCCCTGGGCCATCATTCCTGCTGATCTTGTGGGGAGACGGCCATGGCCTCCTTGTTTTTTGGGTGTTTGGCATTTCGTGGCTCAGGGAGGCAGAGCGGGGCTGGTGCTCTTCAGGAGCACTGCCCGCTGATCAGCAGTCGTTACCTGACATGGCCAGATGGAACGTGAGGAAGGGCCGGGTTCCCGTGGCTCTGCATCCCTGGGAAGCTCAGAGGGGCCAGCGTGGCCATGGCTCTCAGACACCCCCAGGTCAGGGTAGGCCTGGGCAGTGCTGTCCCCACATGGGGAAGATGCTGGGGCTGAGAACGGCTGCCCCAGTGACAGAGTGACGCCTGGGTTGGCAGCCATCCAGAGTCCAGAGCACAGCCCCCATCTGGGCCGCCCTGAGGCTCCCTCCGCCCCCCTCCTCCCCCCTCCTCCCCCCTCCCCCTCCTCCTCCTCCTCCCCCCTCCTCCTCCTCCTCCTCCTACCCCCTCCTCCTCCTCCTCCTCCTCCTACCCCCTCCTCCTCCTCCTACCCCCTCCTCCTCCTCCTCCCACTTAGTCACACGAATAACAGGAACAAGCAAGGCCTTTTCATGCTCTGGTTTCTCCGGGCTGGACCCTGCGTGTGTGCGGGGCAGCCTCTGCGTGGCTAGGGGTGGCACGGCCTATCCTTGAACTTGGCAGGGACCTCAGCCCGGAAGGTGGGCTTTGGGCCACTGCCTCCTCCTGCTTTGTGCCTGGAGAAGACCCCTCATCTGAGTCCTCTGGACCACCTTCCCAGCTACACCCAGGTCCACTGTGTCCAGGAGCCTGGGACAGGCGAGCTGTTGCCTTCCCTGCCCCACCGTGTGTGTGAAGGCCGGTACCCCAGCTGGCCAGTCAGGGCCCAGCTGCTGCCTGTTCTGGTGGGCTCCAGGGCCAGGGCCACCCCAGGAGGTGGTTGGGGGCAGACCAGCACCTTCGGCCCAGGGGCAGTGCCAGCTTCCTTTGCCCCTGCCCTCCACGTGGGCACCAGGGCCAGGACATCTGCGGCCAGGTGGGCAGCTGTCGGCGCAGTTGACGTCTTGGCTACATCGTGGCACTCGCTTCACGGCGTGCTGGGTGCCAACGGTGTCTGCTTCCCCGGGTGTGTGTCTGGTGTGACCTTCGGATGTCCACACCAGGAGGGGTGGAGGCAGGAGCCCCTGCCACCCTGCATCCTTCACCTGCACACATTGTGTTTCTGGGGGGTTCTAGTTCTTTTGCTGGACTGAGGAGGCCCAGGGAGGGAGACGGATCCCGAGACGCACTTCACCCCAGACCTGTCGCAGCCACATCCCCTTTCTTACGGTTCTGCTTCCCACACCACATGCACCATGTTTTGCGTAGAAAGCCTTAGGGAAAGGATGTTTCTAGAACATGAACTAAATCTAGCGCCTTCCCGTGAGTCAGGAGACCTGGCTGTGTCCTGTGGTCAGTGGCCTATACCAGGCTCCTGCCCTGACTGGACGCTCTCCTCCCGCAGGATGCCGGCTCCAGGAGCAGCAGTGGAGGTCGGGAACGCCTCATTGTGGAGCCCCCGCTCCCTCAGGAGAAGGCAGGGGGACCAGCCATCCCCTCGCACCTGCTCAGCACCCCCTACCCCTTCGGCCTCTCCCCCAGCTCAGTTGTGCAGGATTCCCGCTTCCCGCCACTCAAGTAAGTTGGTCGGCGGGGACTTCGGTGAGGTGGCCAGGTGGGGACACAGTGCTCAGGGTCTGGGTCCCCAGGCAGCCTGCGGTCTGCACAGATGAGGCTGTGCCTGCTAGATGGTTGTCGGCCGCTGAGCCCTGGGGATTGCAGCCCTGTCTGTGCCCCTTCACACTGAGGTGGCAGTGGCAGCTCGCTCCCCCCGCTGCTTAAGCCCCGTCCTCGTTCGGGGTGCCAGGAGTCTGGGTGCCGACTGAGCGCCAGGGGTGATGCAGGGAGTTTAGCCGTCCCCCCATGCAGGAGCAGGTGTGCACTCACCTGTCCCCACCTTGCCCACTATCCCCGCCTGCAGCCTCCAGCGGCCCGTGCACCACGTGGTGCCCCCCAGTACCGTGACCGAGGACTACCTGAGAAGCTTCCGGCCCTACCACACCACCGACGACCTCCGCATGTCCTCACTGCCTCCCCTCGGCCTGGACCCGGCCACTGCTGCAGCCTACTACCACCCCAGCTACCTGGCCCCACACCCCTTCCCCCACCCGGCCTTCAGGTGAGGCATCCCCCACGCGCCCTCTCGTCTAGGTGCTGGCCTGTTCCTGGCAAGATGGAACCTGGCGGGGAAGGTGTTTCTTATGACCTGAGAGCCAGGCTCCTAGGGGAGGGTCTAGAGTAGCCCCTGAAATCGTCCCCAGCTTTGAGCCTAAATTCAGCCCTGATGGCCCATTAGGGGTCCCCTCCTGGTAGACAGTCCCCCTTGGTGACTGTACTGTCATCCTTGGCTCCTCCCCTTCTCACCGGGGGGTCCATTGACAGCAAGTCACTGTTAAGAGAGCAGGGCTTTGCCCGTGGGAGAGGCGATGCTTTGCTGTGTAGCAGGAGACCTCGGTGGCACTGTGGTCTGGCCTGGGTCCGTGGAGAAGCTCTGCCCATCCTTGTCAGAGGTCAGAGGGGCCTGTAGTCATGTCATGGACCACCCCACGTCAGGGCAGCCCAGCCTGCTCGCCAGCCTTGGAAGGGCCTGGGCGCTTGACCACTCTGTGCTGGTCTGGCTGAGCCGAGGGAGGTGGCAGGCGGCGCCCTGGAACCCCAAGCTGTCGGCACCTAGCAGCCTCCGGCATCAAGGGGCTTTGGGGCTAGCAGCAGGCATGGTCTTCATCCCCAGCCATTTTGTCACGTTCCCCACGCTCAGGCAGGTGTGTGTACCTGGCTGAGACACACCTGTCGACAGGGCTGGGTCTTCCCCTTGGTTCATTTGCTGCTCACAGCCCCGTCTTCTCTGCACAGGATGGACGACTCCTACTGCCTGTCTGCCCTGAGGTCCCCGTTCTACCCCATCCCCACCCCCGGCTCCCTGCCCCCACTGCACCCATCAGCGATGCACCTGCACCTCTCTGGGGTCCGCTACCCTCCCGAGCTCTCCCACTCATCCCTGGCAGCGCTGCACTCGGAGCGCATGTCTGGCCTCAGCGCGGAGAGGTAAGTGCGTCTCGAGCCGAGGAGCCCCTCTGCCCTCCCTGTCCCTTGATGGCAGCTGGGCAGAAAGCCTGGGCTGGAACCTGACTGGACTCCTTGGCCATGCCTGTCCTCACAGTTTGTCCACCTGCCAAATGGGACAATGATCGTTCAGGCTCTGCTCTGAAATAGCGCCTGTCTCGGTAGCCGTGGTCTCCTGCAGTAAACCTGCAGGCCGAGGAGCTCTCGGGCGTGCTTGGGCATTTTGTAAGCCGCTTTGATTGTATGGACCTTAAGTTCTTCCTGCACCAGTGAAACCCGGCTCACCTCCCGTCACTGTTCAGATTAGCGCCCTGGCTCGTTCCTGGTTATGCTTTTTAAGGGCCTGCCCCAGGTCCGTCTCTTGTTCCTGGTGCAGCAGAGCCCCCAACTCTTTCCATGTGCTGCAGGCTGCAGATGGACGAGGAGCTAAGGCGGGAGAGGGAGCGCGAGCGCGAGCGCGAGCGTGAGCGTGAGGCTGACCGCGAGCGGGAGAAGGAACGTGAGCGCGAACGCGAGAAGGAGCGCGAGCAAGAGAAGGAGCGTGAGCGTGAGAAGGAGCGCGAGCGCGAGCTGGAGCGCCAGCGGGAGCAGCGGGCCCGGGAGAAGGAGCTGCTGGCCGCCAAGGCCCTGGAGCCCAGCTTCCTGCCCGTGGCCGAGCTGCATGGGCTGCGTGGCCATGCCACTGAGGAGCGGGGCAAGCCCTCGGAGCAGCTGACCCCAACCCGAGCAGGTACCTGGGCGTGGGTGGGCTGTGCTGGGCAAGGTCTCAGCCACCCGCGGGGAGGAGCCCTGAATCGCAGCACCTGCCGGTTGCCGTGGTGTAAATGTTCCCCAGCTGAGTTCGCCCTAAAAGCGTGGTGTGGCTGAACATGGAGTAGGGAGCAGAGGCACGTTGGCACACGATGTAGACACAGTGGATATAGCTGACCCCAGGAGGACAGTTGTGAAATGTAGCCGGGGCATTAGGAAGGGATGTTTTGAGTGCTTCGTTGATTTTATTTCTCTGTAAGTTTACGAAACAATTGTCCAGTAATAACAACCAGCTTTTGCATGTTTCCCGGAAATTTAATAGTCTGCTCTTTGAGCCAGCATGAGCTGGCTCTGGCACCGCACTGGCTGGGCAAGAGTTTTGCCAGCCAGCCACGGAGCGTTTCCTTCCAGGGACAAGACATGCTTCTTGAAAGCTCCCGTAGGGCCCCTTCTGAATATCTTGGTTCTGGCTGCGGGAAGAACCCTTTGGAAGGGCTCTGGTTTCTCTGGGCAGTTGGGTGAGAGAGGACGGGGAGGGAGCATGCTGGCCCACGTGGCTGAGATCCTGCTTGACCGTGTTTCCCCCCACAGAGAAGCTGAAGGATGCCGGCCTGCAGGCGCCCAAGCCCGTCCAACACCCCTTGCATCCGGTGCCCACCCCACACCACACGGTGCCCAGCCTCATCTCCAACCATGGCATCTTCTCTCTGCCTAGCAGCAGTGCTGCCACAGCCCTGCTGATCCAGCGCACCAATGAGGAGGAGAAGTGGCTGGCGCGGCAGCGGCGGCTGCGGCAGGAGAAGGAGGACCGGCAGTCTCAGGTGTCCGAGTTCCGGCAGCAGGTGCTGGAGCAGCACCTGGATATGGGCCGGCCCCCGGTGCCGGCGGAGGCAGAGCACAGGCCGGAGAGCACCACCAGGTGAGTGAGCCCCAGGAAGGAAGGAGGGATGAGCCTTCACGTTCCGATTTGTTCAGCGTGTATTGAGCACCTCCTGTTTGCCCAACATCCTGCCCCAGCGTTTCTGCCTGCCTCTTTCATTTCTGTTCTTTCATCTTCACGTTATAATGCCTGTCTTGCCTATGGGGAAGCTGAGACTGAGGAAGAAAATGGATTGCTCAAAGGTATCCCCACCAGTAAGTAAAGAGACCAATCAAGTCCATGTTGAGAGCCAGGGCACTGCACACGCAGCCTGACCTAGTTCCCAGGAGGCCATTCACAGCAGATGAAGAGTGCAAGGTAGAAGCTTTAATTACTAATAATACCTGTTCTCTCCATCTTCCTCTGCTTTTGAGCCTGGACTTCTTTTTTTAACAAGAAGGGGACAGCTTTTGATTTTAAGGAAAAAAATGAGTTTTATTGCTTTTGTATTAATAGTAAAAACACATGCCCGTTTTCTAGCCCTTTATGAAAGCATTTCCCAGGAAACTGTGTGGTGGTCCCTTGGACCCCGGCTGCAGACACAGGTCTTATGAGCTGGGCCCCAGTGCCCCCAGTCCTCCCTGCCCCTGCCTGCCCTGGGATTCCTGCCTTGGGGCTGTGCTGGTCCCAGGCCCCCACGTCATATACCCCCAGGGCTCACTCTGAAGGGCTGAGCTAAGATCCTCAGCCAGAGTTGGTGGGAATGACCTGCCAGCCTTCCATAGCTCTGCTCCAGGCCCAGCTCAGGGACCTAGGGACACTGATTCTGTTCCCTGAGCCTCACTTTCCTCAACTGTCCACAAAGGAGGGTGGGTAGGATGATTTCTGAGCATCTTTCCAGCTCTCAAGGCTGTGATGCTGTCCTGGGATAAGAAACCCTTGGGCTCTGGGACGGAAGCGTGTTGGTGGTTTAAAATCTGTCCTCCCTTCTGCCTGCCTCCGTTATCCAGTAGGGCAGCGAGGGAATGCGCCCCCGCTGATCAGGGATGACTGGGAGTGACTGTCACCAGGCCACAGCTAAGTCTCCCTGTGGCTCACACTGCCCGGCACGGCCGAAGTGAGATCCCTTCTGCCTCTCCCAGCCCCCGTCCCTGAGGCCTCTCAGGCTCAGCCTTGCCTACTACCCAGAGGACTGAGGGCAGCCAGCTCCTACCTGGCATGGCCTGATAACATCAGGGTGCCCTGACTCCTGTAGGCATCTTCTTCCTCAGGGCTCCCCAGGGCCCCAGCACAGGTGTTGTGACTTTGCCCACCCATGGACTGCTTCCAGCCAGTGTAGCTGCCCCATCCGGACCTGGGGCATGATGGGAAGCAGGGCCTGGCCTCCCCTGGCTGCGGTGGTTCCCCTGTGGCCGGCTGCACACGTGGCCTTACAGCATTGTGAACTTGGGGGCCTGACAGGGCCCTCATGCTCCAAGCTAGAAAACTGTTCAGTGCTTGGTGTGGCGCATGAAATATTTATTCTCCTGCAGGTTTCATTCCCTTGCTGTTTACTTAAGGACACAGCTTCTTCCTGTGGTTCCCTGTTGTATTCTGCTAAGAGGGACAGCAGCGTCGGATTTGTCCCTTGGCCTGGAGTCTGGAATAACTAGGGAGAGCCTTGGTGGCTGTGTTTAAACAGGGCTCCCGGGGCAGGCTAGAGATCCCTGAGCCCGGCCGTGTGCCTGCTGTGGCCTCTGCCTCTTTCTTCCCCTCAAGCTTTGCCCAGGGTCTCTGCACAGTATTGGTCCAGACATCCTGTGAGTATATCTCCCTTTAAAAAAAAGAAAGATAGCCAGGCACAGTGACACATGCCTGTAGGCCCAACTACTCTGGAGGCTGAGATGGGATGATCGCTTGAGCCCGGGAGTTCTCGGCTGTAGTGTACTATACCCACTAGGTGTCCCAGCTAAGTCCAGCACAAATATGGTGACCTCCTGGGAGCGGGGGACCACCAGGTTGCCTAAGGAGGGGTGAACCAGGGCAGGTCGGAAATGGAGCATGTCAAAACTCCCGCGCTGATCAGTAGTGGGATTGCTCCTGTAAATAGCCACTGCACTCCAGCCTGGGTAACACAGCGAGACCCATCTCTTAAAAATAAGCTGGAAAAACAATACTAAAAATAGCCCTGTGAGTAGATTAAATCTTGTTTTAATTGCACTGAGGAAACAAGCCATTTAGTGTAACTAAGGGGCAGCTTCTTGTTTAATGGAAGGGTTCTGATGTTAGAAATCCCTTCTTTCCCTCCCTGCCTCAGCAGGCCTTAGCCTGGGTCCTTGAAGACACTTTGAGGCCTCTGCCACAGGCCACTTGGGCAGTGGGGTCGCTGCAGTTGTGACAGGGGCCACTGGGGGGCAGTCTCGGCACAGGCCCCATCCTGACTGGGAGGATCTTCATTTCACAGTGGGTTTGGCTCTGGCTGGGCAGACACTGGAAGGTTGTCTTGTGGCTGCCTGCGGGGACAGTGGGGAGGGAGGAGTACTGCCCTGTGAAGGTGGCCAGCCTGCCCTGTGTCATGTGTCCCTACAAGGCACAGCAGGAGGAGAGGGTGCTGGTGGCAGGGCCACAGCCCAGTATATAGAGTGGGTTTCCCCATGGAAAGTGCGGATGAGCGCTTGCCCTTAGGGGAATTCACGCAAGCAGGTGGGAAAATCGACCGAAACTGGATCTGTCCCAGGCCTGAGAGGGTCTCTGCCTTCCCTAGCAGCTTAGGCTGGGAGCCTCCCTATCCTCTTGGAGCAGCCTGCACACACCTGCCGCAGGTGTTGGAGGGCCGGGCACAGTGGCTCACTCCTGTAATCCCAGCACTTCGGGAGGCCAAGGCAGGTGGATCACTTGAGGTCAGGAATTCGAGAGCAGTCTGGCCAACTTGGTGAAACCCTATCTCTACTAAATAGGAAAAATTAGTAGCTGGGCATGGTGGCACACGCCTGTAATCCCAGCTACTCGGGAGGCTGAAGCTGGAGAAGCGCTTGAACCTGGTAGGCGGAGGTTGCAGTGAGCTGAGCTTGCCCCACTGCACTCCTGCCTGGGTGACAGAGTGAGTCTTTTTTTTTGTTTTTTTTGAGACGGAGTCTTGCTCTGTCGCCTAGGCTGGAGTGCAATGGCACGGTCTCAGCTCACTGCAACGTCTGCCTCCTGGGTTCAAGCAGTTCTCCTGCCTCAGCCTCTGGAGTAGCTGGGATTACAGGCACCCGCCACCATGCCTGGCTAATTTTTGTATTTTTTAGTAGAGATGGGGTTTCACCATGTTGGCCAGGCTGGTCTCAAACTGCTGACCTTGTGATCCACCCTCCTCGGCCTCCCAAAGTGCTGGGATTACAGGGATGAGCCACTGCGCCCGGCCGAGTCTTTAAAGAAAAGAAAGGAAAAGAGAAAATGAAAGACAGAAACAATGATCCTTGGGGTGGAGTGTGTGTCCCCTCCCTGCAGCCCTGTTGGCACTGGCTCTCTAAGGGGCTGCGCCATCTGTGTCATCTTAGGAGCGGCAGGCAGCCAGGGAAGCCTGTGGATGACTGAAGGGTCTTTTCTCCCTGACTGAAGGGTTGGTTTCACTCCCTAGGCCAGGACCAAACCGTCACGAGCCAGGTGGCCGTGACCCTCCGCAGCACTTTGGGGGGCCACCACCTCTGATTTCGCCCAAGCCCCAGCTCCATGCTGCACCCACGGCCCTCTGGAACCCCGTGTCCCTGATGGACAACACCTTGGAGACGCGGCGGGCCGAAAGCCACTCTCTGCACAGCCACCCGGCTGCATTTGAGCCCAGCCGCCAGGCAGCCGTGCCGCTGGTGAAGGTGGAGCGGGTCTTCTGCCCGGAGAAAGCAGAGGAGGGGCCACGGAAGCGTGAGCCTGCCCCTCTGGACAAGTACCAGCCACCTCCGCCGCCACCACGAGAGGGAGGGAGCCTGGAGCACCAGCCCTTCCTGCCCGGGCCCGGGCCCTTCCTGGCTGAGCTCGAGAAGTCCACCCAGACCATCCTGGGCCAGCAGCGGGCCTCCCTCCCACAGGCGGCCACCTTCGGGGAGCTCAGCGGACCCCTGAAGCCTGGCTCGCCCTACCGGCCCCCAGTGCCACGGGCCCCCGACCCTGCCTACATCTATGATGAGTTCCTGCAGCAGCGCCGGAGGCTGGTCAGCAAGCTGGACCTGGAGGAGCGCAGGCGGCGGGAGGCCCAGGAGAAAGGTCTGCCTCCCCGCGGGCCCCGAGCTGCTCAGGGAGAGCCGCACAGTGGGGATGGGGAGCCTGCATGCCAGCCACCTGCCCCTCTCCGTCCACTCCTGCTTTTTGCCTGGGGTAGTCCCAGGCCCCAGGTGGCAAGTGCACTGGCTTCTTTGTAGCAGCATGACACCCTCGTAGGGGAGGCAGACCCTAGTCCCCGTGCCTGTCCTGCCTCGATGCAAATTGTCCCAAAAAGCCAAATCAAAGCCCGCCTGTGAAGATAGTTCCGCAGACAAGCATGATGAATAAGTGATGAGCGGAGGCTAATAAGATAGTTTTAAATATTAATAGTGCAGCATAACAGGAGAGCCGGCCTGGGCTCAGCGGGGGCTCCACATACAGGGCCGCTGCCACGAGCTGCAGCAGGTGGGTCAGGGGTTGAGGACGCGGCGGCTGGCACTGCCCCGGGTCAGGGTAGGAGGTCAGGCACTTCATTCTTATTTCTGCTTGGGGGTGGGGCGTCCTCAGCCAGCGGCTCCCTGAGTTCTCCAGAGAGCCAGGAAGAGCAACCGAGCAGGCGAGAGTGTGCAGAGGGGAGCAGGGGCTCCAGCCCAGTTTTCTTCCTGATGCTGAACACTCAGGTCCTGTCCAGTGCTGAGCTCAGCCTCCTCTTCAATAGAAGCTGGGGCACAGGCGGTCTTCCTGGTTGTTGGTCTAGGCTGGATGGAGGGCCCAGCCAAATTTCTCTCCCCTACTCACTTTGTAAAGGAGGAGGGAGATACCCCAGCGCCCCTGGGCAGGGGCTCTGCTATTGTTCTCTGTGTCTTAGAGAGCTCAGGCCTGTGTGTGCCTGTCTCCTCCCAGGAGATGGACTCAGATGGCCACAGCATGGGGGAGTGCATGTGCACAAGCAGCCCTGTGTTGCCGTGGACACAGCCCCAGGCCTGTGTGATGAATGGTTCCCTGCCAGGGGGAGGAGGGAGGTCTTGTCAGCCCAGGGGACCACCCAGCTACTGGGAGCCATGGATCCCAGGGAAGCCTGGTGTCTGCGGTCCTGCAAAGCCCCAGGACTGGGTTAATGTTGGTTTCCACCTCGGTTGAAAGGAACTGGCCTTCAGGGTGTTCAGGTGCCAGCAGGCCTGGCCTGATAGGTGCTCTGCACACATGAGGCCCTGCGGGCATGTCCACTGGACAGATGAAGGCTCTTTGTCTGGCTGAATACAACCATTTCTCCATCAGGGTACTACTACGACCTCGATGACTCTTACGACGAGAGCGATGAGGAGGAGGTCAGGGCCCACCTCCGTTGCGTGGCCGAGCAGCCGCCCCTCAAACTGGACACGTCCTCTGAGGTACTGGGCTCTCCTCCCCACGGACATGCTCTGGGCTGGGCTCTCGTTCCTAGCGTCCACACCCTGCAGTCCACCCCACTGTTGCTAGGTTCCTCCGAAGTCCTGGCGGGTTCGCCCCATGAAGCTCTTCTCCCACCAGGCGCAGCCAGCTACGGCCCACACTTCGAGGACCCCAGGAGGGGACCCCGGGACAGTGCAAGCATACCACTGCCAGTGGCTTCAAACTCATTTGTTTTCTTTCCCAATCTAGAAGCTAGAGTTTTTGCAACTTTTTGGCTTGACCACCCAACAGCAGAAGGAGGAATTGGTGGCCCAGAAGCGGAGGAAGCGGCGGAGGATGCTGCGAGAGAGAAGCCCGTCGCCCCCAACAATTCAGAGCAAGCGGCAGACGCCTTCACCGAGACTGGCGCTGTCTACCCGCTACAGCCCTGATGAGATGAACAACAGTCCCAACTTCGAAGAAAAGAAGAAGTTCCTGACCATCTTCAACCTGACCCACATCAGCGCTGAGAAGAGGAAAGGTAGGGCCTCGCCTGGGTAGGAAGGTGGGGGCTCACTGGGGTGGAAGTGGGTTTCTGAAGCAGCAGGTGGGGCCGGTGGACTCCAGGCAGGATCTGCGATCACTGAGCCTGAGGCTGCCCCTTTACTCCTCCCGGCTCCCGGGAACAGCCTCTCTGTTCTTACAAGCCCTCCATAGCAGCCTTACCTGACAGGCTTTGCTCTGAGAGCCCCACCATCTTGACCTGAGGACTACCCATGTCACTCATCCATCTCCCAGCGCCCGAGAAGGCGCTCTTTGAGCCGAGTGCTCCAGTGACCACCAGGCGTGAGGGGAGGTGCCAGGTGTTCCAGGTTTGTCTGCTGCAGGCTTTTCCTCTTGCTGGACCGCTTAGGTGGTCTGCTGGGTGTTGTGTCCTGGTGGCCGGAGGCCTGGGGAAGGGCTGCCAAGCAGGGCAGCACACACTGAGCAGATGGCTTGCCTTGAAAGATGCTTCCAGTTCAGTCTGGCCACACAGGGCCACATTGGGACAGACCCTCTGGGCTCGAATCCATATAGCAGAAGAAACAACGCAGCCACAACACCTGCTCAGGGTTTTGGCTTCCTTGGCCTGCAGCGCAGGCTGGCTTGGTGCCCAGATGTTGACGTTCCTGGCCCTGCCCCTTACGCACGCTTTCAAGTCCTCGTGGGCCCCTGGCCTCCTCTCTGGGAGAAAGTCGAAGGAAAGCAGAGTTACTTCTTGGACCTTGAGCAGCTTCAAGGTGTTGATCAGGGTGTAGCCGTTTACTTTCTCCTTTTAACCAGTCAGTAGTTTTCCCTTTCTCTTAGCGGGCTAGTGACGTGTTGATTGCCAGCCCAGTTCCCTAGATACAAAGCATCTTTTTCCCTGAATTTTTGGAGGAAAAAAAATTAAGGGCGATGCAGCCCTTGAGTTTCACAGTCAAGAAGGGCCGGGTGACATCAGGGATCTGCTGCGTGGAACATCGTGGGGTCATCTTTCCCCTTCAGGAAGTGGCAGTAATGGTAGGAGTGGGGGAGAAGGCACCCTGCCTCAGAGGCCAGGCCTGGGTCTTTGGGGTGTTTCTTTGTGTTGGGGCCACCTTGTCTGACTTGAAATAAGAATACATCCTCGCACGTCACCACCGAGGTCCGTGGGCACAGTGATTCACAGAGGCGTCGTCACCGCACGGACAGCTGTCTTTGGAGCACGTCTAGGACATTGTGTAGTGGATGCCGAGAGCAATCTGGGCTCGCTTTGAGATGGTTGCTTCCTTTCAACTGGGCCTGCCCCATCACACCTGCTTTTGGTTTTTCGGGCTTTAGTGCTTTGCCTGCCCCTCAAGGCTCGGCTAGAATCCCGCTGTCCTTCTCTCCAAAAAATGATGCAACTGGCTCGTTAATCTCAGGCTGCTTTTCTCATAGACAAAGAGAGACTTGTTGAAATGCTCCGTGCCATGAAGCAGAAGGCACTGTCAGCAGCAGTGGCCGACTCCTTGACAAACTCTCCGAGGGACAGTCCTGCCGTCTCCCTGAGTGGTAAGGGAAGGATAGCCCCACCTGCCACCACCCAGGACCATCCCATGGGCTGCCCAGGCTCAGAGGCGACCACTCGAGGTCTTCATCATTGTGAATGTGGCCTCCTGCAGGCTGTCTTCTTCCATTCTTGTACCAGCGTACGATTCTTGCACAGTTGTGACAGTCATTGGGACGGAACGTCAGTTTGAAGGCGGGCTCAGAGTTGAGGGGAGGGTCTGGCTTCTGTGGAGCTCTACGTGCTGGTCACTATGGTCGTAGTAACCGTTGTCCTTCAGTTACGGCACAGAGGCTCACATGGAGGCCAATCCAATGGTACCATCCCAGGAGGGAGGGCGTGCTCCAGCCTTAGTGCCCGCAGCCTGGTCCTGCCACTAGCCTAGCCGCCCTGGCTCTCTTCCTGCTCTTTGTCTTCCTCACTCTGCCCTCTGGGCCCTGCCGGCACCTGCCGCCACACCTTTCCTCCTCTTACAGTTCTGGCTGGCCTCTGCCCTGTCAGATGTCAGAGGGAATCTTTACAGTGCGTCCCAGTCCTCGGCCCCTCACACACTCTCTTGTCCGGTTGGACTGAATACCTCCATGCTGCCTCCGTGGCTGGGGGACTTCCTTCTTCCTGTGGATCTGCTTCTTCCTTCTTGGGACATCTTTCAAGGATGGACTTGCCACTAAACACCCCACTGTCTTCAGAGAATAGCCATGTGCGCGGCGGTTACTTAAATGTTCCCCGGGTCTTGGTTCTTTGCGCTAGGTCTTTGTTAAGTGTAAGCTCTAGAGACCAGGATCTGCGTGCTGGACACTCAGCCTGTTAACTTGCATTTCTTAATATTTTCCTTCACTTTGTCTCTAAAAGAACCAGCCACGCAGCAAGCCTCTCTGGATGTGGAGAAGCCGGTTGGTGTTGCTGCTTCCTTGTCTGACATCCCAAAGGCCGCGGAGCCTGGGAAGCTGGAACAGGTCCGGCCCCAGGAGCTGTCGAGAGTCCAGGAGCTAGCTCCTGCCAGCGGGGAGAAGGCCAGGCTGAGCGAGGCCCCTGGAGGCAAAAAGAGTCTGAGCATGCTTCACTATATCCGGGGCGCTGCACCCAAGGACATTCCTGTGCCGCTGTCCCACAGCACCAATGGGAAGAGCAAGCCGTGGGAGCCCTTTGTGGCAGAAGAGTTTGCACATCAGTTCCACGAGTCAGTGCTGCAGTCCACCCAGAAGGCCCTGCAGAAGCATAAAGGTAATGAGGCTGCCAGTCCCTGCTCAGCTCTCGGCTGTGGTTGAGGCTGACCAAAGTTGCTGAGCGCCACAGCTGCTCAGCCGTTCAGCCGTGGGCACAAGTTTTTATAAACTCCAATCACCAGAAGAAAATAATTTCGTTATTATGCCAAAACCATGTTTGTTTGTTTATCTCCAAGCTCTAAAACCTGAACTCGTAGGTGAGAAACGTTTGTAGGCACCAGCGCTGACGCTGTGCTGTGAGCAGGGACGCATCGATCGGTAAGAGGTAAAGGAGTGAACGCCGACAGGCATTGGTTTTTGCAGAGATTAAAAGATTCCCCAAAGGCAGGAAGAGCACTTGAGTGGATTTTTACCCGCATTCATTTGAAAGAATCATGTTTTTCAAGACAGAGATGCAGATGGCCGCCAGTCCTCAGGGTAGAGCTTCCCTTCCTTCATGGTGGTATCTAAAGATGTCACCACCAGCCCTCTGGATCCGTGGGTTCCGCGTCTTTGGATTCAACCAGCTTCAGATTAGAAATATTTGTGGGTGGGGTGGAATTCCACCAAGTTCCAAAAACAAAACTTGAATTTGCCAAGCACCAGGTACTACATTGAATCCATGCAAATCAAGTCAAGTGTAGGCATTGTGTTAGGTATTACAAGTACTCTAGAGGTGTGCATAGGTGATACGCAGATACTATGCCACTTTATATCAGGGACTTGAACATCCCTGGCTTTTGGTATTCACAGGAGGTTCTGGAGCCAGTTCTCCATGACAGATACCAAGGGAGACTATACAGTGCTACTGAGATGCCTTTCGAAACTTCAGAATACCCTCCCTCCCTGCCCTTTGGCAGTGCACCTTGTAGAGGCTTTTCTGTGGCCCTAGGACACTTTCTGCCTTATTCTGACCTTGTCCTGGCCTTACACTAAACTGTTTCCTCTAGATTTTAGTCACTCTGCCATACCAGTTTGAGCCAAGTCACTCCATTGACTGGGCTGGTCTCAGGCCCCACCAGGGGCTGCCATCCCCACGGGAGGCCAGGTGTGCTCCTGAGGATGTCACCCACCAGGCCACGCCATGAGACAGGGCATGCCCTCTTGAAACGGGGCACAATGAGGCTGATTCCTGGGGGAGGGCAGAGCCCCATTATGCCTAGGGATCAAAACAGCCACGCCTTGTGAGAGGATGGGCTGGTGTCTGCTGAGGGCTGACTATAGACCAAGCTCAAAGAGATGGAGGCAGCCGGGCGCAGTGGCTCACGCTTGTAATTCCAGCACTTTAGGAGGCCAAGGCGGGCAGATCACCTGAGGTCCGGAGTTTGAAACCAGCCTGGGCCAACATGGCGAAACCCTGTTTCTACTAAAAATGCAAAAATTAGCTGGGCATGGTGGCACATGCGTGTAATTCCAGCCACTCCGGAGGCTGAGGCAGGAGAATTGCTTGAACCTGGGAGGGGAAGTTGCAGTGAGCCGAGATCACGCCATTTCTCTCCAGCCTGCTACCCAGAGGACTGAGGGCAGCCAAAACAAAAAATGGAGTCTCAGAGATGAATTCCAACAAAAATGGTCCACGTACCAGAATCAACTAGCACTCAGGGCTGCGTTGTCTCCTGGCTGTCTCGGACTTTCTCAAGTGGCCCAGAGGCCTTGGGCTAGGTCCCTCCTCTCTACGCGATGTCATCTTGGTCCCCGGAGCCCTGCAGTCATGTTGACTCTGCACCAAGGGCAGAGCAGAGCTCCCTTCTGAGACAGCACCCTGTGTCCCTTCCCCCAACACACTGATGCAAGCCCTGTCCCCTCCACAGGGAGCGTGGCTGTGCTGTCTGCAGAGCAGAACCACAAGGTTGACACGTCCGTCCACTACAACATTCCTGAGCTGCAGTCCTCCAGCCGCGCCCCTCCACCCCAGCACAATGGGCAGCAGGAGCCCCCCACTGCAAGGAAGGGCCCCCCAACCCAGGAGTTGGACCGGGACTCGGAGGAGGAGGAAGAGGAGGATGATGAAGATGGAGAAGATGAGGAGGAAGTCCCCAAGCGCAAGTGGCAAGGGATCGAGGCCGTTTTTGAAGCTTACCAGGAACACATAGAAGGTAAGGGGGTGCTGGGGAAGAGGGGGGAGGGGGTCAGGAAAGTACCTTTGGAAAGGAAGCTGAGTGATGAGTTCATGCAGACCTCTGCCAGCCTGGGGACTGTTTCTCCGTCCTGGGGCACAGTAGATATGAATACTGGAAGTTTCTTCCGGCTTCTGGTAGCGGTGATGTCCCATGCTGGAACCTGAGGCCAGTCTTGCTAGGGCATCCAAGTACCATGATGCCAGCTCTGGTGGCACCTGTCATTCTTTATGTGGGCCCTGCTCTGTGGGCTGCATCAGTGCTGATGTCGGCCTCAGCTTCGTGTAAGGGTCCTGGGAGACAACCTAGTTGGTTGATTTGCTGAGCCCTGGCAGCTAGGCCTGGTCACTGCTCCAGCATGCCTCTTGCCTAGTGACAGACTCCCCACACTGCAAGGATTGCTCTGTGGCCGGTGGGTGCCAGTCATGTTTTCAGCTGCCTTTACTTTAGCCAAGCACTTTGCCTAAAAAGACAGGCTCCTGGTAAAGGCTTAGTCGAAGGCTTGCCGCCTCTCAGAATACCCAGGATGTTTTGATCCCACCTGGGAATGCACACACCAACCCTCCTGGGAAGCCACAGCACCAGGCGGACTCAGGCCACATCTCCCCTGCCAGGGAGTGGGGCCACGAAGTTGGGCGTTGCAGCATTTGATGCTCCTGTATACTGCACACCACCTTCTGCCTCTGTGCCTCAGTTTCCCTAGGATATTGCACAGGCCCCTTTGGGGAACAGCAGAGGTACCCAGCCTTCATTTTGCACTCACCATCCTTACTGCGTGGGCACTGCTGGGTATGCGCTTTGACAAAAGCTGGGCTGGGCCACAGCCACCTGTAATTGATTTAACATGTCCTAGAGGACTCTTTATCATCACATATGACAGTGTTGTAAATATCATCAAACACAAAGACTTGATTATGAATGTCAGCCACTTCAAATACTTAGAAAAGTAGTTTTTTTCTTTTTTCTCCTGGTAGAACTCAGTCAGGAAAAGTATTCTCCAAACTAAAAACAAACGCCCATGTAGCCACAACCAGGACATCAAATCCCGTATTTTGTTTCCTTTCCTCCTCCCGTGGAATCTTTGAGTTTATTGCGCACCACCCCCTACATGTTGCCATTCTTTTAGTGCACTCGTATATATCCAGAAGCAATACACAGTGATTTTTAACTCTCCTAGATGAAATATTTCCATCTTTGCTGGTTTTGTAGGTTTTTTGGTGTGGTGTTGGGAATTATTTCCATACCCCATGGCTGTCAGGCTATTCTTCTGTATTTTCTTCTGTGAGTTTGGCTTTTTCCTGTTCTGCGTAGGATTCATGTGTGTGTACAGAGTAAGGCAGAAATCTTAACTGTACCTTTCCCACCCAACCAGTTGTCCTGGCAATGTGTGGGGTGCCCTCTTCCCTGCCTCACTCCCACACCTGCTGGGCCTGGCTTCGCCCCTGTCAGGCATGACCTGCGCTGACCCCCTCTTCTCTCAGCTACCGCTCAGCTGTTTTTAGCCCATGGCTTTCCCCCAAGGACTTTTCCCCTAAGGATTTTAGGATCGCCTTATATTCACCCCAAAGAGTCCTGTTAGATTTTCAGTTGCATTGAATTTACAGGCGTGGTTGGCATCCTTTTCCATGAATATGGTACAAAACTATTACATCATTTTTGGACGTGAAGTTTTGACTAGATTTAGTTTCAGGTATCACATAGATTTTGGGGGTCTTTGGATTTTTGTGTTGCCTGTGATTATTCCTTAGATCAGAGGAATCACAGATGATCAAACCTGCAAATACAAGGTTTGGTTCTTTCCTTTTGAATTTGTCTGATTGTCTTGTCACTCCAGTGCTGCCAAAGAGAGGCACTGGTGGGGCCCTTGTCTGTGAAACTTTAAAGCATCCCATTAAAGAGTGAAGGTTCCCATTTCCGGAGTTTTTCATCCTTTGATTTTTTTTTTCTTGATGTTGCTCCATCCTTGTTGAATTTGTTAGTACTTTTAGGATTTTTAATGTATGTTCGTTAGTATTAGACTCTAGTTTTATTGTACTTTGGTATCCAGATTGTGAGCACTTTCCCTGTTTTTCATTTGCTGAAACACTGTGTATAAGGTAGGGATTTGTCCTGAAAGATGTGAAGTCACTCTCCTGTTGAAACTAGGCCTGGTATCTTTTGGTAGAGCAGAGGCTTTATTTTATTAATTAAATCTGTGCTTTAGGTGTACTCTGGCCTTTTTCCAGCAGCCTAAACTGAAAGCCTATTTTTTTTTTTTTGAAAGCTGCATTTTAAGGCCATCAAATTTCTTCCTAATCTGTATCAAATTGCCTTTAGGTCCTGGATCCTTTGTCTTTATTCCTGTGTATTGGGCTTAATTTAGTGACGTTTATGTATTTATCGGTACAATTCAAAGGGCTGGGAGCATTGTGGTCCACAGGAGAGGCCTTCGCTGGCTGCACTGGAGAGAGGTTTTGGGCTCTGCTGGGCAGGGTGTGAAGAGGAGAGCACAAAGCGGGCCTTCGGGCTCCTGCATACGGAAAATACATCACCATCTCCTGTCTTTTCAGAGCAAAATCTGGAGCGGCAGGTGTTACAGACACAATGTAGACGACTGGAGGCCCGGCACTACAGCCTCAGCCTGACGGCAGAGCAGCTCTCCCACAGCGTGGCGGTGAGTTGGGAAGGGATGGAAACCTTCAAACACGCAACCTTTTGAGTTTGGGTTCAGAAACACCCATGCAGATAAGTTTCAGAGAGGAAATGTGCTCTTAAGAGATCAAAATTTGGCGGATCACGAGGTCAGGAGATCGAGACCATCCCGGCTAAAACGGTGAAACCCTGTCTCTACTAAAAATACAAAAAATTAGCCGGGCGTAGTGGCGGGCGCCTGTAGTCCCAGCTACTTGGGAGGCTGAGGCAGGAGAATGGCGTGAACCCGGGAGGCGGAGCTTGCAGTGAGCCGAGATTGCGCCACTGCACTCCAGCCTGGGCGACAGAGCGAGACTCCGTCTCAAAAAAAAAAAAAAAAAAGATCAAAATTTGGACTGCATGCAATGGCTTACACCTGTAATCCCAGCACTTTGGGAGGCTGAGGCAGGATCACATGAGCCCAGGAGTTCAAGGCTGCAGTGAGCTCTGACCACACCAGTGCACTCCAGCCTGGTTGACAGAGCAAGACCACTGTCTCCTGAAGGGGTAAATTCAGACACCAGTTGATTATCTAGGATTTACTTATAGAATATCGATCCTGGAAGGGTAGGGATGCTGTTTGTAGAATGAATTATTGCCTGTATCAGTCTCCTCTACCGTGATTTGCTGAGGAGAGCAGCAGGGTTTTATTAGAGAAGGGAAGCTGAAGCAACTGAAACCATCTCACGTGGCTCACAGCCACACTAGCAGGATTGGTTCAGCAGATGTCCTTGGGGGGCAGGGATGGGAAGCAGGTCTCAGATCACTCCCAAAGTTTTTACATCTGGGGGTTCCAAGAACTCCGAGTTTGAGCCAAGACAGCAGCAGATGCCGATTCTTAAGACTCTGGAAGAGCCAGGGACAGAACACAGGCTGAGAAGTGGACTTTGTTTCTCTTTTTGAGGCGAAGTCTCACTCTGTCACCCAAGCTGGAATGCAGTGGCGCAGTCTCGGCTCACTGCAACCTCCGCCTCCTGGGTTCAAGCGATTCTCCTGCCTCAGCCTCCCGAGTAGCTAGGATTACAGGTATACGACACCATGCCTGGCTAATTTTTTTGTTTAGTAGATGGGGTTTCCCCATGTTGGCCAGGCTGGTCTCGAACTCCTGACGACAGGTGATCTGCCCGCCTCGACCTCCAAAAGTGCTGGGATTACAGGCGTGAGCCACCACGCCCGGCCGGGACATTTTCAAATGTAGGTTTACCCTTCCATCCAGCATGTTTGTACTCTACATGCTTGTCCTTACAGAGGAAACGGGTTGGTTTTGACACAAATTTCCCTCTCTCCAGGAGTTGAGGAGCCAGAAACAGAAGATGGTCTCAGAAAGGGAGCGGCTCCAGGCAGAACTGGACCACTTACGAAAGTGCCTTGCCTTGCCTGCAATGCACTGGCCTAGGGGCTACCTGAAGGGATATCCCAGGTGACGGTTTCCCTTGCACTAGGCCGAACCTATAGTATAGAAATATTATCTATTTTATTACCTTGAATATTTAATATTTTTCACTGGGAGGTTTGAAGCTTACAAAATGAGAATGTGCCATGCATGAAGCAAAGGATTCCAGGCTCCAGAAAAAATGAATGAACTCACCTTGACGTCAATGCAATTGAATCACCGTTGTCATTCAGCGAGCAACCAATGTAGGATTGCCCACAGTTTTTCTTTTTAAAGGTGGTTTTCGCCCTTCCTCTCCCACATTATTTCTTAATCTGAACATGAAGGCTCCATTAGCAACACTAAAACTTGATCATTAACAGCCCCCTGTGCATATGAGTGGATCAAACCGGTTCTGTTCTTTCTTGTGTTGCCATGTTACTATGCCTCAAGCCCAGTTTGCTTTTGCCGCAGCGATGGGGCCAGTCTCATTCCTCCCCAGGAGTGAAACTTGCTTCAGCTGAAAAGGTTGGGTGCATTGTCAGTAAAAAGGGCTTATTTGTTTCATTTTACTTTCCTGCAAAATTTTCTTCAAAGCAACAAGTCCTAGGAGCACACAAAGCAACCCAAAGGCTTTTCCCTGGAAAAGCTCTTTCTTACCTAAAGATAAAACCAATTCACAAACTGAAGGTAGCTTTTTATTACTCCGTGGGGAGCATGTACAGAGCTCTGTGTATACACAGCTTCACACCCACCAGATTGTTACTACAGTGGGTTGGGTTTTCATACAGACGTAAATTTTGAGAGAAAAGTCAAAGGTGCTTCAGCCTTGTACTGTGTATATATATTAAAAAAAAAACAAAGTTTTGTATGTTTTTATTACTTTAACTATTGTTATAAAAAGCCTGCCATTTTTAATATGTGGTTTGGGGGATTTTTGTTTGTTTTTCCTGTTTGGGGGTTTTGTTTGTTGTTTTGGTTTTTTTTGGGCAAAAAAAAAAAAAAAACCTTGCTTTTAGTGTTTGTACTGCTGCTGGTCAGGACATTAAAATATTGAAGTGTTTTTAAAAATTAAAGAAGAAGAAAAGTAAAAGAGCTTACCACTGGCGCCTATGCGATCACTTCATTTTTAGTTTGAGTTGCACCAGAAGCTGCCGTAGAAAGCCATGCGCTACTGCTTACCTCCTCCACTCCCCCTGCCTGCCCCCAGCATCTGGACAAGCTAATAGCAAATATTACCCATTGCTATCAAGGGAGGAGGGGGTAGTCTGTAGAACCCATGTGTGACAGTCATGTGCACACATGGGCGGGGGCTTTTAAAAACCTTTCAGGAAGTCAATGATTTCTGTGATTGATATAATTCTAAGGTGTCTGAGAGCAGGTACAGAATAGGAACTTCAGAGGCTTTGTTTAAACGCAAAGCTTTGTAAAAGCCACAAGGTCTGAGCTGAACCCCTCCTTTTTGAACTTACTGTGACAAGCACAGGAACGGTCAGAAACTGGGCTCATCACACCAAGGCAAAGCAACGGGCGAGTCTTCCTCCTTGTCCTAGTTACTGCCTATGGAGGCAGTGTTTAGATCAAGAAGGCCTCTCTTGCTCCCAAGGGCCCTCACCAGAGGCCAGGGCTGCCAGTCACTGGTCTGGGGGGTGGAGGCCTGAGCTGAGGGCAGGGTGCCTGACCTGTGTGCCGGCTGCTCACTGCTGTGACCAGCAGCCGAGCCCTTGGCCCTAGCCCTTGCTGCGCAGAACAGCTTGCTGGCAGCTGGCATCGTGTCGCTTTATCTGCCCCCGCACAGTTTGCTTTGTACGTCTGCCAAGAATCTTCCAGTTATTAGCAAACTCAGACGAATGTACCGCCAGTATTATCAGCAGTCAACAAGCACCTTCCTCTCCACAGAAGCAGCTGGAAGAGAACTCGAGGGGCTGTGCTGCAGGCCTCCCCTCGAAAGACACTGGGAGGTCAGCATGTTCCACAGGTGTTCAGAGGGAGTCTGCTACAAACTATCAGGGCAAAATCTCACTGGATTTCTCCACTGAAAACCTACTTGAGGTTTCTGGTCTGAAGGCTTAAGAGTCACATCTTAGCACTTCCGCTCTCAGGCCTCCTCCTCCATCACAGATGTCTGGATGCTTTTGGAAATGGCCTTGGCTAAAGTAAAAGGGAAAAGTAGATCCGATAACTTAAAAACGTAGCTCATCCCTTACCATCCAAGGGGCACTCCCTTGGTTGGATTTTCTATGACAGCACAGGGGACAGGTGGCACACCATGAGAGGTCTGCCCAGGGTGGGAGCAGTGTCACTGTGCTAGCAATAGTTGGCTTCTCCCCTGTCAGTGGAAACCCCACTTCTGCCCGGCCCTTGAGCTTCTTGCCCACTGTCTCCCCATCCTTCCACCTACTTGTGGCGATCTGAGTACTCTACTCTTGCTCAAGAAGTAATACGACAATCAGAATACAAACCAGTAAGGCAACACGAATAAACTAAGAAAAAGGTAAGAACTGTCTCAAAAACGAAAGCACACCACCCAAGACACAGTACCCAGTCATGGTTTCCCCATCCAACTATTAGTTTCATACTTTGAAAACTTACTTTCAGATTATTCTCAAAGAACACAGTAGCACCTAAATCTGTTTTCAATTGGGCTTAAAAATTGACATGCAATCTCTTAAGTTTTTTGTTCAGCTACTTCACACTGAGTACCTCAAATCTGCTCTGGAGTCGATTATGCCACCTGTGTGTCAGGATGCACCTGAAAGCCCTCGGCTCGGTCCTTAGACCATCTTCCTACATTACCTGGAAGGGAGCTGCCATCTGTCCCTCTGCAGAGGGATACCTTCCAATAGTAAATTATCTGGTTCCTCACTGAAACAAGTTATTTTTGCTTCATATAGTCAGAGTCAGACTGACATGATAAAATATCATGTTCCTAATCTGTTGTCTCAGATAAGTGACCAAGACGGGACTTTCCACATTTTAGTCTACATTCTAATCTTAAAGGAATAAAGCACTGAATTGGGACTAACATTCTGATAGGTTGCACCCTTAAGAGTATTCAGAGAGCATCAAAAGGAGCCCACACCTTCAGCAGTGAAGGATTCTAACACAGGGAATCTGCAGTTTGTAGCAGAATGGTATTTTCCTCAAGTAGCTCATAATACTGCCAAATCTCAAAAGTTAAGCTGAATTTCACACCAGATCCTACCCCTTTCCCTGAGCCACATGTTTCACACAAGTGTAGAAAATGCCAGGGATCCACCACAAGATGGAGATGGTCAGCACAAACCGATTCTGTTCCTCTTTAAAGTGTATATTAGCCACTTAGCAATCTCTATATTCTTTCAAGTAACCAAGCTGTTGACTTTCTTACTACTTGCAGTAGCCTGTCCCCAACTTTTCCATCCAGTGCTTAACCTAAAAAACTCCTTAACTCTGCCTTGACCTGAGGAAGACCATGCTAACTGGTGTTATTTTGTATGTACCCTGTGCTTAATTCTATAACAGTAAACCCCATACGCAGGTGGGAGGGAGGAACACCGGTGCCTCGGTCACTCTGGGGGCAGTTTAGATGCTGTGAAATTAAACCTGTTCTAAGTGTACTTGTTTGAATTAATTGTATTGTAATATTATTTGTTGAATGTAGTAATTAGGTATTTATGAATATATTGCTGTAATTTCTGACAACATCCAAAAAATAAAATCTTCCTAAATTATGTTAAGAGGAAAATCTTTTTTATGATATAAAACAAAGCCAAACAAAGAAAAGCTCAATAACTATACATCTCCGCAGACGGAGCTGCCTCCACTGGCTCAGGCTCTAAGAGGAGGGCATTAGGACCCCTTGCCCTCCACAATAACAAGTGGTTTCATTCTAAAAGATCCCCAGATGAAAGCAGGAGGATTCCAAGGAAGGCTGAGATGAAAGAACAAGTCCTATGAGCTGAACCAAGTCTGAACAGCACCTTAAATTATGGAGACCTCATCTTTTGGTCCCAGTCTTCCAGGTCTGACCCTTCAGTGTCCAAATAACCACCAAAACCTGCCTGGCGGGGACACGTGGGCAGCAACATGGAGTGATAGTGTGCAGCATGCTAGACACTGGAGGGCAGATGCTGGGTGATAAGTCTTTAGGCTCAGCCTGTCACACATGCGCATTCTCAGAGCTCCCCAGACAGCACCCCACTGCTTTTGGCCCACTGGTGTCCAGCCAAAAATAGGCTGGCCAGGCATGGCGGCTCATGCTTGCAATCCCAGTGCTTTGGGAGGCTGTGGTGGGAGAACTGTGTGAACCCAGGAGTTCGAGGCTGCAGTGAGCTATAATCACGCCACTCTACTGCAGCCTGGATGACAGAACGAGACCCTGTCTAAAAAAAAAGTTAAAATTTTTTTTGTTTGAGACAGAGTCTTGCTCTCGTTGCCCAGGCAGGAGTACAGTGGTGCAATCTTGGCTCACTACAACCTCCGCCTCTCGGGTTCAAGCGATTCTCCTGCCTCAGCCTCCCGAGTAGCTGCGACTATAGGCGTGTGCCACCACACCTGGCAAATTTTTTTTTTTTTGTATTTTTAATAGAGACGGGGTTTCACCATGTTAGCCAGGATAGTCTCAATCTCCTGGCCTTGTGATCCACCTGCCTTGGCCTCCCAAAGTGCTGGGATTACATGCATGAGCCAAGCCAATGTGCCCGGCCAAAAATTAAAGTTTTTTTTAAAGCTGATTACAGAACCTTCTATCCATTGCATGATGCTGGACGATCATTTCACCTCTCAAGGTAATGTAATTTCTGTAAAGGTCCTAACATTTCCAAAATGCTACGAATAAAGTAATTTTCTCTTAGGAAAAAAATAATTTCCCCTGAGCCCACTGTTACCTACAACAAAGAATCCTTCCCCAAATCCATCAAGAGCAGCACTGAAAGTGACTTTTCTTCTAGCATTGTCACTCATGCTCAATACATTGTCACTCATGCTCAATACATTGGATTCGTTTTTTTCCTGACTCTCCTCTTGATAAGCAACCCATTAAACCTGAGCTAGAAGTAGCCAAGAGAAGGAGACACCCCAGGTGTTGGTCTGCAGTTTCCACTTAACTGCCGTGTGCCTCAGTTTCGTTGACTGAGTCATCTCAGCCACAGGCTCAGTCCTTTTACTTGGTAGTTACGCAGCACAAAAACCTAGAGAGTCAGAGCTGAGTTGGGTCCATTTTTATTGTGGATCAGGGCTTAGAGGATAAGCACCGGTCAGCATTGTTGGCTGCACCATCTGCCATCCTTCTCTGTGAGCCACCTCTGTGAGAGAGTCTAAATTCAGCCCAAGAAATCAGGATCAAGAAGGGGTAAAAAGCCGTGGACCACATGGCCACTCCTGCTGTATCTACACCTACCAGTCACTGAACACCTGCCCAAGTGTGATGGCTTCCATGCAGGAGACCCAAGTGGCTCTGCTAGGGAGAATGACTTATTTACCTAAGGCTTTTTTATTTCTCAAAAGTGGGGGGAAAAAGGGCTGGTTTCTAGAAACAGATGTGGAATTGAAGAATGTCCCAGGGAGCTAAGTTTTAAGGACTAATCACAAACTTGTTTCTCCAACAACATCCTGAATCCATTCCTTGCACCATCACACATTTTTCATGCATCAGAAGTGTTTCTAGAGCTCCAGAACCACGAGTACCTCATCACGTCCTGAGCGCTCACATCCCCCAGCAAGCCGCCTGCACCAGGCCTTTCTCTAGAAGTCCTGAGACTGAGTACTCTCCAGAGGCTGGAGGTTCGTGCGGAGTTTGTACATGTGGTTGAGCGCTTGTGTGAGGAAAGTCCCGCTGGTGTTGATCTCCATCAAGGTCAAGTTATCCAGCTAAAGCAAGAAAACAGACCAAGTTGGCCAAGGAGTTTTTGATTTTGAGAAAAAGGTAAACTCTACTGAATAAAAATAAGAAACCAATGAACTGTTGAAAAGCACAGCTAGTAATGCCTGCCTGTAATAGCCTCAGCAGACGGGAGCCATGTGAAATTATGCGGCATCAAGGCCACCAGCACCCAGGCAAGGCGGCACCTACCTTGGCATGTGCCTCCTGCTGTCTCACAAAGCTGTCAGCAGACACTCGGAGTTTGGCTATACGAGTGTCCCACATATCCTTGACCAGGGTCCGGATTTCGTCTGCCTTCGGGATGTTGTCTGAAGCACTAAAGGAGCAAGGGCTAAAGTCAGTCGGGGAACACTTGATAACCTGAGGCAATGCTGGATAGAGTGGCTCTTTTCAGGCAAAATACCGTGGCTATTCCAGACTCAGAAAGTCTGTTTTGCTTTATTTTCAACTTTAGGGTGTAAAGATTTGTAGCAGTTAAGCTTGGTGCGGCAGTGATCCACATGGAGTTTCTTTTGCTCACATTAACTATCCCATGGCAGGCTGCTGAACAGGACTGCTGTTTACCTAAGAAAATTAGTAGAGAATCAGCTCTAAGTCAGAAGCCTCTGTCTCAGGATAACAGCATTCCGTGCTGCCTAACCTCCATCTACAAGGAATCAGTTTCGAGGGCTGGCTCAAAGGTCGAGTTCTATTGCTCCTCATTTACAGAGTGTTGAGCAGATCTCCCTATTCCCCACCAGGAATCCAGGGCTCACAGCCTAGAGAAGGAAAACGCCAACTCCATGCCAGGTACTGGGCTCAGCACTTTACCTGGCATTTCTATCCTCACAAAAGCCCTGAAGGGAAGGGACTCTCCTGCTCTTCAGAGAAGACAAAAACAAGTTTCAAAAATCACAGAAGAAACTGCAAATTAGTATACAGTGAGCACACCTACACATAGCAAAATTCTGGCTAGAAGCTCAAAGCCAGCAAGGGATGAAGGAAGGCTTTCACAAAGTCGAGGCTCCCGTTGTGAAGTATTTTAAACTAACCTTTGAAGAAAAACTACACGATAAAAGCAGAAGCAAATATTGTTCGTCACTAGGCATTACAGGTTACGCTAGACATTCTCTCCATATGCTACAATTAATTCCTGATGAGTAAGTGGCAAACCACTGGTACAAAATTTATGTAGTGAGTTTTATTTATAAACCCAAACATTTAGATCTTGTGCTCTCAACAGCAGGTTAAAGGACAAAGGACCCCAACTCCTCGTCAGCTGAACTATAGAACAAACGTAAAATTAAGTCCCTTAACCGAATGAATTATAAAACAAGGTTTTTGATAAAAACTACATCCATAATATATTGAACTTCAAAAACAAAAAATGGATAGGCCCCCTCACCTAGCTAATGCCAAATTCTTACCTAGCCTGTTTATAGATCCTCTCCCTTCCAGCTACCATCCCCACCACCACTACAGTCTCTCTCAGGTCCCTCTGAGGCCACATGCCCCTCCCAGGGGCTGGCCACTGCAGCAGAACCTATGCCTCCATTCCTCTGCTCCCATGAATGTACTACACATCCTCAAATATCTCTGCTTGCCCGGCTACACCAGGTCCTTCACACTCTGCCTGAGCATATCAGTTCCTGCCTCACTGCCCTCTCCCCTACCGTCCACCTCCTACAAGTCTGCACTCCCAGCAAACCTCTGTGAGCCCTCTCTGGCACCACCTGGCCTTACTGCGCTCTGATGGACTGTCAAGAGCATTGGTCACACTGAAGATTCACTATAGGCTCCCAGGCCCACATCTCTCCCGCACCACACCAGGAAGCAGGCCTATGGGACAAACGCCACTGCCGAGTGGAATGCTTGGTGCATTGCTGCTTCTCAGCTTTTTATGAAATTCATGGGCTGACTGCAGCCTCATCTCAGCCTAAGCACAAGCCCATGTTGTGTCCCCAACTTTTCCTTTAAATTCAGCAGCGCCATTCAGTGGGCTCCCAGCCCTTCCTGCTGCTCTGCAGCATGCAGTAGTACTAGTGTCACAATTTTTTATTCTAGTTCTGCTCTTGAACCCAGTTAAAGGATACCCGGGGAGCTTCAGAAGCTTGAAATTGTACAAATGACATTCTAAGTATCTCCCAAGCAAAATTATCCACCCTTGTCTGCCTTCTTCACTAGTTTCACTTTCACTCAACAAACATGAGCCGCAGGCATCTCACTGGGGACATATGCATACGAGACCCAGCCCCTGCCCATTTAGAATGGGTACATGTGATGGCACAGCCAGGCAAACAAGAAAATTACAACTGGCAAATGCCATAGCAATGTGTAGAGCTGCCAAGAGTACATGTGTGCTGAACCCAGAAGAGACATGTTATGCTAACCAGCAGAGGTGAGCAGGGGCAGGGAAAGGACAGACTTACAGGGCAGAGAACAGTATATGCAAAGTCAGAATGCTTGAAGAAGTGACAGGGGCCAGTGTGAGCCTGAGCCCTCCAGAAGCAGAGAAAAGAGCTGTAGAGAGGGTGAAAGAGGGAGGAGGAGCACGCACTAGGCTGTACACTGCTTGAACACCACGCTCAGGTAGACGAGAGGGAAGACAGGATTTTAAGCAGGGAGTCACATGGCAGTTCTGCCTTTCAAAGGCCCCTCTGGCTGAGATGTGAAGAATGAATGGAAAGCTGAGCGGAGCCAGTATGGATGAAGGCAAACAAGCTACGGAGTTACTACAGCATGATTTTGCCAGGAAGTGGGCTTTCCTGTAACCCAAGGACAGAGGCAAATGTAAGCCCTCTGGCCTTTCCTGCGAAAGACACAAAAAAACTCAAATCCACCTACTCCAAGGAGAAACAGGAGTAAAGCTGTGCTAAATAAAACACATACATGGCAAAGAATGGCTACTGCCGATTCTGTGAGATGCTGGTGGCTCACACTGGGGTCCAATGTCGAGTGATGTGAGGCAGAACAAAAAGAGCCAAGGGCTTCACCGGGAAGTGGAGAAAAGGAAAAATGAGAGACAGAGAAAGGCAAAGAACAGACAGAAAGACACACAGAGACAGACAGAGTGCACCTGGCAGGTGTGTGTACACAGATGACCTCATGGTCACTGACCTGAGAAACAGGGCGGCCAGTGTTGCCACTTACTGAGGCAATAAGCAGGGAAGCGGAGAGGAAGGACGAGGGTTAGGGGAAGGGCATGGCGAGTCCAGTCTTGGGTGTGGCCTCTAAGAGGTGAGATCTACTTACTGATTTAACAGGAGCTTCGTAAGTTCCATGTAGTAAGGGCTGGGCATTGGGGTAAAAGTTTCTTCCTTTCGTTCATGATCCCTCATCTTCTCCAACTTTTCTGAAATTTAGAAGTTAATACATTTTACCATCATTATAACCAAGATATTTATTAAACCTTCCAAATTTACCAAGTGCCTATATTATCTGGCAAATACATTATCAACTAGCAAATACATGAAAAAACATTTTGGGATGACATTTGTATCATTATCTAGATGATTTGAGGCCTCCTCCTTGAAACTTTCTCTCCAAAAGAAAGGTAAATTTTTGTCGCTGCTTTAGCCTGCAGAAGATATTCCTAAAAACAATGTTAGAGTCAAAAGTTTGATGTTTGTTGTGTTTTGCTTTTGTTTTTTTTCTTTTTTAGGGAAACAGCAAAGTGATTTACCTTTACCGCCTTTTTTTTTTTTTTTTTTTTTTTTTTTGAGAGGGTCTCTCTCATGCCCAGACTGGAGTGCAGTGGCACCATCACAGCTCACTGCAGCTTCAACCTCCTGGGCTCAAGCAATCCTCCCGCCTCAGCCTCCCAAGGAGTAGCTGAGATCACAGGCACATGCCACCATTTATTTTTTGTAGAGACAAGGTCTCACTATGTTGCCCAGGCTGGTCTCAAACTCCTGTGCTCAAGTGATCGCCCTGCCTCAGCTTCTCGAAGTGCTGGGATTATAGGAGTGAGTCACCTGGTCAGTATTAGACCTTTGATGCAATAAGTGATCAAACTAGTCAGTGACTTAAATTTATTTATACTAAGCCTTGTTCAGAAGGGAGCAAGACAACTTACAAAACTAGAGCCACCCCAGCCTGGGCGCGATACAATATCCTAGGGGGGTTAAGCCACCCCAGCCTGGGCGTGATACAATATCCTAGGGGCTAAGCCACCCCAGCCTGGGCGTGATACAATATCCTAGGGGGGTTAAGCCACCCTGGCCTGGGCGCGATACAATATCCTAGGGGTTAAGCCACCCCAGCCTGGGCACGATACAATATCCTAGAGGGCTAAGCCACCCCAGCCGGGAGGAGGCATGACATCCTAGAGGGGTGAAAGCCCAGCGTCTAGAATCAAACAGCTGTATCCAATTCCACCAGCATCAGCACTGTTCTCACACATGCTCCAGCTCCCTCAGCCCTCCCCCTCTACAGAGAAACCTGTCCTGGGAGCAGACTGTGTACTATAGCTAAGGGACAAGCACGGAGCACAGCTACGCTGCAGGGTCCCATTGTAAACGGCCAACTACCCATCCCCAGGGCCCTTGGTGCCGTCCTGCAATCCTGGCCCAATTCCTTGGTCTACTCACCCTCTCTTCACTGCCGCCAGCACCGCCTCAACCCACCACCCACCTCTCACCTGACACCCAGCTGAGTGTGACCCACACACCACCCCATCCCCCAAACTCCCTGTGTAGCTCCTACCCACTCGAGGACCAGCCTTCCAGGTGTCCTGGACCCTCCTCTCACCTGCACAGTAAGGCACTCCAGCAGCTCTCATGCTCTTAAATGATCACTGTCCCCTCCTTGCTTGATCCTCCCAAACACACTAATAGATATAGCCTTAAAAAGAAGGCCCTCCGTGAACACCCCTCTGAGCTTGCTTATGAACTCACTAGGCTCCCCTTTTTGTCTCCTGGCAATTCCTCCTGACCTCTCGACACTGGGACAAAGAGCTCAGCTCCCAACCCCTTTCTTCACTACCTAAACTCATATCCACACCACCTCGTCCAAATGCTACCCACATGCTCAGAAAGACCTCCAAATTTATACCCCCATCAGCCCCTGAGCTCTAACTCCTAACTCAATAACCTCATTGCTGCTGTAACTTCCTCCTGGATATCCAGAAAGCACAACAGTTCAAACCCCCAACTCCTGATACCCACTGCAGCCCACAGCCTGCTCCTGCAGCCTCCCACCTCAGGAGACAGCAACTCCCTCTCCTGGGCCTCCAGCCAAGAGCCTGGCTGTCAGCTTTCACTCTTCTCCCTCACACCCCATGGCCAGTCCTTCAGCCAATCCTGCTGCTGCTTCCTTCAAAACACACCTAGACACCTACCACATCTCCCACCTCCATCAGCCAGAGGCCACTCTCAGTGCTTGCCTGGATTCATTCCCTGCTCCTATTGCACCAACCTTCTCTACACAGCAGAGTGATCCTTTCATTAACATCTGAATCAGCTTATGAAACACCTCTGGTCCAACTTTCTAGCAAATAAAAAAGCTACAGTCAAAATTTTTGGCCAGGACATGGAACAATGGGAACTCATATTTCTTGTAGGATAAAGGCTCAGCTGCTTTGAAGGACCAGGTGGCCGTTTCTTACAAAGTTAAGCATTATCCCTGAGATCCAGCAAGTCCATCATTCTAGGTATTTATTTACCCAAGGGAAAAAGAAACATATCCATGAAAAGACGTGGACAAGAATATTCACAAAAGCCTTATTAAGAATAGCCAAAAATGAGCCAGGCACAGTGGCTCACACTTGTAATCCCAGCACTTTGGGAGACCGAGGTGGAAGCCCCGGAGTTCAAAACCAGTCTGAGCAACAAAGTGAAACCCTGTCTCTATAAAAATTAGCTGAATGTGATGGTATACACCTGTATTCCCAGTTACTCAAGAAGCAGAAGTGGGAGGATCGCTTGAGCCCAGGAGGTGGAGGTTGCAGTGAGCCATGATCACGCCACTGCACTCCAGCCTGGACATCAGAGCGAGAGACTGTCTCAAAAGCCAAAAATGAGCTGGGCACATTGATGCACACCTGTAGTCCCAGCTACTAGGGAGGCTGAGATGGGAGGATCACTCGAGCCCAGGAGTTGGAGGCTGCAATTCACTATGATCACACCTTTGAATAACCACTGCAATTCAGCCTGGGCAACAGAGAAATCCCTGTCTCTAAATTTTTTGTTAAAGCCAAAAAGGGGAATCCCAAATATCTACCAACAGAAGAATCGGTGAACAAATATGTAGTATGGAGAGTACCCAGCAATGAAAGAACATAGCCAGGTGGTGTGAATATGAGTTTCAGTAGTGGAGAAAGGGGTTGGGAGCTGAGCTCTGTGTCCCGGTGTTGAGAACGTAAACAGGTAAATCTCAAAAACAGTGTTGGATAAGAGAAATCAGAAACAAAAAATGACATACTAGATTATTCCATTTACATGAAGTCCCAGAACAGGCAGAACTGGATTTGTTTTCCTGAGATGGAGTCTCGCTGTATCTCCCAGGCTGGAGTACAGTGGCGCGATCTCAGCTCACTGCAACTTCCACCTCCTGGATTCAAGCAATTCTCCCTGCCTCAGCCTCCCAAGTAGCTGGGATTACAGGCGCCCACCAAACACCCAGCTAATTTTTGTATTTTTTAGTAGAGACAGGGTTTCACCATGTTGGCCAGGCTGGTCTTGAACTCCTGACCTCAGGTGATCCACCCATCTCGGCCTCCCAAAGTGCTGGGATTACAGGCATGAGCCACCGCGCCTGGCCCAGAACAGGCAGAACTTATCTGTGGTGCAGAAGTCAGGAGGCAGCAGGCTGTTGGGTAGGGTCTATAGACAGGTTAATGGTGCCTCACTGTTCCCACAATATGGCTCCAGCCCAGGTAAAAAGTTCAAGGGGAACTCTCCACACCTTCTGACTCTAGCCTGCGATAAAACAGGCCCTTGCCATGTTATCACCTGGGGTCTAGATGGGACAAAAGTGCCAGACACTGATTTTAAACAAGGGGCCTGGAGAGGATGCTGCATTAATGGAGCCAGGCCTGGTGAGCCTCTCCTCTACAAAAGCCTTCCGGCCAGGGGCAACAGCTCACATCTGTAATCCCAGCACTCTGAGAGGATCACTGGAGCCCAGAAGTTTGACACCAGCCTGGGCAACATAGCAAGACCCCCATCTCCACTAAAAAAAAAAAATCAAAAAATTAGTCAGGCATGATGGTGCACACCTGTAGTCTCAGCTACTCCGGAAGCTGAAGCAGGAGGATGACTTGAGGCTGGGAAGTCAAGGCTGCAGTGAGCTATGATTGCATCACTATAGCCCAGCCTGGGTGACAGAGCAAGACCCTTTCTCAAAAAAAAAAAAAAAAAAAAACCGTCTCAAAGCAGAGGAACTGGGGTTTCCCATTATGTTTCAGGACTACCTGAGTCACTTGCCACTTTAGGACAGGGAGCAAGGGGAAGACACTAAGCAGTCTGTCTTAAACGGACCCCAGAGTGGCTGGCTCAATGAGCTCTTGCTTCTAGGAGGTAGGTACCCCCAATAAGTCCCAGTAAGGAGGGGGCAGTCAAAATCACTCACGGCTGAGACCCCATCTCCATAAAAAGAAAAAAAAAAAATCACTCAGGGTCTTTTCAAATTCTATATGTATGACCATACCCCTCTCCTCACCAACACACACAAAAAAATTAAGATTTTTTTTCCCTATAATAAGCTACTCATATCTCCAAGAGAAGAAAAAGATTTCAAAGGCTCAGAATAAAGCCTGTCTGCATCTTTGATTTGTTTCAGTTTTTTCTAGCAGCTTTATTGAAGCATAATTAATATATCATACAATTCAGCCATTTAAAGTATACAAGTTTTGAGGTGGGTGGATCACGAGGTCAGGAGATTGAGACCAACCTGGCTAACACGGTGAAACCCAGTCTCTACTAAAAATACAAAAACAAAATTAGCCGAGCGTGGTAGCGGGCGCCTGTAGTCCCAGCTACTTGGGAGGCTGACGCGGGAGAATGGTGTGAACCCAGGAGGTGGAGCTTGCAGTGAGCCGAGATCGCACCACTGCACTCCAGCCTGGGCGACAGAGCGAGACTCTGTCTCAAAAAAAAAAAAAAAGTATACAAGTTTTAGTAGCACTTGTGGGCTATTAAAAACAAAGTGTACAAGTCAATGGTGTTTAGTATATTCAGACTTGGGCAACCATTACCTCCATCAATCCCAATTTTCATCATGCCAAAAAGAAACTCCACAATCCCTCCATCACCCAAAGCAAGACCCCCATACTTAAGCAACTACTAATCTACATTGTCTCTATTGATTTGCCTATTCTAGACAGTTGATAGAAATGGAATGATACAGTGTGCGGCCTTTTGTGCCTGGTTTCTTTCATTCAGCAAGATCTTTAAGATGTTTCAGGTTCATCCACGCAGTAGCATGTATCAGAATTCCATTCCTTTTTATAGCTGAATAATATTCAACCTTATTGTGATATATTATTTTCATGCATTCTCTATAACTGCTTCTCAACATGCTAATCTATACTTATTTTTAAAATTTTAAAACAAATGCTTATTTAAGGTCATATATTTATTTTAAAGCAAATTGAAATATCTTACATTAAAATATAGGCTGGGCACAGTGGCTCACGCCTATAATCCCAGCAGATCTGCCAAGGTGGCCAGATCGCTTGACCCCAGGAGTTTGAGACCAGCCTGGGCAGCATGGCAAGACCCCATCTCTACAAAAACGCAAAAATTTGCAGGGTGTGGTGGCGCACGCCAGTGGTCCCAGCTACTTGGGAGGCTGAGGCAGGAGGATCACTTGAACCCAGGAGGTGAAGGCTGCATTGAGCCGAGATTGCACCACTGCTCTCCAGCCTGGGTGATGGAGTCAGACCCGTCTCAAAAAACAAACTACAACTTTCACACACACCAAAACCTAACATGACATTACTAACAGTGGTTAGCAGACTCTGCTGAGAGGTGAATCTGGAAGTATTCCTTTCAGCTGATCAGTAGATAACGGAACAGAGGGAGCACGGACCTAGTCAGGAAGGAGGCCCCATGCCTCCACCCCGTGGGAGAGGGCGTCACCCCAAGCCCAGCCCCACCCACGCATCAACCAGTCTCCACCACATCCTTACCTACATCCATCCACTCTGGAGGGAGCAGGCGACATTTCTGTCTTTGTTTCAGGTTAATCGCCAGCCACAGGGGCACTTCCACGGGTAAACCAGGGTTAAAAGGCCCCAGGTCCCCCTGCCAAAAGTAAAACAATTCCCCGTAAGATTGAAAAAGAACAAAAAAAGCATTACTGTGCGTTACTGCTATCAAATAAGAGGCAAGGCATTGCAGAGGCTGAAGTCCAAATGCAAATAATAAAAACCCAACTGTTACCAGACTCAGAACAAAGCGCCTCCTGAGCGGCTCCGAGACACCTGCGAGCGTGGGGCTCAGTCCTTCTGGCCTTTCCGCGGACAGGATGCAAGTCTCCCCTGAGTGGGTGGGGGGCGCTCCCTCTCCCGCCTGCACCCTCCAACTCCGGAACAGGTTTCACACACCCAATGTTGGGGTCCTGGGGTGCGGGGAGGTGGGTCTGGGCAGGTACAGAGCCTGCCCTCCTTCTCCAGGACTCCCAGCGCCGAGGCGCCTCCCTCATACTGAAAACGCAAAGCCGGGCGGGCGCGGGGGCTCACAATCCAGCTACTCGGGAGGCTGAGGCAGGAGAATCACCTGAACCCGGGAGGCGGAGGCCGCAGTGAGCCGAGATCGCGCCACTGCATTCCCGCCCGGGCGATAGAGCGAAACTCCATCTCAAAGATAAAGACAAAAACAAACAGAGGCAAAGCCGACTTTTGCCCATAATCCCAGCCCTTTGGGAGGCCGACGTGGGAGGATCGCCTGGGGAGCCCAGGAGTTCGAGGCCAGCCGCATCTCTACCAAATAAATAAGCCGGGCGCAGTGGCTCCCGCCTGTCATCCCAGCACTTTGGGAGGCCGAGGCGAGTGGCTCATGAGGTCAGGAGTTCGAGACCAGCCTGGCCAACACGGTGAAACCACATCTCTACCAAAAATACAAAAATGCGCCGGGCGTGGTGGCGGGCACCTGTAACAGCAGCTACTCAGGAGGCTGAGGCAGGAGAATCGCTTGAACCCGGGAGGCGGAGGCTGCAGTGAGCCGAGACGGCACCACTGCACTCCAGCCTGGGCGACAGAGTGACACTCCACCTCAAAAACCAAAAAACAAACCAAAAAAGCCCCCAAACAGATCAAAAAAACCCTGTAAACCCGGGCGTTCGGGGCACTGGCAAAGAGCGCAGTCTCGCTTTCCTCATCCGAGAAGCGGGAACGGCGGTGAGCGAGTCAAGCGCCGAGTGGTGGCCTCCGCAGATGCGGGAGCAGGGCGAGCCCGCGACCCCGGGGCTGAAGGCCACGCGGGAGCCCCGGACGCGCCCAGCCCGGCCTCCCCTCCCCACGGCGGGCCCAGGCCTCACCCCGATGAGGTAGATCTTGTCCAGACTGAAGTTGGGGATAATGGTAACCAGCTCCTTCTCGGCGAGGAATTCGACCTCGGCAGCGTCCATGGCGGCGCGAGCTGCAGGCCAGAGCCTCACGGTCTCCTCGGGCCCCTCAGCGTCCCGGAGGAGACGCCGCGGCCGCCGTTTTCCCGCCACGGCGAGAGCCCGCCCCGGCCGGAAGACGGCCTGCGCCAGCCTATAGGAAGGCGGTAGACAGCCTATAGGCGCTGTCTGCGGGCGGGGGGGCGGAGACCGCGCTCGCGAAGAGCCCGCGGATTGGCAAGGCCGAGGGAGGCTGCGCGCCGGCCCCGCCCCGGCCCGCGGACAGGCCCCGCCCCCACCCCGGCCCCGCCCCGCCCGTGGGCGTGCACCTGGCGCTGTCAGGATCTCCTGCCGCGGGCGCCAGCTTTGGTGTCCCTTCACCTGTCCCCGGCGCCCGCCGCAAACGGCCCTAATCAAGAGCCGGGGGTGGGGTTCCGGGCCGCTTCTACGCCGGCGTTCCGCATGGGGCCAAGAGTAAACGCATTTATTTTATTTTAATTTTTAAACAACTTTTCGTGGATTTGGGATCTTGCTGTGTTGCTCAGGCTGGTCTTGAACTTCCGGTCTCCAGCGATCCTCCCATCTCGACTTCCCAAAGTGCTGGGATTACAGGTGGGAGCCATCGTGCCAGGCCAAGAGTACAAGCATTTATTGGCCCAAACTCAGCACCGGGCCCGGGACTAGGCATCACCCGGGCTGACAGATAGAGGGATGAGGGAAGACCTTGTTTCCATTAATTTCACAATCTTCTGCCCTCTCTGCACACATTGTTTAAAACAGCTGTAAAAATGCAGATTCCTCCATCCCACCCCACAGCTTCCAATTCGGACACTTCAGAGCAGGAGCTCAGAATTTGCACTTCGGCAGGAGCCCCACATGAGACAGGAGCGGCAGGTTTGCACCACCTGAGCAAATACTCACCTGCTCGCTGGACCGGCTGCCCCTGTACAGTGGGCGCAGGTGAAGCCAGAGCGGTGGCTGGAGCTCACCTGTGTCAGAATCCCCTAGCGGGTGCCCATTGTCTGTGTGCACGCTCCTGGGAGTTGGGATTCCGGAGTCGTGGAAAGGACAGAAAGCTGAATTTCATCCAGGGCCAGGTGATTTTGATGGGGTGGTCATGGCCGGAAAAGCTTCCTGGGGGTGAAGCGCTATTCTAGGACTGCAGTCGAATTTGAAACCTTGATAATTAGGCCCGCGAGAAAAATCACAGGAGACATGAGGATTCCAGGGTTTGGAATTCCAGCAGAAAGCACCCCCTGCCCCCGCCCCAGCTAACCGGATGCTCTCCTCTCCAACCTCCCTGAAGCCCCATAGAGGGTCACTGGGAAGGTGAAAAAAAGCCGTAAAGCTCACAGGCCTGCTCACAAAGCTGTGTCTGTTGTGTATCTGCCTTAGAAGTTGTTATTTACAGATCTGGAGTTTTCGCTGAGTTACTTTCATGTGTGAAGACACATACTCTTGGCCAGGCACGCCTGTAATCCCAGCACTTTGGGAGGCCGAGGCAGAAGGATCACTTGAGGCCAGGAGTTTGAGATCAGCCTAGGCAACATGCCAAGACCCCATCTCTATTAAAAAAAAATAAAAACAAAAGAGAAAAGACAGATATGCTCGAAGAGAAGAAATCAAAGGTCACTCTGGATGCTATGTGACCAAGGGCAAGTGACAACTCTGAACCCCTGTCTCTTTATCTTCAAAATGAAGTAGGAAGAGAAGGAGCCTGCAGTGTTCAGGGAGGAGGGGGAGCTGTGGGCCATCTGGCCCCTCCCACAGTAGAAGCTCCCTCAGGCAGCTGCAGACGTGTGTGCCAGACTGTCCGGGTTTTGACTGATGAGGGAATGTTTTCTTCACTGGCAAATATTTGTGTTCCAAAGCTGACGAGGGTTTGCGTCCTGATTTGTCCAGCCTATAAAAGAGCAAAGGAAAAGATGAGAAAGCTGAGGTTCAGAGAGGCTGCTGAGGGATGGGTAGGAGGGCTACCAGAGCCTGGCTGTCCACATCACAGAGCCTCGGCATCCTTATCTGTAAAATGGGGACAGGGCTGCTGTTAGCCTCACTGGGCTTTGGAAAGAACAGGATGGGAAAGTGTGCAGCTTTACAGATTGCAGAAGGGTGGTGTCCTGATGCCTCAAGCCTGAGTGTGTGAGAATCACTTGGTAGGCTTGTGTCTTCCCCTTCATGGCAGCACGATTCATAATAGTCAAAATGTGGAAACAGCCCAGTGGCCACCAACTGACGTCTGGACAAACAAAATGGTGCCTATTCATACGATGGAGTAGTATTTGGCTACAAATCATAATGAAGTCCTGGTACACACTACAACGTGGATGAACCTCAAAACCGTGATGCCAGTGGCGGCTCACACCAGTAATCCCAGCACTTTGGGAGGCTGAGGTGGGAGGATCACTTGAGCCCAGGAGTTCGAAACCAGCCTAGGCAACATAGTGAGAGACCATCTCTACATTAAAAAAACAAAAAAGGAGTGGGGGGTGGCACGGTGGCTCACGCTTGTAATCCCAGCACTTTGGAAGGCCGAGGCGGGAGGATCACGAGGTCAGGAGTTCAAGACCAGCCTGGCCAATATGGTGAAACCCTGCCTCTACTAAAAATGCAAAAATTAGCCAGGTGTGGTGGCACACACCTGTAGTCCTAGCTACTCGGGAGGCTGAGGCAGGAGAATCACCTGAACCTGGGAGGTAGAGGTTTCAGTGAGCCGAGATTGTGCCACTGCACTCCAGCCTGGGTGACAGAGCAAGACTCTGTCTCAAAAAAAAAAAAAAAAAAAAAAAAAATTAGCCCAGCACAGTGACACAGACACACACCTGTAGTCCCAGCTACTAAGGAGGCTGAGGTGAAAGGATTGCTTCAGCCCGGGAGGTGGAGGCTGCAGTGAACCATGATTGCACCACTGTACTCCAGCTTGGATGACAGAGCGAGACTCAGTCTCAAACAAAAAAAAAGTTATGCTAAGTGAAATAAGCCAGACACAAAAGTCCACATATTATATGGTTCCATTTCCATGAAATGTCCAAAATAGGTAGATCCATAGAAACAGAAAGTGAATTAGTGGTTGCCAGGGACTGGAGGAGGGGGAATGAGGAGTTAGGGGGTACAAGGTTTCTTTCTGGGGTGACAGAAATATTCTGGAATTAGATAGCGGTGATGATTGCACAAATCTGTAAATATACTAAAAACCACTGAATTGTACACTTTAAAAGGGGGAATTTTACAGTATGTGAATTATGCCTCAATAAAGCCATTTTATTTGTTTGTTTGTTTGTTAATTTTTGAGACAGGGTCTGTCACCCAGACTAGAATGCAGTGGTATAATCTCAGCTCACTGCAGCCTCTGCCTCCTAGGCTCAAATGATCCTCCCACCTCATCCTCCCAAGTAGCTGGGACTACAGGTGTGCCACCCCACCCAGCTAATTTTTGTATTTTTTGTTTTTGGTAGAGACAGGTTTTTGCCATGTTGCCCAGGCTGGTCTCAAACAACCCTTGGGCTCCAGCAATCCACCCACCTTGGCCTCCCAAAGTGCTGGGATTAGAGGCATGAACCACCACGCCCAACCTATAAAGCTGTTTTGAAAAATGCCCCTCTCTAAGCCCCAGGCTCAGACTTTCTGATTGACAAGTATGGGGTAGGCCCAGGTATACAGCACACTCAAGAAGCTCCCAAGAGGTTTTTATGATTGAGAATACCGGTGAAGTGATTTGCCCCAATCTGGTCCAGCTCTGAGCCACTCCCAGCACCCAGGTGAAGGCCAATCCTCCCACCTGGCCTCAGGGTGGGGGAACCAGAGTCAACAGACAGAAGGAAACCAAAGGGGAGGGGAAGAGGGCAGTGGTGGAGGTGGGGGTGCTGGACCTTCCAGCATCATTTTCTGTTCTGTAAAACGCCTCCCCTAGAAAGCTGGAATGATTCATCTGGAGATGAATTACGGTTGGAGACGTCAGTATGAACTCAAGTTTAGCTTAATGCAGGTGCCAGGGGATGCACACAGAAGTATTTTGTTTTGCATTTTATGTTTTATTTTAATTTACAATACTTACATGTATTTACTGGGTACAGTGATGTTTTGACACAGGTATACATTGTGGAACGGTCAAATCAGGTGAATTAACGTATCCATCAACTTAAATCCTTATTTTTATTTTTCTGTAGTAAGAATATTTAAAATATACTCTTTTAGCTATTTTGAATAGACAATACATGACTATTAACTGTAGTAACCATGATTTGCAATACATCTCCCGTCTTTTTTCTTTTTTTCTTTTTTTTTTTTTGAGACAGGATCTCACTGTTGCCCAGTCTGGAGGGCTGGAGTGCAGTGGCATGATCACGGCCCACTGTAGTCTTGACCTCCCAGGCTCAAGTGATCCTCCTGCTTCAGCCTCCTGAGTAGCTGGGACTACAATTCTGCACCACCATGCCTGGCCAATTTTTTTTTTTTTTTAGTAGAGATGAGGTTTCACTATGTTGCCTAGACTGGCCTCAAATTCCTGGGCTCAAGTGATCCTCTCACCTGGGCCTCCGAAAGTGCTGGGACTACAGTCATGAGCCATCGTGCCCGGCCAGATCTCCTGTCTAACTGAGACTTTGTACCCTTTGACCCCCATCTCCCTATTCCCCACTTCCCCTTCCTTCCCCTGCTACTATCTACTTCTATGAGTTCAGCTTTTTTAGATTCCACATATAAATGAGATCATGCAGTGTTATTTGTCTTTCTGTGCCTGGCTTATTTCAGTATGCCTACTGTCCTCTAGGTTCACCCATGTTGTCACAAATTACAGAATTTCCTCCTTTTTTAAGCCTGAACAGTATTCCATGGTGTATATATACCTACCTTTTTTTTTGAGACAGAGTTTCGCTCTTGTTGCCCAGGCTGGAGTGCAATGGTGTGATCTCGGTTCACTGCAACCTCCACTTCCCTGCTTCAAGTGATTCTCCTGCCTCAGCCTCCCAAGTAGCTGGGATTATAGGCGTGTGCCACCACGCCTGGCTAGTTTTTTTTTTTTTTTTGTATTTTTAGTAGAGACGGGTTTCACCATGTCAACCAGGCTAGTCTCAAACTCCTGACCTCAGGTGATCTACCTGTCTCGGCCTCCCAAAGTGCCGGGATTACAGGTGTGAGCCACCATGCCCAGCCTGTACCCCATTTTTAATCCATTCATCCGTTGATGGTCATTTAGGTTGATTTCATATCTTGACTATTGTGAATAGTGCTGCAATAAACATGGGAGTGGCTGGGTGCGGTGGCTCATGCCTGTAATCCCAGCACTTTGGAAGGCTGAGGCGGGTGGATCACTTGAGGTCAGGAGTTGGAGACCAGCCTGGCCAACATGGTGAAACCCCGTCTCTACTAAAAATACAAAATTAGCTGGGCATAATGGCCGGCACCTGTAATCCCACTTACTTAGGAGGCTGAGGCAGGAAAATCACTTGAACCTGGGAGGAGGAGGTTGCAGAGAGCCAAGATCGCACCACTGCATTCAGGCCTGGGAGACAGAGCAAGACTCCATCTCAAAAAAAAAAAAATATATATATATATATAATATAAATAAACTATTTTATTTTATTTATTGTGGGTGGTTTTTTTTGTTATTGTTTCTTTTTTGGTTTTGCTTTTTGAGATGGAGTCTCGCTCTGTCACCCAGACTGGGGCGCAGTGGTGTGATTCTAGCTCATTGCAGCCTCAGTCTCCTGGGCTCGAGTGATTCTCCTCCCTTGGCCTCCTGAGTAGCTGGGACTACAGGCATGCATCGCGACACCAGGCTAATTTTTGTATTTTGTGTAGAGATGGGGGTCTCACTATGTTGTCCAGGCTGGTCTTGAACTCCTGACTTCAAGCGATCCTCCCACCTTGGGCTCCCAAAATGCTGGGATTACAGGCAGGAGCCACCACACCCAGCCTTAAAACTATAACACCGTGAAGCTGTGAACCTATTTCAGGATAATCAGCCCTAGAGTATCTTTTGGTGACATTAGAATGTAGACAGGCCAAATGGTCCTCCAAAAATGAGACTTGGTCGTGCTATTTTAAAGCAGTCATCTTTCAGCAACGATGGGATGTGTTACCCAGCATGTGGGAAACAGTGCTTGCAAGGTGGCCCCTGAGACTGAGTGCCTGCAAGGGGACTGGGTCCTCTGTGGGCCACTCAAGCATGTGTCTGACTTTTGGGCTGGCAGCACTTGGGGCGAGGCCTGCCCCCCGATGCACCTGCACAGGTCATTGTGGGGCTGAGCACCTGTGGGCCACCTGCACAGAGGATGTTAATTCAACCCTTAATTCACCCTCTTACAGTGAGGAGACCAGCAGCCTAGGAAAATAACGAGTTACAGTGAAGACACGAGGAGATGGGGGAGAGTCTCCTCAAACTCCCAGCCCCATCTGCAGTAGAACCACCGGCCCCACGACCAGGCCTCCTCCTGGACCAAAGAAATCGGCACCTCTAGGGGCAGGGCCAGGGCAACAGAATTTTCCAGACTCCTCGGCCAAGGTTAGGCGCCACCACTGTGGCATAAAGTGAGCCCAGCCTGTCTCCTGGGGTCTCCTGTGGGGAGCTTAGGGGAAAGCAGTAGCTAGCAGCTGGCGGTGTCATCGCTGAGCTGAGGAGGGGCTAGAAACACAGCGACACAGCCAAAAAGACACACAGAATGGAAATCACCTCTTCGGGGGTAACTCTTCCTGCTCTGCCTCCTCTGAAACAAGCCAGGGATATGGCACAGAACAGGGCCCTGAGAATAGGAAAGGAGGACTTCCCACGCGGGGCCTCCCACCCCTGCGGCTCCTGCTGAGAGACTTGGGCATGCAGTCCACCTCGGTCTGCGAGGGGGCAACCACGTGACCTCCTGCAGGGCCGATTCCACCAGGTGCCCATGGCCCAGTGTTTCTGGCTAGCAGCAGTGGGTCTGATGGACTGGGCCCTCTACCACTTCACCTGTGGCTTATTTTGAACATCACCTTTTCCTGGAGCTGTTGCAAGGCTTAAAGGGACTGACGCAGGTAAAGTCCTCAGTGGTGTCTGGCGCAGCCTTGCTCAATAGACAGTGGCGTGTCCTCTAGGCAGCAGCAGGGCTTGTCTCTCAACAGTCCTGCCAGGCGTTCCTCTCCCGCTGAGTGCAGCATCCCACCAGGGCAGGGGCCAGTGGTGAAGCCAGAAAGATGGGTGGGGGCCAGCCTGAAGGGGCCTGCCCTTGCGAGCTACTTTGAAGAACTTGGACTTGATCCTGAAGGCAATGAGAAGCCCTTTAAGGCAAGCCATCTCATTATAGGAGACCCTGGGGTGACATGATAGAGCTGCATTTTATTTATTTGATTAATACTTTTGAGACAGGTTTCACTCTGCCACCCAGGCTGGAGTGTAGTGGTGCAATCACAGCTCACTGCAGCCTTGACCTCTTGGGCTCAAGTGATCCTCCTGCCTCAGCCTTCTGTGTAGCTGAGACCACAGGCATGTACCACCATACCCAGCCAATTTTTTGATTTTTTTTGTAGAGACAAGGTCTCATTTTGTTCCCCAGGCTGGTCTCAAACTCCTGGGCTCAAGGAATCCTCAGCCTCCCAAAGTGCTGGGATTATAGGTGTGAGCCACCACACCTAGCCTATTTTATTTTAGAGACCAGGTCTTTCTCCGTTCCCCAGGCTGGAATGCAGTGGCATAATAGCTCATGCAACCTTGAACTCCTGGGCTCAGCCCGTCCTCCTGCCTCAGCCTCCTAAAACAATGGGATTACAGGTGCACCACCATGACCAGCCTAGATATACACTTTAGAAGAGAATTTAGGGTGCATGAAGTCGAGGGTAGGATGCAGTATAGCAGCAGGAGACTCACCTGGAGGCAGGTGAGCCGAGCAGCCAAGGCACCAAGAGTGGGGTCTGTCTGAATCTAAAGCCCACGGACCATCTACACTCTGTCCGGAAGAGCCAGGCACAGGGAAGCTTCCAGATCCAACCCAGGTGGCCACAGGTATTTCCCCATCTACCTGTAGCTCTGCACAGCCTGGCAGCGTGTCCCACGCCTCCTTGGGGGACCGGCATGTTCCTGCCTGCAGCGCGCCGGCTCCTGGGTTTGGCCGGGGAGCCATCATGACAGCCCCGCCGCGCACATTACGGCTGGGCCAGGCGTTCTCAAATGGCTCCGACATGGTGTGAATACACTCTTGTGTCTTTTTGCCATCTGCTGCTGTCATTAAAAAATTACATTTCCATCTGTTTTCACACTTTTCTCCCTCCCAACCTCCCTTCCTGGAGGAATACAACATGAATCCCAAGTTTCAAGACCAGAACGTTCCCTCGCCTCTTGGAACCTGGGAACTTTCCCCTGACACACCAGGGTTAGGGTTAAGGGGCTTTGCCGGCAGCCGGTGCTGTTAATTTCCATCTATTTCCTCTTCATTTGCCATTTACTGTGGCCCCATGTTCCCCCAACACACACTTTGGGGGAGCCATTCACGAAGCTTTTTTATCGTTGGTTTTAATCAGTATGCTTGGCTTTGGCATTAAAAATAAATGAAAAATAAACTGCAGACATTAGGAACCATTCCCCCAGGACGTACTTAAAGAAGAACAGACAAAAAATAAGAATAGGGGAGTGACGTTTTGGGTTCAACATAAATCCTCACTCTGGATTTGCTCCAAAGAGGCACCCACCCCCACCCACAGAGCAACCCCAGCCTTTGATGAAGCGTCCGGTTCACTGAGAGCCCAACACTGCAGCAACCCTGTGGCAACGCGGATCAGCCTTGCTTTTCTACAGCACAGCTGGGCAAACATCGGCGCTGGTGCTAGCATTTCCGGTTCCTTGCGCGTGTTCATTCATGCCATCTTCTGCACATCCTGGTTACCATCTCCATTTGAAGATTAAGGAAACTGAGGCTCAGAGAGGCCAAGTGACTTGCTCGAGGCCATCGGCTGATAGGTGGAGTGCGGGAGCGTCACCTGAGGTTGGATCCCCAAACAGGATCCAAGTGGAAGTGGTTTATTCGGAATGCAGTCCCAGGAAGGGAGGTTGAGACCGGGAACTTGAGAAGGAGCTGGTTCAGGTTAGCGAGAAGGTTTCTATGGCCGGCAACCAGGGCTCAGTTCCACCGGGAACCTCTGGGCAGCTATGACGCCTCGCTCCTCAGTGTGGCCCGTGGACCATCGGCAAGAGCCAATCCCCCAGGAGCTGGTTGGAGATGCACAATCACAGACCCCAGCCCAGACCTCTGCCTTTGAACCAGATCTCCACCGAGAGCACGTGAAAGTGTGAGAAGAACAGTTCCTCTGACTTGCCCACCACACCAGAACTAAGGGGCAAGGAGGCAGGGGTATTTATCTATTGACCCCACCTGATATGGGGTGCAGGCTCTCGCAAGAGTCTAAGGTCCCTAGTACCCCTAGTTGGTCTTCAGGAGCCCCCACCCCTGCCACACCTATTCATGTACCAGAGAGAACCTTGGAAAGGAAGAGGATGCTTGCAGTGGGCTGCTGGCATCACAGCAATGGGTGGGCACCGGGCGCGTCCACTAGATAGGACCCCAGGTGGGCTGCTCCGGGGCCCTCCCTTTTACTATCCCAGCCCACATTCATGCATTTGCACAATTTCACACAATCCTCAGATTCCCATTGCATTGTCCCCATTCCCTAGAAGAGCAAACTGAGGCTCAGAGAGGTTGGCAGCCCACCTGATCAAGATGACTTCCATTTAGAAACTGCTCCATGCCAAACTCCACGTGGCGGTGGAAGGGCTACATGGATGATTTCACACAATCCTCATATGCTTCCATAAGGTAGGTAGTTACTATCCCCACTTTATAGGTGAAGAAAAGGCTCAGAGAGGTTGAGTGACTTTCTAGGATCACACAGCACAACGGGGAGCTGGCTGACACCAAAGCCCTCGCTCTTACCCATTCCCCGGTGCCAGGGCTGCAGTGGGTGCCCTTCCCCCAGCTCCCATGCTTTCCTGTGTGAGAGCTGGTGCGGAGCAGGCCCCCCTCCGCTGAGCCCCTCCCTTCCTAGGGGTGGCAGAGCTTATGGGAAGCATATGAGAGGCAGAGGAGCTGGGCAGTGGGTATGCTACAGGGTTGACGGCAGCGTGGGGGCAGCTGTCACCAGGAAGGGTCTCTCTGCCCTTACTCAGCAGACATCATCGTGGGGTAACACCTCCCAAATGCTGACCTCACTGAGGCCTCTGGCCACACCAGGCCCAAAGCTGGGGATTGCTACGCATGCCTTGGGCCCCAGTTCCTTTAGGAGATAAGGGAACTCAGCCCAGGCCCCTGAGAGAAAGCCACACCCAGAGTCCTGGGGCCTTGCAGCCTCTAGCTGGCCCTCCCACCTGTGTCCCCAGCTCAGAGTCCTCAGCCAGGTTGCTGTGGGCCCTAGAATCCCTAGGGGAAGCCGGTGACCAGCCACGGCAGACCGCTGAGGAGTATTCAGGGAGGCGTGAGGTTTCCTGCAACCCTGACACCCAGCGCCCCCTGGATTCAAGAGGAGGGCAGAGGGTCCAGCCTGGCTTCTAGGTGGACAGAAGGGGCTCTGAGAAGCCAGAAGGAAGGGGGCGACGATTTGCCTGGCCAATCAACAAGCACAAGAGAAGCAGATTCCTTGGGTGGTAAGACCACAGGCTCTGAGTTTGAATCCCACCTCTGCCACTTACTTACCTCGGATGACCTTGGGCAAATGATTTAACCTCTAGGTGCCTCCAGTCCCCCATCTGTAAAATGCGGGTAATAAGAGCACCGACCTGCGGGAGATTAGGTTATTGTTTCTGACTCACCTTTCCCTCTCTTTAGAAGAATTGTCTGCCCCCTCCTTGTGGCATGCAACTTCCCGGCTCACAGTGTTGGGCTTAGCCATGTGACTTGCTTGGCTGAGGGAATGTGGGCATGTGTCACAAGCAGAAGCTGCAAATGCATTGGCTCTGCCTGTGCTCTGTGCCTCTGCCACCCACTGAGTGAGTGAACATACTCTGGTTGGTTCCTAAAAGAGAGGACACTTGAAGGAAATCGGAGTTCAACTGCAGCTGATAAAGCCCAGCTCCTTGCAGCCAATCGGCAAGGCCACGGCCAACCCACAGACCCGTGAGTGAGGAATCAGTGCTCGCTGTTGTAAGCCACTGAGTTTGGGGGCGGGGGACAGGGGTTGTTACATAGCAACATCACAGCAAAAAGAAAACTGACTAAGACGCTATCTCTCAGGGTTTCCATGAGAATTATGTGAGTTAAAATATCTGTCAAGTGTTAAGTACAGTGCCTGGTACATAGCAGGCGATATGAATGCTAAATAAGGGCCGGGCACAGTGGTGCACACCTGTAATCCCAGAGCTGAGGCATGATAATTGCTTGAGCCCCAGAGTTCGATCATACTATTCACTTCAGCCTGGGTGACAGAGCAAGACCCTGTCTCTAAAAAACAAAACAAGGCCAGGTGCGGTGGCTCACAGCCGTAATCCCAGCACTTTGGGAGGCTGAGGTGGGCGGATCACCTGAGGTCGGGGGTTCGAGACCAACCTGACCAACATGGCAAAAACCCATCTCTACTTAAAATACAAAAATTAGGCTGGGCGCGGTGGCTCACGCCTGTAATCCCAGCACTTTGGGAGGCCGAGGCAGGCCGATCAAGAGGTCAGGAGATCGAGACCATCCTGGCTAACGCGGTGAAACCCCATCTCTACTAAAAATACAAAAAATTAGCCGGGCATAGTGGCGGGCGCCTGTAGTCCCAGTTACTCAGGAGGCTGAGGCAGGAGAATGGCGTGAACCCGGGAGGCAGAGCTTGCAGTGAGCTGAGATTGCGCGACTGCACTCCAGCCTGGGCGACAGAGTGAGAGTCCGTCTCAAAAAAAAAAAAAAAAAAAAAATTAGCCGGGCGCGGTGCTGGGGGCCTGTAATCCCAGCTACTTGGGAGGCTGAGGCATGAGAATAGCTTGAACCTGGAAGGCGGAGGTTGCAGTGAGCCGAGATGGCGCCATTGCACTCTAGCCTGGGCAGCAGGGAATGTGGCTCCGTCTCAAACAAACAAACACCACAAAACAAAAAAACAAAAACGAAATAAATATGGTAGTGCCTATGACAGAGGTGCTGGGAGTATACCGATGTGTGAGACTAAGTCACTACCTTTAGGAAATGTATTTATTAGAGACAGTGGCAGGGGTTCCCGGGGTGTTGGTGAGTTGATCAGCTTTAGGCTGTGAGCCCCAGTGACAAGGCACCTCTTCCTGTGATGTCCTGCACATCAGTGACTGCGAAACAACAGAAGGGCACCCCGCTCACAGGGGAGGGAGGGAACACGTGCTGTGGGAGCTGGAGGACAGCAAGGCTTTCTGCTGGCAGGACCTGGCACAGAGGGGCACCAGGCTTCCATGAAACTGGACCTTGCAGAGAGACTGGGGTTGGGAGCAAAGGCGTTCCAGGGAGAAGAAATGCCTGAACCGGGTGGCAGGTTGTAGTTTCCAAGTGGGGCCACAACATCTCCCATCCACATTTTCTTCTTCTTTCTTCTTCTTCTCTTTCTTCTTCCTCCTTCTCCTTCATCTTTTTCCTTCTTCTTCCTTCTCCTCCTCCTCCTCCTCCTCTCTCCTCCTCCTCCTCTTTTTTTAGAGACAGGGTCTTAATGCTCTGTCACTCAGGCTGGAGCGCAGCGGTGTGATCACAGGTCACTACAGCCTCCAACTGGTGGGTCTACACTACCACACCCAGTTTATTTTTATTTTTTATTTTTGTACCGACAGCATCTCACTACATTGCCCAGGCTGGTCTTGAACTCCTGGCCTAGAGTGATCCTCCTCCCTGGGCTTCCCAAAGCACTGGGATTATAGGCAGAAGCCACTGCACTCAGCCGGTGCTCTACTTACGCCTTTGACTTTGTTCCCGTCACGAGGTGGTGCCTATGTTCCCTCCTTTTTCATCTAGGAAGGCACGTGAGGACCGCAGAAGTGATGTGATGTGACTTCAGAGACTAGGTCATCACAGGCGATACAGCTTCCACCTGGTTTTCTGGAGATGCTCTTGCTTGGATGTCAGCTGCCATGCTGTGAGGAAGCCCAAGCCGCCCAGGGAGAGGTTCTCGTGGAGAAAAACAAGAGCCCAGAACCAACTTGGCAGCCACGTGGTAGGTGCTTGCCCTTGTGGGTGTGCCATCTTGGAAGTGGATCTTCTAGCCCCAGATGACATACATGTCTCAGCTGATGTCTCATGAAACAGACAAACTCTCTCTTCAGGCCCTGTCCAAATTGCAGATTTGTGGGCAAAATAGATGATTGTTGTTGCTTCACACTAAATATTTGTTATGCAGCAATGGTAACCAGAACGAGAGGCATGCACACAAGGAAAATCAAGGAGTTCAGCTTGATTGGAGTGGAGGCTGAGCAAGGCTGAGCCTTTGGCCTCTTAGGGAGTGTGGAGAGTTTTTGGAGGCTGCTAAGCAGGCAGTGGAGGGCTCAGAGATTGAGCAGGCAGCAGAGTGAAGGACAGAAGTAGAAGAGAAGGCAAGCACCAAGCATCAGCAGGCATGCCCTTTCCTTCCTTCTTTTCCTTCCCTTCCTTCCCTTCCTTCCTCCCTTCCTCCCTCCTTCCCTTTTTTTTTTTTTTTTTTGACCGAGTCTCACTCTGTCACCCCAGCTGGAGTGCGGTGGCGTGATCTCGGCTCACTGCAACCTCCACCTCTTGGGTACAAGTGATTCTCGTGTCTCAGCCTCCCGGGCAGCTAGAGATTACAGGCATGTGCCACCATGCCCTGCTAATTTTTGTATTTTTAGTAGAGACGGGGTTTCGCCATGTTGGCCAGGCTGCTCTCAAACTCCTGGTATCAAGTGATCTGCCTGCCTCGGCCTCCCAAAGTGCTGGGATTACAGGCAGGAGACACCACGCCTGGCCTAAAACCACCTTTAAATCAAGCCACTTATGTTACTGCTATAGTCTGAACGTTGGCGTCTTCCCTAAATTAACATATTGGAAACTAATCTCCTATGTGATAGGATTTTTTTTTTCTCTTTTCTTTTTTTCCTTGAGACAGGGTCTCACTATCACCCAGGCTGGAGTGCAGAGGTACAATCACAGCTCACTGCAGCCTCGACCTCCCAGGCTCAAGCAATCCCCCTGCCTCAGCCTCCTGAGTAGCTGGGACCACAGACATGCCATAATGCCCAGCTGATTTTTTTATTTTTTTTTTGTAGAGGTGGGGGTCTCACTATGTTGCCCAGGCTGGCCTCAACCTCCTGAGGTCAAGTGACCCTCCTGCCTCAGCCTCGCAAAGTGCTGGGTCTACAGGTGTGAGTTACTGTGCCCAACCCCAGTGTGATAGAATTAAGAGGTGAGGTCTTGGGGGAGTGATTAAGTCAGGAGGATGGAGAGGAAAGTGAGCTGCCTTGCCCCTTCCACCAGGCAAGGACATGGTATGAAGGTGCCCTCTTTTGAGGCAGAGAACAGGCCCTCACCAGACTCCAAATGTGCTGGCACCTTGATCTTGGACTTCTCACCTCCAAGACTGTTTTTACTGTTTGCCATACATTTTACTGTTTTCACCCAGCCTAAGGTATTTTTGTAGCAGCAGGAACAGACTAAGACAGTTACTCAGCCAAGGCAGTCCACTGTAGTAAGAGTCCATGTATATGAAGGGCGAGAACAGGATAGAGGAACCCATGGTCAGGGACCCAGGACAGCAATGACCTCTCCAAGGTCCCAGTGAAGCCCGTGGTCAGGGTCCCAGCGACGTCCTGTCTCGCTCAGGGAGGTGGTTTCATGGTGGACATGCACACACACCTGATTGAGCCACAGGTTGATGTTTGGCTGTACTTAATTGTCCAGGTAATACCTTAATACAGAAGTTTAAAAACTGGAGGCCGTGCTGTAGCTCATGCCTGTCATCCCAGCACTTTCGGAGGCTGAGGCGGGCAGATAGTTTGAGGTCTGGAGTTCAAAACCAGCCTGGCCAACATGGTGAAACTTCATCTCTACTAAAAATACAAAAATTAGCCGAGCATGGTGGTGGGGAGCGGGGGCGCACACCTGTAACCCAGCTACTTGGGAGGCTGAGACACGAGAATCGCTTGAACCCAGAAGGCAGAGGCTGTGGTGAGCTGAGATCGTGCCACTGCACTCCAGCCTGGGCGACAGAGTGAGACTCCATCTCAAAACAAACAAACAAACACACTGGGGGCAGATGCGGCAGTGGCTTAGCAGCTTAGACGCCAGTGCCAGGCTGCTATTCCCATTTCCCAGGATGTGGGCTGGTTCCTCCAAGGATGAGAAAGAAAACATGTGAAACTCTAAGGAGGACGGGCTGAGGGGGACAGCGGGCAGAACCCCCCAAGTGGGTGTAATGCCATCACATCATTTCAGCTGCGTCTCGGCACACAGATGTTCACGGGGGCTGGAAGCAGGACTGGCCATATCACATTTGCAGAGCCCCTTGCACAGCCATGATTGAGAATTTCCTTTTTTTTTTTTTTTTTTTTTTTTGAGATGGAATCTCGCTCTGTCCCCCAGGCTGGAGTGCAGTGGCGTGTGATCTCCGCTCACTGCAAGCTTTGCCTCCCGGGTTCACTCCATTCTCCTGCCTCAGCCTCCCAAGTAGCTGGGACTACAGGTACCCACCACCATGCTGGCTAATTTTTTCTTGTATTTTTAGTAGAGACAGGGTTTCACTGTGTTAGCCAGGATGGTCTCGACCTCATGATCCGCCCGCCTCAGCCTCCTAAAGTGCTGGGATTACAGGCGTGAGCCACTGCGCCCAGCCTTCTTTTTTGTTTTGAGATAGAATCTCACTCTGTGGCCCAGGCTGGAGTGCAACAGCACCATTGTAGTTCAGTATAGCCTCAACATCCCGGGCTCAAGTGAACCTCCTACCCTGGCCTCCCTAGTAGCTGGGACTACAGGTGTGCACCTGGCTAATTTTTAAAAATTCTTAGTAGAAATGGGGCTCTATGTTGCCCAGGCTGGTCTCAAACTTCTGCGCTCAAGTGATCCACCCACCCTGGCCTCCCAAAGCCCTGGGATTACAGGGATGGGCCATCATGCTGGACCCTGATTGAGAATTTCAAGGTGCGACAGCAGAGTGTTGAACCCAGCGTGGGCCTTCTGAGACGGGCCCTGTGGCAGTGTGCAGGACAAATCCAGAGAGCTGGCCCTGGCCTTGGGGCCCACCGTATCCCTGGGACTCAGAGCCTGGTGTGTGCCCACACGGCCTCTGCGAGCACTGCTGTCCGTGGGTGGACAGGCTGGGAATCCTGGGTGGTTCTGGAAGCTGCTCTTGGCCAGCAATGAGTGGGAGTGGGAGGGTGCAGACCCCACATCTAACCCCTCAAGGACCCCTCACTGAAGGGATCCACACTGCCTCCCCAGAGGCCCCATGGCACCTTATAAGCTCCTTCCTGCGCTGCCTGGCCTCTCGTGCAGTGAAGGATCAGCCATGCCCAGAGACAGGCCTGGCCTTTCCCTCCTCAACTCTAGCCCTTTCAGTGTCCTGCCTGATGAGACTGTCTTTGTTTGCTGAGGTCTTGGGCTACACAGGATCGTCTAGGCTAATCATGGAATTTATGGTGGGGCCTTAGGCTACCTGGTGTCAGCTGACCTTTGGAGGGGCTGGAGACTAAGGTCAGCCATGTGGTATCTGCCACACCCATGTGGCCAAGCCCCAGCGAAGACTCTCGACACTGAGGTTCGGGGCGTCCCTGGTTGGCAATGCTTGGCGCATGTTGTCGCACATCATGGTCAAGAGAAGTTAGCACTTTCCCACTCTCCCCAACTCTGTTGTGAGAGGACGGCTGGGAGCCTGTGCCTGACCTCTCCTGGATTCTCCTGCCCTCTGCTGATTTTAACCTGTATCTGCTTGCCATAATAAGCCATCACCATGACGTTCTTCTGGTGGATGATTAGACCTGAGGGTGGTCTTGGGGACCCTGGAAGTGCCCTTCCCCACTCCGCTACCTTTGTGTCCTGGAGCCACCTCCAAATCCACCCCTCGCACCCAAAGCCTTGGCTCAGGCTTTGCTCTAGGGATCCTGAGACACAAGGAAAACCAAACTCAAGAGACACCACAGAAAATGAACACACACTGCCGGGCGTGGTGGCTCACACCTGTAATCCCAGCACTTTGGGAGGCCGAGGTGGGAGGATCACCTGAGGTCAGGAGTTCAAGACCAGCCTGATCAACATGGACAAACCCCGTCTCTATTAAAAATACACAATTATCCGGGAGTGGTGGCGCATGCCTGTAATCCCAGCTATTCGGGAGGCTGAGACAGGAGAATCACGTGAGTCCAGGAGGTGGAGGTTGCAGTGAACCAAGATCGCGCCATTGCATTCCAGCCTGGGCAACAAGAGCTAAACTCTGTCTCAAAAAAGAAAAAAAAAAAAAAAAAAAAAAAAAAAAAAGGCTGAGCACGGTGGCTCACGCCTGAAATCCCAGCACTTTGGGAGGCCAAGGCAGGCAGATCACCTGAGGTCAGGAGTTCGAGACCAGCCTGACCAACATGGAGAAACCCAGTCTCTACTAAAAATACAAAATTAGCTGGGTGTGGTGGCACATGCCTGTAATCCTAGCTACTTGGGAGGCTGAAGCAGGAGAATCGCTTGAACCCGGGAGGCGGAGGTTGAAGTGAGCCAAAATCGCACCGTTGCATTCCAGCCTGGGCAACAAGAGCGAAACTCTGTCTCAAAGAAAAAAAAAAAAGAGAGAGAAAATACACACCACACACACACATACACACACCCACACACACACACCACACATACACACACACATAGGCATATCCACATATGACCACACACACCACATGCACACATACATACCACACATGCACACACCTGCACATACATGCACACACCCACTCATGCACGTACACACTACACACGCATACACACTACACGTGCATCCACACCAGTATCAGAGTGCTCTATGGGAAGATAGGGACACTGGCTATGTATTTATTTGGATTGATTGAGATAGGGTCTCACTGTGTTGGCCAGGCTGGTCTTGAACTCCTGGCCTCAAGCTCCTCCTGCCTCAGCCTCCAAAGTGCTGGAATTACAAGAGTGAGCCACTGTGCCCGGCCCTGATGTGATGTAATTTAAAAAGCCAACACAACGTTGCCTCTCACCTTAGAGATGTATTATTACCAGGATCCTACAGCTGGGACTCAAACGAGGTCCACGTGACCGCAGAGCCCATGGCTGGGCCACGCTGAAGCCTAGACAGCAGACTGAAAATGGAGGGGCTCGAGACCCCCACAATGGCCTGCACACACCAGATTGGCTCTTCCATCTTAAGCGTCTCTCTTAAACCCACGCTTTACCTGGCATGATCCATCGCCTTCTCCTGACCCAAGAAGCAGGATTCACCATTTGTGGCCAGGCATGGTGGCTCACACCTGTAATCCCAGCACTTTGGGAGGCTGAGGCGGGTAGATCACTTGAGGTCAGGAGTTCGAGACTAGCCTGACCAACATGGTGAAACCCCATCTCTACTAAAAATACAAAAATTAGCCGGGTGCGGTGACTCATGCCTATAATCCCAGCTACTCAGGAGTCTGAGGCCGGAGAATTGCTTGAACCTGGGAGGCAACACTACAGTGAGCCAAGCCGAGATCATGCCATTGCACTCCAGCCTGGGAGACAAGAGTGAGACTCCATCTCAAAAAAAAAAAAAAAGGATTCACTATTTGTTACAGAGGATCTTTATTTATAATGCAAAAAAGAAATTATAAATCCCATTTTGGACTGTTTCCGTATCTGTAAAACAACTTATAAAAAACAGCCACTCCACCTGCAAGAAGTTCTTGTTGGTGCTTATGGCAGGGGCATGTGTTTGCACAGCCCTGGGGGCTGGGAGGGTGTGTTTGTCCAGAAGAGAGCCTCTCCCTGGGACCCCAACAGCCAGGACCATGGCGCTCCCTTTCACCAGGCCGGAGTCAGCAAGAACCTGGAGGTGTCAGAGGTCCGGTCCACTCAGCGGGGCCTGGGAAACACTGTTCTGGAAGTGGACAGGCTGGATTCCTCGCTGGTCCTGCCACGTCTCTCTGAGCGGAGGCCCGGGTTCGCTCAGTTCCCATCCAGGGTATTCAGCACACCTGCTCCAGGCAGCCACGCCCCCGGACACCTGAAGCCGGGCCGCTGGAGCAGGAGCCAGCCAGCCAAACCCAGGACACCTCCTCAGGCTTCTGGGTCGATTTCTCCATCATCTGGGCACGACCCTGTCTCATCCAGCCAGACTAGGAGAAAGAGGGGATGGACACCTGGATGCACCCTGCCCCCACCACACCAAGCCCCGTTTCCCTGGGAACTGCAGGGCTGGGGCCTCTGGGATTCCTTGCTTTCTGGTGCTGCCAGAGGCTGAGATGGGACCCAGCCCAGTGATGCTGGATCCTTCTGGGTGAATCGGACCCCGGAACTGCTTCAGTTTAAGAGGAACCCCTCCCAGCGTTCAGGAACCTCCCTGGGGCTCGGACTTTGTAGAGTAACCCTGTGTCTCCCCTATGCCCCCACTGGTCCTGGGAGCAGGGAAGGTGGTATGATCCCATTTTATAGGTGAGGACACAGGCTCAGAGAGGGAAGAGACTTTGACAGCCGAGCTAAGGACCTGCGCCTCTGTCCGCCCACACTGGGCTCTCTGATTAGACAGTACTGGGGTGCAGGAGGCGCACTGCAGCAGGAGCCCAGCTCTTCTCCCACCTTGCTGTGTGTCCCTGGGCGAGGCACTGTCCCTCTCTGGACCTGTTTGTTTCCCCATTTCTAAACTAGAGATAAGGGTTGGAATGAGAATTAAATGAGATTTGTGAAAAGCATTTAGCCTGGTGCCAGGCACTTGGAAAGGTCACAGAGGAATGCGCCCCATTGCACCCACCATGGCTCCACCCAGCACCTGCACTGGCCCAACCCAGAGGGGCCTGACAGCTTTCTCCCAGTCACTCGCTCTGCTGGGCAAGTGGAGACCCAAGCTCAGGACATCTGGAAGGGTCTATGGATTCCCCCTCCCAGACAGCCTTCCATGCACACTACACCAGCCTCATGGGTGCCTTGTCCCCTGCATGGGCCCAGCGAGACCCATGTCATGATGGCTGTCAGCTAACTGATGCCACTTGCGGGGAGGACATCCGGCCTGGGGGCCACGGGGTGAAGTGCAGATCACACAGCCTGGGGCTGCATGCCTGCGGCACCCGTGACTAGCACATGGCAAGTGTCTCAGCCTCTCTCAACCTTAGTTTACCCCTGTCTAAAATGGGGGTGTGGTGGCTCATGCCTGTAATCCCAGCACTTTGGGAGGCCCAGGTGGGCAGATCACCTGAGGTCAGGAGTTTGAGACCAGCCTGGCCAACACAACGAAACCCCATTTCTACTAAAATACAAAAATTAGCTGGGCGTGGTGGCAGGTGCCTGTAATCCCAGCTACTCAGGAGGCTGAGGCAGAACAATCACTTGAATGAAGGAGGTGGAGGTTGCAGTGAGCTGAGAGTGCACCACAGCACTCCAGCCTGGGTGACAAAGCAACACTCCATCTCAAAAAAATAAATAAATACAAATAATAAAATGGGGATGAAATCTGTACTTAACTCTGAACTCTGAGAATTCCTGTAAGAACTAAATAAGAAAATCCATTTGTTACGCTCAGTACAGTGCTACCTATCATGACCATCCCCAATGTTATTATTATTATTATTATTATTATTATTATTATTCATAGCAGCAGCCTCAGCACCCGGCATAGGCCCAGCTCAGTAAATCTCTGCTCAATGAATACATGAACAATTTGTCCCACCAGCTCCAGAGGTATCACAGAGAGGCAGGTAGGGCTGCCGATTTGGGCCTCTGTCTCCCACCTCCTCACCCTCTCCCTGGGAAGAACTCTATTTCCTCGCCGCTCCCAGCAGTGAGCTGCATCTGGAAGGCCCAGGGTCCGGCCCCAGCCTGGGCACGAGCTGTGTTTCCAAGTCTGTCCTGTCCGGCCAAACTGCAGCGGCCAACAAGATGGAGCAGCGGTCCTCCCGCTGGCAGGGGAAGGAGCATCCATCAATTACCTTGGCTGGCCGGAGCCGCGGCGTGGCGGGCCAGCCCGGCCCCATCCATCAAGCGTCCTGGCTGCTGGCAGGGGCTGTCTACTAATTACTTAACACGCCGCGTCGTGCTGAGGCTGGCGCCGTGGCAGGGGGCTCACGGTGCAGTGTACACAGGTCTGACCATAAATGTTTAACGAACCCAGTGGGAGGTGGGGACGCAAGCTAGGCCCCGTGGCCAGGAAGGACGCCCCTGAGAGCTGTCTCCACCGGGCCCCCACAGCCGACCCGGCTTGGCGGTGGAGGGGACGGCCTCACCTGTGCTCCCCAAGTCCCTCGGCAGCATCATGCCCGTGGGGGTGGGGGGCGTGATGATGATGTCGGGCACGTCCAGGTGCTTGTCGTTCAGGACGGGGGCCTCGTCGTGGCTGCTGCTGCTGCTGCTGACACACATTTGAAAGCCTGAGAAGCCAGGCGTGGAGCACACACGCACGTACACACGACAGAGAGACAGGCATCAGTGGCCGCCGGGAACCGCGGGCGCCACCCTCCCTTCACTATCACCTGGGTCCTGACGCCTCGCAGCAAGGAGCGCAGCTGTCCCCGCATCACAGATGAAAACCGGCGTCTCAGGAATGAAAAAGGAGCCCTTGTCACATCTCACAGAACCATGAGTCGGGAAACAGATTTTGGGAAATGCTGATCATAGGCTAGTTGGCCTCTGGGTCCAGTTGTCAGCCTTTACCATGTGGCCCAGCCAGCTGCAGCCTCATTCCCGGCCACCAGCCCCCACTCTCCACAGCGCTCCAGCCTCCACTCTCCAAAGTGCTCACACTTCCCCAGACTCCCTAGGCTCCTGGGGCCCCTTCGTGCCTTTGCATATGCTGCTCCCCCCGCCTGGGATGCTCTTTCTTCCTCTGCCTGAGTAACAAGCTCCTGCTTATCCTTCAAAGCCCAGTGCAACGGGCTCTTCCTTGGGAAAGGTGTCCCAGCAGATCTGGCTGCTCCCTCTTTTGCCCATCTGCACTCACTCATTCATCAATGAATGACATGATTTATTTTTACTTCTGCCTCTCTTTGCTGTGAACACCTGGAGGACAGTCTCTATTTCATTCATCTGTGTTTCCCTTGAGCCTAGCGCATGCTCGAGACAGAGTAAGTAGGAGTGCTTTAAATTTCAAATGCCAGCCGGGCGCGGTGGCTCATGCCTGTAATGCCAGCACTTTCGGAGGCCAAGGCGGGCAGATCACTTGAGGTCAGGAGTTCAAGACCAGCCTGGCCAACATGGTGAAACCCCCATCTCTACTAAAATACGAAAATTAGCCCGGTGTGGTGGCACACACCTGTAATCCCAGCTACTCAGGAGCTGAAGCAGGAGGAGAATCACTTAAACCCGGGAGGCAGAGGTTGAAGTAGGCTGAGATCACACCATTGCACTTCAGCCTAAATGACAGAGTAAGACTCCATCTTAAAAAAAAAAAAAAAAAGGCTGGGCGTGGTGGCTCATACCTGTAATCCCAGCACTTTGGAAGGCTGAAGTGGGCAGATCACCTAAGGTCAGGAGTTGGAGACCAGCCTGACCAACACGGAGAAACCCCGTCTCCACTGAAAATACAAAAAAAAAAAAATTAGCTGGGCATGGTGGTATGCGCCTGTAATCCCAGCTACTCGGGAGGCTGAGGCAGGAGAATTGCTTGAATCCGGGAGGCGGAGGTTGCAGTGAGCCAAGATTGTGCCATTGCACTCCAGCCTGGGCAACAAGAGTGAAACTCTGTCTCAAAAAAAAAAAAAAAAAAAAAAATTAAACGCAACCAAAAACCCTTCAGGCAGCATTAAGCTAGGTGTTACAATCCTTGTCTCTATGTCCCATCACTTTGGTTTTGCCCCAAACGGTGCCAGGCTGGGATTAAATTAGCTCAAGTATCAGAGCCCCTGACCAACAGGAGAAGCTGAGTAATAAGGGGTTGGGGGAATATTTTTCCTACTGTTCTCAGGCCTCCCTTGACCACCATTAGGACAATGTTCCTAAGTGACCACTGTAGGGTCAGTGTGGGGGTTCTGAAATATGGCTCTGAGAGGCAGAGTCTAAGCCCTTGAGTGTGGATGGACTTAGTGACTTGCTTCCAACAAATAGGACTGCCATGATGGTGTGTGACTTCCACGGTGAGGTCATAAAAGACATTGCAACTTCCTCCTTGCTCTCTCTTGGAACACTTGCTCTTGGGGAAGCCAGCCACCATGTTACGAGGATGCTCAAGCAGCCTGTGGAGCAGCTCACGTGGGTGAGGAATCAAGGCCTCTAGCCAACAGCCACAAGGGAGCCTCCTCAGCAGTGGAGCCTCCAGCCCCAGTCCAGCCATCAGATGAGACTGCAGCCCCGGCTGACATCTTGGATGTAACATCATGATCGACCCTGAGCCAGAACCACCCAGATAAGCCACTCCTCAATTCCTGACCCACAGAAACTCTGAGATAATAAAGGTTTGATGTTTAAGCCACAAAGTTTTGGCATAGTTTGTTATGCAGTGATAGATTACTGACAGTCAGCAAATCTTTCCCTGACCCAGTAGGAAGGGATGGCAGGTGCACAGTGGGAATCTCATACCCGGCTGTGGGGAAATCACAGGAGGCTTCTCAGGGTAACCTTTGTTCACCCAAGGGGTGTTCCTCTGAGAGGCAGGTTACACCTGGGCTGTCAGGGATGATCTGTTTGAATCCACAAAAGCATGTACACCTAGAGGACCTGGAGCCATGCCATTCAGGCCAAATTCTTGGTTCACCTGCAGCTTGACCAAGGCTGCAGGCTCAGAAAAACTGAAAGCAGTAGGCACACTGGCTTTGGAATCAGGCCACCAGCTGTGTGACCCTGCGTGCACTGCACCTCCTCTCTGGGCCCTTTGTGCAGTAAATAATTTAATCTTGCCTAAAAAGAGGTCTGGTCTCTGTCCGCGGTTTCTGAGAGGTGCTCTCTAAGCCCTTGGAATATCTTGCCTGATAGGAGAGTCTTTGTTTGCCGGGGGCTGTGGTTACACTGGGTGTCCAAAGGCGTGATTGATGGAGGGGGGCTCCGGGTCATGCCCGGAGAGACAGCAGCCTGCAGCCTGAGCTCCAAAGTGAGCAATCAATCAGCCTCCAGAGGAGCCCCAGTGCCTTCGTCTCCTGGGGTTGCCACAACAAAGCACCGTCAACCAGGCGGCTGGAACAATGGACATTCATTGTCTTATAGATCTGGAGGCCAGAAGTTCCAGATCCAGGTGTTGGCAAGGCTGGTTCCTCTGGAGGCTGCAAGGGAGACTGTTCCAAGCCCCTCCCCTGGCTTCTGGTGGTTGCTGACAATCTGGCGTTCCTAGGCTCGTAGAAGCCTCACCCCATCTCTACCTCTTGCCTTCACATTGTATTCTCCCTGCGTCTTGTCTCTGTCCAGACTCCCCCCTGCTTTTTTTTTGAGACGGATCTCACTCTGTCACCCAGGCTGCAGTGCAGTGGCACAATCTCAGCTCACTGCAACCTCTGCCTCTCGGGTTCAAACAAAATCTCCTGTCTCAGCCTCCCAAGTAGTTGGGATTACAGGCATGCGCCACCATGCCCAGCTAATTTTTGTATTTTTAGTAGAGACAGGGTCTCACCATGTTGGCCAGGCTGGTCTCAAACTCCTGACCTCAGGTGATCTGCCCACCTTGGCCTCCCAAAGTGCTGGGATCAGAGGCATGAGCCACAGCGCCCAGCCCAGATTTCCCCTTTTGATAAGGACACCCGTCATATTGGACTAGGAGCTCACACTACTAAAATGACCTCATCTTAACTCATTACACCTGCAAAGACACTACTCCCAAGAAGGTCACATTCTGAGGCCCTGGGGGCGAGGAGGTTGACTTATGAATTTTTGGAAGACACGGTTCAATCCTTAAAGCCCCTGGACACTGAAGCCAAGGGGCTTCCCTCCTGATGATGCTCTGTGCTGTCACGCACCATCGTCAGGAGGAGTTGGTGCTGTCCATGGCTCCACGAGGAGAGGACAGTGGGAGACTGTGCCTGGGACCCTCGTGGGATCTGCCCTGTGAGCGTCTTCCCTTTGGTCTTAACCTGGGTCCCTTCCCTGGAATGAGCCATAACCGGGAATCAGAGCCTCCAGTGACTTCTGTGAGTCCTTTCAGCAAATGAACAAACATGAGGGTGGTTTGGGGAAGCCCCAAACCTGCAGCTGGTGGTGGAAGGGTGGGTGGTCATGTGTGCCCCCGCCCCACTTCTGTTAGTCTAACTCTTTGCAGCCTTCTTGTTTTCACAGACAAGCGCAAGGTGGTAGTGGGGGAATCAGCCGACTCCCTGGGCTGGGGAGAGACGGCCACGGTCCCTGGGACACACGGCTGGTGTGAGGTGACCATGATGAGCCCCCTTTGTCCTGTGCACAGCCACTCACTTCCCTCCCCTCATTCTCAAACCCAGTGACGAGCATCCGCCCCTCACCCCAGGCACTGCCCCAGTCACCTCCCCACCTTCTGAACCCCAACACTGTTTCCTCCTTTGGAAGACCTATTATTTATTTATTTATTTATTTATTATTTATTTATTTATTTATTTATTTATTTATTTTTGAGACGGAGTCTTGCTCTGTCGCCCAGGCTGGAATGCAGTAGCGTGATCTCGACTCACTGCAACCTCTGCCTCCTGGGTTCAAGCGATTCTTCTGCCTCAGCCTCCCTAGTAGCTGGGATTACAGGCGCCTGCCACCACACCCAGCTAATTTTTATATTTTTCGTAGAGACGGCGTTTCACCATATTGGCCAGGCTGGTCTCGAACTCCTGACCTTGTGATCCACCCGCCTTGGCCTCCCAAAGTCCTGGGATTACAGGCATGAGCCACCGTGCCCGGCCTTGGAAGACTCTTGGCCCCCGACTGCTGGGTAGTTTTGAGGGAAGAGGCCACCTCAGCCCAACAGAACTCCGAGCCCCTCAGCGGCACCCACACAGTCCCATCGAAGCAGGTCTAATACAGTGGGGTTTGAACCTTCTTTAAAGAAGAGAACATTTCAGCCGGGTGCGGTGGCTCACGCCTGTAATCCCAGCACTTTGGGAGGCCGAGGCGGGCGGATCATGAGGTCAGGAGATCGAGACCATCCTGGCTAACACAATGAAACCCCGTCTCTACTAAAAATACAAAAAAATTAGGCAGGCACGGTGGCGGGCGCCTGTAGTCCCAGCTACTCGGGAGGCTGAGGCAGGAGAATGGCGTGAACCCGGGAGGCGGAGCTTGCAGTGAGCCGAGATCACGCCACTGCACTCCAGCCCGGGTGACAGAGCCAGACTCCGTCTCAAAAAAAAAAAAAAAAGAAGAGAACATTTCTCCTGCAATCTTGCACAGAAGCCCAGAGTGTGAAACAAATCAAAGGAAGTCACTTGGAGAGAGGCGCCCCTACCCCAAACAACCACAGACAAAGGGATGTGTTGCCACCGCCCAGACAATCTACTGGGGCCGAGGCGTGCGCTCCTTCAGGCTCCATGGCCACCGTGCTCGGTGTCACCAGCCCCATCTTACAAATGTGGAAACTGGGGACCTAAGAGAGTAATATCCACCCACAACTGAACAGCTAGTGGGAGGCAGGGCCAGGATCCATCCCCAGACTGGAATCTGGCTGACCCCAAGAGCCGGTGCTTCCTGTAGCATAATCCCATGTAACAGCTGGCAAACTTTCTGCAAGGGGCCAGGCAGGAAATATTTGATCTCTGTGGGCCACACAAACTACACACACAGCTTTGCCACGGCAGCCTGAAAGCAGCCGTAGACAACGTGGAAATGAACGAGCATGACTCTGTCTCAATAAAACTTTCTTTCTAAAAGCAGGCATCAGGCAGGATTGGGTCTCAGGGCTGTGGTTGCCAATCCCTGCTCTATAACATCCAGGACTGGCTGCGGAGGGGAGCTGAGATCTAGGACACACTGGCAATAGCAGAACCTCGAAAGCCTGAGGCTTGTTCGTGCCAAAAACAAAAGCCACAGCCAGAACCCCAGCTGCAGGTGGGCAGGGCAGCTCCCTCTTGAAGGGCTGCGTGTGAGGACATGAATGAATTCACGAAAGCACTTCGCCCAGCCAGCTGCCCCATAAGTGTTCTCTATTATCATCCACAAAGAGCTCCTTGCGGAGGCCCCCGACAAAAGGAATCGCTGATGATCGGAGGCCCCCGACAAAAGGAATCGCTGATGATCGTGTCTGTAACAGGAGGGAGCTTCCCTGCTCAGTCTCCAAACCCCTTCCTCGGTGAATACTCCAAGATTCTAAAATAAAACACCCCACGTTTGCATTTTAACGTGGTCTGGAGCTTGAGGACAAAACCTACACATATAACCTGGAAGGATCAGGTTCTCAGTGAGCCCTGGAGAGGCAGAAGTCTCGGAGGAGAGGGGGTTGGAGGGAGAGGAGGAAAGGAGGAGAGAACGGAGGGAAGGAGGAGAGGGAAGGAGGGAGAAGAGGGAGGGAGGAGTAAGTTGGGGGAGAAGAGGGAGGGAGGAGGAAGAGGAGGAAGGGAGGGAAGGAGGAGAGAGGAGAGGAGGGAGAAGAGGAAGGGAGGAGGGAGAAGAGGGAGAGAGGAGGAAGAGGAGGAAGGGAAGGAAGAGAGGAGGGAGAGGAAGGGAGGAGGAGAGAGGGGACGAAGGAGAGGAGGAAGGGAGGGAGGAGACAGGGGAGAAGGAAGAGGAGGGAGGGAAGGAGGACAGAGGGAGGGAAGGGGAGAGGGAAGGAGGGAGAAAAGGAGGGAGGAGGAAAGACAGGGCAGGAAGAGGAAGAGAGGAGGAGGAGGGAGCAGACAAGGCAGAGGGAGAAGGAGGAGGAAGGGAAGGAGGAGGAAGGCGAGAGGGAGGAGGAAGGGAGGGAGAGGGGAGGGCAGGCAGGGAGGAGAGAGACACCCCAGCCCCTCTCACATCCCCAGGGCCTGCCAAGCCTCAGCAGCAGAGGTGGCCAAACAGGAGGGAAAGCTCTCAGGAGGATGAAGCCAATGCTGGGGATTAAAAACCAAATGCCAGCCCTGCCCCAGACAAGGAGCTCATTTGTGCTAAGGCCAGAATTGTTATTTGTTAATTATGTGCCTGCCTCGGGCTATTAAAAGCCTATTTCCTGAGCCTGGGATTCCAGAAGGAAGGGAGCAGATCCCAGGGACCCAGGCCCGTCCCAAGGCTTCAGAAGGATGGAGCCTGTGCAGGAAGACCTCCCCACTTCCGGGGAGGCTTCGTGCTCCGGGTCACCAGGCCCTGACCCCCGCTCTGCGGCCATGCACTGTCCTCGCAGTGGGGGCAGAGCCACGCAGACCAGACCACAGAACCCAGGCCCCTGGAGCTGGATTTCCACATGGGTTACATAGGCGGGTGCTGGCATGGCGAGGTTGGACAGGCTTTGAGACCCGGCTCTGGGCCCTCCTAGCTCCAGGACAGCGGTTCCCATCGCGGCTGCCCATTGAGATCACCTGGGAAGTTAACATCACCTATCCAGGGCCTCAGCCCAGGCTGATTCAAGGCTCTGTGAGAAGTGCCAGGATTTTGAAAAACTCCCAGGTGACTTTAACAGCCAGGGATGGGAACCCCTGAGCTAGGGCCACTGTGGGAACAGGTGGCTTTACTCTTGCAGCCTCAGTTTCCCTGGCTGTAAAACTGTTATGACACCAGCCTTGCAGGAAGTGCCAGGTGTGGGGTGTGGGGCTGCCAAGTGTGGGGAGAAATGACCCTCGGGGAGCCAGCTGGCCGGGGCCTAGGGGGTCCTGAGCTGGGGGTGCCGTGCCGCCTCTCCGCTGAGACCACTACTTCCAAAGCATCCGGAGCCAGGCTCTGGGCTGAGCCTGCCATTTGCACTCCTGCATTCAACCCTCACACCATCCCTCAGGGAGAACACTAGGATCACGCCCATGCTACAAAGGAGAACACTGAGCTTTGGAGAAGGGAGGTAACGTGCTGGTAATACACAGAGCCTGGGGAGCAGGGCTGGGGCTTGACGTGGCTCCAGGCCCCACTGCCCTCACCATTGCTGGGATCCGCAGCCCTGATCCTTCAAAAGCCCTGAGCCAGGCAAGCCCGTGCCCGAGACGCTACATCCAGGCTCTGTGGAGGATGCCCAGGTCCCTGGGGTCAGGGCACCATTCCCTGTGCCAGCTCTTGGTGAACTCCCGGCCGCCCAGAGGTCACCGCAGACACCCGCTGGAGACAGGAGCAAGCGTGGGCATCACGGCTCACGTGCGCCCTCTACTAGTTCTTTTTCATTTCATTTAAATTAATGAATTGATTTTTTGAGACAGGGTCTCTCTCTGTGGCTCAGGTTCACTGCAGCCTGGACTTCCCTGGCTCAAGCGATTCTCCCATCTTGGCCTCCCAAAGTGCTGGGTGAAACTACAGGCACTCTCCACCACACCTGGCTAAGTTTTAAACTTTTTTGTAGAGACAGGGCCTCATTATATTGGTCTTGAACTCCTAGGCTCAAACGATCCTCCTGCCTTGGCCTCCCAAAGTCCTGGGGTTACAGGTATAAGCCACCCCATACGGCCTGATTCTTTTAAAAACAGCGTTTGGGCTTGCACCCCAGACGTTTCACTTGGAGGCCCTGAATGGGACCACGCCCTCTTCCCCAAGGCACCATCACACACACACAGGGCTCCAGCCTGTCGGACCCACGATGCGATGGACGGCCAGACGGCCCACCTGGGCTACGGTCCACCTGGGCAGTGGCTCCCCCTCTTTGGGCCTCTGCTTCCTCACCTGCAGAACTGGGGTAAATAACAGTGCCCAGGTCCGGGTGGGCAGGCATGAGAGGTTAAGGACCACACTTGAGTCCTCACTCCAGCCAATGCGGTGCGATGATTCTATATGCGTTTTGTGGATGAGAAAACTCCAGTGCTGGCCTCGCTGTGCACACGTAATAAACACAAGCTGTCATTCAGATCACGAGTTGATGCTAAGCTTAGATCCACATCACGTGATTTGAACTGCAGGTGTAAGTGTCCTCAGGGCACTTATTCATTGATTCCTTCAACATTCAGCACCTACTGGGTGCCAACGGCTACTGTTCCAGCCCCGAGTGTGGGTCGGGGGACTTGTCGCCCCCTTGCGGTCACGCAGCTGGAGTGGGTGCTACACAAAATATTCCTGGTTCCAGCCTGACTCTTGGGGCACAATTTTCCCTTATTCTATGGGAATGGCCAGGGGCTTGGGAAGGAGGACATCCTCCATCTGAATCTCACTTCTGCTTCCTGCTGTGACACTGCCTCTCGGCCTGGGCTTTCTCACCTGCAGAGCCAGCTTATGTCACCCTCCTTTGCAGCACAGGTGTAACACCCCAGCTCTGAGCCTGGGCCAGGGAGGTGGCCAGTCAACAGGCATTTATTGTGCACCTGCTGTGTGCCCTGCATGGCCCCAGGTGCTGCAGACACTGCTGCGGAAAGAACGGCCTCTACAGAGGTTTATCTGTGCCTTTCCCCTACACCTCCTGTCCAGGCTCCAGTAGCAGGAATCAGGTCCCCAAGATTTCAGGGTCAACTGGAGAAAAAGCAGGAGGGTCCCCAGTGATTCAAGCTATCACTGGGAGGGGCCCACGATGCTGAGCTTTGAGAACAGTGCTTGTGGGAGGCTGGACTGTGTGAGTGCCTCTGGGCACTGATCGTTTGATCCTCCCAGTGAGGCAGCCCCCATCTTCCAGACGGGCACACTGAGGCACAGAGAAGTCAGGGCACAGCCTGTTTGCGCACAGCCTGTGATCTGGGGGCTGGAAGCACAAAGATATTTCCAAGATCCTGGGTCAGTTCAAGCAGGGACTAGGGGCAGATGATAAGCCCACTCACAGTACCAAGAAGCAGGGTTTAGGGGAGACTGGGAATTGGAAAAGGCTTTTCAGAAGGGGTCAATCAGAAAGCGGCAGGAGAGATTCCCGAGGCACCCACAGCACACACAAAGGCCCTGAGGCAGGAACAGAGGGGCCACAGGCCACAGCACACACAAAGGCCCTGAGGCAGGAACATAGGGGCCACAGGCCACAGCACACACAAAGGCCCTGAGGCAGGAACAGAGGGGCCACAGGCCACAGCACACGCAAAGGCCCTGAGGCAGGAACAGAGGGGCCACAGGGGCTGAGCGGGGTGACACTAATCCCTCAGAGATGACCGGGTGTCTGGATTTAGTGCAGGTCTTTCAAAAGCAAACTGATAAATTCCTCCAAGGGTTCCAGATGCGTTTAATCTTTTTTTTTTTTTTTAATTCCAATTACAGGGAAAGCTTTGTGTTATTATGGATGAGGCTGGGGTAGCTCTTGGCGGTTTTACCTTTTCGAGGCATCCCAGGCCCGATAGAGACAGCAGTGGATGTTTTAAATCTCTTTTTAATTAAGGAAAAAGCCCTAGCTTGCGTCAGGGATGAGCTGCTGGAGAGAGACAACCTGAGAGGAGCTAGAGACAGGAGCTTCGACACACCAAGGTGGGGGAAGGTGCCCAGCCGCCTGGCTCTGCCCAGCCAAACCACATTCCTGCCCTGGGCACTGACTGCACTTCCTCCCTCCTGGGCAGCCCTCCCAGTTCCCGTGGTCTGTTCCTGCTCATCCTAGCACTGGGCGCTCTGGGAAGGCTGTGGAGGGTGTAGGTACAGTGTGGTGAGCCCAGATTCCAAAGGCCAGGTCCAGGGTCGGGCACAGTGACTCATGCCTGTAATTCCAGCACTTTGGAAGGACAAGGACAAAGGATTGCTTGAGCCCAGCAATTCTGTTCAAGACAGGCCTGGACAACATAGCAAGACCCCATCTCTAAAAAAATTTTTTTTTAAATTAGCCAGATGTGGTGATGTGCACCTGTAGTCCCAGCTACCTGGGAGGCTGAGAAGGGAGGATTGCTTGAGCCCAGGAGTTTAAGGTTACAGTGAGCTGCAATCACACCACGGCACCCCAGCCTGGGCAAGAGAGATCCTGCCTCAAAAAAAAAAAAAAAAAAAAGCGGTTGGGGGTGGCGCTGGGCGTGGCGGCTCATGCTTGTAATCCCAGCACTTTGGGAGGCCGAGGCGGGTGGATCACTTGAGGGCAGGAGTTCGATACCAGCCTGGCCAACATGGTGAAAACTCATCTCTACTAAAAATACAAAAAGAATTAGCCAGCCGTGGTGGTGGGCACCTGTAATCCCAGCTACTTGGGAGGCTGAGGCACGAGAATCACTTGAACCCAGGAGGCAGAGGTTGCAGTGAACCAAGATCGCGCCACTGCACCCTAGCCTAGGCAATAAGAGCAAAACTCTGTCTCCAAAGAAAAGAAAAAAATGAAGCCCAGGTCCAGCCCTTGCTCCATCACTTCCCAGCAGTGTCCCCTCCTCCAGCCTTCAATCTACTCATCCCTAAAATGGAAACAAGAGCAGGACAACCATGAGAACAAAAAAAAAAGCCACGTACTTGGCACCCTGCCTGGCCACGGAAACACTCGTGTGTGACCCAGGGTCCCCTAGCCTTGGCGCTGCTAACACTTTGGTCATTCTCTGCGGTGGGGCTGTCCTGTGTGTCAGGCAATGTTTAGCAGTGTCCCTGGCCTCTAGACCCTGTAGCACCCCCAGCTTCTATGACCAAAAATACTTCCAGACATTGCCAACTGTCCCTGGAGGGCAGGGTCACCAGGTAAAATGCGGGCCTTCCATCGCATTTGAATCTCAGGTTAACAAATAGTTTTTTTAGTAGAGGCATGTCCCATGCAATGCTTGGGACATGCTTCTACTTGACAGTATTCCTTATCTGAAATTCATATATAACTGGGCATCCTGTTTTTATGTTATTTTCCTCCTCAATCTGGCAGCTCTACATGGGGCTGTCGGGGGAGCAGGCCCGTCACCCACGGTCTTCAAAGACAGGGGTAATTGTCATTCACTGCAACAATAACTGGGCATTTCAGGGCTGGCGCTGGCACTCCTGGCATGGAGCTGCTGGCTTCCTCTGTCCCCATGTGGTCCCAGTGCCTGGGGCTACACGGAGGGGCTCCAGGATGGCCCAAGCCAGAGGAACCCAAGCCCCCAGTCTGCCCTTGACCTGCTGTGTGGTCTGAACAAGTTTCTTACCCTCTCTGTCACCTACTGCAAAGGGGGTTATCAGCGCTAACAATTGCTACACACAGTTAGCCTTCTCATTGGAATAGAGATTCTAACCTTTTTTTTTTTTTTTTTTTTTTTTTTAAAGAAATGGTGGTCTTGCTATGTTGCCAGGTGGAACTCAAACTTCTGGGCTCACGCGGTCTTGCTGCCTTGGCCTGCTAACTCCTGCGCTCAGGTGATCTTCCTGCTTGGGCCCCCTAAGTAAGCTGGGATTCTAGGTGTGAGCCACTGTGCCCAGCTCTGACTGTAACTTTTGCCCTAGATAATAACCTGTATACTGCAGTGCTGTCATAAGGATGCATGGTACTAAGAGGAAGGTGTCGAATGGCAGGCACTTAGTCAGGCCATATAATTAGCACCATTATTACTGCTTTGGAAGGAGTAGTATAAGCAGGCCGATTCCAGTTAGTACCAGAGAAAGGTGGTGAACGTTGCTACTTGAGCGAACTGGGAGTATCCCAGGGGAACATGGGCCCTGTGGGCAGCTGAAGCTGGGAAAGGCCGCAGCCAGAGAGCGGAGCAGACTGAAGGCTGGGCTGGATTTGCAGCTCCAGGTAGGAGCAACATTCAGGAGCGGAAGCGGCACCAAGCACTGTCACTCCCAGCTCAGGTCCAGCCACTCTGCAAGGTGAGCTCTCCGGGGAGTCCTGGCTCCCGCTGAGTGGGCCCAGGGCCCCAGGACTGCCTTGCTCTGCTCGCTCCCTGATCAGGGACCAGGACTTTCCTGGACTCCGACAGCAGCAACATGCTTTGGGACCCGGCCTATGTTGCCCAGGCAACCTCAGCGAATCTTACAGAGGGGCTCACTGCTGACGGGAAAGCCCCGGCCCAGGGCCCCAGGAGCTGCTGGCCCCAGTGTTGAGAAGAGACAAGTGCAGTGACAGGTCCCTCAGCACGTTCTATGAACGCCTATGTGCACCAGGCGCCACGGTGCCAGTGCCTTCACAGGACTTGGCTCCTGAAATGATCTAAACAGCCCCTGGTGTTATCCCGCCCAGCTCATCCTGGAAGACACGGAGGCGAAAAGAGGTTGAGCCACTTGCCCAAGATCACACAGCTAATTTCAGGCTCATGCCTGAAATCCCAGCACTTTGGGAGGCTGAGGCAAGTAGGTCACCTGAGGTCAGGAATTGAAGACCAGCCTGGCAAACATGATGAAACCCTGTTTCTACTAAAAACACAAAAAATTAGCCAGGTGTGGTGGTGCATGCCTGTAATCCCAGCTACTTGGGAGGCTGAGGCAGGAGAATCACTTGAACCCAGGAGGTGGAGGCTGCAGTGAGCTGAGATCGCACCACTGTACTCCAGCCTGGGCAACAGAGCAAGACTCCATCTCAAAAAAAAAAAAAAAAAAAAAGGCCAGGTGCAGTGGCACATGCCTGTAATCCCAGCACTTTGGGAGGCCGAGGAAGGAGGACAACTTGAGGCCAGCCAGGCATTTGAAGCCAGCCTGGGCAACATAGCAAGATCCCATCTGTACTAAAAAAAAAAAAAAAGTTAAATGCTTCCTGTTAAAAACAGAGGAAGCATGAACTTCTCCTGAGGTACCATTTTTCACCCAACAGATTGGCAAAAACGGGAAAGCTGTTAACGCTATGGCCACGGTCATCTCCCATGGGGTGAGTGGAAGGGGCTGCTGGTGTGACTTCAGGGGGTTCACTGGCAAAGCTGTCAAAATGTGAAGGGTACACACCCTCCAACCATCTAGAATGTTCCACCCTAGGCCACCTTCTGAGTGGATGGTAGAAGGATATTTACTGAAGTCCTGCTTGGGCAAGGCAGGCCGGATTTGGGTTCGAGGGTGGTGGGGCGTGCACGTAGCCGTGCTGTGCAGCTGTGGGAAAGGGTGGGCAGTACTGTGGGGCTGACAGGAGCCATCCCTGGTGTGTGCTGTTGGGTGACAAAAACAGGGCACAAGAGCAGGCTGCCCCTGCCCAGACACACATCTGCTCTCTGGAAACCAGGCCCCTGGGAGGGCAGCCGCGATGCCCTGGCCCAGGATAACTAGGCTGGTCTGCTCCCGTGCCCGGCCATGTCCAGCAGCTGGTAATTGGTCAACACTGCCCTAACTTCCTTCGATTTTTTTTTTCTTTTTTTTCAGAGACAGGGTCTCACTCTGTTGCCCAGGCTGGAATGCAGTGGCACCGGGCTACGTTTATTTTGTAGAAATGGGGTCTCACTAATATTGCCCAGGCTGGTCTCAAGCAATCCTCCTGCCTTGGCCTCCCAAAGTGCTGGGATTACAAGTGTGTGCCACTGCACCTGGCCCGCTCTGACTTCCGAGTCTTGAGCAACACAAAGCCAGGGAGACCCCCGGTGGGACCGTGAGTCCCAGCACCTCCCCATCCCTCTGTCTCCCTGGAGGCTCATTCCTCACCTTTGTCCATCCCACAGATACTTCTAGAGCACGTGGTGCAGGCCAGGCCCTAAGGAAACTGCAGGGAACGAGGGGGAGGCTCTGTCTGGACTCTGGACTTGCTGGGTTGGGTTGTGTTCCTGAGGCCCCTAGGGATCCAGCTCGGCCATACTCTGGCTGGGTGACCTCAGGTGGGAGCTTTACCACCTGACACCTCAGCTTCTGTATCTACAGTGGGGACAGTGGACAGCACGGAAGCCTTGCTGTGCGGATGAAAGGAGATGGAGGGAAAGAGCTGAACCTGCCTGGTGAGGTGTGAGCTTTGGGAGCGCTGAGCTCCCTGTGGGATGATGGGAATGACGGGGATGACGGGGATGATGGGAATCATGGGGATGACGAGGATAATGGGGATGACAGGGCAGCCACCCCGGCCGGCGGGAGGGTCAGTCCGAGGAGGGTCTCCATATGGTGCCTAAGGCTGAGAGCACATTCATTCTGCAAACATTTGTTGCGTGGTCTGTGTGTGCCAAGTCTTGGGCCAGGTGCCAGGGCTACAGGGATCAAAAAGACAGCGTGGTTCCTGACCTCACGGATCCAGGAGTGTGAGGAGGAGAACATCCTTGGGAACTATCACCCGAATACTAACACAGAGTGCTGGGGTGTAGACCAGCCAGGCTGACCTTCCCAGGCACGGCTGGAAATGGCGCTTCGTCTCCCACCTGCTGGCCTCCCTCCTTTCGGAGGATATCAGGTGCCGGAGGTTTAGCTTAAGCATGGGTGACTGATGGGGGGGGGACCGGCTAAGTCCCTGCTGTAAGCCAGGAGGGGTGCCCGCTCTGCCCTGGGCAGGGGGCGGGGCGAGATCAGACGCCATCTGCTCCCTCGTTTAAAACAGGCTTTGATGATCCACCCCACTGCCCTGAGCCGAAGGGAGGCTGGAGTGGGGTGTCTCTCAGGAGCTCCTGCCTCCTGGGCAGAGATCTGTTCAGAAGGTTCCAGAAAGAGCCCTGGAATTGAGCCTGCACACCTGGGTTCCCAGCCAGGCTGACTTGCTCCTTGTTAACTTGGGCAGCCAGTCCCCACCGCAGCCCCATCTGGAAGGCAAGGACATTGGCTGTCAGCCTGGACCACCCAGGGGAATCACCTAGGAGGCCTCCTAGAGCACCAGTGCCTGGGACCCATCCACACCAATCTCATCCCAACCTCTGGGGAATGGGCAGTGGCTGCATCCATTTGGAAGCCTTCCAGAAGATTCTGATGTGGGTGGAGGTTTAGACTCCTGGGCTAGAATGATTCCAGTGCTTTGTATTTCTTCTTTTTTGAGACAGGGTCTTGCTCTGTTGCCAGGCTGGAGTGCAGTGGTTTTGGCAATTTGGCAAAATTTGGCAATTTTGGCTCACTGCAACTTCCATCTCCTGGGCTCAAGCAATCCTCACACCTCAGCCTCCTGAGTAGCTGGCACTACAGGCGCATGCTACCACACCCAACTAATGTTTCTATTCTTTGTAGAGATGGGGTTTCACCACGTTGCCCAGACTGGTCTCAAACTCCTGACCTCAAGCAATCTGCCCACCTTGGCTTTCCGAAGTGCTGGCCTGTATTACCGCACCTGGCCTGTATTACTCTGAAGTTCTCAATCCACACCTCAGCTTCTATCACCTGCTGGCCCCAGGGACCTCAGCTCCTCCAGCTCAGCCCGGCCTCCATACCTGCCTCCTCGCTGCTCACCAGCTCAGTGTGCTTGGTCCTGACTCAGGGCCTTTGCATTTGCTGTTCCTTCTGCCTGGAACACTGTTCCCTGCATCCACATGGCTAACTCCAGTGTCGGCACCACAGAGAACCCCTCACCTTGCCTCATCCCCTCGACTGCACCTCCTTGCTCAATTCCCTTCACAGCACTCACCACGAAATCCAGCCTGCTGGGTGTGTGTTTGTTCACACACACCATTCCACATTTCCGTCTCTCCCCCATGGACAGGAGCTCTGTGCTGCTCACTGCTGCATCCCGAGGGCTGAGTGTGCTGCCTGGCATGCAGCAGGTACTCAGTACATGTTTGTGTGGAGTTGCCCGGGACACACTCTCCTCTGGGCTCTGTCCCGCACTGGAAGGGAACCAGCACCATGGAACAGCGACTGTGCGTTGGCTCCTGTTCGCAGCTTGGGTGTGGAGGTCAGCAGAGTAGACAAAGACCCCTGGAACATGGCGGTGGCAATGGCAGGCAGTGGGTGAGGACCTCCCCCAGGATCCCCGCAGGCAGGAGCCTGAGCCCATTTTACAGACAGGGACAGGAAAGCTCAGGGAAGTGGGGTGCTTGACCTTGGCTATTTTCTAACTCCTGGTTCAGCGGGGACTGGATTCCACCATGTGATCTCCCTTCAAATGTATGAAATTTCCAGTTTGTTCTGAACACTGCTGAAATGTATTAGTGGAATGAACGTTTTTCTCACCCTCCCATTTCACAGAGCTCCTGTCCCCAGGGATGGAAACTCCACATTCCCTGCCTGGCTCCACCTGGCTGCTACCATCCTCTCCGGCGTTGTGGCCCCTCCAGTTCCTCCACCATGCACGCCAGGCTGCTGCTTGCTTCCCAGCCCGTGCCCATGAGTTTCTGCTACCGGAAACAGCCACCCCTTCCCCGCTCTGTGCCAGGCCAGCTCTTTAGGCTGGGGTGCTTCCTGGGTGATGCCACCCCTAGCCACCCCGGGTAGGCAGGTGCTAGCTTCCATCCAGCACTGAGTTAGCATTAAGGTCACTCCTCACCTCTGTACACTCCCAGTGGCCAGGACCACACTGCCTTGTTCATCCCTGTAGCCCCGGCACCTGGGCCAGCGCCCAGTGCACGGTAGGGACGCAATAAACGTTTGTGGAGGGAACAATCTCTCACGCAATTCTGGCCTGCAGCTGTCCGCCAGCAGAGCCAGGCATTCACACTGTCACGGGGCCATATGGAGGGATTCTGGGTTTTGGGTTGACCAGGGGCTAGACGCAAGCCTCTGAAGGCAAATCAGAAAAATGGGTATCATAACGGCCAACCACCAATCAACCCCAGGCTGAGCCCCCCGAGCGAGGGAGTCACAGCCATGCCTGGCAGCCTGGGGTCCCCACAAAAACGAGGAGTGTCTGAGAAACTGTCACAGCCAAGAGCCTAAGGAGGTATGACAACTAAATATCATGTGGGATCCTGCGACAGAAAAAATACATGGGGGAAATCGGAATCACGTGGACATTCATTAATAATAACAGATCTGGCCGGGTGCGGTGGCTCACGCCTGTAATCCCAGCACTTTGGCAGGTTGAGGCAGGAGGATAGCTTGAGCCCAGGAGTTCAAGACCAACCTGCGCAACATGGTAAAACTTCCATCTCTACTAAAAATGCAAAAAAAATAAGCCGGGTGTGGTGCCTCTTGCCTGTAGTCCTAGCTACTTGGGAGGCTGAGGTGGGAGAATCGCTTGATCCCAGGAGGTGGAGGTTGCAGTGAGCTGAGGTTGTGCCGCTGCACTCCAGCCTGGGCAACAGAGCCAGGCCCTGTTTCAAAAAAACAAAAAGTGTGGATATTAGTTAATAAGAATGGATCTGGCCGGGTGCGGTGGCTCATGCCTGAAATCCTAGCACCTTGGGAGGTCCAGGCTTGAAGCCAAGACTTTAAGACTAGCCCGAGCAACAAAGCGAGACCCCTTCTCTACAAAAAAAAAAAAAAAAAAAAAAAAATTAGCTGGGCGTGGTGTTGTACACCTATACTCCAGCTGCTTGGGAGGCTGAGGCAGGAGAACCACTTGAGCCCCAGAGATCAAGGCTGCAGTGACTTGTGATGGTACCACTGCACTCCAGCCTGAGCAACAGAGGGAGAGTGAGATCCTGTCTCAAAAATATAAATAAATAAGCACAGAAATAAATAAAACACTAATAAATAAATAACAATGGATTTGTATTGATTGGTTTGCTGTAACGAGTGGACCGTGTGAGTGTAAGTTGTTCATAACAGCGGAATCTGGTGTGGGGTGTGTGGGAACTCTCTGTACTATCTTTTCAATTTTTCTGTAAATTAAAACTGTCCTAAAAAATAAAGTCTAATTAAAAAAACAATGACAAACTACCAACCCAGGACAAAGCCTTCATCTTTCCCACCAAGCCCCAGGCAGCCCCAAGGGACCTTCCCCAGGACAGTTGCTGGGACCAGTCTCATTCCCAGGAGCCTGTATCCATGGTGACACTGGAGTTAACCCAGGCTGGAGCTGACGCCCACCCCGCCCCCACAGAACCTCACAGATCACAGGGGTCCTCCCAGGTAGCCCTAACGCCCCAGCCAGCCACTCTAGTGGGAAAGCCCATGCCTGCAGTTTAAGTCTTCCTGCAGAGGCCCCCGCACACCTGCAGCCACCTCCATAGCAGGAAGGTGTAACGGCTCCTTGGGTGCCATCTTTAGTGCCTATCTCAGAAAACTCTCGAGACCTGACCCAGGAGATCTTCCCAGTCACCACTCCATTTTACAGACACAGAAACTGAGGCCTGGGCACGGGAAGTGACTTGCACAACGTTGCAGTCAGTCAGAGGCAGACCCAGAATATGAACTCGGATCTCTGACCCCAGAGCCACTTTGCCAGTGGTCCTCAAAGTTACACAGCCACTGGAATCCCCCCGGAGGATGTGTTGAAAACCCTGAGTTCCTGACTCAGTTGATCCAGTGGGTCCTGAGAATCTGATGGTCTGACTGGTTCCTAAGTGATGCCTATACAGAAGGTCCCGGACCCCACTGAGAACCATGCAGCAGGACCATGCCATTTCCTTGGCTGTGCCGCCCTGCTGGAACCTGGAGAGGGCGCACTTAGGAACCAAGGAGACGACTCCCCCTTTCCCCTTCCGTCTGTGGAGCCAACCCCTCCTAACTGGCCATGTGGCCTTGAGCCAGTGAGAGGTCCCCTGTGCCTCAGCCTCCCTGTCTGTAGAGTTCAGCAGTGATGAGGGTGCCATGCCCAGATCCTGTTGATGCCAGCACGTGCCAACCCTTATAGGGTGAGGCACGAGGGAGATTTTCTTTGGCCTGTGGGACACTCCCGTGGGTCACAGTCACCATGGCCAGGCCCTTGAGCAGAGGGACTCTGCAGCCCCTTTCCTTTGGACTCGGAAACAAAGGGGTGTTGGCACAGCTGTGTTCCTCCTATGCCACCCTCTCAATATCTACCACCCTTGGGCAGAGTCTTTGTTGCCAGACAGGAGAAGCACATTCCTGCCCCCCACAGGGGAAGCTCAGAGGTGAACTGACTTAATGGGGGCTGAATAGTGTCCCCCAAATTCACATCAACCCAGAACCTCAGAATATGACCTTATTTGGAAATGAGGTCTTTGCCGATGTAATTAGTTAAGGATCTCATGATGAGCTCATCCTGGATTTGGGGGCGGAGGGGCTCTAAATCCAATGCCTGGTGTCCTTACAAGAGGAGGAGAGGGAGGTTGAATGCAGGGCAACATGAAGAGAGGAAGGCCACGTGAAGACAGAGGCAGAGACTGGACCCAGGAGGCCTGAAGCTATCAGAAGCTGGAAGAGGCAGGAAGGTTCCTCCTTTGGCGCTGAGGAGGGAGGGCGGCCCTGCCAGGGCCGATTTCAGAACAATGAGAGAATAAAAATTGCTGTTTTAAGCCCCCCAGCGTGGTCATTTGTCACAGCAGCCACCGGACAGTCACGCACGGTAGAGATGGAAGCCAGCCCAGCAGTGGGCAGATCCCATCCCAGCCAGCCAAGTCGGGTGCCATCGACACAAAGCCAGCCCAATAGGGAAGGGGCCTGTGTCTTCCTGGGCAGTTACACAGCCTCAGAGCCCCTGGGGGAGCTGAGGAAGGAGGAGGTGGCGAGGGCTGGGGCTGTGGCTGGTCAGAGCGGGTGAGATGAAGCCCGCAGGGAAGAACGTCATACCCACTGTGACCCTCACACTCTGCTGAGTGGGTTCAGCCCATGCCTCCCGTAACCACGCCTCCAAAGGGAATAAGAACGGGTCTCGGAGCTGCCTCCCTAGAGGAGCCCATGTCTCATTTCTAGTTGGTGTGACTGTAGCTGGTCACTTCCTCTCCTTGGTCCTCAACTTCCCTATCTGTAATGTAAGGCTTTGCAAGATGAGTGCCAAGGTGCCTCCCGGCTCAGAAAGCCTACTTTGGTTCTAGAGGGAGAGATTCCCAGACTGGAGGGGAAGGGAAAGGAGGGCAGCAAACTAAATCCCCCAGACCAGGCAAGTGAACCCCCACATCAGCCGAGGGAACCCCCAGACCAGCCACTGAACCCCCACATCAGCCAACTGAACCCCCAGACCACACAACTAAACCCCCAGACCAGCCAACTAAACCCCCAAGACCAGCCAAGTAACCCCAGTCCAGCCAACTGAACCCCCAGATTAGCCAATTAACCCCCATACAAGACAGGTAAACCCTCTTAGACCAGCCAACCAAGCCCCCAAGACCAGCCAAGTAAAGCCTCCAGCCCAGCCAAGTAACTCCCAGACCAGACAACTTAAACCCCATAGATCAGCCAACTAACCAACTCCCCCATACGAGACAACCCCCCAAGACCAGACAACAAAATCCCCCAAACCACAAACCTAAATCCCCTAGACAACTGAACCCCCCCAGATCAGCTGACTGAACCTCCCAGACCAGTGAACTGGACCCCACTCATTAAAATGATGTTTGGAATATACTGAATTAAATAAAACATATTAAAAGTAATCGTACCCGTTTCTTTGTACCTTATTCATGGGACTGCTAGAAACGTCAAAATCTATTTCTACTGGATGGTGTGGCTCTAGATAGTATGTCCTTGAGCAGAGTCCTGTCTTTATGATTCTTCAAGTCCTCTCCAGAACCCAGCACTCAATAAAACCTGTGGGCTGGATGCAGGATGCCTCAGTTTACCCCAGAGGAAGCTGAGGCCTAGAGAGACAAGGTCACTTGCCCTAAGGCAGGAACCACTGTGTAATTTGTGGGGCTCAGTGGAAAACGAACATGTGAGGCCCATTGTTCAATATGTATTAAGAGCATTAAACTGAGCATGGGGCCCTGTGCAGCTGCAGAGGTCACATGCCTGTGAAGCTGGCCCTGCTCCAAGGCCAAATCGTTAAGGGGCAGAGCTGGGATTTGAACCCAGGGAGGCCTGGAGCTGGGGGCATGGTACAGGAGGGTCACCTGGAAACAGGTGGGTGGGTCTGAGTCCCTGGGCCAGGCTGCGGGGCTAGAGCAGAGGGGCAGAGGGCCTGGGTCCTGGCGGGTCCCTCCTCCTGGTGCCCTGGGCAGCGTGTAGTGTTGAGGCCCCAGGGAGTGAGAGTAATCGTATCCAGGGCTGAACGGTGCCCGCTCCAAAAGATACACCTAACCGGAGCCTGTGAGTGGGAATCTGACATTGTTGAAAACAGGATCTTTGTGATGTCATTTTTTTTTTTTTTGAGACAGGGTCTGGCTCTGTCACCCAGGCTGGAGTGCAGTGGTGTGATCACAGCTCACTGCAGCCTTGACTTCCTGGGCTCAAGGGATCCTCCCACCTCCGCCTCCCAAGTGGCTGGGACTGCAGGCATGAAATGCCACCATTCCCTGATAATTTTTGTATTTTTTGTAGGGATGGGGTTTTGCAATGTTGCCCAGACTGGTCTTGAACTCCTGGGCTCAAGAGATCCTCCTGCCTCAGTTTCCCAAAGTGTTGGGACTACAGGCATGGGCCACCGTGCAGCCCCGCAGATGTAATTGAGTTAAGGATCTTGGGATGACATTATCCTGGACTAGGGTGGGTGCTAAAGCAAATGACAGTTGTCCTTAAAAGAGAAGGGAAGACAGAAGAGGAAAGCCATGTGCCACAAGGCAGAGGCTGGAGCTAAGCCCACAAACCAAAGAATGGCTGGTGCCACCAGGAGCTTGGCAGGAAGGAGCCTCCTTAGAGCTTCCAGAAGAAACGAGGCCCTGCTCACACCTGGATGTCACACCTCTGGCCTCCAGAACTGTGAGAGAATAAATTCCTCTTTTAAGCCACCTAGTTTGGGGTCATCTCTTACGGCAGCCCTAGGACAGTAAGACCCCATGTTACAGAGTTCCTGGCTACTTCAAATATGGAGTTAAAATGATTCTCTCTGGGCCAGGTGTGGTGGCTCACGCCTGTAATCCCAGCACTTTGGGAGGCTGAGGCAGGAGGATCACTTGAGGTCAGGAGTTCAAGACCAGCCTGGACAACATGGTGAAACCCCGTCTCTACTAAAAATACAAAAATTAGCTGGGCGTGGTGGCACACGCCTGTAATCCCAGCTACTCAGGAGGCTGAGGCAGGAGAATTGCTTGAACCCGGGAGGCGGGGGTTGCAGTGAGTCGAGATTGCACCACTGCACTCCAGCCTGGGTGACAGAGCGAGACTCTGTCTCAAAAAAAAAAAAAAAAAAAAAAAAGAGTTCTGGCCCCCTAATCCCCATTCCCCAAGTCACCCCCATGCTTGTGTGGGCCTCATCACCTCCAGAGACCCAGGCTGGGCGAGTGGGGGTGGGCAGGGGCCGGCAGCACCAAAGCCAGCCATGAAAAATGGATGGACAAGCCACACTCGGGACAGGCGCTGTTCCAGCACTTAGCACACTTAGCAGCTCTGGGGCCGACAGGAAGACGGTCCTTTTAAAAGCTCCCAGCCCCACGAGCCCTGATCTGGCTGCCTGTGCTTTCACTCGTGAGGGGCCGAGGGTGGGTGGAGGTGGGAGGGCATTTCCCAGGCACTGTCAGGATCTGCAGGGTCTTGGTCTACCTTCCTGATCAAGTCCCGGCCTTGGGCTGGAAGAAAAGTGGTCCCAGAGATACCTCCAGGGGCCTGGTTTCTCCGTCAAAGATGTCCTGACACAATCGCCAAAAGGTGGAAACAACCCAGTGTCCATCGTTGGAGAAGTGGATAAAGAAAATGTAGTCTGTCCACATGGTGGAATATTATTCAGCCGTGAAAAGGAACGAAGCAGTGATGCATGTTCAATGTGGATGAGCCTAGAAAACACCACACTGAGTGACGGAGACCAGACACAAAAGGACAAATGCTGGATGATTCCACTGACACGAGGTCCCTAGAGCAGATTCTTAGAGACAGGAAGTAGAATGGTGGCTGCCAAGGGCTGGGGAGGGAACGGGGAGTTAGTGTTTAACGGGGACAGAGTTTCAGTTGGAGATGATGAAACCTTCATTCTGAAGACGGGTGGGGTGATGGTTGCACAACACTGTGAACGTGCTTAATGCCACTAACCTTGTACACTTCATGGTTAAAACGGTAAGTTTATGTGATATATATTATTTTTTAAAGAAGAAAAGTATCCTCAATGCCTACTTTGTGACAGGCACTGGGGAACTCATGTCTAAGGGAAGAAAGTCCTCAAGTTTCAAGGGGTTAGGCTTGACCCTCTCAACCACTGTCTGCTGCTGAATTAACCTCAGCCACTCACAGATACTCATTCAACAAACATCTCCCCACTCCTCTGTGGGGTCAGCCTGGAGTCTCAGAGGAAGCCAGGTCCTGGAGAGGACGTGGGCTGTTTGTGTCTGTCCGGCATCCCATCCCGCTTAGTAAACGACACCCCGATTTTCACCAGGGGAACCAATCTCTCCGCAAGCGGTGTTGGAGGAGCTGTCAATCAAGATGCACCTCCCTCCAGGCCAAAGGGGCGGGCCTAAGACCTAAACTGGGCCAATCGGATGCTCTCCTGGAGCGGATTCCTCCCAGCCTGGGAATCTGAAGGGTGGTCCATTCATCCCGGCTCCCAGCAGGGGCCTTTTCACGCCTCCTTACTTCACTTTTCCTGTGGGCTCCCCTCGGCTTTCCAGTAAATTCCTTGTTAACCAGTATCCGCTTCTGTAGCTTGCATCTAAAAGCCCTAAGCCTGCCTAAACCCAAAGGATGGGCTACAGAGCCTGGTGAATTTGACGAAGGAAATAGTACAATTAATTAAGAGCAGCCACCGCCAGAGTGTTCCAGGCCCTGCTCTCGTGCTCCCGGTGACCTGAGACGGGTCCGCCATGATCCCCATTTTACTGATAAGGAAACTGAGGCCCTTGATCTAGGTCTCACAGAGGCATTGGTGAGGCCACAACTCACACCATGCAGGCTGATCCCAGGCTTGGCTCAGCTCCCAACCACCTCTCCAGGTGGGTAGGTGGCCTCTGCCTGGAAGGGGCTGCTGGGGTCAGGTAGGTGGCCCCGGGGCAGGCTAGAAGCTTGGCACTCACACCACTGGCCATGGGACACCTGGAGCCAGAGGCGGTCTCAGGCAGCGGGGCCGCAAGTCAGACCAGGGGCCGCCCACGTGACTCCCAGGTTTTTGGCTGGGGAGAACAAAGCAACTGTCACCAAGGTAAAGAAGAGGGGCAGCAATGGACTTGGGATGGGAGGTTTCCTGCAACATTGGTCTGAGGTGCCCCAGGGCCATCCACACACAGGACAGAAGTCTGGGCTGCCTTTGCTAACACCCACAACACCCTTCAGTGGTTTTGTGTCCTTCTAGAACTTTCTCCCGCTGGCCTTCTCTCCTACCACCTGGACGCTGGACCTCCTGTCTGGGTGATAACAGGCCCCGGGTGTGTCCTTGGGAAAGCAAACAGCCCAGCATATGCCTGGCTCCTTCGCAAAGGCCTCCTCCTCCCTCACTCTCCACAGCCTGGGATTAGGCACCCTGAGGGGGAAACTGAGGCCCCAAGGCACTGCCACCTTCCCAGTCACCCACTGCTAGTGAAATAGAAGGCCTGGAGGGGTGCTCAGAGTCAGGACAAGCATTTTTAGAGCACCTGCTGTGTACAGGACTGCTTTAAGGGATGGTGCCCTGCTCCCTCTGCAGGGCAGAGGGCTTCAACTCCCCTCTCTCCTGCCCCCCAACCCAGCACCCCCTCTGCCATGAGAGCTGGTGGGGGCAGAGCTTCAGGCCTTACCTTTCAGGCAGGACATCTTAAGCCCCATGTCGGCACCTCTGCAGGCCTGTGGAGAGAGGACAGCGCTGAGAGAGGGGAGGGCGCGACTTGTTTGTATTGGCCACGTGCAGCCGGGCCCCCACCCTTGGCCCTGATGAGTGCAAAACAGGAGGTTGTGGTGGAGAGAAACCACCGGCCTCCAGGTCATGCCACCTGTCAACTACATCTGGGCTGGATTTGCTCAAAGATGGAGTCTGTGACGGTGGAAAAAACTTACGGGTGCCTCAAAGTTAAATATACAGGAAGCCAAGGCGGCGTCTGCAGCCCTGGCTCTGTGAGGTCACTTGAACCCAGGAGGCGGAGGCTGCAGTGAACTGATGATGGGGAACCGACACCACCAAGCCTTTCCTTTCAAGAGCCACAGGACGGCCGCAGCTGCAGAGATGTGAAGACCTGCCAGCAGGGCTCGGGGGTGGCCCAGAGGCCCCCATGGCCATGTACCTCCCGTTCTAATGCTTTTTTTTTTTCCCCTAATGCAGGTTCTTTGGAGATCTGACAGCCTGAGCTATAGAGGACGTGTGGCCCCCCCAGCCCACGGGTATTAGAATTGTCCCAACCAGTGTTCTCATGATGTTCCTGCAACATGAGGCATCCCGAGTTCTAAGCAATTGAAAAATAGAAGCAGCAGCCAGTGGTGCGGGGCCCCTGCATGCTCTTGACACTCACTCCTCAGTAACAGCCCCGCAAGGTACTATTACTGTCCCCACTTCACAGACACAAAAATCAGGGCTCAGAGAGGTGGCGGCACCTGCCCAAGGCTACCAGCTTACTAGGGACTGTGGAGCTGAGACTCGAACCCAGGACTGTCCTAATCCCTAGGCTGGGGCCCCACCCCACAGGGGCCTGTAGTGTGCAGAGATCCAGAGGAAGATAAAGCAACAGTCCGTGGGAGGAACCCCAGGGGATGGGAGGTCAGGCAGGAACAGGTGGGGAGAAGCCGAAGATGGGTGGGACCTGGGGTTTCTGGGGCTGGTTTGGAGTTAAGAGCTTATTCTGAGGACGCCAAGGAGCAAGTCTGCTTTCTAGAGGGGTGTGTGGCTAGTACCTGTGAGGAGACCCCAGGCCTGGCCCTCATGTGCAGGCTGTTGGTGGATTGGTAGCATCAGCAACCCGGAGGCTGGGGAGCAAGGCAGCAGCTCAGGCCCACCCAGGCGCACAAGGCCCCAGGGATTCCTGTGCCTGCTGAGGTCAGAGATGCTTGCTCTGGGCCAGAAATCGGGGAGGTGAATGTGAAGATGGCAGGCCAGGAAGGGTTTGGAGGAGAAGGAGCTGGAAGTCCAGGTGGAGCTAGTAAGACATGGGTGGGAGATACCACCAAGACATAGACCGGGGCCTTGGGAAGGGAGGGAAAGCGAGAGATACTGATGGGAACAGGCTTGGGCCAGCTGCGTATGAAAGGCAGCCATTCCAACTTACGAGTGGTCTCTGGAGCTTCCCCATTGCACTAGCTGGGCCAGGTCCCAGCTTGGCAACTCCCAGCCATGTGATCACGGATAGTTTATCTCAAGACTTCACTTTCCTCATCTTTAAAATGGGATGAGCTGGCCGGGCACAGTGGCTCACGCCTATAATCCTGACACTTTGGGAGGCCGAGGTGCGTGGATCAGGAGTTCAAGACCAGCCTGGCCAACATGGTGAAACCCCATCTCTACTAAAAATAAAAAAATGAGCCAGGCATGGTGGTGGGTGCTTGTAATACCGGCTACTCAGGAGGCTGAGGCAGGAGAATCACTTGAACCCGTAGGTGGAGGTTGCAGTGAGCTGAGATCGTGCCACTGCACTGCAGCCTGGGCGACAGAGTGAGACTTCATCTCGAGAAAAAAAAAAATGTAAAAAGGGGTGAGGCACATAACAGTCTCATTGAGCAGCAGCGAGAACTGAGTGTGGGGAAGTGATCTGTGCTGGGGACAGAGGAGAAGTCCGAACAATGTCAGCTGCTGCTGTCCCTCCTGACAGAGAGGGAGGGAAAGGAGGTCGAGGTTTCCAGCTAGGCCTTTTATCCAGGGCCTTGCTGTTCCCAGAATGGCCCATGGAACAGCAGCACAGGCTTCCCGGTAGCTGTGCATGCAGAGTCTCAGGCCCTGAGCTGGCCCTGCCCACTCAGAACCTGCATCCACACTACAGCCAAGAAGAGCTGGGCACTGCAGCCTCCGCACATCACCCAGGAGCTTTACAAAATACCTTTTCTTCCGGATTAGGTAACTCGCACCTGTCATCCCAGCACTTGGGGAGGCTGAGGCATGAGGATCACTTGGGGCCAAGAGTACAAGACTAACTTGGGCAACATAAGAAGACCCTGTCTCTATAAAACAAGCTTACGCCTGGGCGCGGTGGCTCACGTCTGTAATCCCAGCACTTTGGGAGGCCGAGGTGGGCAGATCACCTGAGGTCAGGAGTTCGAGAGCAGCCTGGCCAACATGGTGAAACCCCATCGCTACTAAAAATACAAAAAATTAGCTGGGTGTGGTGGTGGGTGCCTGTAATCCCAGCTACTCATGAGTCTTGGGCATGAGAATCTCTTGAACCTGGGAGATGGAGGTTGCAGTGAACCAAGATCATGCCACTGCACTCCAGCTTGGGCAATAAGAGCGAAACTCCATCTCAAAAACAAAAAACAAAGAACAAGCTTGTACAACCCGCAGCCCTCCAGCTGCCTGCAGCCCAGGGTGGCTTTGAATGTGGCCTAACGCAAATTTGTAAATTTTCTTAAAACATTATGAATTTTTTTTGTGATTTTTTTTTTTTTTTTTTTAGCTCATCAGCTGTCATTAGTGTATTTTATGCGTGGTCCAAGACAATTCTTCTTCCAGTGTGGCCCAGGGAAGCCAAAAGATTGGACACCCTGGCTATAAAACATTTTTAAAAAATTAGTCAAGTGTGGTGGCCTGTGCCTGTAGTCCCAGCTACTCAGGAGGCTGAGGTGGGAGGATCACTTGAGCCCAGGAGGTTGAGACTGCAGTGAACCTTGATCGTGCCACTTCACGCCAGCCTGGGTGACAGCAAGAGCCTGTCTCTTAAAAACAAAATGCTGCTTGCTGCCTGAGCCCCACCCCCAGAGATTCTGGGGCAATTGGTCTGGTGTGTGGCTGGCATTGGGATTTTTTTTTTTTTTTTGAGACAGAGTCTCACTCTGTTGCCCAGGCTGGAGTGCAGTGGCGTGACCTTGGCTCACCACAACCTCCACTTCCCAGGTTCAAGTGATTCTCCTGCCTCAGCCTCCCGAGTAGCTGGGACTACAGGCGTGCACCATGACACCCAGCTAATTTTTTTTTTTTCATTTTTAGTAGAAATGGGATTTTGTCATGTTGGCCAGGCTGGTCTCGAACTCCTGACCTCAAGTGATCCACCCACCTCGGCCTCCCAAAGTGCTGGGATTTCAGGTGTGAGCCACCGCGCCGGGCCCGGCACTGGGATTTTTAAAAGCTCCCTGCAGGACTCTCACATGCAGGAGAGAGAATCCTTCCCTATGGGAGGAGTGAGGGGTAGCGGAGGAGTGGGGCTGGGGCTGAGGGACGGAGGGCCCAGGCCTGTGGGAGCGACAGGCACATTTCCTGGCACTCACCATGGGCCCGGCACTGTTCAGAGCCCTTTATGTGTATTCATGGTTAGTGAATCCTCACTATAACCCCATGAAGTTGGGACCGTTCCTGTCCCCATCTCACAGGAAACAGGCACAGAGAAATTAGTTAACTTGCCTAAGGTCATCTGGGTAGCAAGTGACAGAACAGGGATTTGAAGCCAGAACTTTGGACTCTAGAGCCCACGCTTTTAGTGACCAGGCAGACCTGGGAAGTCTTGGAGTCCCCAGGGGACAGAGCTTCCAGGAACAGGGGAGGGCGGAGCAGACCTCATCTCCATCCCTCATCAATTGTGCCCATGCTGGCTCTCCTGCCGCCAGCCTTGCCAAGGGGTCCTGCAGCCCTGACGTCAGGATCAACCACAATAAGCCAGAGGGAAAGCTGCACAGAGCCCCAGGGCCTCTGCTGGCCAGGCTTCCCAAACCTCCCTGGACTGTGGCTGCTGGTAAGCCAGACTCGACATCCCAACCAAGCGCAGACCGGCCCTGCACAAAGTACTCGGATTTTATCATCTATTCCCTTTTATCCTGTCTTTGTTCAGCATTGATCACAGCCCACCCGGTGGATTTTGACATGTCTCAACCCAGGGTTTGAAAACCAGTGATCTGTACAGAAGTTCTCACAGAAAGAATGATGTCTGGAATTTGCTGTAAAATACTTCAGTAAAACAACAACAACAAAATGCTGTGGGGCACAGGGAGGCGTCACCATGAGAGCAGCGGGATGCTGTTTACTGTTGAGACTGGGAGATAGGAGAGCATGACATACTGGTGTGTTTGTTTGAAAAGTAATGACCAGCCTGGGCAACATGGCGAAACCCCATCTCTACAAAAAAATACAAAATTTAACCAGTCATGGTGGTGCATGCCTGTAACCCAAGCTACTCAGGAGACTGAGGTAGGAGGATCGCTTGAGCCTCCTTGAAGTGGAGGCTACAGTGAGACGTGATGGTGTCACTGCACTACCTGGGAGACAGAGCAAGACCCTGTCTCAAAAAAAGAAAAGAAGTAATAAAACAGTCAGAAGAGAAACAACTGTATTTTAGGTGACAGTCTGGGGTCAATATTAAGTTTTCTGATTCTGATTATTGTACTGTGTTCTGTAAGAAATGGTCCTTGCTCGGCCGGGCGCAGTGGCTCATGCCTGTAATCCCAGCACTTAGGGAGGCCGAGGCGGGTGGATCGCCTGAGGTCAGGAGTTCGAGACCAGCCTGGCCAACATGGTGAAACCCCGTCTCTACTAAAAATACAAAAATTAGCCAGGCGTGGTGGCAGGCACCCGTAATCCCAGCTACTCGGGAGGCTGAGGCAGGAGAATCGCTTGAACCCAGGAGGCAGAGGTTGTAGGGAGCCGAGATCACGCCATTGCACCCATAGGCTGGGCGACAAGAACGAGACTTTGTCTCAAAAAAAAAAAAAAAAAAAGAAAAAGAAATGGTCCTTGCTCTTAGAAAATATACACTGATGGCCAGGCATGGTGGCTCACGCCTTGTAATCCTAGCACTTTGGGAGGCTGAGGAGGGCAGATCACCTGAGGTGAGGAGTTCGAGACCAGCCTGGCCAACATGGTGAAACCCCATCTCTCTACTAAAAATACAAAAAATTATCCAGGTGTGGCCGGGCGCGGTGGCTCACGCCTGTAATCCCAGCACTTTGGGAGGCTGAGGTGGGAGGATCACGAGGTCAGGAGATCGAGACCATCCTGGCTATCACGGTGAAACCCCGTCTCTACTAAAAATATAAAAAATTAGCCAGGCGTGGTGGCGGGCCCAGCTACTAGAGACGCTGAGGCAGAAGAATGGCGTGAACCCGGGAGGCGGAGCTTGCAGGGAGCCGAGATCGTGCCACTGCACTCCAGCGTGGGGCACAGAGCGAGACTCTGTTTCAAAAAAAAAAAAAAAAAAAAAAATTATCCGGGCTTGGTGGCGGGCATCTGTAATGCCAGCTACCTGGGAGATGGAGGTTTTAGTGAGCTGAGATTGTGCCACTACACTCCAGCCTGGGCAAGAGAGTGAGACCCTCAAAAAAAAAAAAAAAAAAAGAAAGAAAATATACACTGACGTGTCTGGGCTCAAGAGTCATCATTTCCGTAACTTAACTCTCAAATTGTTCAGCAGGAACATAGTGATACGCATGAATACGTGCAGGGAGAGATGAGGACACGCGTGTAGGTAAATGTTCATTTCTGGCGAAGGATATTTGCAGGGCCTCTTCATATTCTCACAACTCTTCTTTAACTTTGAAACTGCTTCAAGAAAAAGGCTTAAAAAGGAAAGAAAGGCAACATCCAGAAGAGACAGGGCAGCTCAGTGAGAGTCTGCGCAATGCCTGGCCTCCCCACCATGGTCTCCCAGGGCAGGATGCGGGCGGCAGCATGTGCGTCAGATCGCGTTTTCCTGCTAGCAGCTTCTACAGCTTGGTGGAGATGCGTTCCTGGGGCCAGGCTCTGGCCGAGCAAAGGATCTGTATTATGCCGTGCCAGGCAGCACCACCTCCCTGAAGAGGTGTCTGGAACTGACAGGTTTTCTCTGAACAGCTGTCTTGCAATTTGAAAGACCCCTACCTCAAAACACACAGGGGAAGGAAGGAAGGCAGGGAGGGAAGGAGGGAAGAAGCAAACCAGAGGATGGGGGACCAGGAGCAGCTCCAGCCAGGATTCAGGTGACACTGGGGGCAGGATGCAGTGAGGGTCAGGCAGGTGCAGCATCGAGGGTGGTCACGTCCACATATGGCAATTTGATGTGGGGTGTGTGGAACTCCCACGTGGAGAGTTTTCACACAGCAAGTTTTCTCATCTCCCACAGTGTCCCTGAACTTGCCCTCATTGTCATCCTGCTTCTGCCTCCCTCCAAGGACAGCACAAAGGCGGCAGGCACAGGACTGGCTGAAGGGACAAGAAAGAATTGGGAGTCTAGAGGAGCTGTGCCACCTCAAGCAGGTCATTTCCCGAGTCTGAGGTGCTGGGGCTCGGTCCCCCAGGTTCTGTGTCCTCCTCTGCCAAACAGGCATTGAGCCACCAGCCTCCAGGACAGGGCCTGGGACAGAGTTGTCACCATCATCTTCATCATCATCATTGTTCTCATCATTCTTATTGCTATAGTTTGGATATTTGTCCCTTCCAAACCTCATGTTGAAATTTGATTCAGAACACTGGGCCTGATGGGAGGTGTCTGGGTCATGGGGCAATCTCTCATGAACAGCTTGCTTGGTGCCGTCCTCACAGTAATGGATGAGTTCGCTCCCTATTGGTTCCTGCAAGAGCTGGCTGTTAAAAAGAAGCCTGGTGGCTGGGCGTGGTGGCTCACGCCTGTAATCCTAGCACTGTGGGAGGCTGAGGTGGCTGGATCACTTGAGGTCAGGAGTTTGAGACCAGCCTGGCCAACATGGCAAAACCCCGTCTCTACTAAAAGTACAAAAATTAGCTGGCTATGATGGTGCATGCCTGTAATCCCAGTTACTCAGGAGGCTGAAGAATGAGAATCGCTTGAACCTGGGAGCCAGAAGTTGCAGTGAGCCGAGATCATGCCACTGCACTCCATCCTGGGTGACAGAGCGAGACTCCGTCTCAGAAAAAATAAAAGAGCCTGGCACCTTCCCTGCTTCCCACTTGCTGCCACCCTCTCGCCACATGATCTCTGTGGCTCCCCTTCACCTTCCGCCTTGAGTGGAAGCAGCCTGAGGCCCTCACCATCCTGGCGCCATGTTTCTTGTCCAGCATGCAGAACTGTGAGCCAAATGAAACTTTTTTTTTTGGAGACACACTTTCACTCTTTTTGCCCAGGCTAGACTGCAATGGTGCGATCTCGGCTCACTGCAACCTCCGCCTCCTGGGTTCAAGCGATTCTCCTGACTTAGCCTCCCGAGTAGCTGGGATTACAGGCATGCGCCACCACACCCGGCTAATTTTGTATTTTTAGTAGAGATGGGGTTTTTCCATGTTAATCAGGCTAGTCTTGAACTCCCAACCTCAGGTGATCCGCCTGCCTCAGCCTCCCAAAGTGCTGGGATTACAGGCGTGAGCCACGGTGCCCAGCATGAACCTCTTTTCTTTATAAATTATCCAGCCTTGGGTATTCCTTTGCAGCAACACAAATGGACTAAGACAGGTGTCACCTCACTACTGTTGTCATCCTTGTCACTGTCATCATTGTTGCTGCCACCTTTACCATCATCATCCTCATCATCGTCATCAGTGTGATTGCCACTAGGTACCACCAGGGCACCCCCACTACGTGGCCCCAATTCCACAGTGTGGCCTGTTGTGTTGGGGGTGAATTTATGTGGGAGTGTGGAGAGCCCTGTCCACTCCCTTTGAGATCTGGGGCCAGCCTCCTGCAGAGACCACAGATGCTTTCATGCGAGAGGCCCCTTAGATGAGCTGAAATGTCTGAGAAGGAGGAGTTACAGCTTTGATTCTACATCTGTCTGAATAGAAGCCATACAGTTGTCTAAACATAGGGAAGAGCCACTGTTACCTTAAACTTTATCATCATCGTCATGACAATATCAGCTGATAGATATCCAGCTGTTTTCAGTGTGCCAAATTCTGGGCCAAGTTTGCTATAAAAACGATGCCACTGAACCCTAACAATGCCCTAAGAGATAAACATTATCACCATCCTGTTTTATAAATGAGGAGCTGGGGCTCACAGCTGTCCAGCGACTCCCAGCACCCAGGGCTAGCAAGCTACAGCTCTGGGCTGCCAGACACTAAAGCCAAGCCCACATCACTGCACTGGGTTGCAGTGTTCTATTCCACACGCCAGAATTCTAGATTGTTTGAGTTTGTTACAAACACACGTATCTTTGTAACTAGAAAATAAAGATTTAAGGCCGGACGCAGTGGCTCAAGCCTGTAATCCCAGCACTTTGGGAGGCTGAGGCGAGCAGATCACCTGAGGTCAGGAGTTCCAGACCAGCCTGGCCAACACGGAGAAACCCTGTCTCTACTAAAAATACAAAATTGGGCTGGGCGCGGTGGCTCACATCTGTAATCCCAGCACTTTGGGAGGCCGAGGCGGGCGGATCACGAGATCAGGAGATCGAGACAATCCTGGCTAACACAGTGAAACCCCGTCTCTACTAAAAATACAAAAAAATTAGCCGGGCATGGTGTTGGGCGCCTGTAGTCCCAGCTACTCGGGACGCTGAGGCAGGAGAACGGTGAGAACCCAGGAGGCGGAGCTTGCAATGAGTCGAGATTGTGCCACTGCACACCAGGCTGAGCGACAGAGCGAGACTCCATCTCAAAAGAAAAAAAAAATACAAAATTAGCCGGGCATGGTGGTGCATGCCTATAATCCCAGCTACTCAGGAGGCTGAGGAAGGAGAATTGCTTGAACCTGGGAGGCGGAGGTAGCGGTGAGCCGAGATTGCGCCATTGCACTCCAGCCTGGGCAACAAGAGCAAAACTCCGTCTCAAAAAAAAAAAAAAAAAAAAAAGAAAAGAAAAGAAAAAGAAAATAAAATAAAGATTTAATGGGAGAAAAAAAGATTTAAGGCAAGGATACCCTTAGCTTGGCATGATGGTATGGGAGCAGTTGGGCCCAAAAGAACTGCTAGTTTAGGTATAAATGTTCTATCTTTTTCACACATTTGCAGGGGTGTGAAAAACTTCCGTTTCATATTGAATTGGGCTCTGTTTATGTTCCCGTTGAAATATCAGATTGTTAATTATTTGCACAACAGCTTGAAGAAGAACAGGTTCTTTCTTGCACCCAGGCATAAAAATCTCCCTGTCAGCAGCCAGATGCGGTGGCTCATGCCTGAAATCCCAGCACTTTGGGAGGCCAAGGCGGGCGGATCACGAGGTCAGGAGATCGAGACCATCCTGGCTAACACGGTGAAACCCTGTCTCTACTAAAAATACAAAAAATTAGTCAGGCATGGTGGCAGGCGCCTGTAGTCTCAGCTACTTGGGAGGCTGAGGCAGGAGAATGGTGTCAGCCCACGAGGCAGAGCTTGCAGTGAGCCGAGATCGTGCCACTGCACTCCAGCCTGGGCAACAGAGCAAGACTCCATCTCAAAAAAAAAAAAAAAAAAAAACTCTCCGTCAGCCGGGTGCAGTGGTTTACGCCTGTAATACCATCACTTTGGGAGGCCGAGGTGGGCGGATCACCTGAGGTTGGGAGTTCAAGACCAGCCTGACCAACATGCAGAAAGCCCATCTCTACTAAAAATACAAAATTAGCCAGGCATTGTGGCGCACGCCTGTAATCCCAGCTACTCGGGAGGCTGAGGCAGGAGAATCGCTTGAACCTGGGAGCTGCAGGTTGTGGAGAGCTGAGATTCCACCATTGCACTCCAGCCTGGGCAACAAGACGAAACTCTGTCTAAAAAAAAAAAAAAAAAAAAAAAAAAAAATCTCCCTGTCGCCAAATGGTCACGGATTCTCTCTGGTGACAAGGATGGGCAATGGGCAATTATAAAAACTGACTTCCTCGGCAGAGGTCCACCCCCTCCTGAGGGGTGGCAAGACAGACAGACATCAGATGTCATGCATGCCACACAGCTTCTCTAAGGCCAAGAGCATCTCCAGGGACAGGTCCCACTTCCATGTTGGCTGTGTTTGTTTTTGCAACAGCCTTGAAGGCAGGTGCCACAAATTACCAGCTCACAACAGACTGCTTGTCAGCTTGCCCTCTACAGATTTTCAGTGCAAACAGAAAAGCAAAATGATGTGTTCTTTCATAAAGTCAAAAGCAACCAAGACATAGCACTGACTGTGAGGGACAGAAACTCCTGCTGGCTGGAGGGACCCTGCTTTTCAAAGACAGAGAATCTCCCGCTGGCTGAGGGACCCTGCTCACTGCCTACCAGAGACAGAATCTCCCGCTGGCTGGAGGGACCCTGCTTTTCAAAGACACAGAATCTCCCGCTGGCTGGAGGGACCCTGCTTTTCAAAGACAGAGAATCTCCCGCTGACTGAGGGACCCTGCTCACTGCCTACCAGAGACAGAATCTCCCGCTGGCTGGAGGGACCCTGCTTTCCAAAGACACAGAATCTCCCGCTGGCTGGAGGGACCCTGCTTTTCAAAGTGGGCTCCAACGTTTGCCGATTCCCTTCAGTTACCACTTGTGTGGATCACAGAAGTTCAGCTCTAGGCTATGAGATAAACCCATCCTGGAGAGGCTCATAGAAATCTAGAGCTGGAAGTGGTCAGAGAGAGATGGCCAGGTAAAATACAGGATGCCCAGTTATTGCATGGGACACACTCATAAAAACTATTCATTGTTTATCTGCAGTTAAACTTAGCTGGGGCTGGGTGCGGTGGCTCATTCCTGTCATCCCAGCACTTTGGGAGGATGAGGCGGCAGGCAGATCACTTGAGGCTGGGCGTTCAAGACCAGCCTGGCCAACATGATGACACCCCGTCTCTACTAAAAATACAAAAATTAACTGGGCATGGCAGAGGGCGCCTGTAATCCCAGCTACTAGGGAGGCCGAGGCAGGAGAATCGCTTGAACTTGGGAGACAGAGGCTGCAGCTAGTGGAGATCGCGCCACTGCACTCAAGCCTGGGCGGCAAGGTGAGACTCGCCTCAAACAAACAAACAAAAACAACAACAAAAACTTAGCTGGATAACTTAGTTATCCTTGTGTTTATCTGCTGAATCTGACCACTCTATTCAAGGTCATCTGATTTCTAACGTCTGGCTGTCCCAGATGGGGACCTGGAGAACTAGACAGGGAAAGTGAATGAACTGGTTCCTGCAGAGCCACCTCCCAGATGAAATCAGAGTAACCCCATGGAGGTCCTGAGTCACGGTGGCACCTTGCCCTGCTTGCCTAACAAAGACCTCCTGGGAGGAGGACCCAGAAGAGGGCAGGGCTGAAGAAGAGTCACAGCTGAAGAATGTGACTGTTTGCCAGGTGAGTGGGCTCCAATCCCAGTGGGGCAGGGTGGTCTCTGAGGCTTGGTAAGCCCCTTCAGCTCTCTGGGCCTGGTCATGCTGCAAGCAGGGAAGAGAGTGCGGGCAAGCGGGGCTCCCAGCAGGCTCACGACACACATGGTGCTTTTCTTCCTTCTTTAGGAAAGCCACTTTCTTTCTGCAGCAGGATTAGAATTCCTACAACTCCAGCCAAAGGAACTGGGTTGGGAAGCGATACTGCAAGCATTCATGTGCTTCCATCCTGGTCTTCAGCTTAGCCACGGTCCTGCGGGGACAGTGAGTCCCTCTCTGAGTGGCCAGGACCTCCACCTGGCCCACAGGAAGCCTTCACCAGCAGGAAGCGAAACAGGATGGGGTGGAGGCAGGAGGCCCACCGAAATCCCCACCTGCTTGGCCTCCCACGGATGAGCCGTGTGACTCACAGCAAAATACTTGCCCATTGCCGACTCTGGGCCACCGTGAAATAATAGAGCTGAACACCTTTAGGATTTGAGCACCTTTCTGTACATTATACATCAATAAAAACATTTATCAAAAAATAAGAGGGCTTTGAGACCAGCCAGAGCAATATGGTGAAATCCTGTCTCCACAGAAAAATACAAAAATTAGCTGGGTATGGTGGCACACACCTGTGGTCCCAACTACTTGGGGGGCTGAGTTGGGAGGATCACCTGAGCCCAGGAGGTTGAGGCTGCAGTGAGCCATGATCATGCCACTGCACTCCAGCCTGGGCAACAGAGAGACCCCATCTCAAAATAAATAAAAGGGGTCTGCTATTTGAAGTCAGGTTAACGGCTACCCATAGGGAAACCATGGCTGGGAGGAGCATGAAGGGATTTCTGGGGGTGTCCTGGGGGGCTGAAGGTCTCTTTCTTGACCTGGTGCACACTTTTGATGTACACTTATTACAATGGGCATATCATCTTGCCCACAAAAAGTATCAAACTGTAAAATATTTGAAGAGATTTATTCTGAGTCAAATGTGAGTGACCAATGGCCTCAGGAGACCCAGAGAATATGTGCCCAAGGTAGTTGGTCTACAGCTTGGTTTTATACATTAGGAAGACACAAGGTATCAATCAGTACATACAAGATATACATTGGTTCCAGCTGGGCGCAAGGACTCATGCCTGTAATCCCAGCACTTTGGGAGGCTCAGGCAGGTGGATCACAAGGTCAGCAGTTCAAGACCAGCCTGGCCAACTTGGTGAAACCCCATCTCTACTAAAAATACAAAAAAATTAGCCAGGTGTGGCACAGGTGCCTGTAATCCCAGCTACTCAGGAGGTTGAGGTAGAGAATTGCTTGAACCTAGGAGGTAGAGGTTGCAGTGAGCTGGTATTGCACCACTGCACTCCAGCCTGGGTGACAGAGCGAGACTCCGTCTCAAAAAAATATATATATATATACATATATATATATGTGTGTGTGTATATATATATGTGTGTGTATATATATATATGTGTATATATATATATATACACATACATACATTGGTTTCATCTGGAAAGGTGGGACAACTGAAGGGGGAAGTACGTGGGATGGGGAGACATGGCTTTTGGGTCATAGGAGGATTCAAAAATTTTCTGATTGGCAAATGGTTGAGAGAGTTATTATCTGGGCTGGGTGCAGTGGCTCACGCCTGTAATTCCAGCAATTTGGGAGGCTGAGGTGAGTGGATCACGAGGTCAGGAGTTTGAGGCCAGCCTGACCAACAGGGCGAAACCCCATCTCTACTAAAAATACAAAAATTAGCCGGGCATGGTGGCACGCACCTGTAATCCCAGCTACTCAGGATGCTGAGGCAGGAGAATCACTTGAGCCTGGGAGGCGGAGGTTGCAGTGAGCCGAGATCACGCCACTGCACTCCAGCCTGGGTGACAGAGCAAGACTGTCTCAAGAAAAAACAACAAAAAAACCCAAAAGAGTTATTATCTAAAGACCTGGAATCCATAGAAAGGAATGTCTGGGTTACGATAAGGAGTTTGGCTTGAGAGAGAACAGATTGTACATGTTTCTTATCAGACTTAAAGGGACTGTCCTATTAGTCTGAAGGTCTGCACTGATGTTAATGCTGGTCTGCGGGGTCTCAATTTCAAAAGGCAAGAGAGTATAATGAGGCATGTCTGACCCCACTTCTCATCATGGCCTGAACTAGCTTTGCAGGTTAACTCTGGAATGCCCTTAGCCAAGGGGAGTGGTCCATTCAGATGATTGGGAGGCTTTGATTTTTTTTTTTTTTTTTTTTTTATTTTATTTTTTTTTAGAGAAAGGAGTCTCACTATGTTGCTCAGGTTGGTCTCAAACTCCTGGCCTCAGGTGATGCTCGTGCCTCACCCTCCCAAAGCACTGGGATCACAGGTGTGAGCCACTGTGCCTGGGCCCCATCATCACTTACTAATCTTTTTAATGATGGGGGATTATACTTAGCAGGCCCAGAGGCCTAGCCTGGCTTCCACTGCAGGTAAGAGCAATTCAGTACCACGGCTCAGGGTTCCAGGCCTGGCCTTGCCATTTTCCAGCCATGTAACCTTGTGTCAGTGACTTTGCCTTTACAAGCTTCTGTTTCCTCATTTTTATTTTTTAATTTATTATTATTTTTTTAAGAGACAGGGTCTCCCTCTGTTGCCCAGGCTGGAATGCAGTGGCGTGATCATAGCTCACTGTAGCCTCAACTTCTTGGGCTCAAGGAAACCTCCCGTCTCAGCCTCCTAAGTAGCTGGGACTACAGGTATGCACCACACCCAGCTCATTAAAAAATTTTTAGTAGCTGGGGGGACTCACTGTGTTGCCCAGGCTGGTCTCGAACTCCTGGCCTCAAGCACTCCTCCTGCTTTGGCATCCCAAAGTATTGCAGCCACAGGCGTGAGCCACTGTGCCTGGCCCTGTTTCCTCATCTTTAAAATGGGGCTGACAGTATTTGGTTGGAGAGTTGGTCAGGGGATTAAAACAGAAAACGCAGGGTCTGGTGCATGAGGAGTGCTCCGTAAGCATGAACTATCAGTGCGCTCTTCTTCAGTGTCCACTGACGGCACGCTCCCATTTCAAGTCTCCAGAGGTGACCTGCACCTTGGGCTGGGAAAATACACTCTACGTGGGTCTGGGGTGCACCCCACCGGCATGGGAAGGCGCTTCCAGGGAGACGAGATTAGGTGGTGAGCTTTCAGCCTCCTTGGGGCTGGTGAGGGATTAAGTGTTTCCATAAATACACGGCCTCCTCCCATCCACAGGACCGGGTCCCCAGCGGTGGGGGCGCAGAACCCAAGGAGGGCGTGGCCTGCACAGGTGAGGGTGCTTTTTGGAGTTAACCCAGCCCAGGACAGGGGCCTCCCCACAGCGTTGGATGGGTGGGGTCTAGGCAGGAAACGCCAGAGCCTGTGACTCAGGGTATCCCTCTCAGAGCCTCAGTTTCCTAACCTGTACATTGAGGCGTTCGTTCCCCGAGAACCGCACTACCTCACAAGTGCCTTTGCCTCGCAGCCTTCCCTTCCTCCCTCTTCCTCCGGGCTCCAAAGCCTGTCGAGCCTGCACAGATTTTCCCTTGATTCCATCTGGGCCCCGCAGCCGGAGGCGGTCTGAGAGAAGTCCCAGCCGCCCTCAGACCCCGCCCTCCGCCTATCCCTGGGGGGAGCTGCGGGTGCCCCTTTTTACTGAGACCTCCCCTAGTTCCGCTCGAGCGCAGCCAGCCAGGAGAAGGAGCGCGTGCGTCCACACGGGTCGCCCTTCGCGGTTGCAAACCTGCTTTGATGCCCTGGGAGCGCAGGGGGGCCCCTAAGTGAGGCAGTTCATAAATAATAGATTTGGAAATACTCGATAGAGTGGAAATGGTTCCTCGGGAGGCCTCCTGCCCCCGCCCCCCGCCGGGCTGCCTTCCAGCTCTCAGGAATGGCGTTCTGGTCCATTCCCAAGGAACTCGTGACGGCGCGGGGTGGCCTGTGGTGAGTGGGGGGCCAGAGGCTTCCGCGCGGGGTCACACCCCCACCGCCGTGCAAGTTGCAGCGCGGCCAGAGCCGGGCCAAGTTTCCCAAAGCCCGTGTCTCCGCAGCAAAGTCTGCAAGAAGTTGGGGGGACGCCCGGGCCCGCGTGGGTCTCCCACCGACCCCCGGGCCGCGCCCCTGCAGCGGCTAGAGCTTGCGAGGCGTGGACGCCGCCCGGCCGGGGCCGCGTTGCTCGGGGAAGGCGGGCGTCCCGGGGAAGGGGCGGCGGGCACGAGGCGCGGGGCACTCACCGCTTCCTTCTTGGTGGGCTCACTGCGGAGCCGCGCCCGAGGCGCGCGAGGCCCGCCCGGGCGCTGGTGGTGGTGGCGGCGGCGGTCGGGCTCGGGGGGCCGCGGCGACGAGCCTGCAAGACAGAGCAGCGGGGGTCATGGCCCGGCCGGCGCTCGGGCAGCCGCGCGCCTCCCGCGGTCCCGCCCCGCTCCTAGAGGGCGGCGCTGACGGCAGCCGCCGGGCCGCGGGCGCCAGGATTGCACGGGCCAGGCGCGGGGCGGAGCGGGCCCGCCCGTCGCCTCCCTGGGGAGCGTGCCAGGACCCGCCCGGCGCCCTCGGCGGCGGTCCCGACCCCTCGCTGCTTGCCTGTTTCCTCCCTCCAGGCCCCGGGCAGTCCCGGGGAAAGTTTGGGCCGCGGCCCGTAGGGCTCCCCACCGTGCGCCCCTCTCCGGGGCTGGGTGCCGGGCTCCCTGAGGCCCTGCACCCCAGCCCTGGGTGTTGAAAAAGGGCACCAGGGTTCCTCCCATACTGGGGGGCCCGGGTTCAGTGGACCTCGCCGCCCGGAAGCGAAGAGGAGAGGCGAGAACAGCCCCCCCGCCCCATCTCGCCGTCTGCAGCCGCCCTCCCCTTGTGCAGGACCCCAGGGACTGGTAGGCAGTGCCCCTTCCCTGTGGCTGCAGCTGTGGGGGTTCCCTTTTGCTCTCCACGCAAGCCTTTGCACCCCACTTCGGGGGCGAACCCTGGGTTGCAGCCTACAAGGAGGTCAGGGCTTGCCTCCTGGCCCCCTGGGCAGCTTCAGGTGTTTGGTGATGACCTTGATGAGCATCAGGGAGAGGAATCCCCCACCTCCCCGCGGTGTGGACACAGAGCTCCCCGCGGTGTGGACACAGAGGTCTTTTGGCCAGATGAGCTTCTTAGGAGGCACACTCCCTCCGTCAGCCCTACCTGTGTGGAGGCCTCTGCAGACACCTGCCCAGTGGGGCAGGAGGAACAGAAAGATGCCTGCCCTGTGCTTTCTATGTCATTGTCACAAGCCTGTGGTACCCTGTCCACCCTACAAGCCCAACGTCTCCACACCCCCTGCCCTATATATTTCTGGAGGCTTAGAAGGGGAAACTGAGTCACAGAGCAGGAAAGTGACATTCCTTTAGTGAATGTGGCAAAGAGTTGCAGGAAATGGAGTCATCTTCCTAGCCGTGTGCTGCTGCTTGAGTCATTCCTAAAAATGGGGCGATCTTTAGGTTCCCCTGACCTTATAGAGTCCAGACTGACAGGCAGGAAATGTATCATGTCCCCCACTCCCCCGCCTCTAACAAAGAGAAGGGGCAGGCCTGGGGCAGGACGTTCCTTCCATTCGTCCCCACCCTCCGGAGGCAGGATGGGACCTGCCGCTGGCCGGTGCTGGGGTGGTGGGCGTGCCCATCAAAGCTGCTGCCCCAGCTGCTGGGCTGGGGGAGGCCTGTGCAGGTGGCTCCCTGCTGAGGGCACATCCCTGGGGAGGGGCTAGAAAGCCAGAAAGAGCTCAGAGGCTTCAGGGTAGGAGGGTTAGGGGGCTCAACAAGCTGGCTGTGGGCAAATCATCATGCCTGGCTGTGTGCCGGCCCTTCGCTGGGTGTGGGGAGGCAGGGACCAGACCTAGGCTTCTGAGGAACTAAGATGGACAAGCCTAGGCGACTAAGAACTGAGGCTCCGGGACCCCACGGCACAGCGTCTCCCTCCTCCATCAGTCACCTCCCAGCCCAGCTGTCCCTGCCCTGCAGCCAGGTTCCCTTTCATGATTGTGCAAAGATTTGATTAATATCTATCTCCCCCGCACTGCCGGTTCCTGCCCATCCCAGGGGATCCCTGTGCCCCAGCCCCTCAGGAGTCAGCGGGTCCCTGGGGAAGTGCAGCACCTCCTGAAGGTCCCAAGGGGCCATTTCCTGGGCTGCTGAGGGTCCTATGTCCTGCTCCTCTCCAGGGAGCTTTGGGGCAGAGCTGCTGTGAACTGTCTCCTCTAATGGTGGCAGCGGAAGTCCCTAGGGATGACAGACAAGCAGTTGCCCTCACCCCTGCTTTCTTGTTCTGGAAGGGTGCAGAAGGAGTGACACTGGTGGAGATCAGCTTGTCTCTGGGCTTCAGTTTCCTCAAAGGAGAACTGGGGATTTACTTATTTATCAGGTTATGTGTTTAACCTGGCGCCAACTGGGCAGGCGGCCCTCACGTCACTGCCTGTTCATGACAACCCTCTCAGGTGTGGGGCCCGAGGCTTAGGGAGGTCACAGGTCCTGGGTCTCCCAGCCAGTGAGGACTGCCTTCTGACTCTGCTCCGTCTCCTCCACTCCTGCGCTCTCCTGCCCCCAGCGGAGACAGGAGCCGCTCATCACAGGGGAGTTTGGCCCAAGCCTCAGCCCTGGGGGAGGGGACGGTGCACTAATGACTGGAGGCCGAGGAGGATGTGTTTTGTCAACTGTACAGACTGAGATGAGGAGTGGAAAGAATCCGGCTGCCTCCTCCCCCAGGAGGCTGCTGCCGTGAGAACAGTGGGTTTACACTCCAGCGTCACTTTCCCAGTGTCTGCGCTGTTGGCATCTGCCCGGTCACCCTTTGTGCTGGGGGGCTGTCCTGCGCCCTGTGGGTGCTGAGAATCTTCCCTGGCCTCTACCTACGAGGTGCCAGGAGAGCCGTTCCTCAAAGTCATGACAACCAAAAAATATCTCCCAACATTGCCACCTGTGCCCTGGGAGCACCATGCCCTTGGCTGAGAACCCCTGAGTATTTTCCAATAGTTCCCGGCCCTGACTGCATGCCAGGATCACCTGGCAAGCTGACAAATAAATAAATAAAAATGAATGAAGCAAATACCCAGGTCCTGGCCTCGCCCCATGGGCTCTGACTTAATTGGCCCAGCTAGGGCCCAGGTATGGGTGTTACGTAAAAACCCCTAGGTGAGGCCAGGTGTGGTGGTTGATGGCTGTAATCTCAGCACTTTGGGAGGCTGAGGCGGGAGGATTGCTCAAGTCCAGGAGCTCGAGACCAGCTTGGGCAACATGGTGAGACATCCCCACACACAACCCCTGCCATCTCTACAAAAAATATAAAAATTTGCCAGGTATAGTGGCGCATGCTTGTAGTTCCAGCTACTTGGGAGGCTGAGGTGGGAGGATTGTTTGAGCCTAGGAGGTCGAGGCTGACCCAGATGATGTTAATAGTTGGCTCTGACAGAGAACTTTGAATCTAGCAGCAGAGAGCCCAGCTGCACGTCACTTTCCTGGCAGCCAGGTGAAGTGCTTGCCAGAGAAACTTGGTCTTGACCTTGGGGTGGGGCTGGTGGCGGGCAGCTGCTAGTGGGGACCCATGGGCTCTGGGAGGAGAGTCCCGCTCAGCAGCCTCACCTTGTCCCACCACCTGGGAAGAGCTGCAGGGAGCACTGAACCTGCAGACCCCGGAGACGAGGCCAGGGCTGTGGCCCCACACCTGCCTGTGATCAGAATCCCCTGGAGTGCGGGGAAAGGCAGGTGCTGGAGGCTGGGATTCTTCAGGTGCGGGGTACAGGATGGGAAGGTAGGCCCCTGACACCAAAGCCCTCTGAGTCCCGTCTTTCCTTCTCAGACCTGGAGACTCGGTCTGCAGAGGAAGTAGGAGAAGAAGAATTAGAGCAATTTCTCCCCCCCGTCTCCCCTTGGGGATTAATGGTTGGGAGAGCAGCTTCCTGTGCACAGTTTGACAAGAGCTCTACACATTTACTGGCGCCCATCAGGCACCACTCCAGGCCCTGAGAATAGAGAGGCTGAGAGAGACAGGCCAAACCCTGCCCCTCATGGGCACCAGAGCCTGAGTGCTACGGGGAAAATGCTTACAGCGGAGGCTATAAAGGGTGGGGGTGGGGAGTCAAAATTGTAGACAGGATGGGCAGGAAAAAGCTTCTGTGAGCCAGTGATTGTAGAGGAAGCCCTGGCAGGTGCAAGGGAGCTGCCCTGTGGGCGTCAGGAGGAAAAGCTCCCAGGAAAGTTCTGGGTTCCGGGTGCAGGATGAGACGAGCACCCCGCAGCCACACCCCACTCTGCAGGGACCTGAGCCCGGGGGCTCCGCATCACCTCCTAGGGGTCCTGCAGGGTGGGGAGTGGGGCTAGCAGGGAGACCCTCTTCCCATTCACAACTCCCCACGTCCTACCAACACGTGGTGCACCTGTGACATTCGGTTTCCTATTCAACAATGGTTTCTTTTCTTTTCTTTTCCTTTTTTGAGACAGAGTCTTACTCTGTAGCCCAGGCTGGAGTGCAGTGGCATGATTTCTGCTCACTGCAACCTCCACCTCCCGGGTTCAAGCGATTCTTCTGCCCCAGCCTCCTGAGTAGCTGGGATTATAGGTGTGTGCCACCATGCCCGGCTAATTTTTGTATTTTTAGTAGAGACGGGGCTTTCACCATGCTGGCCAGGCTGGTCTCGAACTCCTGACTTCGTGATCCACCCACCTCAACCTCCCAAAGTGCTGGGATTACAGGCGTGAGCCATTGCACCCGGCCCAACAATGGTTTCTTAAGCAGCGTGGAGGGTTAAAGGTGGCTGCAGGCCGGACACAGTGCTGAGATCACACCACTGAACTCCAGCCTGGGCGACAGAGTGAAACCCTGTCTCAAAAACAAAAAATAAACAAAGCCAAAAAAACAGACAAAAAGAAGTACAGGGCCAGGCACAGTGGCTCACGCCTATAATCCCAACACTTTGGGAGGCCGAGGTGGGCAGAACACCTGAGGTCAGGAGTTCGAGATCAGCCTGGTCAATGTGGTGAAACCC